>NC_000010.11:29385000-30010000 GCF_000001405.40 Homo sapiens
TGGACCATGAAGAAAGGCAGACTTACAGCTTACCTGTTTCCTCTTTTTGCTTTCCCCTCCTCCCACCAGCCTGACTCCTTTTTACTAATTAGGACTCCAGACCCAGCTCTCTGCCCACATTCACCTCACCCTTCTCGGCCTTATCTGCTTCCTCTGTGGAATAAGGGGATCAGTTGCCAGATTCTCATGCTGTCTGGATGATAGAACCCCCACATCACTCTATGCATAACACTGTGGCCTATTCAGCACATTGTGGATTTCTAAATAAATATACAATAATTTCTAAATTCTAAACAAATTTAATTTTATAATAAGAAATAAAAAGAATTTTTCCAGCAAAAAAAAAGGGAGAAATAGAGGCCTTATCTTTATAGTCTAATACTAAACAAGGGACCTGAGCCATGGGAAGGGAAGAGGGGCAGCTGTTGACCACAGTTCATCTGTCCCAGGGTCTCACGTAAGAGTCTTTTTGGTTAGAGAGGCATAGTAGGTACAATGATTTAAGAAAAATATATGGGAGAAAATATATGGCACAGGGGGTCACACCTGTAATCCTAGCACTTGGAGAGGCAGAGGCAGGAGGATCACTTGAGCCCAGGAGTTTGAGGTCAGCCTGGGCAACATAGTGAGACCTCCTGTCTAAAAAAAAAAAAAAAATTAGCTGGGCATGGTGGCACATGCCTGTGGTCCCAGCTACTCAGGAGGCTGATGTGGGAGGATCACTTGAGCCCAGGAGTCCAAGACCAGCCTGGGCAACATAGTGAGACCTCCTTTCTACAAAAAAAAATTAATAAAACAAAATTAGCTGGGCTTGGTGGTGTGTGCCTGTGGTCCCAGCTACTCAGGAGGCTGATGTGGGAAGACTGCTTGAGCCTGGGAGGTCGAGGCTGCAGTGAGCCGTGACAGCACCACTGCACTCCAGCCTGGGTGACAGAGCAAGACCTTGTCTCAATAAAATAATATTAAAAGAAAAGAAAAAAAAATACATGAGAGAAAACTCAGAATTGAGAAAATCGTTCTCATTAACTTTCTTCCTGTGACTTGGGGAAGATAGGCCATTAATTGATTGCAATTCTGGAGCCAGAGAAAACCCATTTTCTAGGCTGAGGATCACTTGCTAGACAGTCTCCAAAGCTCCTTCCACCTGTTAAGTGTCTAAGATTCCACAAAGTGACACCTACCTCCTCCAGGGGCTAAAGTCACCTGAAATACTACAGCGTGGGCTCCCAAGGTGAGGCTGCTTCCCTAGGAGCATGAAGTGAAATGAACGGATTTATTTTATTTTATGAATTAAATAAGATCTTTGGGCAGAGGCTTCAGACAGATGGGATATCTAAAGCGGCAAGCTATGCTCTTCTAAAGAAGCCAAAGGAGAGTGTAGAAGGGCCAGTTAGACTTTGCAACCTCAGAAAGAAAGTATTTGTGAAGAGTCAGGCATGCAAAGCATTTCTTAGCCATCAGAGCGGGGAAAGATGAATTGATGACTTGGTCTCCAACCCCCTTTCCTACCCGCCCGCCTAGGAAGCCTAGTGTCTGTAATTACTCCTGTCGGCCTCTAGATGGCAGTCAGAAAAAAAACAAAGATAAAACTCAAATTAAACAGAGAAAGAGAAACCAGTAAAGGTTAGAACAAAGGTACAGAAACAAATATGATTTTTAAAAAAAAATCATAAGGGTAAACCAAGAAAACTAACCAAGGACTTCTGCATATAATACATAACCAATGCTTTAGGAGAAATGTCATTCAAAGCTACTTAATTTAGAATTCTAAAACCAAATTTACAGCTTACTTGGGTACGTTTTTGATAGTTCAGTCACAATGTCAATATTTATGCAATAAATGTTATTGTACTAGGTTGTTTTTTAAAGTCCCTCTAAGTTTTAAGGAGTCCCTGAATAAAGTCTTTTTTTTTTTTTTTTGAGAGGGAGTCTCACTATGTTGCCCAGGCTGGAGTGCAATAGCGTTATTTCGGCTCACTGCAACCTCCGCTTACCAGGTTCAAGTGATTCTCCTACCTCAGCCTCCTGAGTAGCTGGAATTACAGGTGCCTGCCACCCGGCCTGGCTAATTTTTGTGTTTTAATAGAGGCGGGGTTTCGCCATGTTGGCCAGGCTGGTCTCAAACTCCTGACCTCAGGTGATCCACCTGCCTTGGCCTCCCAAAGTGCTGGGATTACAGACGTGAGCCACTGTGCCCAGCCTTGAATATACTCTTGAAAAGTGACATATGCAAATTCAGTTTTTGCATCTTGAATCATATTTTCCAGTAGATTTTAACACAATCTTTATTTTGATTGTTCTCTGCCCTGCAGTTCTAGCCCTTTGGAACTAATATTTGAAATAAAACCAGGGATATTCTCTGGATCTGTGCTTTCATAGGAGAACTTGTTGGTGGTTCCATCTTCTCCCCTGGGAGGCTCCTCTGGGCAGTGTTGGTGCTTCAGGAGTGACAGGTGTGCGGCAGGTGTGCGGCAGGTGTGGGTGAGCTGTGCTGACTGCAGTGGAGGGACCTGTGTGTCCTGAGTCCTTAAACGAGGCAGCAGATCTGCTAGATGTGTCGTGGGATGCTAAACTGCAGAGGACTTCTTCCCAAGTGCCAGCCTGCAGCCCAGTAACACAGAGCTTGGGCTGCCCGAGGCCACTTTACCAGAGAGAGAGACCTCAAGTGCAGAACTTGGTGACAGAGCACTGAGGCCAAATGGCTCTTGGGACTGATACCCAAACAAAAAGAAGGCAGACCTCACATCTCAGTTCAGTCACCACTGACGCAACCCAGCACCCGACAGCACCAGGGGCATCTGACAAACGCAGAAGCCAAAACCCAAATGACAGACATTCAGAGGGATGAATTCCTGCTGGCAACTTGTGCACCGAAAACATCAGAAATATGCAGCTCGGAAAAAAAAAAAGGTGATTGACAGTACAAAGTGTCTACATTTGCAAATTATTTTTTTAAGTTAGCATCTTTTGTAAAAACATAAACTCATCGGGTTAGAATGGACCTCAAGAAATCACCTGGTCTAATGTCTAATTCTTACCTCCAGAAGGAGCAGCTCTTAAGCCATGCCAAGCAAAACAAAACAAGACCAACAAAACCACCTGCCCCTTCCTTTTCATCGAGTTTCTAGAGGAGATTTAACCAGGAACCACTGCTTTTTTCCCTTCACCATTAGGACATTTTTGTTGATGTCTGACTGTAGATTAAAACAGACCTGGATTAGAATTCATACTTCTCCATGTACAGGCTATGCACACTTAAGCACTGCCTAACTCTCAGAGCCGCACTTTCTCTATTTGTAAAATGAATATCAGAATATGCACCAATTAGAGGTGCTGCAAGGCTTGAATAAAGAATGTGTAAACAGGCTGGGCACAGTGGCTCATGCCTATAATCCCAGCACTTTGGGAGGCCAAGGTGGGCAGATCACTTGAGCTCAGGAGTTCAAGACCAGCCTGGTCAACATGACAAAACTCTGTCTCTACTAAAAATACAAAAATTAGGCAGGGCACAGTGGCTCACACCTGTAATCCTAGCACTTTGGGAGGCTGAGGCAGGTGGATCACCTGAGGTTAGGAGTTCAAGACCAGCCTGGCCAACATGGGTGAAACCCCATCTCTACTAAAAATACCAAAATTAGCTGGGCGTGGTGGTGGGCACCTGTAATGCCAGCTACTCAGGAGGCTGAGGAAGGAGAATCGCTTGAACCCGGGAGGCAGAGGTTGCAGTGAGCTGAGATTGTGCCACTGCACTCCAGCCTGGGTGACAGAGCAAGACTCCATCTCAAAAATAAAGAAATAAATGAATCAATAAAAATACAAAAATTTGCCAAGCGTGGTGGCGCATGCCTGTAATTCCAGCTTCTCGGGAGGCTGAGGCATGAGAATCACCTGAACCCAGGAAGCTGAGGTTGCAGTGGGCCGAGATCACACCACTGCACTCCAGCCTGGGTGACAGAGTGAGACTCTGTCTCAAAAAAGAAAAAAAAAATGCGTGTGTGTGTGTGTGTGTGTGTCTGTGTGTGTGTGTGTGTTTAAACGGCTATACATGATGGTTGGCCACCAACAATAGCCATACTAATGCAGATGTTTTGAAGACATTTTTGAATGTTACTGAGTGGGGATCCTGCCAGCATCTAATGGGCAGAGGTCAGGGATGCTGCTACACATTTTACAAGACACAGACTTACCAGCACCCTGTGAGAAAGAACTATCCAGCACCAGGTTGAGACACCTGCCTAGAAATGCCATGTCATAAGTTAGCCGGCGGAAGGATGCTAAACCCCTCTAGGGTCTAGTACAAGGTTGAAGGGACCCTAGCTGTTGAAAGCAGAGGGCATGTACTCCATGTCACACATTTTTGGCAAGTCTCACAAAGTTTTTGGCTTCAAGAAAGTCTGAAATTAAAATATTCTCATTTATTCCCACAGCCCCTGGGTTTCACCTTCAAGGCATCAAGATTTGCTGATAGCTGATTATTCCTCTACAGAGTTTCTTTGTGATGCATCTACTTATAACTTCCTTGGGAGACTTAAGAGTTGCATAGGAATTCTAGGGGCTGACTGCCTCTTCCACTGTGACTGTAAGCTAGAACCACCAGTCTGGTTTATATAACAGCCTAGAAAGAATGCTGTTCTGGGACTCAAGAGAAAGTCACTTGGTGTTTCTGGCCTTGGTTTGCTCACCTGTAAGATGGGCTGGTACAGTGGATGATCCCTAAGCTCCCGCCGTCGTGCCCTGATTCTGAGATAGCATTATCAGGGAATCTGTATGGACTCATGCAACTGTTCTCCTGGGATCACAAGGGTTGTGTGTCTCCCCTTCTCATCTTAAAATGAAATCTTGGAAATCTTCAGTATAAAATTCATATTGGTGTTTTCCTGACCATAAATATAATGCTCCTTACTCAGGAGAAGGGAGGACTGGGGAAAACTTGAGGGCACCGTTTGGTTCTGGGAATGAAGAGAGCACCCAGCCCCACAAGGCAGCTCTTGCTTCCTTTAGCTGAAGTTTGAGGCAGGTGACTTGAATGCTTGTATTGTTTTGTGTTTCACAGAGACCGGTCGGGGTGAGCAGTAACCCACGCTAACAGAGCTTAGTCAAGCAACCAGTACCGGCCAACGGACAGTGAAACTGAAAGAAAACTTGCAGAGCTTTCATGGAAAGTCCATCAGTGAAAACGGCCTGGATGAATATGGTGTAAACTGTCTCCCAGGCCCTGTTTCGTTTTTCCTTAGGTGTCAGTGGGAAACTACACATTTGCCGAATCAATTTTCTCTGCTACTCAGAGAAAAGCATCCTTTGAGATTAGCAACATAAGAAGATATACATAATTAAATAAATAAATAAATAAGGAAAAACAATGCACAAGTTTCGAGGATTAGAAGGACAAAAATTAAACAAGAAAAATAAATTTAAAAAAATAAAAGAAAGAGATTAGCAGCGTGGAAGCAGATGGCACAGGGAGGAGGGGGCAGTGGCCCCCAGATGGGCTGTGGGAGCAATGTCAAGGTTGGAGGTGGTGGGAGAAAGGTGGAATCTCTGTAGCCTGATAGAGGTTGAAGATGTCTTTACAAAGCTAGTGTACTTAATTATTTGTGGGGAACAAAGGGTCTTCCTGATCCATACAAAGTATACTCTCTTTTTAACAATCAGGGTAACCTAAGACAGATGATGAGGACCTTCCAAAAGTCAGTCACTCACCAGAATTCCAAAGTGCCAGGTTGCCTGATGAGAATACACGCTGTCTTGCCCAGGTGGCATGAGATGCCATGAGGCCCTGGAACAAGGGCTACAATCATTTTCTTCTTTAAAAAAGTTTTATTTGTATAAATGTATGGGGTACGAATGCAACTTATTACAGGGATGTATTGCATAGTAGTAAAATCAGGGCTTTTAGTGTATCCATCACCCAAATAATGTACACTGTACCTATTAAGTAATTTCTCATCACCCGCCCCCTCCCCTCCCTCCTGAGTCTCCAATGTCTATCATTTCACTCTCTATGTCCATGCGTATACATTTTTTTTGAGATGGGGTCTTGCTCTGTTGTCCAGGCTGGAGCACAGTGGTGCGATCACAGTTCACTGAAACCTTGACCTCCCAGGCTCATTCAATCCTCCCACCTCAGCCTCCTAAATAACTGGGATCACAGGTGCGCACCACCATGCCTGGCTACCTTTTGTAGAGACAGGGTTTCGCCATGTTGCCCAGGCTGGTCTTGAACTCCTGGGCTCAAGTGATCCAACTGCCTTGTCTTCCCAAAATGCTAGGATTACAGGCGTGAGCCACTGCGCCCAGGCTTGTGCACATTACTTAGCTCCCACTTATAAGTGAGAACATGTGGTATTTGTTTCTCTGTTTCTGAGTTCTTTGACTTAAAATAGTGGCCTCCAGTTCCATCCACGTTGCTGCAAAAGACATGATTTCATATTCCTTTATGGCTGAGTAGTGTTCCAGGGTGTATATATACCACATTTACTTTATCCAATCATCCATTGGTGGACATTGAGGTTGGTTCTATGTCTTTGCTATTGTGGATAGTGAAAAGCCACAATTATTTGATTTCACAGATACCCTCCTTTCTTTACGTGGGTTGAGCACAGGAAGAAACTGTCTACCTCAGTTACTACCACCATTGGCCTTCCAAATGTGGCTGTGTTTTGCCTGGGGTACGCAATCCCACCTTTATGCCTGTACATGCTTTGGAGTTGGAATTGGTCCTACTTGGGTTATATCTGGATACAAAGAAAAGTCAGTTAAATGTGGTGCAGCCACTATACACATCCTGAAGGCCCAAGTGCTAATCTCACACCTTAATTGCAGTAGGAATTATAAGTGGCAGGCTGCCCTTCTTTCTGACTCCATGGATCCTACCTGCTCACCCCTGGCCATCCCTCTGCCTTCACCCTCTAATACTTTTGCCCTCTGCTCTGACCACATGGGATGCCCGCTCCTTGCTCCTGCTGGAACACTCATCCCCAGGCAGCTCCAGGCTCCCCCTCAACTCCTCCCGCTTCAGTGAGGACTACGCTGGACGCCCTTTCATTTGTCTCTCTTTCCTACAAGAATGCAAGTTCTATAGGGAATAGATGTTTGTCTCTTTCCTTCACTATACGGGACTTGCCTAACACATAGTAAGCGCTCAAGGAATATTTGTCAAATGAATACACATCCTGCTTGAATCTCAACCCTTGCTGCTGCAGGTTAAAGAGTTCTAATAAAATGTCTTCTGCCTACCTCCCAAGGACACTGTTGTTTCTTAAGAAGGGAAATTGAATTTCTAATGTGAAGGGGGAGCTCTTCTCTAATTTCCTGCACTGTTATGGAGTCTTTTCTGTTTTTCATATTTCTTCATCAGTTCATCAGAGGTCTAGAAAGGAGATGACTTGGGCTATCATTTTACTCAGAAACTGTGTCTTTTTTTTATCTTGAGCAAAATTCCTCTCCTGTCTGTTGACTTCTATGTAGAATTCCAAGCTCGTAGGACAGATGACATGGATCATTAGATTAAGCCCAGAAGGGCAAACGACTTGTGCTGGAAAGTCAGGAAAACAGAGTGAAGGGCTATAGCAGGAGGATGTAGAAGCTAGCTGGGGCCCCCTACTGGCAAATGTGGGGATAATGTAGCAGTGAAACAGAAAGATAGTGATGGATTGTAACCCATTGAATAGAAAAAGAATCCATGAGTTCATATTGATATCAACAAACAAATGATAAATTGATTAGGGAGAGGGAAACTCTTCCGTATAGCAGAGTTCTGGCCAAGAAATATGGAAAGAATGAAGGAATTAGAAATGTATTGAGGTTAAATGCTGAACCTAGTGGGTGAAGGTTTGATAGGAACAGGATATTTACATAGTCTCAAAGTATCTCTCCAGAAGTTACTTTCTAATTTTTTTTTGAGATGGGTCTCTCTCTGTCACCAAGGCTGAAATGTAGTGGCAAACATAGCTCACTGCAGCCTTGATTTCCTGGTCTCAAGTAAATCGTCCTTCCTTGGCCTCCCAAAGTAATGAGATTACAGGCATGAGCCACCACATCCATCCTGCTTTTAATTATAAAGAAAAAATAGTAACTTTATTCATAAAAAAATAACAGACACCATCTTTACACAAAAGGAAAATTGTTCAGCATGGTACAGTGATAAGCTGAGCAAAAGGCCAGGTGGAGCTTAGAAAAATGTATAAGAAGGGTTGCATCAGTAAGGACTTTTAATTAAACCAGTGAAAACAGCAGAAAAACAAATTAAACAAAGTCCTCTTCCCCCTGGCGCTCCAGGTGATTGAATCAGCTGCCCAAGCAAGCTGAAACAGGGCAGCATGGAATAAAACCACTTGGCATGTGGGTAACTGTGTTATTTCCAAAGGACTTTCCCAAATATCATCTTGCTTTATGCTATTTCTCACAGCAATTTTGTGACGCAAAGCAGCTATCTCCTGTGTAAGCCATCTCCTGATTAACATATGAGCACACTCAACCCACAGGGTACATGACTTTTCCAAGGCCACAGAACGGAGCCAGGACGTGACCCCACGCTGCTGGCACCATGGCCAGTGTCCCACCGCACTGACCCGTCACTTGAGCTCACTTGCACCATCCCTGTAAAATGCCAGGTAACTCCTGCATCACAAAGAAAAATATTCTCAAGGAAGTAGGAAATTTTGTTTTGTTTTGTTTTGGTTTTTTTTGAGACAAGATCTGGCCCTATCGCCCAGGCTGGGGTGCAGTGGCATGATCTCAGCTCACTACAACCTCTGCCTCCCCGGCTCAAGCCACCCTCCCATCTCAGCCTCCTGAGTAGCTGGGACTACAGGCATGCTCCACCACACCCAGCTAATTTTTGTATTTTTTTGTAGAGGTGGGGTTTTACCATGTTGCCCAGGCTGGTCTGGAACTCATGAGCACAAATGATCTGCCCACCTCGGTCTCCCAAAGTGCTGAGATTACAGGCATGAGCCACCATACCAAGCCTGAAAAACATGTTAATATTGCTTTTTGATGCCATTTCATTGGTACACTTAATCTGAATCATTCTACTTCTTTTGATAAATTTCCTGAAAATAAAGAACGAGTATCAGAAAGGTAAAACTTGTGAGCAGAATCTTTTCTGAAATGCTAATGAAGCCAATTGCAAAGGAGTAAAAAGCTTCAGAGATGTATTTCTATCGGGAATTGCCAGGGAGACAAATACCATCTGCAGTAGAGAAACGGCCCTCCATCTCTCCTCTCAGGAGCCCAGGGATGTTCCTCTCTGCTGTTTCTTTGTTTTGGGTACAATGTGCCTGAAGGAGTTGGTAGAAAAATCATCCTCATAGGGTACTGATGGCGGCAGTGGCCCATCTGGAGCAGCTGCTGCAAAGATGCCTGCTGCAGTGAGGGAGGCCCGGCTGGGGCTGCAGCTCTGCGGAACCAGCAAGGGCTGGGAACAGGCAAGAGCCCCATGCGACTACCAAGTCAGTGGGGCAGGAGCCCTGTGCTCCCAGGCACAGCTGCAGCTGCCCAGCCACAGCTCCAGACAGGGCATCCCTGCGTTCTCAGGAGCCTGGGAAGTCCCTGCTCCCCCCACAGGCTCTGAAGTGCTTGCTCCTGCTCCCTGGCCTCTCCTTGCTCCCAGAGGAGCAAGTTTGTAGTGCGGAGAAAATTTGCAGCCAAGCCTGGACACTGTTGCCAGGTGTGTGAGCACTCAGGGTGGTGCTGACATGCTGGTCCCCTGACGCCTTGGCCCCCTCTGGACTTTGGGCAGGGGAGGGACTGAGGGTGACTCTGCACAGGCCTGCAGATGCCTCTCTGCATGAACAGCCTGGGCACCCTAGATGGCATGTTGATGATGGCAGGAGGCAAATAGGTTCCTAAGTGGAAAGGGGCAGGTCCCTGGTGAAGCCCCTCCTTTAAGTCAGGCACGGCCTGAAGCCTGGGGGCTAGGCTGCCAGTTCTAGGTGAAGTCCATGCTCCGGAGTGAGAATTTATGGTGCTTTTTCTGGGTCCACCCATAGCCGCCCATGGGCCATCCCCTTTCTCCTTTCTGAGCCCATAAAAACCCCAGACTTACACAGACATCAGGATTACCAGCTGCTGGAAGGAGCTACCTATTTTGGGTCTCCTCAACTTGCCAGGATGACCTGTCTGGGGAAAGGAACTGGACAGTCATCAGGATGACCTGCCTGAGGAAAGGAGCTGTCAACTTTGGGTCATTGGAGAACTGTTCCATCACTCAGTGAAGCTCCTCTCTGCCTTGCTCACCCTCCAGTTGTCCACATATCTCACTCTTTCTGGATGCAGGATAAGAAGTCAGGACCTGCTGAATAGCAAGACTGAAAGAGCTGTAACACAAACAGGACTGAAACACATCCCCCTGCTCCCCACATTTTGGGTGACAAGAAAGAGAGAAGAACTGTGGCCCTTTAGGGAACCCAGACCTAGGGGCTTCCTGAGCCAGGGCTGTGACACCCTCTTTGGTGCTCTGTGGTTTCTGGCATCTCCAAGCTTCCAGGTGCCACCACATTCCCCTTGTCCAGACACAGATGCCCACAGTGGAAGCTGTTGGCAGTGCGTCTGATCCAGCCGCAGGCTCTTGCATGGAGCTGGCACATGTGCTGGCACCTGGAGCTGCCCGCCCCACAGCAGCAGCTGGTGTGCCTGGATGTGTGCAGTCGCCAGACCCCATACTTGCTCACTCACACACTCCTAGCCACTCTGCGCCTGGCTCAACCTTGGTAGGCATGGGATCAAGACCAATAGCACAAGCTGAGTGCAGCCTGCCAGGCCGAGTGGACAGAACAAGCCCAGTGGAGCCCAGCAAAACTGAGGAAAAAGTGCCACTACTCACAGAGGTTTCCAGCTGGAAAAGCGACACCCGAAGGACCCCATGACAGTACTTTTCCTGCTTGTCTTCATTGTTATCTTTCTCACAGATCAATCCCTTTCTTTCTGGAATTAATGTCATGGTTGATTTTGTTTCTTTTAAACACTTTATATTTGTAACTTTGAGAAATTTAGAAAACGCCAGAAAAGTTGAAAGACTCTTATAACAAACACCTCTCTGATTACTACCCATAACTGACTACTCTTGAATTACTAGGATAGTTCTTTTCAATCTTTCTTTTCCATTTAAAAACAAAGTAAAGTAAAATAACACTGCAGTTAAACTGAAGTTCCGTTTATTTTTCTCCATCCAAGTTCATTCCCTTTCTCCTACAAAAGGCATCTCTCACATGGATTTATTTATAAAATATTGCACATAGGTATCTATGTGCTCACATAACATATATTATTGCTTATTATCCACTCTTTTCAAATTTTTCTTTGCAGGAAAATATGCCAAACAAATCCTTGCAATTCTGAAATCATTCTGGTTAGGATTTGATTATCTTATCTCTTTCCAACATAAAGTCCCATGAGGCAAGTTACGATAATAGTTAATACCATGGACAAGGCACTGTTCTAGGTGCATATACTTGTTACCTCATCTGTTTTTTTCTTTTTTTCTGGAGACAAGGTCTCACTCTGTCACCCAGGCTGGAGTGCAGTGGCAGGACCATAGCTCTCTGTAACCTCAAACTCATGGGCTCATGCAATCTTATCCTCTCAGCCTCCCCAGTAGCTGGGACTACAGGTGCATGCCACCATGCCCTGCTAATTTTCTTTTCTTTGTTTTAGATTTGGGGTCTTTCTCTGTTGCCCAGGCTGATCTCAAACTCCTGACCTCAAATGATCCTTCCATCTCAATCTCCAAAAGAGCTGGTATTATGGGCATGAGCCACTGCACATGGCCTTGTTACCTCATCTTATCCTCACAATAACCTTATGGACATATATTATTATGATCCTCATTTTAGAGATTGAGACTTAGGCACAGAGGCACTGGGTCACTTTCTTGAGCCTGCGGAGGTATGAGCTGCTGGGCAGGCTGGTCCTGGTGCCCAAGACCCACACTCCTGCCCTTGCTTATTGTTCCTTACAGAGGTCTTTGCTTTTCCTAATAAGACCATTGTCTACATGATCAGTTGACACCTTGAAAGCAGGCTGGTCTTGACAGTTTCACATGTTCCCTTTCTAATTGATGATGCTTTCCTGGGATAATGAATGAACTCAACTTCGGGTTCAAGTTGCTCCAACAACCCACTTCCAGCCACAGCACTCCCATGAGAGCCTCTGCAGCCTGGGCCCCTCCAGCTCATAGGGATGCCCACCCAGGCCAAGCGCTTCTAAACGAGCGACCTCCTCAAAAGAAAGCATAGGAGAAAGCAGGAATCAGTAAAACTTTTCTGGTTTTCTCTTCAAATATTAACAAATTGACACTTAAGAAGATACGGCAACCTCTTAGATCCAGAGGATAAAAAAGGCTCCTTCATGCTGCTTTCAACTCATTAGAAGACGTGACACTTACCATGCAGCCTTCTGCTGTCTCTCCTCAGCAGTACAAGCCTCAGCCCCTAATCCTGCCTGGCTGCTGAAGGATTAGACCCAGCACTTAGTATTTAACCTGTTCCTCCCCTGCACATCTTGTGGATTTGGTTTTTCTTTTATGGGTTGCCAAAAGCAAAATAATAATACCTGTCACTTCAGCCAAGGGAGATTTATTACTTTTAATCAAAGGATACTTGTTATAAAAGGAGTTATGTATATATGAATACACACACAGATACACACATATCTATGCATGTATACAGACAGACAGACATCAGCAAACGTAAATCCCCATTTGGGGACTCAGGGCACTGTCTGTTCCCCTCCTCCACTGATGGATTTTTGTTCACTGTTTGTCATCTGTGTCCTGGAGGCCACCAAAGGCTCATGTGCCCTCATAGTGTGGTGACATCTTAACCTCTAACACTTTCGCATGATCATTTTAATAGGTGCTGAAAAATTGGGAAATGGACGTTGAAAAAAATGACAGGCCTGGCACGGTGGCTTACTTATACAATCCCAGCTACTCAGGAGGCTGAGGCAAGAGAATGCCTTGAGCCCAGGAGTTTGAAGCTTCATTGAGCTATGATCATGTCGCTGCACTCCAGCCTGGGTGGCAGAGCGAGACCTTGTCTTTATTTAAAAAAAAAAATCATCCCTAATCACTTATTCCTGAGTCTGTCCCAGCCAACAAGGTCATCGACCCTACAATTGCAACAAGAGGGATGAGGGGAGGACAAGGGAGGGACAAAGGCAGTAAAGTCAGTGATTAGGTGGACACCAGGTGGGTGTCCAAGTCAATATGGAAGGAGAAGGCATTAAGAAACAAGGAATCAAAAATCTAAAAAGAAAAAAAAATTAAAGTACAGCCTTATTCTTTTGCTGACATACTTTTTTCTCCACTGCCCAAGCCCCTCTTATTGAGAAAAGAGGCTGCATCCCAGTGCTTGGAAGCGCAGACACCCGTCCTCCTTCTGTGCTCTGAGTGTTTCAAACAGCCTTGCAGACAGCCATAGCACCTAGCACTGGGCTTAGCAGGCAGTAGCCTCTCAGTAACTGCCTGCAGAATTGAATTCAATAGCTAAGTGCTAGAATTATGTCCAGGTTAAAAGGGGTTACCAACATAAGTCAGAACTGACGTGGTGAAGCGATGATTGCTGGTCATCTCCTAATCCCAGCTGCCCTTCTTCTTTGGGAACAGACCACCCAAGTACAGCTGAGGAACGGTGCATCAGAGTGCCTAATTCTTTTTTTTCTTTGTTTGTTTGAGACAGAGTCTTACTCTGTTGCCCAGGGTGGAGTGCAGTGGTGTGATCTTGGCTCACTGCAAGCTCCGCCTCCCAGGTTCAGGCCATTCTCCTGCCTCAGCCTCCCAAGTAGCTGGGACTACAGGCACCCGCCACCAGGCCCGACTAATTTTTTGTATTTTTAGTAGAGATGGGGGTTTCACTGTGTTAGCCAGGATGGTCTCGATCTCCTTACCTCGTGATCTGCCTGCCTCAGCCTCCCAAAGTGCTGGGATTACAGGTGTGCTTTTTAAATTTTTATATTATTTTTTAGTGACAAGGTCTTGTTCTGTCACCCAGGCTGTAGTGCAGTGGCGCAATCATAGCTCAATGCAACCTTGAACTCCTGGGCTCAAGTGATTCTCCCGCCTCAGCCTCCCAAGTAGCTGGGACTACAGGGGTGAGCCACCTCACCTTGCCAGAATGCCTTATTCTTGCTACTTCTTTCTCATCCGTCTGATTAATGTGATGTCATCAATATAGTGTGATATTGGTTTTGATTTAATGTCTTGGCCTGGGTGAGAGGGTGGTTTCAGCGCCATCCACTGGACCATTCCTACTATAACATTATGTTCTTACTTTACCAATCAAGAGACCACATGACAGTTCCACTGAATGGTAATTATGTCCATTCCAATTATACATTCAGGAACTCGCAAAGTGACCCACAGGTAGGTCCACGGACCTGAGCCAGAACTTTATTGATCACATAGTTCCCATATATCCCTAATCGAACAGGAAGGCCTTTATCACTTTGAGTGTCAATCTTGATATTCTAATAGCATTAGAGAAATTTGGACATTCCTCTTTCCCCATTGCATGGTGATCTGAGTACATGGCTATAGACATCTTTGGGGAAAGTCCGGGGAAATTACCTCTTTCTACATCTGCCATGGGATGGCAGGTATTTCCCCACAGGGACCCAGCCTTTCCTTCAATTGATGGGTTCTAGGTGTAAGAACTGGCTTAGGTCTGGAAAGAAAGCAAGGGATCATGACTTTCCATCTGGGGTAACTGACCTCATCCTTCTGCTCATCCATGCTTTACCTTCTTTAAGATCAATATAACACACATTATAATACATTTATTCCATACTCTCATTGGCTACCCATCTCTCTTGCTCCTATGAATATCATTTTCTTCTGCTGTCTCCATAGACCTTTGCTGTTCAAGACTCCCTGGATACCTTTTCAACCTTTCTGCCCATTAAGGTCACTTGCATCTGATGGTTCAGCACTGCAGGTGACCTCTCCTTTTCAAGGATCCTTTCACTCATCTTGCTGCTAGAGGCCCCAGTTCTATAACAGCATCTCCTCCCATCAGCTCTGGCACCCAGGGAACAGTCCCCCACTCTGAGCTTCTCAACAGTACCGGAGCTCCCAAAAACTCACTCCTCAGTATCTTGGTATACAAGTCTCCTCCAGATCCTGCCGAGAATCAGGCTGGGTAGAGCAGATCCAACTGGCAGGCTCAGTTCTCTGGGCCTTCCTCCACAGTCTGCCTGGGAACTTTTTCCAGGCTTCTAACTGTGATATTAGAACTGGCCCTCAGGAACTTAGAAAAGGTCTTTAAAAGGTTTAAAAAGTTTCAGCATCAAAGAAACACATGCCAAAAAAAAAAAAAAAAAGAATCAGTTATTAACGTTAAGAAAAACAAAACTTATACCAAAGGTTAGGCTGAACTACATGAAACTGTCATCTTCCTAAGTCAAAATAGATGGATACTGACCATGTCAAGTAGTTTAACCAGATATCATCAGAGGACATTACTACTTGGCTTACCAGTGAGCAGCATTTATTTATTAAGTTTTAGAAGACTTCATGAAGACATCAGTACATTAATATGAAACAAAAATTATGCTATAACAATACAGGGGGAGCTGGGCATAGTGGTTCATGCCTGTAATCATAACACTTTGGGAGGCCGAGGTGGACAGATCACATGAGCCCAGGGGTTCAAGACCAGCCTGAGCAACATGGCAAACCCTGTCTCCACAAAAAAATTTTAAAAATTAACTGGGCATAGCAGTGCATGTCTGTAGTCCCAGCTACTTGGGAAGCTGAAGTGGGATGATCACTTGAACCCAGGATGTCAAGGTTGCAGTGAGCTGAGATTGCACCACTGCACTCCAGCCTGGGTGATAGAGTGATGCTCTGTCTCACAAAAAAAAAAAAAAAAAAAAAAGAAGAAGAAATATGAAGACTACATGTAAAAAATGGAATGCTCAGGATATCAGATCAATATACAAAAATCAATTGTTTCCATACATTTGCAGTGAACAATTCAAAAATTAAATTTAAAAGACAATTCCATCAGGAAAAAGGCAAGGACGTCCCCCTCATCACTCCTTTTCAACATCTTATTGGAAGTCCTAGCTAATGCAATAAGACAAGAAAATGAAACAAAATGTGTACAGATTGGGCAGAAAGAAACAAGACTATCTTTATTTGCAAATAACATGATTATCTATGCAGAAAATCTAAAATAAAAATAATTTTTAAAAATCTCCTGGAACTAACAAGGAACTATAGTAAGGGTGCAGGCTACAAGGTTAATATACAAAAGTCAATTGCTTTTCTGTACAATAGCAATAAACAAGTGGAATTTAAAATTAAAAACACAATACCATTCAGCATACAAAAAATGAGATACGTAGGTATAAACCTAATAGAAAATATGTATAAGACCTATATGAGGGAAACTACAAAACTCTGATGAAAGATGTCAGAGAAGAACTAAATAAATAAAGAGATAACACATGTTCATGGATAAGAAGACTCAATATTGTCAAGATGTCATTTCTTCCCAAATTGATCTACAGACTCAATGGAATCCCAATCAGAATCTCAGCAAGTTATATTGTGATTATAGACAAACTGATTCTAAACTTTATATGGAGAGGCAAAAGACCCAGAATAGCCAACACAATATTAAAGAAAAAAACAAAGTTAGAGGACCGTCATTACCTGACTTTGAGATTTACTGTAAAGCTACAGCAATCAAAATTGCATCATATTGGTGAAAGAATGGACAAGTAGACCAATCAAAACAAAATAAAGAGCCCCAAACAGACCCACATAAATATAGTCAACTCATCTTTGGCAACAGAGTAAAGGCAATATAATGAAGAAAAGATAGTATTTTCAACAAATGGTGCTGGAAGAACTGGATATCCACATGCAAAAAGATAGATCCAGACACAGATCTCATGCCCTTCATAAGTATTAACTACAAATGAATCACAGACCTAAGTGTACAATGCAAAACTATAAAACTCTTAGAAATTAACATAAGAGAAAACCTAGTTGATCTTGGGTAGGTGGTGACTTTTTGGATACTACATCAAGGCATAATTCATGAAGAAAATAATTTATAAGATGGACTTCTTTAAAATTAAAAATGTCTGTTCTGTTAAAGACAATGTCAATAGAATAAAAATACAAGCCACAAACTGGGAGAATATATTTGCAAAACACACATCTGGTAAAGAACTGTTATCCAAAGTATACATGCTGGGTGAGGTGGCTCACCTCTGTAATCCCAACACTTTGGGATGCCAAGGAGGGTGGATTGCTTGGGTTCAGAAGTTCGAAACCATCCTGTGCAATATGGTGAAACCCTGTTGGTACAAAAAATACAAAAAATTAGCCCAGCATGTCAGTGTGCACCTGTGGTCCCAGCTACTTGAGAGGCTGAGTTGGGAGGATCACTTGAGCCTGGGAGGTCGAGGCTGCATGAGCTATGTTCATGCCACTGCACCCAAGCCTTAGTGACAAAGCAAGACCTTGTCTCAAAAAAAAAATATATATATATAGTGTATATATACATATATACACATACATACACACAAAGAGTTCTTACACAAATAATTCTTGACTTGTGGGTGAAAATATCTGAACAGACACCTTACCAGAGAAGATGTACAGATGGCAAGTAAGCATATGAAAAAATGCTCAACATCATATGTCATTAGAGGATTACAAATTAAAAAGACAATGAGATACCACTACACACCTATTCGAATTATGAAAATCCAAAACACTGAGAGCATCAAATGCTGGAGAGGCTGTGGAGCAACAAGAACTCTCATTCATTGCTGGAAGGAATGCAAAATGGTACAGCCATTTCAGAAGACAGCTTGGCAGCTTCTTACAAAACTAAACACACTATTATCATATGAACCAGAATTACACTCTTGCTATTTACTTAAATATATTGAAAACTTATGTCCACAAAAATACCTGTACACAGATGTTTGTGGCAGTTTTATTTATAATTGCCAAAACTTGGAAGAAACCAAGATGCTGTCAGTAGGTGAGCAGATAAGCTGTGGTATATCCACACACTGGAATATTATTTAGCACTAAAAATAGAGCTATGAAAAAATACAAAGGAACTCGAAATGCATATTAGTAAGACAAAGACACCAATTATGAAAAGCCTCCATGCTGTATGATTTCAAATATATGACACTGTGGAAAAGGCAGAACTATGGAGGCAGTAAAAAAATCCGTGGTTGCCAAGGGTTGAGGGTGGGAGGAGGCAAGAATCAGTGGAGCACAGAAGATTTTTTAGGTGAATGAAAATACTCTGTGTGAAATTATAATGATGGAAACATATCATTATATATTTGCCAATAGAATATACAGCACCAACAATAAACCCTAATGTATGCTGTGGGCTTTGGGTGAAAATGCTGTGTCAACATGGACTCATTGATTGTAACAAATGTGCCACTCTGGTCCAGGATGTTGACAACAGAGGAAGCTGGGAGTGCATGGGGATAAGGGCATATGGAAAATCTATATACCTTCTGCTCAATTTTGCTGCAAATCTAACACTGTTCTAAAAACAAAAGTCTCTTAAACAGCAACTCCCATTTATAGTAGCATCACAAAGAATAAACTATTTAAGAGTATTTTATTAAATAAAATTAAATATTCTCTTTTTTTTTTGAGAGAGGATCTCCTTTTTTGCCCAGGCTGGAATGTTGTGGTGCAATCATGGCTCACTGCAGCCTTGATCTCCTGGGCTCAAGCCAACCTCCCACCTCAGTCTCCTGAGTAGCTTGGATGATAGGCCTGCACCACCACACCTGGCTAATTTTTGTATTTTTTTGGTAGAGACAGGGTTTTGCTATGTTGCCCAGGCTGGTCTCAAACTCCTGAGTTCAAGTGATCCTCCCACCTGGTAAAATAAAAACTTCAGCCAAATTAAATTTAAAGGAGTTTAATTGAGCAGTGAATGATTCGTGAAACGGGCAGCCCCCAGAATCACAGCAGATTCACAGAGACTCCAGCATAGCCACGTGGTGGAAGAAGATTTATAGACAAAAAAAAGGGAAACAACGTACGGAAATTGGAAGTGAGGTACAGAACAGCTGGATTGGTTACGGCTTGGCATTTGCCTTATTTGAACACAGTTTGAACCTTCAGCAGTGTATGAATTGTTGAAGTATGGCCACTGGGATTGACCAAGGCTCAGCTATTATTATAGGCACATATTCCTAAGTTACGTTTTGAATCCTGTCTACCTATTAAGCTAGGTTGCAGTTCATCCACAAGGACTCAAATATAGAAGTGTGGGGTCCTTCTAAGGACATATTTAATTCACTTTAACAATTCCTCCCTTTTGGTCATTTTCTCAATTTTGAGAGATTGACCAAAACTGTAGTTACTGATGTCACCATCACCTTTGTAAATGTACTTATTTGGTGTTGAAGCCCACTGGGAAACAGTAGAACAGTGGGTTTTGGAAGGAGGGAATGAGGAATGAGTAGAGGGTACCTCTTTATGCTGGAACGTCCTGTTTACAGGAGAAAAACAAAACCTGGTCTGTTCTAGGATCTATATGTTTCCTTAAAGTCTTAGTTTCATTATGTCACATTTAGCACAAGTTACTCCTTTTTAGTTTGGTTTGGCCTATTGGGGCCTAGGGCATGAGCTTAGTCCAAAACAATGGCCTCTCATAATTTTGTTTTAAAAAATTCCCCCTTTTTGGTCAGGTTCTCACTTAGGTGAGAGTATGACCAAAACTTAGGGCCTCAGCACCCCTCTCTGTTACCATCATTTTGGGTTTCCGGTCTCAGCACATCATTCGTAGGTTACAATATCCTCATGGTTGCACATTTCTTTCATCTCTTGTCATTCCAGTTGAAGAGATACCATTTGACTTTCTAGAGATGGCTGCATGCAAATATTTAAAACCTTTGAGAGAACATAGCACATCAGGAAAACTATTATTATAACTACTGGGAGCATAATACCAAGAATTTGGAGTATGCTCCTTACCCAGGGTCCCCATAAACCAAACCACATAAAATTAAATAGATTAAAGAATAAGCTAGATGAAGAGTCTGCTTGCTTAAGGGGTCTTTTTATTAATCCCCTACAACTGAATTTTTATAATCTATATTTGATGTATTTCTCCATAGGCCAAAAGTGCCAGCAGCTGCACAAGTACCTTTCTGTTTAGCCAATTCTATTATTTAGCATAACTTTCACAAGAAAATTTAAAGTCTGTTGTGTAAACATAGCCTTTACTTAGAATCTACTATACAGCCTATCATAAGGGATACATTTCTAATTATTGCCTCTTTTATTCTAAACCATGGAAGAAGAACCTAACAAATGATGTCCTTCTGTAAGAGTGAAGGTCTTCTGGCAATGTTCTCTTTAACCCATGATGAGAATTAAGAGGACTTTTGACTAATTATGAGGCAATGAATGTACCATTAAAGTTTCTCACCTACATTGGAACTTTATCTTTTATCTATCACCATATAAGGTTATTTATGTAGAAAGCTGGCTAAAAAAATCCTTCACAAATAAAAGTGCACCCTATAAGTGCACATAATAGACCCCCTTTTTATTTCTATTGTTCATAGAGGCATAAACAAGGAAAAAATATTCAAAGATATAAGAGTCTCATGATAGGCCAGGCACGGTGGCTGATGCCTGTAATCCCAGCACTTTGGGAGGCTGAGGTGGGCGGATCACCTGAGGTCGGGAGTTTGAGACCAGCCTGACCAACATGGCAAAACCCTATCTCTACTAAAAATACAAAATTAGCCAGGTGTGGTGGTACATGCCTGTAATCCCAGCTACTCGGGAGGCTGAGGCAGGAGAATTGCTTGGACCGAGGAGGTGGAGGTTGCAGTGAGCCCAGATGGCACCATTGCACTCCAGCCTGGGCAACAAGAGTGAAACTCTGTCTCAAAACATAAAAATAAAAAAAGAATCTCATGATAGTAGAAGTCTTGATCTGTGATCTTGGGAAAACCTGTTTACATCAAGGATGTCATCTTCTTTTCTGGAGAAACTTTCCTGTTTAGTTTTACCTTGAGGGTTCTAATGGGTGTACAGTTCCAAGGGTGTGGAGGGACCTTTCTCAGTTGTGAGTTTATGAACCCAAGGTTCAAGTTTCCAAAGTTTTGTTGCAGTGTGAATGGCAAGGACAGTCTTTCTCTGATGTTCTGAGAATATCCAATCTTCAGGTTCTAGATTGTGAAGGGGTTGATTGTCCCCAGCGAACCATAAAAAGCTTTCTTTACCTGGTGAAAATATACTGTGGGATGATAATTAACTGTTATAACATAAGACATGCATTGAAACTAACAATCGAATGAAATCTCTTTATGTTTAAATGACCCATCAGGTAGCCAAATGTACGTAAAGGTTTGATTGTCTTCCCAGGAATATGGAACCAAACACTGGTTTTAAACTATTTTCACAATTTATAAGTCATCACATCAATATATTCAATTTGGATTGTTTTATCTGTTCCATGATGAGTCATGGAATGCAGAACCTTTAATAACAACACATTTAAGGACTCAGGAAGGGCCAAGTGGCTGTCCTGGTTCTCCATGAGTCTATGCTTAACATGGGACTTTATGTCCTCTTGAATACCAGTTGTTTCTCCAATTTAGGTGCATAGCACCAACAACTAATGGGTTATTACAGATAATTTGACTTGGACCATGGAGTTCAAATTGTACATGTAAACAATTTCCGTATCGCCTGGTTTAACATGAAAATTTGGCAAAGTATTTTCTTAGTATTTAATTAATTTTTTTGTTCTACTTATGTTAGCACATTTATACAGGGAAATTTGGTTATTTCTGTGGTGTACAATAACTTAATAACCATAATTATGATTGACAACATATACTTAGACATATTATAATTAGTTTAAAAATAATAAGTGCTTAAATCAAATATTTTATTAGAAAGTAAAAAGTGTAATGCCTTTTAGTTCATGTGACTTAAGTAATCTCTTGGAAATAAAGACAGTTTTGAAGATTATTGGTAAAATAAAAATATCTTTAAAAATACAAACATTTGGTCTAAACTATGCAGGTCAGATATTAAGTTTGCTAAATGCTTTAAGGTCATAAACTGCTTCTTTGACTTTTAAAAATTGTTCAATTTACCCGAGAGGTGGAGCTTGCAGTGAGCCAAGATCCCGCCACTGCACTCCAGTCCGGGCGACAGAGCGAGACTCCGTCTCAAAAAAAAAAAAAATTGTTCAATTTCTTTTAGAGACATTAAATTCTAAATAAGGCCTGGGGATATATGGAATTAGCCATGCCCCCTAGCTATTCAAAGGAGGTTATAAAGAAAAGAGATTTTATATAAGAAAGGATCTTTTATGGTAAATTCTTGTCCTAAAGTAAAATAACTGGTTGTTTAAAAATAGGGATGCTTACGACAAGTCAGAAAGTCCAAACATGTTGTAGATGGTCTGTGTATGCTGTGAAAAGATTTATAAAAGAAAATTTATGCACCAAAAGTGACAGTCGCTAAGAATTACCATTATAACATGTAATTGAGACTACTTAAAAAATAGGCTTACATGCAAGGTGTGTGAGGAGAAGGAAATGTGTTTTTGGAAAGAGTTTATAAGAAGGCATGGGAATGTAAATTTTTGCCTAGTTTAGAGGGTTAAAGGATTGTTTAAAATTAAATAAAATAAAGCTAAAGGTTTAAACAAGTTATGGAAGGTTTGTAAAAATTAACTTTGTGAACATAATTCTATGTGTGAAAATATTGACTAATTAAAGCTCTTTCATATGTAAACATAACTCACATAATACATTTAAATACATAGACAGACAGAAGATAAAAGGACTCATTTTCCAAGCCAGGAATTGTACCCTGAACCTGGGCTGCATTGTGAAAAGAAAAAGCATGGCAGCATGGTTACAAGATCAAGCTCCCAAGGACATACAAGACAAGAGGGAAAACTCATCCAGTTTTTTTTTAGAGACCTGCAGCAAAGTTTGTAACTGACCAGCTTGCTGGGCCATCTTAAAAAGCAGGCTTACAGGTATCCTAAGCCTGTGTTCTATCCTAAGTTACCCTTATCCATTATAGAACACAGAAAGACACACAAAGCACACTAGATTCTCTACAGCTTAAGATTAGCCTCACGAATCCTTCATCTCATTAACTAAAACTTTACAGAGGAGATAAACAGTGATTTTTACTATTCATTCAACTAATTTGCACAGAGAAAGAGAGAGGCCAGAAGTCTGGTAAGAAATTCTTACCTTTTGCCAGTATGCCAGGCTTTTGGATTCCTCGGAGATGCTGGAGGAATCTGCATATTTTCAGTAGGATGTGCAGGGAAGGCCTCCTTAAGAAGGCAACATTTGAGCAAAGATCTGAAGTAGGCAAAGAAGCCATTTGGATATCTGGTAAAAGAGCTTTTCCAGATATTTAACAAATAATTTCCTAACTTATTCTACGTTTTATTTTTTGTTTTTGAGACACGGTATCTCTCACTCTGTCGCCCAGGCTGGAGTGCAGTGGTACAATCTCTGCTCACTGCAACTTCCACCTCTTAAGATTCCAGCAATTCTCCTGCCTCCACCTCTTGAGTAGCTAGGATTACAGGTGTGCGCCACCACACCCAGCTAATTTTTGTATTTTTAATAGAGACGGGGTTTCACATGTTAGCCAGGCTGGTCTCGAACTTCTGAGCTCAAATAATCCACCTGCTTAGGCCTCCAAAAGTGCTGGGATTACAGGCATGAGCCACAGCACCCAGCTAAGCTTTATGTGTATGTATTCTTTAATCAAATATCTATTGTATATGACATTAACTGCAGGTATAAGGAGATAAGACAAGATTACGGGTGTTCATTGAGTGCCTGCCATGTACCAGGCACTGTGCTAAGTTTAATGAATGAGGTTTGGTACCTTCACTAATATTTACAACTTAATGCAAGAGGCAAGGTGTAGACATACACCTCCTGCAGTTGGAGTGCAGCAGTTCTTACGAGGAGGAAGAGTTGGTCTGAGGTTGCACCACAAGAAGTTTATATGCACCTGACCTACCTGAAGTCTACACCTCCCTTTCAAGATGAATTAACATGTAAAGGGTGCTCCCCACTCTAACAGAGGGGAAGCCAGCAAGTTAATACCTGATCACACCTTTTATAGAGCACTGTGGTTAACAATCTGCCTTCCCAAAGTAACTCATTTAACCTTCATAACAATAAGAAGCAGTTGTTCTAAGAAGCCTTCGTGTCTCTGTCTGAGATGGAGAAAGGCTCAGAAGGCTGAGCAGTGTGACAAGGTAGAGTTCGACCTAAATTTAAGGTAACAGGATTAAAGCACAGCGCTTTTCGCACAGCAATACAGCTGTTATGAGCATTTGCTGAAATAAAACAGCTTGATATTCTCCTGACTCAGTCCTCTCCCACTGACAAGACAGAAAGAGAGCTGGGTTGAGGTCGGGGCGGATTCAGAGCCCACCGTGTCAGCAAAGACACATAAGGAACTCGCCCTCCGGAAAGACGCGGGGGAATTCTGGGAGTGCGCGGCCTTGGAGCGCGCACATGCGCGGCAGCTCCCGCTGCTGAATAGCTGAGAGGCGCACCCGGGCGGCCAGCTGGGCTCGGAGTGCAGCGGGGTTAGGATGGACGAGGACGTGTTGCACCCTGAAGAGCCTCATCATCGGTGAGAGTGGGGTGGGCAAGTCCAGGTGAGGCGGGCGTGCGGGCTGTGATGAGGGTGGCTGGGCTCTTTCTGCCTCCGTAGCCGCTGTCTCTTGGGCCGCGGTGGGAACTGTCAACCGCTGCAAGTGTCCACGATGGCGGCCGGGCTCGGGCCGGCTCCGCCCGCGCCCTCCTCGGCCTCTGGGCCGCGCTCTCCCGCGACGTTTGCTTTCCTCTCCCCACCCGCGCCTGCCTGTTCCCGGCCTCTGCCACGCCCAAGTTCTCTGGGTCGCTCTCCCTCCTGTGGCGCCGAGAAAACACCATTCCGAGGGCCGCCGCTCGGCCGGCCGGTTTGCTGCGCGGAGCTCAGGGCGTGGCGGGCTGGTTTGGGCCCGAATCCGGCCGGGGGCGCCTCGCCTCGAGCCCCTCGGGGTTCAGGCTGCCTGCCACCCCGAGACCCAGAAGACGTAACTTTCCCGCTTGAGGGTTTCTGTGGGGCCTTCTCTAAATACATAATGTCCTCGGGAAGTTTCGTGATGCCTTAGGACCCATTCCTGGCCTGTTTGGGCGCAGCTTAATGTCGCTTCTTTTACTTTTTTATTAGTCGTCTGTGAAAGAACAGCTGGATCTTGTGAAGTGCTGGAAATTTTCTCTTTAGTGTAAGTGGTCCACGGCTGAAGCAGTCGGACCACCTTTGAAAATAACGTGTAATTGTTATTTCTCATTTTGCCACATCCTGTGGAGACAAAAGATTAGTGTTGTGTCTTTTCATTTTTTATTTTTCTTCTTGGGGAAAATAATATTGACAATGGAGTTGAGTATAAGGTAAGACATGGATCTAGGTGGATGTTGCTAGAGGGTTGTGATTTCATCGAGGTCTTGGAACAGAGTTCAGGTGAAGTCATTCTTGCCATCTGATTATGAGTAGGTTATGTTCAAGGCCGTCCTAATCCTTAAACCACATTTACACTCCAGGGGCTGTAATCAGTTTCATATTTTAGCTATACCTTCTGATACACATATTTTTTTTTTTTTTTTTTTTTTTTTTTTGTGACGGAGTCTCGCTCTGTTGCCGAGGCTGGAGTGCAGTGGCGAGATCTCAGCTCAGTGCAATCTCCGCCTCCCGGGTTCAAGCGATTCTCCTGCCTCAGCCTCCTGAGTAGCAGGGATTTCAGGTGTGTGTCACCACACCCGGCTAATTTTTGTACTTTAGTAGAGACGGGGTTTCACCATGTTGGCCAGGCTGGTCTCAAACTCCTGACCTCAAGTGATCCACCCGCCTCGGCCTCCCAAAGTGCTGGGATTACAGGCGTGAGCCACCGCGGTTGGCTGATACATATCTTTCAAATAACTTGTTATTCATGTAAAATTTTATAAATGGAAGTATCCTTATACAAAGTAGAATGAAAGCTTTCCTCAGGTAACTTTTAAAATTACAAACCTGCACATTCTGCACATGTATCCCAGAACTTAAAGTATAATAAATAAATAAATAAGATTACAAAGTCCTACTTTTTTAGCTACTTCAGGATTTTAAAGCTTACTATGTAATATATTCTGAATTTTTTTTGTATTTTTAAAGTTTGACAATACATTTTTCCAGTATTCCTCACTTAATGTACTCTATGTCTACTGTAGTCAGAGGGGTTTGCACATACCAAGGAATAGAATAATGAAACACTATGGGTAAGCAAACCAGTATGATTTGTGTGTGTGTATAAAAGGGATGAATAAAATTATTTACCTGATCATCTGTTATTGCATGTACATATTTGAGGGTTAAAAAGTTAATATAATAAAAATTGCCTTAATAGGAATTTTATAATCTTGTGATCTTTCTTTTTCATTTCTCTTTTTTTTCCTTGACATGTTGGTTCTCATGTAAGTTCAGGCATATGAAATTGGCATTTTTGAAGTCACGAATGGTTGGTTGTCATTTCTTGTAGTTCAACCCAATACATGAAATTGGGTTGAAATTGGTTAGCACTTTATGTAAATTTATTGCATGGGTGACAAGTTAGGGTGGTTAAAATTTTCTGGAACGTTAACTGGAGTATATAAATGAGATTCGTTCCCCGTCCCCCGTCCCCGCACCACTGCTTTTTTTTTTTTGAGACAGGGTCTTGTTCTGTCACCTGCTGGAGTGCAGTGGTGTGATCACGGTTCACTGCAGCCTTGACTTGCCTGGCTCAATCGATCCTCCCACCTCAGCCTCCTGAGTAGCTGGGACTACAGGGACGAATCACCATGCCTGGCTAGGGTTTTTTATAGAGACAAGGTGTTGCTGTGTTGCCTAGGCTGTTCTTGAACTCTTGAGCTCAGTGGATCTTCCTGCCCTCAATGGATCTTCGCAAAATGCTGGTATCATAGGCATAAGCCACCATACCCTGCTCTACTTTTAAAATTTTTTTTGTAGATGGGATTTCCCTATGTTGCCCAAGCTAGTCTGGAACTCATGGGCTCACGCCATCCTCCAGCCTTGGCCTCTCAGGGTGCTGGGATTACAGGCATGAGCCATGGCACCCAGCTGAGAGTCCCTTTTTAGAATAAGGTCTGTTAAGTGGGATTTATCAGTCTCTCTACTTCACTCCCCAGAAACAAATGTATTTAGGCCTAATCTTTTTTAAACTTTTTCCTCAATGTGTAGTGGTGGATTATCAACTGCTCACTGCAAAATTTTGGCACTGTATTACCTCTTTCGTGAAAGGACTGCATTTAGTGAGAAAGTTGTCTTATTTGTCTGGCTAGATATACATTATTGGCCTATGTGATATGCTATGGAAAAGAACCTTAAACACTTATCTTTCTGGATAAGGTGGGAATAAATGACTCCACTAAAATAGAAGCCTATACTTTTTAAAGTGAGTTAGTACAGAAACATTTGTCATGGGTGTGACCTTAAAGGGTTGTTTTTACCAAGTTTGTTCTGTTTCTTTATAGAGCTGGAGCTAGTGGAAGTGAAATAGCACTCATGTTGGGGAATTATTGCACAACAAAGGATATCTTTAAGCTGAATTAGTGGATTACTTTCTAGTGTATTTCATGGCGTTGGAGTCTAAAGGGTATATGATAGTAATCAGCAGATCAGGATTATGAAACTGGGGCTGCCACTTGTGTGGCCTTGTGTGTGATCCTTGAATGCTCTAGGCCTTCATTTCAAAAGTGAGGGGGTTGGAATAGAAACCTCTCAAACCCTATCTAGTGTTAAATGTATAAGACTGCGATTCTGTAGCTAGGCCCGGTGAGGTAGAGGTAGCAGAGTGTATCAAGAACTGGAAGGGATTAAAGAGACCTATTTTGTAAATTGCTGTCCCTCCTATGCATACCCTAGCCTTGCCATTCGTTTTGGTGAATTTCATTTGTAGATAAAGAAATGCAGATTAGTTATAATCACACTCTGTTTGTTGTAAATTTGGTCTCATCTAAGTGCCATGGTGGTAGTTACTCCTTCCATCTCTACCTCTGCATGGAAAGCATTTTGCTCCTTTAACTTTGAAATATGAAGGTGTAAATATACAATATTGTAAGAATGGTGCTTCTACCAGGTGCGGTGGCTCATCCTGTAATCCTAGCTACTCAGGAGGCTGAGGCAGGAGGATCACTTGAGGCCAGGAGATCGAGACCAGCTTGGGCAACATAGCAAGACCATGCCTCTAAAAAACTGAAAAATAAAAAAATTAGCCGGCCATGGTGATGCACACCTGTCGTGCCAGTTACTTGGGGGGCTAAGGTGGGAGGATTAGTGAGCTGTGATTGTGCCACTGCATTCCAGCCTGGGTGACAAAGTGAGACCCTGTCTCTTTAAAAAAAAAAAAAAAAAAGGGTCCTTCTTAATCATTTTGAGATTGCCCATTCCTTTCAAAATGTAATAGAGAAATGGACTCTCTGCCCCTTTCAAAGTCTAATAAATAGAGAAATGGACTCTCTGCCTAGAAAAATGCACACATGGAATTTAGAATACATTTTGGGCTACCAGGGTACCCCTGGCTAAGATCTGATGTGTACCCAGAGCCTGTATTAAAATTTGTTGCTTCACACCATGCCACCAATTCCCTGCCTCTCCTGACAAAGTACCATTAATGACAATGGCTGTTGTAAGGATTAGCAATCATGAGAGAAAAACCTCTGGCTTTTTGTCTGCACATTGCCATATGTTCAATAAATAATACCCAATATCATTATTATTACTTGTATTATTATTATTATTATTATTACAACTACTCTACAAGGTTATATTAACTTATGTTTTTGTAATAATATTTTCTGTGGTGACCACGTGTAGATATGTATCTTTTCTATTCTTAGATTATGGGTAACTGTTGGGAGAGAAGAAAATTTTTGTAAGTTTTATTTTAGAGTCTTATTAGTGCTGTCACCTAACTTATGTTTGAAGTAAGTAAATATAGTTAAGATGTGAAATAGAGAAATCTTGAATTTGACTCTCCTGTTTTACTTTGATTCTGTGGTGCTCGTTTTATGGTAAACACAAGAAAACAAAACCAAGTAAGGCAGAGTTAATCCTTCAAATATAATTAATGACACTGGGTTTGGAAACTACCAGGAGGTCATTATGTTTTGCAGAATACTCTGTGGACAAAACATATCTCTAGCAGCAGTAATCACAACCTTATGAATATTAGAATCTAATTAGAAATTAGAATATTAGGAATATTCATCAGATTTTTCTATAATTTAGACATCTGATGACTGTTTCTTTGATTTTATTAATACAAGCAGGTCAACAGGACAGACTTATACTTTAGAAGTTAACAAGTGAAGTTGAGTGATTTTAAAATTTAGGGCTTTAACATTAGCTTTTATTTTTGAAGAGCTTCTAATAACTGACACTTCTGCTTCATAGTTAGTAAAATAATTCTGGAAGATGAAAAACCTTAGAGTATCCTTCTAATCTGGTGTCTTTTGCTTTTATCCTTCCTTTCTAGTTTCCTACCATTTCCTAGGTTTAGTCCTTTGTTCTCTCCTGCCATAACCGTGGCAGTTTTCTTCTGTTGATTTTTCTTCCATTTTTTGTTGGCATTAACTTTTCAAAACAAAGAGCAGTTCTTGTCATAACTTTGTTTAAAAGCCTTCAATAGCTTCCAGTTGCCTACTTGGTTTTGTAAACCCTACCTGGTGTTTGCCTGAGTATACCTACTCTGTCCTGTGATCTTTTTTTTTTTTACCTCTCTTTTTACTGTATCTTTTCTTCCCACTTAGGTGGTAGCCATACTGCCTGTTATAGAATGCTAGGCTTTGATATCTTTCTGTTTGTGCTTGAATTTAAAGTGGATTACACATCAGATTTTTTTAAGTTACTTTACTTTGTTGCATTCCAAGAAACTTTATTTTTTCTCTTTTCATCCATGTCAATTAAAGCATGACATGTTGCTAATATCAGTGTCTCAGGACATACCGGAACAGTTAAAAACAACAACAAAAACCCCCACCTTTTGTACTTGGGGGATTGGGTAGGAGAGCATGGGGAATATATTTAATAGTAAACTACTTTGCTCTTGGCAGTTTTTAAATTGCCTTTCTAGTAATTTAATTCTTCTGTGTATACCTGCTCTGAGGCAGTATTTCTAGGAGCAGGCCTCCATCAGTTATTTTTATCTGCATTTAATAATTTGTGACTGGATATAATAATCATGAACACACTTATCATATGATTAGAAAGAAAAATTCTAATTCCTAACCTGTCTTTTTAATATCTCTTTCAGCCTGCTCTTGAGGTTCACAGATGATACCTTTGATCCAGAACTTGCAGCAACAATAGGTGAGCCTGTGTTTAAAAATTCAATAGAAATGTCTAATATTTTCTTGCCTTTGGGCTTTTTTATCTAAATCCTTCTACCTTCCTCTTACCACGCCACCACCTCCATGTCTGTTGACATTTTATTTGTCCTTCAAGATTTAACTTTGGTATCGTTAAATCTCTTGAAGCCTTTCTAGATCTTACCAAGAGAAAATAATTTCCTTATCTGTTGTATCATGGGACTTTATTAAAACTACTGATATTATGGTTATCTATACACACATTTCTTTCCTCTATTATGGATTGTCTTTTATTTTGCAATATACAACAGTTATTTGAGTACTTACTGTATACCAGGCACTGTTACTAAGAGGTGGGGGTATAATAGTGAATAACATAAACTTGGTCTCTGTCATCATGGACCTAACAGTAAAGTACATTAATTGTGTATGTTCAGCATTTGCTACAGTGTTTGACATGTATTCTGATCTTTACATATGTATTCATATTAGTTATTAAGGACTGTTAGGAGCAATGATACTTAAATGCCTTTTAAAGATAAAATTTAGATGGCCTGAAAGTGGTTAGTCACACTAACTTATGAAAATATATGAGAAGATAGAGATAAGTATTTTGGTGTCATGTGTTTAGACCATAGACAACAACGTAAAGGAATGAAAAGACCGCTTGGAATAGTTGAAAGGTAGCTGAGCTGAGTCAGAGCTAGATAATAGTCTTGGCTTTGCCTTGAATTAGGTGTAATCTTGACTTACTAACTTCATCTGTAAATTGGGAGGTTTTGGGGAGAGAGAATACTTTTTTTTCCCTGAGCTTTAAAATTTAAATCATAAAATTTTAAATTTGATGATCTGATGAGAGTATAGTAAAGATGATCCTAGCAGTATTATTAGGGAAAGCAAATAGTTTATCTTAACTGCCTTTATTTGTTTACATTTATTGTATGTCTATTTTTTCAGACTCATATATCTGTAAAAATAGCAAAAATAATTCTTGTATATCCTACTAAATTACTCCATCCAAATGTTAATATTTGTCACATTTGCTTTATCATTCTCTCTATGTATACACACACAGTATTCTTTTAAAAAAATGCATTTTTTTCTGGTTTTTTAAAATGAATTATTTGAGAGTGGATTGCAGACATGATGTCTTTAAAATGTCTACATACTTTGTATATTTCTTAAATCAACATAGATACAACTCTATTGTCTATACACAGATTTTATCAGTTATCCCATTAATGTCCTACATAGCAAAAGACAAATAATCGTTTTGGGTTCAGGATCATACATTGAATTTGGTTATTTCTCTTCAGTCTCTCTTTTTTTTTTTTTTTGAGATGGAGTCTCGCCCTGTCACCCAAGCTGGAGTGCAATGGTGCAATCTCAGCTCACTGCAACCTCCGCCTCCTGGGTTCAAACGATTCTCCTGCCTCAGCCTCCGAAGTAGCTGAGATTACAGGCACATGCCACTGCGCCCAGCTAATTTTTGTATTTTTTTTTTTTTAATTTTTGTATTTTTAGTAGAGATGGGATATCACCATGTTGGCCAGGCTGGTCTTGAACTCCTGACCGCAGATGATTCACCCACCTCGGCCTCCCAAAGTGCTGGGATTACAGGCATGAGCCACTGCGCCTGGCCACTCTTCAGTCTCTTTTAATCTGAACAGTTCTTCAGTCTTTGTGTTTCCAGGGCCTTGACATTTTTGAAGAGTAAATAATTATTTTGTAGAATGCTGCTTAATTTACATATATTCGGTGTCCTTATGGTTGGATTCAGGTTATGCACTTTTGGCAGGAATTCCACAGAAGTGTTTCTCAGAGCACAGTGTCAGGAGGCACATGATGTCTGTTTGTCCCATTTACTGGTGTTGGGACTTTGGTTACTATTGGGTGATACATGCCAACTTTTTCCTCTGTGAAGTTATTATTTTTCCTCTTGTAATGAATATATTTCTTTTGGAGAGATACATCGAAACTTTATTAGATATCCTCCTTTTCATCGTATTCTTTGCCCTCTTATTTTAGCATCCATTGATATTTTTTGCCTGTGACAAGCGAGAAGGACAGTATATGATCCTGCTGTTCTAACTGTGGTGGCTATCAAATGACAATTTTTTTCAAATGCCATCACTCTGTCTACATATCTTATTTGGAATTCTGTAAGGAAGGGCTCTTTGTTTTATTTTTAAATTTGAGACAGAGTCTCACCCTGTCACTCAGGTTGGAGTGCAGTGGCATCATCTAGGCTCACTGCAGCCTCCACTTCCCAGGTTCAAGCAATTCTCCCACCTCAGCCTCCAGAGCAGCTGGGACTACAAACGTGTGCCACCATGCCGGGCTAATTTTTGTATTTTCAGCAGAGGTGGGGTTTCACCATGCTGCTGGCCAGGCTGGTCTCGAACTCCTGGCTTCAAGTAATCTGCCCACCACAACCTCCCAAAGTGCTGGGATTACAGGTGTGAGCCACTGCGCCCAACCAAGAGCTCCTTTTTGTTTTTCTTTTTTTGTGAATTCGGATTCTTTATATTCAGGAGTTTTACTTAAACTTTGAATCTGAAAGAAACTTTAGGAGGAGCTCATAGATTTGTGGGAAGAAGCAAATCTACATTATTTTCTCTCTTCTAAAATCATATTCCATGTATTTTGATCTTTTACTGAATTTTAACACATTGTTTCATCACTAACATAAAGTGTTTCAATAGTTTTTGTAACTCACACACAAATACTGGATTTAAAAGTTATATACCTGAGTATATTTTTGTGGCAGGTGGTCCACTTTACATCACTTTCCAGACAACTGGAATTTGAGACAATGTCTGTGACAGCAGTCCCTTTGTTTTCACCTGGCATATGTTCTCATCATACTGCTTGCAGTCATATCATGCTGCAGGTAAAAAGCTTTGATTGGTTTTTAAATCTCTTACTTTGTGAAAAATATTTTATTGTGGTAAAATATATATGACATAAAATATGCTATTATAACAACTCTTACATGTATAATTTGGTGGCATTAATTACATCCACACTGTCATGCAGCCATCACAACTATCTGTTCCCAAATATTTTTCATCACCCCAAACAGGAACTCTGTTATCATTCTGCAGTAACTCCCCATCACCACCAGCCCCCCATTGCCAGTTAACCTTTAATCTGCTTTGTCTCTGTGAACTTTCCTATTCTAAAGATTTCATATAAGTGGAACCGTATATTTGTCTTTTTGTGACTGGCTCATTTCACTAGGCATAATGTTTTCAAGGTTCATCCTTGTAGCATGTATCAGACTTCATTCCTTTTTATGGCTGAATAATACTGAGTCCTCCAACTCTGTTCGTCTTTTTCAAGATTATTTTGGTCATCTGAGACTCCTTGCAATTCCATTTGAATTTAAGGATTGGCTTCTCTATTTCTGGGGGGAAAAATGGTTGTCAGAATTTTGATGGGGATTGTGTTGAATCTGTAGATTGTTTTGAATAGGACTGGCATTTTAGCAATATTGAGTCTGCCGACCCAGGAACTAAGGATCTTTCCATTTACCTAGGTCTTTTTAAGTTTCTTTTACCAATGTTTGGTAGTATTCAGCATGCAGGTCTTTCACTTCCTTGGTTAAATTTATTCCTAAGCATTTTATTTGTTTAGCGCTATTTAAATGGAATAGCCTTCTTAATTTCCTTTTTAGATTGTTCATTGTACATGTACAGAAAAACAACTAATTTTTGTGTGTTGGTCTTGTATCCTGAAGCTGTGCTGAATTTATTAACTCTAGTAGTTTCCTTCTGGATTCACATGTATGTACTTCTAGCTACTCGGGAAGCTGGGGCAGAAGGATCAGTTGATCCAAGGAGTTTGAGGCCAGCCTGGAAAACACAGCAAGACACCTACAGGTGTGTGCCCCCACATCTGGCTAATTTTTGTATTTTTAGTAGAGATGGGGTTTCACCAGTTTGCCCAAGCTGGTCTCGAACTCCTAGGCTCAAGCACTCTACCTGCCTCAGCCTGCCAAAATGCTGGAATTACAGGCATGAACCACCGTGCCCAGTCTAAAACTGTGATATCTTGTTCTCATTAATAGCTGTAGAAATTATAACTTTTGGCTGGGTGCGGTGGCTCACTCCTATAATCCCAGCACTTAGGGAGGTCGAGGTGGGCAGATCACCTGAGGTCAGGAGTTCGAAACCAGCCTGGCCAACATGGTGAAACCCTGTCTCTGCTAAAAATACAAAAAACCAGGTGTGGTGGTACACACCTGTAATCCCAGCTACTCAGGAGGCTGAGGTGCGAGAATCACTTGAACCTGGCAGGTGGAGGTTGCAGTGAGTTGAGATCGCACCACTGCACTCCAGCCTGAGCGACAGAGCAAGACTGTCTCAAAAAAAAAAAAAAAAGAAAAAAGAAAAGAAAAAAAAATTATAACTTTTTGTAAATTTTTATTAGGTTGGTGTCTTCTACTATTTCAGTTGCATAAATATCATTTGAGGTGGGCTTAGTCTTTGAAGGCTCTTTCCAGCAGGTGTCTCTTTCACCAGGCTTATTTATAAGCCTTTATTTTTTTTTTTTTTACAGTAAAAGAAAGTCTATAATATATCAACTGTGCCAAGGGAAGACAACAGTAAACTTACAAGTCTCTTTCCAGCAATCTAAATTAGTAATTCAACAGGACAAAATAAAGACATTTTTAGACAAGAGCTTTATCTCTCTGTGCTGCCTCCTGGTTAATTTCCTTGGTTTTATCTTTCAGTGTATTAATTCTTTCCAGCCGTATTCAGTCTGCTGCTCAGTATGACCAACGGGCCTTAGATTCTCTGTGTGTGTAATTTTTACTTCTAGAAGTTCTATTTGGTTCTATTGCAAATCGACTTCTTGATTTCTACTTTATACTTTTATGTCCTTAATTTGTTTAATTACACTTATTTATAGTCTTGTTCAGATTGATCAAATCTGGTTGCTCACATTTTCTGTTCTCTCTCATTGATCATGTGTTTTATTATTTGGAATTATGAGCTCATCTTTAGTGAGAATCTGCAATGATTTGATTTAGGCATTTATCTTCCAGCTCTGTTCTGTATTTGCTTCTTCCAGACAATGCAGGAATCACATGAACCTGTCCATCCACAGATAAAGTGGTAAAGAAACTGCCGTATTAGATACATGATGGTATACTCTTCAGCCATAAAGCTTCGGGAAACCCTGTCATCCGCAACCACGTGGAGAAACCTGTCCATCCACAGATGAAGGGATCAGGAAGCTCTGGTATATATACTGAAGGGAAATGCTTTTTGGCTACCAAAATAATGAAATTTTGTTGTTTGGAGCAACACAGATGAACCTGTCCATCCACAAATGAAGACATCAAGAAACTCTAGTATGTACACAAGGCAAAACACTTCAGCTATCAAAATCATGACATTATGTCACTTGGAGCAACACAGTTGACCCGCCAAGGCAGCCTCTTCCTCCATAGATGGATGAACGCTGTGGCCGCTGCTCCTGCCTGGGCCATGCCCTGATGCTGCCAACACCACTGCTCCTCTATTTATAAGTCTTAGTAGAGTTGCTGACCCAGCAATAACTGAACAGCTGATATGTACCTCACACTAAGCCAGGCGCTTCATATGTATCTAACTTGAAAAATGCTGAGCTAGTTACCTTAACACCATTAACTTTTACTTAAAAGTTTGTTTTTCTTTTTTAATCCCAGTGAGCTCCAAACAAGTTTTAGGAGGCTCCCCAAAACCAGTGAAGACTTTAACTAAAAGTAGAATTTCAAAGTATTAGAAACCAAACCCCAAAATTAAATGTGAAGATCAGTGTCTGTACTGAGCTGGCCCATCTGGTGGACACAGGATTTGCGTTATCGACTGCAATGTTACCCAGGATTCACGATTTCTAGCATCTGTCAGGGTTAAGAAAATTGGATTGAGTACCAAATACAGCAGAGCAAACCCGGCTTTGAGGCAAGGGCCCCATCAAGTAGTCATGCAGTACTTTTGTTAGGGTTCTGGGTGCAAATCTTCCTCGTCCCTCCCACCTTCTCCTGGCCTCCTTGTAAACCCAAACCGCCAGGTACCTCAATTTTCTTCAAGACCAGGCTGTTCTTAATGTTGGTAAATTGGTCAAGGAAATGGGTGAGCCACTGCTTGCTCTGCACATCGTCCTCAGAGTGCTCGGTCTTCAGGCAGTACAGCAGCTGCATGGCTTTGGCCTGCAGGAGTAAGTGGCCCATTCCTAGGCTGTCCCCAAAGATGTGTCCTCTGAAGAAGCTGGTCAGGTAGAGGGGGTGTCCACTATGGTTATAGATGGGGAAGGAGATGCTGCCCAGGTCGAGCGTTTTGTCCACCTGCCAGGTGTACAGGAGTGGGTTGGGGGCACCACGCAGAGCATCTTGTACCTCGCGCACACCTGCTGGTACTGGAGCTGGCTTGCGTTTCCCTGTGCCACACGCAGATCCTGCACTGTACTGTCCAGTCAACTGACTTCAGCAAAGATGTCTGGGTTCAGCAGCGAGTTGCTGTGTGAGGCCACCAGAATGGAGGTGATATCGGCCTCAGTGCTCATCCTGGAGGTGGAGAAGTGGTCAGAGTCCTCTGTGGTGAAATGGCCCTACACCAAAGTGGGAGACATTCAGAATCGAGGCGAAATTGGCCTCAGTGCTCCTCTTGGAGGCAGAGAAGCAGTAGGAGTCGGTGGTGAAATGGCCCTGTGTGAATGTGGAAGACCAGCAGATTGGAGGTGGAATTGGCCTCAGTGCTTGTCCTGGAGGTGGAGAAGCGGTCAGAGTCCTTGGTGGTGAAGTGGCCCTGCACAAAACGTTGCTCCCCCTTGGCCGGTGAAAGAATAAAAGAAAGCTGGCCACTTGCATTTCCGTTTCAGTTTATAGAATACATGTTTTGGAAATAGTATCTTCTAGATCTGTCTTTTTCTCTTCTGATTTAACTTAGTAAAGCTAAGTTTTATCTCTTCATAGTCTTGCTTTTGTTTCAAAAGCTTTTATGAGATTTGTTTACTGTCTGTGGCTATATGGCAGACAATTTGTTCAAGTGGCATGCCTCCTCTTTCTCACATTGACCTCCTCAGGAGGAGTTTTTCAAGGGCAATGAGTCTTCTCTCTGAGATAAGAATAGTAGCCAGAATTAAGAGGGTAAAGTGCATTGTGGAATTAAGTACTGATTCCAGTGGAAACTCACTTTATGGCCTTAGACAAATATTTACCCTTCTGATCCTCAGTTTTCTGTCAAAGAACTTCTGCTCATATCCAATTCCTATAAAGTGGGAGTACTCTAACCTGATATTACCAACATTAGGTTAGATTTTATCCTAATGTTAGGTATTAGAATATATCCTAACATTACTAGTTCTTCACTCTTACTAAAGTGCATGTTAGATTTCTTCAATGATTTTTTTAAATTGGCATGGTTGATACAAAGCATCCTTCTATCCAAATACTGTGCTCAGTCGCCTAAGTGATAGTTTAGAACCATACTATCTCTCTGTGGAAAGAATGCTGGGGCTCCTGGCTACACACTTTGAGTAGAAGGGAAAATACCCCTCTTGTATTTATGATGTTTTTTCTTTCTACTTGATTAAGAAGAAAGTACAAAAAGGTGCTTATTGAAGCATTGTCAATTTGGGAACAAGATTCTCAGGAATGAAATATTTGTGACTGTTCTCAGCATGAAAGGTAGAGAGAAGATTACTTGATCATTATGTGCTTATTTGAAAGTCACTTTCCTCCCATGCCTCAACATCTCACTTTTTAGAATGCACACTGAATGCCTGGAATCTCTTTGTTTTAGAAAAGACAAAGTTGCATTGTTTTTTTTTTTTTTTTTTTTTTTTTTTTAATTTTTTTTTTTTTTTTATTATACTCTAAGTTTTAGGGTACATATGCACATTGTGCAGGTTAGTTACATATGTATACATGTGCCATGCTGGTGCGCTGCACCCACTAACGTGTCATCTAGCATTAGGTATATCTCCCAATGCTATCCCTCCCCCCTCCCCCGACCCCACCACAGTCCCCAGAGTGTGATATTCCCCTTCCTGTGTCCATGTGATCTCATTGTTCAATTCCCACCTATGAGTGAGAATATGCGGTGTTTGGTTTTTTGTTCTTGCGATAGTTTACTGAGAATGATGGTTTCCAATTTCATCCATGTCCCTACAAAGGACATGAACTCATCATTTTTTATGGCTGCATAGTATTCCATGGTGTATATGTGCCACATTTTCTTAATCCAGTCTATCATTGTTGGACATTTGGGTTGGTTCCAAGTCTTTGCTATTGTGAATAGTGCCGCAATAAACATACGTGTGCATGTGTCTTTATAGCAGCATGATTTATAGTCCTTTGGGTATATTGAAAACTGGCACAAGACAGGGATGCATTGTTAAAAAAATAATATTTCTGGGGAAAAGGCTCAGTGCTCAACGGTTACTCTATAAAGAGATTTAAAAAGAAAGTCAAGGGAAGATAAGGAAGGTAGCATGGCTAACAACCTCGTGGGTTCTACTAGCATTATTTCATGCAAAATGTCATTAACCTTTATATAGGAGAGAATAAGTCTGGGAATCAACTGGCATCTAAACTCCATTTCTTGTTTTGTCACTGCTTCCCTGGTTGACTATGGAAAATACATTTGGTCTTTTGATACCTTGGTTTCAACAACTATAACATGACTTAAGAACTTTTATGCATGGACTTTGTAATAGTTATCTATTTCTGCATACAAATTACTTCAAAACTTAAATCGTCGTTTGAAACAACAAACACTATCTCACAGTTTCTGTGGGTCAGGAGTCCAGACATGGCTTATTGGGTAACCGCCTCAAAGTCTTACTAGGCTGTAATACAGTTATTGGCTAGAGCTGCTGTTTCATCTGAAGGTTCAATTGAGAGAGGATCCACTTCTAAGCTCACTCACATGGTTGCTGGCACAATTCAATTCCTCTCAGGCTATTGGATTAAGGGTCTCAGTTCCCTACTGACTGTTGGTCAGTGAACTTTCCTCAGTTCTTTGCCATATGGGGATCCATAGAACAGCTCACTACATGGCAACTGGCTTCTATCAAAGTGAGCAATAAGGAAGTAAGCAAGAGAGGTTTGCAAGACAAAAGCTACTATCTCTTTATAATCTAATCTCAGAAGTAGCATCATATCCCTTCTGCCATATTCTGTTCATTAGAAGTAAATCTCTGGGTCTAGCCATACTCTATTGCAGAGATCACACAAGGGTGTGAATACAGACACAGGGATTGTTGGGGCTCATCTTAGAGGTCGTCTCCCATAGAGTTAGCTGCCAATCTGAGGGGTCACAGGGACCCATGCATCTGGGCCAGAACACTGGGATTTCATCCCTTAAGCAGGACAACATTCATTCAGAAACATATATATATGTTTATATGTTTCTCACTAATCAAAGAGAGAAGCAAGGCCTGTCCCTGACGAGCTCCCTTTCTCAGATCCGCCCTGAACTGCCTAAGTTAAATCCATGTACCTTGACTAGGTGAACCATAGAGTCCAAGCCTAGAGTTGGGTCCTGGGTTTAATCCTGGTTCTGTCTTAGCCCTATGACCTTAGGCCACTTCTCTTCGGCTTGGTTTTCTTTGCATCAGGAAGTGTCGGATTAGATCCCAACAATGGTTCTCAAATTGGAGTGCCTGTGAAAATCACCTGGGGTCATTTGAAAAATTCCTGATGCCTAGCACACCCCTGACAAATTAAATCAGAAGATCTGAGGGTGAGATTCAGGCAAGAGGACTTCTTAACAGCTCCCCAAGTGATTTCATTGTTCAGCCAAGGTTGATAACTACTCATTTAGAAGATTGGTAATCCTAACTCTGGTACATGGGAACTATCTGAGGAGCTTTAAAAACAAATACAGAAGCCAGAATCTTAGGACAATTAAAATAGAAATCCCTGGGGGTTGGTCCCAGACATGGTGTCTTTCAAAGCTCCCCAGATGATTCTAATGTGTAGCCAGATTTGTGGACCCTCAGGTTTAATGATCTTCAAGAATCCTCTATCTAAGGTTCTAAGCTTGTCCGAATGGACTTGTAGAGCTATAAGCACGTGTACCACCTTCTCAGGAAGGTGGCCGCTCCAATGCTCTCTGACTCTAAAGAATGAAATGATTATTCCCACCCGAACATCCATCTTCTCTGGGTTTACCGTCCCCTACTTACAGTCCGTAAAAAGGTCACCCTAGACTTGACCTCAGTCTCATTGTGACACACACAGCACGCCAGCGTTCTTAACCTTTTTGGTTACAGAGACCCTTTTAGAAACTTCATGAAAATTGTAAGTCATCTCATAAGGAGGATCTTACATGCACATCAAATTGAGCATACAATTTTCATGGATCCCTAAACTCTTGATACAAAGTTAATTCTATCTCACTATAATATAAAAGTCAAAAACTTACATAACCCAGAAAAGCAGAATTTGCAACATAGTAGAAATAGACCAGAGTGAAAGTTCTAATCCTGGTTCCACAACTCACCAGTCAACATTTAGGAGTCACTGAATCACTTGATGCCTCAGTTTACTCATATGCCCAATTAAGAATTATAAAATCATGCACCACATAATGTCTTGGTCAAGTACAGATCACATATGACGATGGTTTCATAAGATAATACTGTGTTTTTACTGTACCTTTGTCACTGTGTTTAGATACACAAATACTTACATTATGTTACTATTGCCTATGGTATTGAGTATAGTAACCTGCTGTACAGATCTATAGCCTAGGAGCAATAGGCTATACCATACAGCATAGGTGTGTCACAGGCTCTCCCACCTTGGTTTGTGTAAGTACACTCTGTGATGTTTGCACACAACGAAATCGCCTGATGACACAATGCTCAGAATGTGTCTCCATCATTAAGAGATACATGACTACCTACCCCATCAATCTTGCCTATTCCAGAAACAAAGTGAAATTAATAATATAAAATTGGTTTGATCAATTTATGAATTACATTGTCATTGAAAGTAGGAGAACTAGACCAGGAGGCACTGGTGTGACCCTGGAGTAGATGGAACTGTTTGTGCATGTGTCTTTCTTACCTTCCATTCTCATAAAGAATTAGCACATTCCCCACATACACCCTGGCCAGACCGTGTCTTTGGGACTGCAGCACTAAGGTGTGTTTTTGTTTGTTAACTTATTCCCAGTGCCTGTGTTGACCAGGAGGCTTTGGGAATAAAGGTACATAAAGGTCTTGGAGCCTGGATGAGCCTGTGGTCAAGAGATGGCAGGCAGTGTCCTTGAATTTGGAATGTGACTCACACTCTGCCTGTAGGGGAAGAAAAGAGAGATCAGACTGTTACTGTGTCTATGTAGAAAGGGAAGACAGAAGAGACTGCATTTTGAAAAAGACCTGCACTTTAAACAATTGCTTTGCTGAGATGTTGTTAATTTGTAGCTTTGCCCCAGCCACTTTGCCCCAGCCACTTTGACCCAACCTGGAGCTCACAAAAACATGTGTTGTATGAAATCAAGGTTTAAGGAATCTAGGGCTGTACAGGACGTGCCTTGTTAACAAAATGTTTACAAGTAGTATACTTGGTAAAAGTCATCGCCATTCTCTAGTCTCAATAAACCAGGGGAACAATGCACTGTGGAAAGCCGCAGGGACCTCTGCCCTTGAAAGCGGGATATTGTCCAAGGTTTCTCCCCATGTCATAGCCTGAAATATGGGCTCCTGGGATGAGAAAGACCTGACCGTCCCCCAGCCTGACACCCTTAAAGGGTCTGTGCTGAGGTGGATTAGTAAAAGAGGAAAGCCTCTTGCAGTTGAGATAGAGGAAGGCCACTGTCTCCTGTCTGCCCCTGGGAACTGAATGTCTCGGTATAAAACCCGATTGTACATTTGTTCAATTCTGAGATAGGAGAAAAACCGCCCTATGGTGGGAGGTGAGACATGTTTGCAGCAATGCTGCTTTGTTATTCTTTACTCCACTGAGATGTTTGGGTGGAGAGAAACATAAATCTGGCTTACGTGCACATCCAGTCATAGTACTTTCCCTTGAACTTAATTATGACATAGATTCTTTTGCTCACATGTTTTTTGCTGACCTTCTCCTTATTATCACCCTGCTCTCCTGCTACATTCCTTTTTGCTGAAATAATGAAAATAATAATCAATAAAAACTGAGGGAACTCAGAGGCCGGTGCCAGTGCAGGTCCTTGGTGTGCTGTGTGCCGGTCCCCTGGGCCCACTGTTGTTTCTCTATACTTTGTCTCTGTGTCTTATTTCTTTTCTCAGTCTCTCATCCCACCCGACTAGAAATACCCACAGGTGTGGAAGGGCAGGCCACCCCTTCACTGCCCTTGGGAGCAAGGGCAGAGCACATGAACTCACCATGCACCAGTTCTGGTCCTTGGTGGGGAAAGGCTGAAACTGGAACCAGGTGTATGAGAAGCAATCTCCCAGACTTCATAGTAGCTGCCAGATTGGCCTCAAGGTTGGCAGAAACCATCCTACCAGTGAGTGCCAGGTGGTTTGGAGCGAGAAGGGAGCATAGCCTGGATTGCTTGAGGCCTGGAGTTTGAGACCAGCCTGGGCAATACATGAGACCCTGTCTCTACTTTTTAAAAATAAAAAGTATTAAGAAATATGAGGAGAAAGAAATCATATTTCATAGTTAACCAACGGGTTGAAGTTGCAGTGCTTTTAGTTATCAGTGGAGATTGTACTGCATATGCTATCTTCAGATTTGAAGGTCATCCCAGTACAAGAACTGAAGATGTTCAACTAATTTAGCTGAAGTGATAACAGCTCTGAGGCAAGAAGAGTATAAGTCTAGGTTACTGGATCAAGGGATAGGTTATTAGGGCTCTCCAGAGGGACAGAACCAACAGAATATATGTATATATAAAAGGGGCTTTATTAGGGAGAATTGGCTCACGATTACAAGGTGAAGTCCCACGATAGGCCGTCTGCAAGCTGGGTAGAGAGAAAAGCTGGTAGTGGCTCAGTCCAAGTCTGAAAGCCTCGAAACCAGGGAAGCTGACCATGTAGCCCAAGAGCCCCCTGCAAGCCATTGGGGCAAGTCCCAGAGTCCAAAGGTCGAAGAACATGGAGTCTGATGTCCAAGGGCAGGAGGAGCAGCAGCAAGCATCCGGCCTGGGAAGAAGAAAGAGAGCCAGAAGACTCAGCAAACTGCTTATCCCACCTTCTTCCATCTGGTTTGTTCTAGCCGCGCTGGCAGCCGATTGGATGGTGCCCACGCATATCGACGGTGGGTTTTCCTTTCCCAGTCCACCCACTCAAATGTCAGTCTCCTCTGGCAACCCCCTCACAGACACACCCAGAAACAATACCAGCTATTTAGGCATCCCTCAATGTCATGAACATACAAAAAGGAAAGTTTTGTGATACTCTGGGAGACTCAGGGTAGGGAGTGGTTCAGTGATATTTTGGGATCATGAAAGGTCTGTTCAGTTTCTGTGTTCCATGGGAGTGGTTCTGAGCTGTTTGATTTAGTCAAACTATTTTAACAATCTCATACCCAAGTCATTCTCTATCCTCATCCACAACTCCCACATGCAAGCCATGCATACGTCTACAGGTGTCACATGGATATATTTTGTTATTCTCATTTCAGAAGAATATATTAACAGCATCCTTTTTCATCTTAATGTATTTTGTATTCATATATGTTAATTACCATACTCGTGTTGGTAATTTTGGCTAAGACAGCATACTTTTGAGGACTGATATATACATTATTTTAATGATATTGGGAATCTATGAATAAAACAAATGCATCTATCTAGTCATGTTTAGAGGACTTGCCTCCACCATTTATACAGCAATTAATTATGAGTAGTCCACTGGATCATTGTTAAAATCTGATTTCCTCTGAATTCTATCTGGAAGAAACTCTCCAAAATTTGTGACATATGAATGGTATTGCCTTGAGTCTCCAGAATTTTTGTAAGCTTGTCTCTTTTTTGTTCAATTTCTTTGGTCTATCCTGCAGTTCCCAAGATGGGGGAATGTCATTTGGAGTGTGACTCGCACTCTGCCCATGAACTCACCATGTACCAGTTCTGGTCCTTGGTGGTGACATTTTAATGAAAATCCTACCTTTTAACATGCACTGAACTCAGTTCTTGAAAGCCAGGTCATGCATTTTCTAGAACTGCGAAAATTGCTTGGTGCTTTTCCATGGTTAGCAATCACTTAGCATTAATACTTTAATAGTAATTGTGTTTCCATGTGGGTAGATGCAGCATTTTAATGAAATCTCCAGATTGTAAGGAAAGTGCATCTAAAGTCCAAGGAAAATATATTTAACAATATTTTAAAGGAGAAAGGAAGAAGAGATTTTGTTAGCTTTCCGAAATTTTAGTCGTTTAAGAGTGACCTTATTAAAATAACCACAAGATGGCATCAGTTTTCTATTTTTAAAGAAATATGGTAGTGGCCGGGCATGGTGGCTCACGCCTGTAATCCCAGCACTTTGGGAGGCCGAGGCGGGCGGATCACGAGGTCAGGAGATCGAGATCATCACCAACATGGTGAAACCCCGTCTCTTCTAAAAATACAAAAAATTAGCCGGGCGTGGTGGCGGGCGCCTGTGGTCCCAGCTACTCGGGAGTCTCAGGCAGGAGAATGGCGTGAACCCGAGAGGCGGAGCTTGCAGTGAGCAGAGATCGCCCCACTGCACTCCAGCCTGGGCGACAGAGTGAGACTCCATCTCAAAAAAATACATATATATATGGTACATTGGACTGAGGATTTCTTTTGTCTTTCATTTTTGCATGTTCCAAGTCCTAGTTATAGCTGCCTCTTGAGTTTATCATTCATGAGCCATAAACCTAGTAGCAGCTGGATCACATTTAAAGTCGATAGATGGAGTAACCAATTTTGGAATTCCATTCCTTGGACCACTTCCACATTAAGGAGAGAATAGCTCAGCTGCTCTCCTAAGCATTTTAGATGAAATGTCAGAGTTGGGGGTTTATACAACGGAGCAAGCCTAAACCCAGGCCCTCTCGCTGTCTATATCTATGATATTTCTTTCCTTCCTTCCTTCCTTCCTTCCTTCCTTCCTTCCTTCCTTCCTTCCTTCCTTTCTTTCTCTCTTTCTCTTTCCCCTGCCTCCCTCCTGTTCTTCCTTCCTTCCTTCCTTCCTTCCTTTCCTTCCTTCCTCCCTCCCTCCCTCCCTCCCTCCCTCTCTCTCTCTCTCTCTCTCTCTTTCTTTCTTTCTTTCTTTCTTTTTTCTCTTTTTCTTTCTTTCCTCCCTTCCTGAAATGTCAAGAGTTGGGGGGTTATACAACAGAGCAAGTCTAAACCCAGGCCCTCTCGCTGCCCGTATCTAGGATATTTCCTTCCTTCCTTCCTTCCTTTCTTTCTCTTTCTTTCTTTCCTTTCTTTCTTTCTTTCTTTCTTTCTTTCTTTCTTTCTTTCTTTCTTTCTTTCTTTCTTTCTTTCTTTCTTTCTTCCTTTCTTCTCTCTCTCTCTTTCTTTCTCTTTCTTTATTTTTCTCTTTTTCTTTCTTTCCTCCCTTCCTGAAATGTCAAGAGTTGGGGGGTTATACAACAGAGCAAGTCTAAATCCAGGCCCTCTCGCTGCCCGTATCTATGATATGATATTTCCTTCCTTCCTTCCTTCCTTCCTTCCTTCCTTTCTTTCTTTCTTTCTTTCTTTCTTTCTTTCTTTCTTTCTTTCTTTCTTTCTTTCTTTCTTTCCTTCCTTCCTTCCTTCTTTCCTTCCTCCCTCCCTCCCTCCCTCCTTCCCTTCCTTTTTTCCTTCTTCCTTCCTTTCTCTTTCTTATGTCTCTCTTTCTCTCTTTCCCTCTCTCTCCTTCCTTCCTTCCTTCTTTCACAGGGTTGTACTCTGTCACACAAGCTGGAGTGCAGTGGCATGATCATGTCTCATTGCAGCCTCCAACTCCTGAGCTCAAGTGATCCTCCCGCCTCAGCCTTCCAAGTAGCTGGGACTAAAGGTGCATGCCACTACACCTGGCTAGCTTTAAAAAAAAAAAAGTGTTTTAGAGATGTGGTCATGCCATGTGGTTCAGGCAGGTCTCAAACTCCTGGACTCAAGCCATCCTGCCACCCTGACCTCTGAAAGTGCTGCTATTACAGACCCCAGCCACTGTGCCCGGCCTGAGGGTATTTCTTTATTACACATCAGCAGATATTTTTTTACCTCCTTAAAGCACAGCAATTAAATGTTTACAATTACTCAACAAATCAGTCACTACAAAGTACTAAGTTCTATAGTAAAACATGTATGTGTTTCAGGATCTGGTTTAATCTACTCTCCTGATTCTAGATGATCTATTCTGATTATTTTATTTCAGTAATTCAGATATCCAGATTACTAATGCTTGTGTGGGTTTAGTAGGTCAATTGAAAAAGGCTACCATTCATTACTCTCCTTTCAGTTTTTCTGTATCATTCTATAAAAGGGATTCAGCTTTTAGGAAATAAAATCAGGCCAAATGTTCTGAGCTCCTCTGCTATCTTTGAGTTACTGTGCAACCCTTTCCTGCTTGTTTCAGAGCTCTAGACTCTGCTATGGGTACAGCTGTAACATGACCTAGAAGCGACATGGCTTATTTTAAAGTAGAATGATTTCTAAAACTACTGAATTTTCTTGGTTATATTTTATTTTTATTTATGATTTTATTATATTATTATCAGAAAATGGTTTATTTAATGTCAGTTCTTTGGAATTTGTTGAGATATCTTTTCTGGTCTAATATATGTAAATCCATATGTACTTGAAAATAATATTTACTCCTTTGTGTACAAGATCCTTTCTCCATAAATGTGCTACACATTTCTGTATCTTTTATCTGCTTTTCCTATCAATTTCTGAGTGAGAGAGATGTAAAATCTTTTACCACGATTGTGAATTTGTTAATTTATCTTTGTAATTCTGTTTGTTTCCATTATATTCTAGGATATTTTGCTTATGATCTTCTTGGAAATCTGTCCTTTTCTCAATATCAAATGTCTCTCTTTACCTCATTAAATATTTGGTACTGAAAAATATCACAATATCAGCACCATTTATTACTTTTTGTGTCTTTTTCTATGCCTTGATTTTTAAACATTTAGTATTGGTTTGTTTTAGGTATGTCTCTTATAGCAGGATTTAAAAAAATTTTAAAAACACCTAATTTTAAAGTTTGTCTCCTAATCGGTGTTTTATACCCATTTGAACTTTTTGAGACAGGGTTTTGCTGTTGTTCAAGCTGGAGTGCGGTGGTACTATCATAGCTTACTGCAGCCTTGACCTCTCAGGCTCAAACAATCTTCTCACCTCAGCTTCCCCTGCAGCTGGAACTACAGATGTAAAATTTATTTTTATTTATTTTTTGTTTTTGTAGAGACAGGATCTCACTATCTTGCCCGGGCTGGTCTTGAACTCGGGCTCAAGAGACCCCCCTGCCTCAGCCTCCCAAAGTGCTGGGATTACAGGCATGGGCCATTGCGCCCAGCCTATGATTTATTTTTGGATTTATTTCTATTATCCTATTTTGTGTTGTCTACCATGACTTTATCCCCACCTGCTTTTTCTGTTGTTATTCTTTGCCCCTTTTGCTGGATTAGGGTGGTTTTCTTTATTTCTGTGATTTGCTTAAAAAGTTACTCTTGAATTTTTAACGTGTATGTCAGCTTCGTATTTCTCTAACAAATTCTAAATCTACTTAGTAAATTCTATTCTAAAATGAACAAAAATATTTATAATATTTTTATTTTTTGCTGGAACACCCAACTTCCATGTTACTGTTATATAGAATTTTAATTCCACTTTGATTTTGAAACACTACATGAAAGTTACTGTTTATTTTTTTCAGTGTTAATACTTGATTTAGTTCAGCAATATGTTTTTGAATTGATTTGCTCACCATTGTATTTCCCTCCCTGCTTGAATCAGTTTTGTTGCTGGTGCCCATTCTTCAGTAGCTTCTTTGCAAATGTCAGTGAGGCAGAAACTCTTGTTTTATTTAAATGTCTGGATATGTGTTTAATTATCTTTTTTCTTCAATGGTAGTTTATTATGTGTAGAAGTTTAGGTTCAGAGTTCTTTACTTTGGGTACATTGAAGATATTTCCCCATGATCCTTTAGCATTCATTTTTGCTTATTTTTATGAGTGCTCTGCTACCCACATGATAGCCATTTCTTTACAGTTAATCTGTCATTTAAATTTTGAAATTTTGAAATTTTGTGGATACATAATAGGTGTATATATTTATGGAGTACATGAGATATTTTCATAGAGGCATATAATGTATAATAATTATATGAGGGTGAATGGGTTATCCATCACCTCAAGCATTTATCCTTTCTTTGTGTTACAAACAATCCAATTATGCTCTTTTATTTTAAAATGTATAATAAATTGACTGTAGGCACCCTGTTTTGCTGTCAAATACTAGATCTTATTTACTCTACGTAACTATATTTTTGTACCCATTAACCATCCCCATTCCCACCCCCCACCCCTACTACCCTTTCTAGCCTCTGGTAATCATAATTCTACCCTCTATCTCTATGAGTTCAATTGTTTTAACTTTTAGCTCTCACAAATATGTGAGAACGTGAAGTTTCTCTTTCTGTGCCTGGCTTATTTCACTTAACATAAAATGTCCTCCAGTTCCATCCATGTTGTTGCAAATGACAGGATCTCATTCTTTTTTATGGCCAAATAGTACTCCATTTTGTATATGCACTGCATTTTCTTTATCCATTCATCTGTTGATGGAGACTTAGGTTAATTCCAAGTCTTGGCTATTGTGAGTAGTGCTTCAATAAACATGCAAGTGCATATATTTCTTCAATATATCAATTTCTTTTCTTTTGTGTATATACCCAGCAGTGGAATTTCTGAATCATATGGTAACTCTATTTTTAGTTTTTTGAGGAACTTCCAACTGCTCTGCATAGTACTAATTTACATTCCCACCAACAGTGTACAAGGATTCCCTTTTCTCCACAGCCTTGCCAGCATTTCTTATTGCCTGTCTTTTGGATGTATGCCATTTTAACTAAGGTGAGATGATATATCAGTGTACTTTTGATTTACATTTCTCTGATGATTGGTGATATTGAGAACCTTTTTATAAACCTGTTTGCCATTTGTATGTCTTCTTTTGAGGAATGTCTCTTGAGATCTTTTGCTGATTTTCTAATCAGATTATTAGATTTTTCTGATTAAGTTGATTGAGCTCCTCATATATATTCTTGTTATTAGTCCCTTGTAAGATGGATAGTTTGCAAATATTTGCTCCCATTTTTTGGGTTGCCTCTTCTGTTTCCATTGCCATGCAGAAGCTTTTTAACTTGATGTGATCCCATCTGTCCATTTTTGCTTTGGTTGCTTGTGATTAGGGGGTATCACTCAAGAAATCTTTGCTCAGTCCAATGCCCTGGAGAGTTTCCCCAAAGTTTTCTTTTAGTGGTTTCATAGTTTGAGGTCTTAGATTTATGTCTTTAATCCATTTTGATTTGATTTTTGAATCTGGCAAGAGATGGGGGTTTAGTTTCCTTTTTCTGCATATGGATATCCAGTTTTCCAAGCAGTATTTATTGAAGAAACTGTCCTTTCCCCAGTGTATGTTCTTGGCACCTTTGTGAAAAATGAGTTCAATGTAGATGTATGGATTTGTTTCCGGGTTCTTTATTCTGTTCTATTCGTCTGCGACTGTTTTTATGCCAGTACTATGGTGTTTTGGCTACTATAGCTCTCTGTGATTGAATTTGAAGTCAGGTAATGTGATTCCTCCAGTTTTTGTTGTTGTTGTTGTTTATATCCCGCCCCCCCACCACACTCAGGATAGCTTTGGCTATTCTGGGTCTTCTGTGGTTCCATATAAATTTTAGGATTGTTTTCTCTATTTCTGTGAAGAATGTAATTAGTTATTTTGATATGGATTGCGTTGAGTCTGTAGAATGCTTTGGGTATTATGGACAGTTTAACAATATTGTTTCTTCCAATCAATGAACATGGACTATCTTTCCATTTTTTGTGTCCCTTTCAATTTTTTTCATTAATGTTTTATAGTTTTCATTGTAGAGATCTTTCACTTTTTTGGTTAATTCTTGGCATTCTATTTTATTCATAGCTATTATAAATGGGATTACTTTTTATTTTGTTTCTTTTTCTGATTGTTGTTGGCATATAGAAATGCTACTGCTTTTGTATGTCGATGTTGTATCCTGAAACTTTACTGAATTTGTTTTTCAGTTCTGATAGTTTTTTGGTGGAGTTTTTAGGTTTTTCCAAATATAACATTATATCATCTACAAAGATAATTTGACTTCCTCCTTTCCAATTTGGATGTCCTTTATTTATTTCTCTTGTCTGATTGCTCTACCTAGGAGTTCCAGTAATCTGTCGTTTTTTAAATGAAGGCTTTACGATTTTTCTCTGTGTTCTGGATACTCTGATGTTTCACTGTGACCTTTCCATTTTTAATTTTTAACTAATGTATTAAGTTGAGCCTACAAGTTCAAGGCTGCAGTGAGCTATGATTGCACTACTTGCATTCCAGCCTGGAAAACAGAGCAAGACTCTGTCTCTTAAAAAAAAGAAAAACGAAAAGTAGTTGTCTGTGGTTCCCTAAAAATAGCTTCAAAACGCTTGGAGTTTTCTGTGTGATGGGAATGGTTTTGTTTTACTGATTAGATGACTCACTGTGGGCCATTAGATAGCTTTAGGATGGGAACTGCCCTCCAAAAAGACCAGGAATAGGATTAGAGGGTTAGAACTTTCAGCCACTTGCCCTCTAGGGCGGGAAAGTTTGGAGATTGAGTTCAGTTATGTGACCAATGATTTAATCAATCATGCCTAAGTAATAAAACTCCAATAAAAACTCTGCTCATGGAGACTTGGGGGAGCTTCCTGGCCGGAGAATACATCAATGTGCCGAGAGCGTGTCATAGCCTGACTGTATTGGGAGAAGCTCTTGTCCTGGACTCTCCCAGACTTTGCCCTATGTGTATCCTTTAAAATAAAACTGTAATAATAAGTATAGCATTTTCTTGAGTTCTTTGAGTCATTCTAGTAAGTTATCAAACCTGAGGAGATAGTGAGAACCCTGAATTTGTAGCCAGTTTGTCAGAAATGTCAGGGGCTGGGGACCCTACTTGTAACTGAATTTTAAAACCTGTAGAGTTTGATGCTAAGTCTGGGTGGTTTGTGTCAGAATTGAATTCTAGTTCACACCTGTCTTAGTCCATTTTGTGCTATTATAAAAATACCACAGACTGAGCAATTTATAGTGAGCACAGATTTATTGGTTCATGGGTCTGGTGGCTGGGAAGTCCAAGATTATATACCTTGCACATAAACTGTTTTTTCAATAGTTTCACATTCAGGATGCCTAATTACTTTTAAATTATACAACATTTCTTGCATAAATTCCCTTTTATAACTTTTTTTCACGACTTTTACAGACAATTCTTTGGCATGCCTCAGCTTTCTTACTTGTTGCAAACATCCCTTTCTTTAAACAACCAGTTAATTTATTTTAGGATAAGGATTTACCATATAACATTCCTTTTTACATAAATTCTCCCCCCCCCCCCTTTTTTTCTCAAAGATGATAACCATTCTTTTCCAAAGCAAACTTCCTTCATGTCTGTGGACTAGACTGTCTAAGGCTACAAGATTAGAAGTTAGGCTAATACATGTTACACTGTTAACTTTTAGCAAATTTACTTTTGTTGAATACCTTGTAAGTTTGGGATTTCAATTATTCTTTGCTATTAATAAGACTTTGTTCAGTCCACATTAACTTAGAATTGGTATAGATGGCTCTTCCCTGATTCTGTAAGCACTTTAAGGCTTGGCTGAGTGCAAACAGCTCATAAGTTTGAGCAGACCAATTATTAGGCAGTTTTCCTGACTCTGCTTCTACAAGAGTTTTCTTATCACTTACTGAATACCCATTGTGTCTTTTTCCCTCAGTCACCTGGGAGGAACCATCTATCGTCCTGTCCTGAAGGGAGTTCCTCCTAGGTTTGGTTGGACCTTTGTATGGTAATTAAGATTTAGATTTCCCTGTTAGGAAACCTGCTGGGTTAAGGGAATTTTCAGTGGTTAATATTACATCGTCTTTTTCTAACAGAATAGCCTTGTACTTTAAGGTTCTTGAGTCTTGAGTCTTGAGTCTTAAGCTACATTTTTGCTTTTTTTTTTTTTTTGACTTAGGATAGTTCTGACCTGATGAGGTGTGCTCACAATGAGGTTTCCTCTAAAAGTTATTTTTCTACTTTTTCTGTTAGCAAAGCAGTTGCCGCTACAGATTGAATGCATTTGGGCCATTCGCTGGTTACTGGGTTAAGGATTTTGATTAGGAGGGCTACCGGTTGTCAGTGGCCTCAGTGCTTTCAGGCTACGCCCTTGTTCACACTGACAACAAGGTGGCATTGGAGTGTTATAGGGTCATGGAGAAGACCTTCAATTATCAATTATAGGTTTTAAATTTACCCTGGCTTTTAAAGGAATAGGATACACTGTCTTCTCTTTACTACTTCTATCTCTCTCTTTCTCTCTTTGACTTTCTGTCTCTCTCTCTCTCTGACTCCCTCTTTGTCCCTCTGTCTCTTCCTCTCTCTGCCTCTCTGTCTCTCTCTCTCTCTTTGATTCCTCTTTGTCTTTCTGTCTCTTCCTCTCTCTCTCTCTTTCCTCTCTCTCTCCCCTCTCTCTCCCCCCCCCCTCTGTCTCTCTCTCTCTCTCACTCTCTCTTTCTCTCACTCTCTCTCTCTTTCTGTTTCCTCTCTGCTGGTCTTTCCCTGCCTCTGCTAGCCACTTATGCTGCTGTTCCCTCCTCTCCTTCCCCTTCCCCTAGGGGAGGGACCGGCGGGAGAGGAGCTACTCTTTCTTCCCTCGAGAAGAAAGGAAAGGGGGATTCTGAATATTTTTCTTGCTACCAGAGGTTTGTGTGAGGTTCAACCCCCTCCGTGGGGATTTCTCACCTCTTTTTGAGTTTCAACCCCCACCCCCCATGGGGATTTCTCACTTCTTTTTAACCTCTAAGACATCCCGACTAAGGAGTACTTCACCGCCCCCCACTGCTTTCTTTCCCTAGTCCAGCCTAAGGAATGCTTTACCACCTCTGTGGTTTCTCTTTCCTTGGTATGTCCTAATCAAGGAATGCTTTACTACCCCGTGGCTTTTTCCTTAGTCGCGACCACCAAGGAAATACTTTACCGGCTCCTGCAGCTTCTCCTTCCTTGGTCTGTGCACAGAGTCGTGGCTGCAGTATATGAGGATCCTTTAAGCTAGGTTGCTGGCCAGTTTCTTTCCACGTTGCTGAGAGCTCAGGTTATTCCTGGCACTGGGTGGGTCATGATTTCTCACCCCTGAGGCCATCACAAGTGGGCAGGGTGCGCCTCCTCACGAGAGAGAACCAGAGACCGGCCCTGGAAGGGAACTTAATCATGGGCGAGCCCCCAAATTGTTATAAATAAAGTTTCGGTGCTGCAAAATAAATAGCTCTCAAATATAAAATTTTCTTTTTAATTATCAGCAAGGCAAGTTACTTCTATAGAAGGGTGCGCCTTTACAGATGGAGCAATGGTGAGCAGCACACTTGGACAAGGGAGGGGAAGGGGTTCTTATCCCTGACGCATGTGGCCCCTGCTGCTGTGTCATTCCCCTGTTGGCTAGGGTTAGGCTGCACAGGCTAAACTAATTTTGATTGGCTAATTTAAAGAGAGTGATGGGGTGGTGAGTGGTTTGGCAGGAAAAATGGTTATGACAGAGCAGGTAATTGGAATGAGTCAGGGTGGAGCAGGTAATCAGAATGAGTCAGGGTAGAGCAGGTAATCGGATTGAGTCAGGGTGGAGCAGGTAATCCACATGAGTCAGGGTGGAGTAGGTAATCGGAATGAGTCAGGGTGGAGCAGGTAATCAAAAAAGATTGCTTTACAAGGAAGTTAAGTTTAAAAGTAGAAGGCAAAGAATTGAACATACTGACATTGATTCTTTGAAGAGAAATTTAGAACTCATATCCAACAAGTCCATTAGATTGGAGTGCTAAAAAATGGGTCCCATGTGACCTGCATGGTGGTGTGGATTTGTAGTCCTAGCAACTCAGGAGGCTGAGCCTGGGAGTTTGGGGCTGTGGTGAGCTATTATTATGCCACTGCACTCCAGCCTGGGTGAGACCCTGTCTCTGAAAAAAAATACACACACACACAGACATGTAATTTATTATATGATCTGGTGGATAAAAGGCTTAAAAATTGGAACTATAAAGAGCAAAACATGAATTTTCTCTTTGCCCTAGACCACTCCTCCTTTCAATTTTCACTCTGTTCCTGAACTTTCCTATTTTCACATTGTTCCTCAATAGTAACCATTGTTAGCTATTTAGTGTGAATCCTTCCCAAACTCTGTTTGTCAGTATAGCCACACACACACACACACACACACACACACAAACACACACACGTGCACCCACAGTGCATCTGGATCACTATATATATATATATATATATATATGATTATGATTGTCAGTTTTACACATCAACTTGGCTAGGGTACAGTTTCCATCGTTCAATCAACACTAACCTAGGTGTGTTGCTGTAAAAGCATTTTTGTAGATGTGATTAAAATCTATATTCTGTTGACTTTGAGTAAGGGAGACGATCCTAGATAATCTGGATGGGCCTGAATCAATCATTTGAGAGTTCTTAAGAGCGGAGCTGAGTCTTCCCTGAAGAAAAAGGAATTCTGCCTGTGGATAGCAGCATCAGTTCATGCCTGATAGTTCCAGACTTCTCTCCCTGATGGCCTGCTCTATGGTTCTCAGACTGCCTAGCCAGCCTGACAATTGCATACACATATTCCTTGCAATAAGTCTCTTAATATGTATTTCCTACTGGTTTTGTTTCTTTAGTTGAACTATGACGGATATATATATATATATATATATATATTTCTGTAGCTTGCTTTTTCACTAACAATGCGTCTCAGAGATGGCATATTTAACTGCTGCGTAATGTCACAAAATGTCACACAAATAAGGATATAGCATAGCTCATCTAATCATTCTGTTATTGGTGGATATTTGTTTTTCCCAATTTAAAAAATGGTGGTAAAATATACATAACATAAAATGTACAACCTCAACCATTTCTAAGTGTACTGTCCAGTGGCATAATGTTGTACAACCATCACCACCATCCATCTCCAGACCACTCATCTTGCACAACAGAAACCTTGTATCTCTTAAACCACTCCCCATTCCTCCCTGCCCCCAGCCCCCATCTAACCATCATTCTCCTGTCTATCTCTGTGATTTTGACTACTCTAAATAAATATCTCAGATAAGTGAAATCATACAGTATTTGTCTTTTTGTGATTGGCTTATTTCATCTAGCATGATATCCTCAAGGTTCATCCATGTTTTAGCCTATGTCAGAATTTCCTTCCTTTATAAGGCTGAATGACATTCTATTGTACCACATTTTGCATATCCCTCAAACATTGATGGACCCTTGGGTTGCCTCCATGTTTTAGCTGTTGTGACTAATGCTGCTATAAACATGGGTGTATAAAGCTCATGGCTTTCATGAGACCCCACTGCGCATCCTTGACTTAAGGGTTTGGTCAGGGGAGAGCAGAGCAGATTCTTTGGTGCCTATTCTGCTGGTACTGTAGAAGGGAGAGCTGCATGACATAAGCCCTATTTTTTCTTAACATTTTCATTGCATGGAATTTGTATGTACAGTAAGAGTTGGCATAAGCCAGGGCTTATATGCTTTAATGAAACTGAAAGAATCTCAGTCCAGAAAGGCTGCTAGGTTACTTGCATAGGTGTTGCTTTATTCTGTGGGGCCAGTGGCTCTTTTGGTGACATACCATGTAGCAGCTGGAAAACATTAATTACCATTTTCTGTACCTGTCAAAAATGTTTTATAATCATTACCCGAATTATATGCATGTACATATATGATTTTATATATGTATGTGTGTATATACACACACACACATATATGCATATTGTAGTAAATCACAGTTGTGAACCCCAAAAATCTGAGACAGGTCTCAGTTAATTTAGAAAGTATATTTTGCCAGGGTTGAGAATGCACACCTGTGACACAGTCTCACGAGGTCCTAATGACATGTGCCCAAGTGGTCAGAGCACAGTTTGATTTTACACATTTTAGGGAGACATGAGGCCTCAGTCAACTTAGGTAAGATGAACATTGATTTGGTCTGGAAGGGCGGGACAAATCGAAGTGGGAGGGGGCTTCCAGGTCATATGTAGGTAAGAGACAAATGGTTGCATTCTTTTGAGTTTCTGATGAGCCTCTCCAAGGGAGGCCATCAGATATGCATTTATGTCAGTGAGCAGAGGGGTGACTTTGAATAGAATGGCAGGCAGGTTTGCCCTAAGCAGTTCCCAGCTTGACTTTTCCCTTTAGCTTAGTGATTTGGGGGCCCAAGATATTTTCCTTTCACACAGGAAAGAAAATATTCCTAATAAAGTGAACTACTGGTGTGAAATGAAGTAGACTTTAAAACTAAAATAAATATGAGTTGGATCTTGAGCTGAGTAGCAAGTTTAAATTAAAAGCCATACAGAAATAAATAACAGCAATTTGATTTTGCTTTCTTTAATTGTCACACAACAGCTTTATATATTTTAGTATCTAAAAAGCACAGGCAATATCTTAGACTTCACAGGTCACTTCTGAGAGCTGGTGGCAATTTATCCTAAACACAAACTGATTAACCAATAAGAATATTCTGAAGTATTCAGTCTGGTTATATTGTTGCAGCTAAGCTGCAAGATCTCCATTTTTGACAGTTGTGTTTAGTATGAAAATAATCTTTGTCATATTTTCAGGACTTTAAAAAATTTGTGAATTACTGTTGACATTTTTTAACATCAGAGTGAAATAGATTTTTTTTTACCTAAAACTGAGGAGGTTACATAAAAGAGTTTAAATGGTTTATTCCTGTTGATTGGGATCTGTTATTCCTTCTTTACTTCTCTACTTTTTCCCCCTTTTTATTTTTAACAAAGAAAGTTTCACAACATTGGAGGCTTTATTTTGGTCTATTTTTTATCTTGGTTTGCTAAATGTACTTTCTTTTGACTATTCAGTAGAAATACCTGTCTTGAGTCTAAAACCTGTTGATGTAAAAAACAAACAAACAAACCCCAGACTGTAAAATATTTTAAAGAGGTTTATTCTATACTAATATGAGTGGCTGTGGCCCAGGGAACAGTCTTGAGAGCTTCTGAGAAAGCGTGCCTAGGCAGTTGGGTTACAGTTTGGTTTTATACATTTTAGGGAGATAGGAATTGCAGGTAAAATACTAAATTAATATATGGAAAGTCTATATTCGTTCAGCCTAAAAAGGTGGGATATCTTGAAGTGGGCAGTGAGGTGGGGGTGAGGTGGGGTGGGATTACAGGTCCTAGGTGGATTCAAAGATTTTCTGGTTGGCAATTGGTTGAAAAAGTTAAGCTTTGTCTAAAGATTTGAAGTCAGTAGAAAAAAATGCTTGAGTTAAGATAAGGTGACTTATGGAGACCAAAGATCTTGTTTTGAAGATGAAGTCTCATAGGTAGCAGCCTTCAGAGAGAATGCATGGTAAATGTCTTTTTTTCAGATCTTAAAATATATCAGACTCTTAGTTAATCTCTCCTAGATCCAGGAAAGGCTTGGAAAGGGAAGGCCTGGCTGCATTCATAGAGATTCTCTACAGATGCAAATTTCCCCCACAAAAGACAGCTTTGTGAGCAATTTCAAAATATGTCAAATAAATATATTTTGGGGTAAAATACTTTGATTTCTCTCGCGGTCTGCCATGTATCATGCAATGCTATACCAGAGTCAGGTGGGAATTTGGTATCTTATTGCCACAAAGAGTCTGTTTTTTCAGTCTTGTGATCTCTATTTAATGTTGATGCTGGTTGGTTCTGCCTAAACTCCAAAATGGAGGGGACATAATCAGGTATGTCCAAACTCTCTTCCTGTCATGGCAGGAATTCAATCTTTCAGATTTCTCTGGGGTCTTCTTGGCTAACAAGGGATCCATTTTGTCAGCTGGAGGGTGCTTAGGAATTTATTTTTGGTTTACAAACCTATTAAACTTTCAGTGGCCATCAGAGAAATGTCCTCATCCTCATGGCTATCTTCTTATAATGTTTACAGTACCACCAGATTATTAATTTACTTAAGGTAATTAGAACTCTATCAGATAAAAGTGAAAGGAAATCTTTTTTAAATAAAAGCACTTTCAAAAGTAATTGATTAAATATATATTGTGGAGTCTTACAAAACAACTTAGCTTCTGGAAGGTCAGGGGTATAGCTGGGCCTTGGGAACACCTGGAACCAAGCCTTGAGTTCCCTCAGGAGTCTCATGGTTTATCCATTTTTCTGCCTGCCCTGGCTTCCTTTTCTTTGAAAACAGAGGAATTTTTCTCCAAAAGTCTGCTAGTAGACTTGAGTTTGAATTATAAGAGTTTCTTGATTCCAGTTCTAAAATTCTAGGAAAAGGACACTGATTGGCTTAGCATGGGCCATGTGCCTGCCTATAGACCAATTAAGTACTACAAGGAAATGAATACAACAGTAACAATATCTTGGCTCCGGTGACCACTCCTGGTGGTCAGTCAGTTGTATCCTGGAAGTAGGGTCATAGTGTTGCAGAATATTGCTCCTTAGTTCAGCTAAAACTGGGTTCTTGTCACACGACCAGGAAAATTTAGGCACGCACACACACTGAAGGGTGAGTAGAACAGGATTTTATTGGGTGAAAAGAGAAAAAAAGAAAAAAAAAAAACTCAGCAAAGCAAAATGGAGTCCTGCTAACAGGCCTCCCACCTCACAGATTGAATCGCAGGCCACTGCACAGGAACTGAAGAGGCCAGGCTCCTCCCACTGCCTGTGGCTCCCCCCCACCTTTTCCCAAGTGCACATGTGGGCATGCTCAGACAAGGCCCTGGGCAAGTTCCCTCATCTGCATAAAAGTATCTAATGTAAACACTTGTGGGGCAGGTCGGAGATTCTCCAGGGTCCCTGTATTAGTCAGGGTTCTCTAGAGACAGAACTAATGGAATATATATATATATATAAAGGGGAGTTTAGTAAGTATTAACTCACATGATCACAAGGTCCTGCAATAGGCCATCTGCAGGCTGAAGAGCAAGGAGAGCCAGTCCAAGTTCCAAAACTGAAGAATTCAGAGTCCTGTGTTTGAAGGCAGGAAGCATCTAGCATGGGAAAAAGATGTAGGCTGAGAGGCTAGGCCAGTCTCTCTTTTCACATTTTTCTGCCTGCTTATATTCTAGCCACACTGGCAGCTGATTAGATGGTGCCCACCCAGATTAAGGGTGGGTCTGCCTTTCCCAGCCCACTGACTCAAATGTTAATCTCCTTTGGGAACACGGTCACAGACACACCCAGGATCAATACTTTGTATCCAGTCAAGTTGACACTCAGTATTAACCATCACAGACCACTTAACCATTATAACCATGTGTGAGATTAGCCAAATTACTTCATTTTTCTGTGCCTCCATTCCTTTATCCGTAAAATGGGATTAAATTGTTCCCCTTTCATAGAGTTGTTTGAGGATTTTATGAGAAAATGCAGCATTCTTTGTAATAGTGCAAACCTGGAACCTGGAAACAATATAATAGAAACACTCATTACTGTATTAGGCTGTTTATGCATTGCTATAAAGAAGTATCTGAGACTGGATAATTTATTAAGAAAAAGGTTTAATTGGTTTATAGTTCTGCAGGCTATACAGGAAGCATAACACAGGCATCTGCTTCCAGGGAGGCCTCAGGAGGCTTACAATTGTGGTAGAAGGTAAAGGGGGAGCAGGTATCTCGCATGGTGGGAACAGGAGGAAGAGAGAGAGAGAGACAGAGACAGACAGAGAGAGAGAGAGAGAGAGAGAGAGAGAGAGAGAGAGAGAGAGAAAGAGGTGCCATGCCTTCAAATAGCCAGATCTTGCAAGAAGTCACTCATTATTGCGATAGCACCAAGAGGATGATGCTAAACTACTCATGAGAAATCCACCCCCACAATCCGATCATCTCCCACCAGGACCCACCTCTGATACTGGGGATTACAGTTCAACATGAGATTTGGGTGGGAACACACATCCAAACCATGTCAATTACCAAGGGACAAGTTAAAGAAGTTGGTGGACTCAAGCAGTTGACCGCTATGCAGACAAAATATATGTCCCCAGCAGAGGGCAGGCTTCTACCTACAACACATGTGATCATTTTCCCCGGTCCCTCTAGTTTGCAGAGGTTGAGGGCAGAGCTCAACCTGGAGTGTACAGCCTGAGACAGAGGGACCATGCTCCCTGTGTCCTAATGGGAAAGGACTCTTCTTGGGTAGAAATGTAGTTACTGAGTTTTGCTTTCTCCTATAGAGGAAAGATGAGCAAAAACAGGGAGATGGAGACCTGGTGAAGAGAGGGTGCAGAAGTGGCTAAGTGGGGTGATGGTGGTGAGGAGATTTGTTGGTGAACTACAGCCCGTAGGCCAAATCCAGCCCACCGCCTGATTTTGCATGGCCCAGGAGTGAAGAATGATTTTTTACATTAAAATGATTGAGAAATAAATTTTTTAAAAGAACAATATTTCATGACTTGTGACATTATATAAAATTCAAATGTCAGTATCCATAAATAAAGCTTTATTGGAAGATGCCAGACTCATGCACTTATGTATCGTCTAGGGCTGTTTTCCCCTGTGCAGAGTTGAAGAGTTTGGCAGAGACCACATGGCTCCCAAAGCCTAAAGTATTTACTATGTGATCCTTTACCAAAAAAGCTTGCTAACCCCTGCCTTATAGTATAATGTATGATTTTTTTGAAGAGTTAAACAAATTTAACATTTGCTGAGCTCTCTTTCTTGCCCAGCATGGCTATGGGCTCTTCTCATGTATGTAATATAATTCTGTAAACAATCCTATAAGGCAGGTACCATTATTATCTTCATTTCACAAATGAGAAAATTGAGACACCTCAGTAATTTTCTCAAAGTCAGACCATTAGTGAGTAGAAAAGCTGGGATATGAATCTAGGCTGTCCAGTTCCAGAGCAATAATGTGTAATATCTAGTTTCATTTTCTGGCTTGTTAGGTGATGTAATTCCTGCCAGTTATTTCTCAAAATGTCAGTATCTCTATGCAAACCATCACTTACTTGATCAGCCTTGCTGTGGAGAAAGGGATTGGGGTGTGCCTACACTTGGGGCACAGTGGGAGAGGACGCAATGGGAGGGGACAGTAACCTGGAGGAGTGGCACCAATTCACTCCTGGATTTTGCATCTGATGGCATCACAGAAGGGAGGAAATCATTGCACCCGCGTGTATGTGTGGTACATACATAGCAAATGTATAGAAGGTTTCACCCCAAACTGCAAATACTCTTTGCTCTTAAGGAATGAAATGGATAATGTAGAATTGGGAGATGTCTACATTTTAATCCTACATTGTTTGAAATTTTAAATGAAGTGAAATTTTAATGCTGTTTTTAGAAACCCGCATAATATGGTGAAAAGAACTCTCTGGCCTGGTTTTCCCTTTTGGGAGGCAAATCGGCTTAACTCTCCTTTAAGTGTCTTAGATATTGAGAAGAGATAGATTATTTAATAATCCATTTCCCCAGGATGGTGCCCAGAGGGAAAGAAGATTATCCAGCCACCAAGAAATGCCCAGATCCTCTATTTCAGATGAACCTGACTTAATCAGGAGTGGAAGGCACCCTTTCGTCTTTTCAGAGTTACACAGGGGCCCTGGGTTTCCTGTTAACATGAAGATGTTCATGTGCCCCAGTCCCAGCTTGTCCCACGTGACTGTCCTGTGGCCTGTTAGGAACCGGGCCATACGGCAGGAGGTGAGCAATAGGTGAAACAGGATTACTGCCTGAGTCTCGCCTCTTGTCAGGTCAGCCGTGGCATTAGATTCTCATAGGAGCGCAAACGCTATTGTGCACTGCACGTTCCAGAGATCTAGGTTGCACACTCCTTATGATAATCTAATGCCTAATGATCTGAGATGGAACAATTTCATCCCCAAGCCATCCCCCTAACCCGCCCCTGTTCGTGGAAAAATTGTGTTCCATGAAACCGGTCCCTGGTGCCAAAAAAGATGGGGACCACTGCAGTATACCTTTCATGCCAAGGTCAGGCCCAGCCAGTGACAGAGCCCAGGAGGGAGGCCTAGGACCTGGCCATTTCTGCCTATTTCCTCTAAGGATCAAGTTCTGCCCTGGGGCTCCCTGGGGGCTGGTCAGACCTTCTCAGAGCTGCCCCTCACTCAGAGGCTCTTTCCTCCCCATTCTCCCTCCTTCCCCTCTCCTTTCCTAGGGGTCAGCCTTGCAGCACCCTCCCAAAACCCTCCCTGCCTCCTGCTGCCACTGTTCTTATCTGCAAAAAGTGTTCCTCCCAATAAATGTCTTTCACGTCTAGCTCTGTCTTGACACCTGCTTCCTGAGGACCCCAAATGACACGTGCTTCCCATCTATCTGTATGATGGTTTTGTTTTTTTCACTTTTTGAAAATTACGTTTTGCCAGAAAGTCAAAGATAATCGTCTGTACCAGTTTAGCCTGCATATCTAGCATAGCATTTACACTAATATTTGCAGAATGAATGAATAAGAAAAAGCCTATTTTGCTTTCAGAGGCCACATGCACAACCAGAACCTGCAGTCTTGGTTGGGTTGGAACCCAGAGCTGAAGACAAACCAGGCCATGTTGCTGACTGTGCTTCAAAGCAACTGGAAATGCCTGGAAATCTCCTTACACTCGAGCTGCTTGGGTGTCTTGCTTTTGAATGTGTCCGTGTCTCCTACATGACCTAGTTTCTCCTCACTGAGTCCCTACCAGGGCAGAAAAGGGGCAGGCATGTGACAGACCATGAAGGTACTGCCCTAGGCAGAAGAGGTGCTGTGGCCTGCCAGGGCTGAGAGGCAGCCCCGTGCTGGGGAGGTCCTGGCACTGCGGTCCAACCCTCTGCACGCTGCCATTGAGGCCCTGCGGCTGAGTTACTCCCCAGGCCAGGTGCGGGTAGAGGAGGGCAGTCATGGCCACAGCCACAGGCTGAGTGGGAAGGGAGCTGGTTTCTTCAGGCCCTTGGAAAATCGGGGAGGAACTGGTATGCTAATTCAGAAATTCTCTCATAGCCTTGACAGGTACAAAATCTCTGAAAACCGGTATTTAAAATTATATTTCTAATCATGCCATTTTCTCTGCTTGGCAATTCAGGAAGTTGAATAGATGATTATGAATCATCCGCAAGTGTGGCTAATTAAATATTTGATCAATAGAATTTAGTGCTTTTCATCTGCAGAGAGCTTTCCTAACATTAACTAATTGAGCCAAAGGAAGGTATCACCTTCATTCTACAGATGGCAAAACTGGCAAAGGGAAGAGCTTTAAAGAAGCCACAAAATAAAACAAAAATTAAAAAGCGTGTGCATGCAGGCGGAGGGAAGCCTGGCTAAGAGGAACTGTGGTTCGCAGACTCCCCCAGCCCTTGGGCACGTTCATGTCACTGCACAATTTATCACTGCTTGCATCAGGGCAATGGGAACATTCCCAGGTCAGCCCATCGTAGAGTTCAGGTTCCTTGAACTGGAAACAAATGAGCCGGACGGAGCTGGAGTTGGCCCCTGGGGTCTTTAGGGGAAGGTCTTGGCCCAGTTCTGTGCCTAAGAGCAGAGGCTTCCTCTGCAGATCCTAGGACTGTGAAGCCGGAGGCGGCGCTGGAGTTGGAGCCTTGGCTTCTGCTGTGAGCAACAGCGCCACCTGCTGGCCATAGCCTTCCCTCAGCGCGGCTGCCCCTCGCCAGATGCAAAGGTTCCTCCTTTGTCGCTTCCGTATTTCCTTCCCTGGCCAGTCCCTGCATTTCCTTTCCTGGCTTCTCCAGCTGGAGGGAGGCAGCTGACAGGTTATATCAAACCTGATAGAAATCTGTTAGAGAGACATTCGGATATTAACAGCAAACATCTCCCCCTAACCCTATCACCCCTGGATAAAATTAGTGTTCATGAGGAAAGGTCTCATTCCCAGGCAGGTCTCGTTCCTCAGCTTCCACTGGAATGGGTCTCTTACCAGCGATGGGAGAATGAGGAAGAACTGAATGTTGGAGACCCTCCTCAGTAAAGGGCACAGCAGGTGCTTCTCGGGGCTGCCTGCGAGGATGTGATGAAATCATGCAGAGAAAGCAGCCTGTTCGGGCGGGGCCTGCGATTCCTCTCCCGCCCTTACCTAAAGCCCTCCCTGAAGCAGGAGGTGACCTTGGGCCTCAGTTTACCTCCATTATTCAACAACAATCAGGTACAGGGGAATGCGGACCACCACATCTGGGTGCCGTCCTTAAAGAGCCTTGCCCCACCCAGCTCTGTTATCTTAGCCGAGTCCCGTAACTTTCGTATGCCTTGGTCTTTTGTTTATGACATGACCAATCTATCTCCCAGGGCCATTCAAATATTTTTTAAGAGTCAAAATCTAAAAAGATTAATACTTTAAAATAGCAAGATAAGATTCCAAAACTTTCGATATTTTCAATGCAACAGAACAATTTCCTTTTCCTGAGCAGCTTATAAGATCAGAGCAGCATTTGGTAGAGCTGCCTCATGGTCACTGATGTCTACCGAGAAACGGCATTACTGTGTGGGAAACGCAAGTCCGCCATTTTCCACGTACCATATTGCTTGCTGGAGATTTCAGAAATATCTTTACATGAGGATCAGATGAGAGGAGAATGTAACAGAGTCAGCACCTCTAATGGTTTCAACATCAAGATCCAAGATAGAAGTGCTAGCGCAGGGCGCAGGATACTATGAAACCAGCCCCAGCCCTGGAAACACCCCGGGCCCCATGAGAAAGGGACGCACTAGGCCTGGGGATCCTGCGGACCAGAGGAATCAGTCGCAGGTGCTGTTGCCGGGTCATCCCCACATCTGAAGAGTCCCTTAGCCGGGTTCCCCTGGCCCGTCCATGTCCAAGTCCACTTTCCTTCTGTGCACCCTCACCTCAGCCTTGAGGCTCTACTTGCTATGCCCTTATCCTGCCTGTGCCACACGTAGGAGACTGGGTGTGCCTCTCCTTTCCCTCTCCTCCTTCCAGATCTTCTCTTTGGAGCTGATGGCTGGAGAACTGATGTCCAGTTGCAGTGAGAAATCCTGCCAGTCCTTCGAGGCTGATTCAGAGGACACCTCCTCCCGGAAGCCACCCTGATTCCTTCCCCTCCCTCCCACCTCCAGCCAGAAGTCCCTCCTTTGGACATGATTAGTTTCCTTGGGCTGTTGTGACAAAGTACCACAAACTGGGCTGCTTAAACAACAGAACCTTTATCGTCTTGCAGCTCGGGAGGGCGGAAGTCTGAGATCAAGGTGTGGGTAGGGTTGGTTTCTTCTAAGGCCTCTCTTCTGGGCTTGCAGAGGGCCGTCTTCTCCCCGTGCATCTGCACACGGTCTTCCCTCTGTGCATGCCTGCCGCCACTTCCCAATTTCCCCTTCATATAAAGACAGTAGTCAGATTGGATTAGGCCTACCCTGAAAACCTCATTTAACTTAATTACCCAAGGATCTCCAAATAAGGTCACATTCTGAGGTACTAGGGGTTAGAACTCCAATCTTTTTGGGGGAGTGGGTGAGGAGGAAAAAGTGGGGCACAATTTCACCCAGAACAGATTCTTGTTGCACTGCTATTATTATTATTATTTTTAGAGACAAGGTCTCACTGTGTGGTCCAGGCTTGAGTACAGTGGTACAATCATAGCTCACTGCAGTCTTGAATTCCTGGGCTCAAGTGATCCTCCCACCTCAGTCTCCCAAGTAGCTGGGACTACAGGTGTGCCCACTATGACTGGCTAATTTTTAAATATTTTTATAGAGATGGGGTCTCACTGTGTTGCCCAGACTGGTCTCAAACTCCTGAGCTCAAGCCATCCTCTTGCGTTGGCCTCCCAAAGTGCTGGGATTACAGTGTGAGCCACCATGTCTGACCCTGCATCATTATTTGTGCTTCTTGGTGAATTATCATTATTTTCACCTCTCCTGGAATGCAGGCCCCTTGGGGCATCAGAGCCTAGATATAAGGCGTATTTGTGTTCTGTTGACCCTTAAGCTAAGCACCCACTCAATAAATATTTGAATGAACAAGTAGTAAATATAAGTATTCATGAATGAATGCGGACCACTGCAAATAATGAGGGCTCTGGAATGTGCAACATGATACTAGAAATAGACTTCAGCAGATGCTGTGGCTGTGGTGATAACTGTATGTGAATCTGGGGAAAGACCCCATCTGACCAAAAAAAAAAAGTCTTCCCCACTGGGACCTCAAGTGTCATTGGCAAACGATGCTCCCTGCTGGATCTTTGCAGTTCCTGTTTTTAATAATGAATGGCCTCCTTCAGGAAGGGAAGCATGGAGGGTGAGCCTGGAGGATGAAAGGAAGTCATAAGGACAGGTAGGGTCCTGCTGCATCGTTGTCTTTTAGGACGGGCTCTGACACTAACCAAGTCTTGCAATCCCAAATGCACTCTTCCCCCGTTTGCTGTCTTCCATCTGCAGAAACCACTACTAAACATTGGGCTTGTTTTATTTTTCTTTGCTTCCATATGGGCTCTTGGTCAGTCGTTTCTCAATATTTCTTTTTTTTTTCGAGACAGGGTCTCACTGTCATCCAGGCTGGAATGCAGTGGTGCAATCACAGCTCACTGCAGCCTCAACCTCCTGAGCTCCAGCAGTCCTCCCAGCTCAGCCTCCTGAGTACCTGGGACTACAGGGACATGCCACCACACCTGGCTAATGGTTTAATTTTTTGTAGAAACAGGGTCTCATCATGTTGCTCAGGCTGATCTGAAACTCCTGGGCTCAATCTGTCCTCCCACTTTGGCCTCCCAGAGTGCTGGAATTGCAGGCATGAGCCACTGCGCCCAGCTAATATTTATTTACCCTTATGGAGCTAACAACTCGTGTTCCAGCCATTTCAGGATGAATGCTAAAACGGTGTTCAGATGGTAAATTTGGGCTTAATTCAGTGAGATTTAATAATAGACAATTTATGTCAATTTCCAAATAATACAAGTCAGTTCCAATATATCCCTTAAGAGACTTCCAGAACCCCATGGCGTCAGATGTGAAGAACAATCCCCACAGCTCTGCTGAGGCTGGGAGGGCGCTGGGGCTGTGGCATCCTCCGCGCTCCCTTTCTTTCTGTTAGCTTGCATTCGCTTCTGCTCCTGTGGCTTCCTTTTCAATCTCAGCTGCGCGACAGAAAAGCTCAGTAAAGGCCAGTTCAGTATTAGAAACAAGGGATACTGGTCTGTTCATCTTTCTTCTCTATTAGTCCTCAAGGATCAGCTTTAGACACTGTGAAATCAGTGGGGCATTTCCATACAGACTCCACACTCGCAGCGCATCCATGGTACTGATGGTAGGAACAGAAGCCTCTGATGCTTTCCCCTGGCAGGTCCATCTTTCTGATCTAATCCTGGGGGTGCATCCATTGTCAGAGGTCTGAAGCAGCCCAACATCCTTTCTCTGGGGAGAAGAGCAAATGCATGCAATGCAATGTATTTTCTTTTCAAAAAGAGGAAGGCTTCTTTGGGCCAAATGCCCTACCAATATAGTTAATTTTCAGTTATTTGCATTTGAATTACCTTGATATTTCTGAAAACAGAGCACTGTACTTTTTTTTTTTTTTTTTTTTAAGAGACAGGGTATTGCTCTGTTGCTGGGTGCAATGGCAGGATAGTAGCTCACTGCAGCCTCTGCTTCCTGGGTCCAAGTGATCCTTCCATCTCACCTTTCAGAGTAGCTGAAACTAAAGCCATGTCCCCACCATTATCAGCTGATTTTTAAATTTTTTGTACAGGTAGGATGTCACTATGTTGCCTAAGCTGATCTTGACCTCTTGGCCTCAAGGGATCCTCCCTCCTTGGCCTCTCAAAGCACTGGAATTAGAGGCGTGAGCCACCTCACCTGGCCTCGCACCAAACTCTTTATTGACTTCTTGGTTATTGTCGCCTGTTACTAGTCGCTACGCTAGTTCAGAAAGGCTTTGCACAGAGGTCTGTTTTGAGACTTCTGTGCCTTACCTAGATCTCAGATCAAGAAAGTCCTGTGATGGCTGAGGACGGTGGTGGGAGGTCAGTGGGATTGGGGCTCAGGACCATCGCTGATTTAGGTCTTCACACTGGGCCTTCTGTGATCTCAGAACATCACACACCCATAAATAAACCTCCAAGGACCAGTGTCTGCAACTTATTGCTAACAAAAAATTTAAGATGCAGAACAAAAACAGTTTTTGTTTATATATTTTTAATATAGGGTCTTGCTCCGTCACCCAGGCTGGAGTGTAGTGGTGCAATCATGGCTCACTGCAGCCTCTACCTCCTGGGCTCCAGTAATCCTCCTGCCTCAGCCTCCCAAGTAGCCGAAACTACAGGGATGTGCCAGTTTTTTTCCTTTTTTAATGTGAGCATACACATCTATGCTAGTAGATGTAAAGAAAAATCCAGAAGAATATAAATCAGATTATTAAAGTACTTGTATTTGGTTAGTGGTATTATTTATGATTTTTGATTCCTAGATTATATATCTTTGTAGTGATTGCATTTTTTACGTAGATCAGGTGTTACTATTTTTTAAACTGCTTTTTTGTGATATTTTACATATATATATAAAATGTGTTTGTGTATGTATGTATATAATAATATATGCCATAAAATACGCTCATGTAAGTGAACAATAATTTCTTTAATTATTATTTTTTTATTTTTTAGAGACAAGGTCTCACTTTGTCACCAGGTTGGAGTGCAGTAGTATGATCACAACTCACTGCAGACTCGAACTCCTGGGCTCAAGGGATCCTCCCTCCTCAGCCTCCCAAGTGGCTGGGACTACAAGCACGCACCAACACACCTGGCTGATTTAAAAATTTTTGTACAAATGGGATCTCACTATGTTGCCTATGCTGGTCTTGAACACCTAGGCCCAACGATCCTCCAGCCTCGCCTTCTAAAGTGTTGGGATTCCAAGAGTGAGCCATGGTGTCTGGCCTCAAAAATCTTTAATACCTTTATAGAGTTGTGCAATCATCACCACAATCCAGTTTTGAGACATTTCCATTACTCCAAAAAGATCATTCATGCCATTTGCAGTTAACCACCACTCCCATCTCCAACCTCAGCTACTGTTGATCTTGCTGTTTGCACAGATTTGCCTTTATGGGAAGTTTCATATAAAAAGAATCAAACAATATGTGGCCTTTTGCATCTGGCTTCTTTCACTTAATGCTTTTGAGGCGTATGCATGTTGTAGTGAGTATCAGGTGTACGTCATGTATACGCAGGAATATCTGTCCCTTTGCTGTCGGGGAGGACGCCATCGCATGGAGGTCCTGCATTTTGTTTTTCTGTTTCTCAGTTGACGGTCATGTGGATTGTTTACAGGTCTGGGCTATTATGAATAATGCCACTATGAACATCTGTGTCCAGGTTTCTGAGTGGACACACACGGCTAATTTTATAATAAAAAAAACAAAACCAAAGGACCAAAATGAATTCTGGAACTGTTTCTGGAATACGTTTCCTTTTACCAAAATGGGAATTCTAATAGCAGGGCAGGAAATGTAAAGTAGGAGAGAAAGAAGTGGGCTCACAGCAGCCTTTCCCCTCCTCGGATTTGGGAACAAAGAGGCAGGATTGTCCCACTCTAGAAGTGGCTCATATTCGCACAGTTCATCCAAAGCTACAGAACACGCTCAACATCCCATCTGCCCCGCGGCACCTCTGATATCGATCTCAATCCAAACACCCACCCCTCTCTTGAGTCTCTTAGTTCAAGGACAGCAAATTCAGGACATCGCACTTCCCTGCCCCTGATGCATTTAGTGAGAGCGGGGGTTTGAGTTTGGATGACTGTGGAGAAAAGCCCCAAGCACCAGTGTCAATTCCTGGGCTGAGACTTTAAGGTTTAGCAATTCAAGTGTTTCAGCTAGGTCCCTTCCCAGTGTACAAAGGTCAAAGTTTGCAGTTATGGAAGGAAAAGGATCAGAAAAAACCATGGAAAATAGGATCTGGTTCTATAAGCAGGAAAGAGATGCAGGAAACAATTTAGAGGAAAAGAGGCAAAAAGTATACTGGCTCTCCAAGCTGGGGTGTCTTATTCACCAAGAAGTGGCGAGAAGCAGACAGACAGCACGTTTTGTCGGGGGACAGTGGTTTTTGTTTTTTTGTGTTTTTTTTGAGACAGAGTCTCACTGTATTGCCCAGGCTGGAGTGTAGTGGTGCAATCTCGGCTCACTGCAACATCGGCCTCCCAGGCTCAAGCGATTCTCATGCCTCAGCCTCCCAAGTAGCTGGGATTACAGGTGTGCGCCACCACACCCAGCTAATTTTTGTATTTTTAGTAGAGACAGGGTTTTGCCATGTTGGTCAGGCTGGTCTCAAACTCCTGACCTCAAGTGATCCACCTGCCTTGGCCTCCCAAAGTGCTGGGATTACAGGCATGAGCCACCGCACCTGGTTGCCAATGTTTAATACAAGTGGATAGACACAGTTTTAAAGGACTTTGGGAAAATCTGGTGTTAATGAATATTAATGAGGACATCTGTCTTATTTATTCATTACAGCGGCTCTCCACTGGTAGTTCCTGTAGCAACTCAAGCTCCTTCCTGGGTATCTAAAGATTCAGGTGATATCTGGAACCTGCTGCAGAGGTTGCAATCCTGCCTCTTTCTGACCCTCAGGTTGCCCTAGTGACTCTAGGAACCTTTCTCCATACCTCTTGCGTGTTATCTATGGAACATGGACTTTGAACCTCTCTTCTTTTTCGTCTCCTTGCTTTGATTTAATCCATCATTTCTAGGTGCATGACAACACTCCCTAACTTAACCCCCCTGCTTTCCCATTTTAACTACCATCACAATAATCTTAATACTGGCAGGTATCTAGCACTTGGCGATTTTCAAAGAGCTTCCACTAGTTCCTTGCTCGGAATCTTGTGATGCAGGCAGGATAGCTAGGAGTGTCTCCTTTTAAAGGAAATCAAGGTAGAAAAGTTCAGTGATGACCCAATATCATAAAAATCATAAAATGGTGAGACCAGGAGCAGGTTATAGGTTTCTACCCTGGTGCGGTCCCAGGATGGGGCCTGTAAGTCCTGAAGTTTCAGGCAAATGTGCTGTGACTGGATGTGTTAAATTAGACTAACAGGGAGTGGGGAAGGGCTATGACAATTCAGAGTAGGTCTGTAGAATATGTTCACAAAACCATGGATTTAAGAACATGGGAGCTTGTGAGGAGTTTTCTAACTCATTTTTTAAGTTTTCTAGATGTCTTATCCATATAATTTTTTTTTTTTTGAAATGGAGTCCCACTCTTGTCACCCAGGCTGTAGTGCAATGGCGCGATCTTGGCTCACTGCAACCTCCGCCTCCCAGTTTCAAATGATTCTCCTTCTTCAGCCTCTTGAGTAGCTGGGATTACAGGCATGTGCCACCATGCCTAATTTTTGTATTTTTAGTAGAGACTGGGTTTCAACATGTTGGCCAGGCTGCTGTTGAACTCCTGGTCTCAGGTGATCCGCCTGCCTCAGCCTCCCAGAGTGCCGGGATTACAGGTGTGGGCCACCTCGCCTGGCCCATACAATTTTTTAAAGGGCATTGAGATCCTAAAATTGAAATTGTAGATAGATATAGCTGTGGGATAAAGAACTTCTGCTGAATGATGATTTGCAAAAGTATGTCTTCATTATAGTACTGAGTACTAATTTTATGGGGCAAATAACTCTGTATTTAATCTTATGACCTTGTATAAAATCTTGCCCTAAACTAAATTCAAATGTATAGTCATTTATACTTAATTACAAAATTTGGTGCTATGTTAATATTTACCAAAAAAAAAAAAAATTCCAGAAAGGAACATGCTTGGAATTCAATGTGAACCAGTTAATTGTTGTGTTTATTCTGATACTTTTATTTGGGAGTCCTATATCACAAAATGACATGTGTACTGTTTACAACCGGTATTAGAAATTGAGATGTTTTTATTTTGACTATTTGAGAGTAAAATTGTAGATAATGTTCCAAACCATCATCAAAAATGCAGAGCAAACTTTTCTGTATATAAACTGTACATAAAAACAAGGCACTATACATTTTTGGGGAGATATTAAGGTAGAAAGGTTGATTCGCATAGATTCTCCAGAGTCCATGCCATTAAGTACAAATTCTTTGTTCATTTTAGCACCGGAAGCAGTACTCAGAACAAGTCATACCTAATGCTGCAGGAAACATTTCCAAACGTGTATGAAGATACATATTGGTGGCAGAGCTAATTCAACAGAAGCAACTCCATCTACCTTTTCATGTTATTTTGACACCAAAACAAATCTTGAAAGTGAATGAATACATATTGCTTTGTTAAATACATATTTGACTTATATGGTGTTTATATAAATATATATATATTTTAGAATCCACAAACTATCAAAATAACACTTTATAAAGAGAACTGCTTCAAAAAAAAAAAAAAAAGGCATTGCCTAGCTGGAACAAGAAGGCAGTGCTATCTATAGCAGCTGCGGCTTAAGTGCACATAACAGATACTTTTATTAATTCTGATAACCTCCTGAATGGTGGAAAGAAGTTTCCAAACAGTTCCCTTGAACATTTACAAAATACACAACTCCGGGACAAGCAGTATCTTTAACAATGTCAGGTTCTGAAAACTCTGATTGAAAAATACTTTGTGAAAAACACCAGTCCAAAAATATATATCCATTTCCCTGGTGCAGTGGTGTTGTTGGACGTGACCGTGAGGCTCCTCTGGCGTCTCCCCACTCAGAACAGGCCTTTTGCTTTCTTCAGGTTCACCTGCTTCCAGGCGGGCAGGGCGTTGTATTCATCCCTCGTCATGTCTAGTGCAAACTGGAAACATTGGGAGAAGCGCCCCGCGGCTCAGTGAAAGGAGCCGGGCGTGCGTGTGTTGTTTTACTCCCATCCCCACCCCACCGGAAGAACCGCTTACCTCGAAGTCTTCGTCGGTGAGATAGATCTCAAGCTTCAGAGGATCGACCCCCTCCGGGAGTGGCCTGGCCAGGAGGTCGGCCAGCGGGTAAATGGTTTTACAGAGCTTGGCTAAGACGTCTTCCACGAGGGTGATCTGATTGGAAACTTCCGTGTCCTAGAGAAGAGGAGGGGGCAGAGAGGAGAGCTCGTGTCCTACATTTGAACTTGTTTTATTAAGTGCTTACAGACACACAGCCCTGTGCCACCTGCATACTGCCTGAGGATGCATAGTTCCATATCACTGAGGAGGAAATGGCTCTGAAAGAAAAGGGATCGCCCAAAGCCCTGCAGTTGTCTGGACTTTTAATTTTTAAAATTTTTAAATTTTAAATTAAAAAATGGTATTTTTTGAGACAAGGTCTCACTCTGCTACTCAGGCTGGAGTGCAGTGGTGCAATCATAGCTCACTGCAGCCTCCAGCTCCTGGGCTCAAGTGATCCTCCTGCCTCAGCCTCCTGAGTAACTGGGACTATGAGTATGCATCACCAGGCCTGGCTAATTTATTTTTCCTTTTCCATTTTTTTTTTTTTTTTTGTAGAGACTGGGTCTTGCTATACTGCTTAGGCTGGTCTCAAACTTCTGGCCTCAAGCGATCCTCCTGCTGGGATTACAGGTGTGAACCACCACACTTGACCCCAAATTTTGTTATTTTTTAGAGACAGTGTCTCACTGTAACCCAGGCTGGAGGGCAGTGGCTCAATCATAGCTCTCTGCAGCCTTAAACTCCTGGACTCAAGCAGTCCTCCCACCTCAAGCCTCCTGAGTAGCTGGCACTATTGGCATGTGCCACCACGCGCACCTAATAATTTAAAAAATTTTTTTGTAGAGATGATGGAGTCTTGTTTCTCTGACTTATAGATCTTTTCTCACCTTGTCACAGAGTTTTAAACAAACCCTGTCTCAGAACTGTCTCTGGAAAAATGTTTAGGGACTGTCCCATGAGTGAATTATGGACTAAGATTAGTAGATTTGAAGTCTAAACACCAGAAGCCTCCAAATAATGGAATTTGTTTAAAAATAAATATTAAAAAATAACCTGAAAAGAAATCACACCCCCCTTCCCTCCCCTGGCCCCATTTCTTAATCTGCAATAGAAAAAGAAGGTCAGAAAATGCACCTAGAATATTCTGGAGCAGAATCAATTTTTTTGTTTTTAAAACCACTGTGTGAATATGAACAAACTATTCTGGGTAAATTCTCTTCCTCCATTAAACTTGGGACCCCAGATTGGCTGCTCTCCTTTTGGGTGGGTGGATGGTGGGAATGCATGACTAAGAGCTGTTGCTCATATTAGAAATACATGGAACAGACTGGTGGTCAAGAGGCAGGTTTTGGGCTGGGTGCAGTGACTTGTGCCTGTAATCTCAACACTGTAGGAGGCTGAGGTGGGAAGAGTCCTTGAATCCAGGAGTTGGAGACCAGCTTGGGCAATATGATGAGACCCTGTCTCTATAAAGAATACAAAAATAGGCTAGGCATGGAAGTGTGCACCTGTAGTCCTACCTACTTGGGGTGGCTGAGGTGGTAGGGTCGTTTGAGCCCAGGGGTTCAAGGTTTGTGTGAGCCATGATTGAGTCACCACACTGCAGCCTGGGTGACAAAGCAAGATCCTTTCTCTAAAAAAAGAAGAGGCGAATTTTGGATGATCTTGCCTGCGTCTGAGTACTGACTCCTCCACTCACTGAAAGTCACTTTGGCCAAGTGACTTCGTGTTTTTGTGTCTCTGCTCCCACACCAGTAAAATGGGAATAATAATAAGATATCTTGATGGACTGTTGTGATAAATGAGAAAATCAGTGTAAAGTGCTTGGAGATGTGCCTAGTGCAGAGTGGGCACTTGCTGAATGTTAATTATTTGTATAACTTGCTGGTGTGGGAAGCCTGACTCTTCTCCGGCTGGAATCCCACAGGCCTGCACAACAGTAAATGGCCCCGCTGCTAACCCCCAAGATCTATAGTGAATACACAGGGAGGATGGTGAGTTATATCCTTCTGAAAGTGGCTCAACTGTGCCACAGAACTGATGTTTATGATTTCTTTGGAATAAACGTCGAAATTAACTCTCCTAGTCTTGAAATTCGAGAAAGTTATATTTGTCTTATCTGAGTTCCTTTCTCAGGAAACCAACCATCAGGCATCTCCAATAGTATCAAAAAGCCAGCAGTGGCTCATGCTTGTAATCCCAGCACTTTGAGAGGCTGAGGTGGGCAGATGGCTTGAGCTCAGGAGTTCAAGACCAGACTGAGAGACATGGCAAAACCTCATTGAAAATACAAAACAAATTAGCCAGGCATTATGGTGTGTGCTTGTAGTCCCAGCTACCTGGGAGGCTGATGTGGGAGGATTGTCTGAGCCTGGAGCTGGAGGCTGCAGTGAGCTGTGATTACACCACTGCACTCCAGCCTGGGCAACAGAGCAAGACCCTGTCTCAAAAAACAAAAACAAAACCTGAAGCTTACCAGACCCCTTACCCACCATGATGCCTAACCAACCCCCCGCTTCCTGTTGACCAGCTCCTCTTCCTCACCCCTCCCTAATTCCTGTTTCCCACACATGGTTACATTTCTTCCCTGCTATAAAAATCCCTAATTTTAGTAGGCCAGAGACACAGATTTGAGACTTATGTCCTGTTCCCCTTGGCTGTAGCACCCAAATAAACTTTCTTCCTTGGCTATGCTTGTCTCAGTGATTGGCTTTCTTCTGTGTAGTGAGCAATAAGCCCTGGACTGAACCCCTGGCAATTTGGTAACTCCTGAACTTAGACTGCATGCAGCAGCCATAGAGCTCGTAATCCCTAGAGCCTTCTGGTTTCACGAAACCACAGTTGCAGTGAACAGAAACATCTCGTTCCGGCTGCGGCAGACACCAAGCTGAAGTCAGCCCCTTCCCTGTGTACATCAAGTCCATTTGGCTCCAGGGAGACAGGTTAGGGTGAGCAGTGATGTCTGTACTACCCAACAGGCCCTCTCCATTGCTAAGCAGAAGTAGATTCTGTTTGTTTAAAATTACTCGAATTTCCTATAAAATACACTTGGGTCGTTTCCCCAAGCAAAGCAGCTCTCACATGGTAAAAAAAAATCAAAATGGTAAAAAACCTATCTCTCACCAAATCAAAACAAATCCTTGGATTTGCTATTCCTAGCAATGTTAATAGCTCATATATAAGAAATTCAACATAGCTATAATAAAATTCTTTCCTGTGTGGTTGGAAAAGAAAACATTCTAGATTATAATATATTTTGGTGGATAGAAGTTATGATAAATGCCTCATGCAGAAATACCAGGTGGTCTCATAAAAGACAATATTAATGAGATGTTGAGTGATCCCTTATCATAAGGGAGTCGCAGCACCTCCATTCATTCAGTTTTCTGAACATACTAATTCATCAGATTTCGTTTGTGTCTCCTCTACACAAGGTTAACATCTGAAACATGAGGGTTTGGTTGTGCGTCACATGGACACTGAGAGACAAGCAATGCCAAGCAACAGGTTCTTAGCAAACAGAATGAAGAGTTCGCAGCTTTTATGTACATATATAGTCCTCAACATGATTCAACTCACCTTTGCTTTTAAGTTTTTAAAATTTGGGTATCGTGTAGAAAATTACTAAAATAGTTAATTGATTTTCCATTAGACTTCTCTTCTTCCTAAGCAAATTCTATGTAGGTTTGTTAAGATGTTGCAAAAGGAAAAATATTTTCCCACTCTGAAAGTGCAATTGGATGCTCTCCCCAAAGTAAAGTTAACCCACAATCCAAAAGGCGCAGGAGCCACCTTCATAGGGCAGGAAAGCGTGCTCACCATCTCTGTGATCTCAGCGATGTCCTCTCTGTGCTCCCAGCTGGGAAACATATTGGTGAATGTCAGGGGCTCCAGACCAGCGTGGATAAGGTAAGACTTGGGGGCTGGTTTCTTGAGATTTTTTCCTGTAGTTACACAGATTGCAATGTCAGTAGACCCCAGGGAGACCCTGTCTTTCTCTGATTTCCCTTGAAATCTTTTCTTCTTTGCCAGAACTCATGACTTCATGCTTAAAATGCAAGTTACCAGTAGTTCATAACAACACATGGATAATGTTTATATAAGATGTTTGTTAGTTTCATGCCTGTGACTACCATAGTGACCTATAATCAACCTGAGTCTATACTTCTTGAACCTAACAAAACGCTGTGTATTCCTGGAAGGGAGAGAGAGGCTCTGTCTGCAGCTTCTGGGTGGAGCATTTTCTTCCTCCTGAATTCACCTGTAGAGTCATCCGTCTCATTTCCTAGCACAGGATTAACTCCCATAATGACTGACGGCGAACGACAGCATCTTATACATCCACATTCACTATAACATTGAGTGGAAGGTTTCATATGTTATTTATTGCTAAAGAGTTTTTCAGGAAGAGAATCCATTGCACATACTCAGTGACATTAAACTAGTTGTGTCAATGAAACCATAAAAATTAAATAAGATTAATTACTGGCATTTTCATTTTATATAAAAGACTAGAAATTTCATGTGTATAGTAAAGAACCATGAACTTACTATGGGTATTTCTCTTTGGATATAATACTAAAAATAATAATGAATAATAAAAAGGTTGGCAATGGCCGTTCACTGTTTGGGGGAGACCTCCATTCTCCAACAGCGTGGTAGTGCTTGCAGATAATGTACAGGGCAGAGGCCAACTTGTCTCTCAGCATGATCAACCCCGAGTACAGCGGGGTTTTAATCTGCCTGGGGCATTCCACAATACAGCCTTTATCCTTGAGGGTAACAAGTTAGCCTCATAATATCAGAGAGAAAAACTAGTTCTTCTTCATGCTGGCAGCTGAGAATGCGCTAATCTAAAACTTAATACATCTCAAAAAGTTAAAGGGGAAAAAATTGGTTTCATCACCACCTGCCAGGCTTTATGGATGGATGCTGGCTGACATGCACAGAAGGGGAAGGGGGTCTCCTGGCTGCGCATGCCTGAGGGGCTTCCCCATCTGTTCCGTGCTGCAGGCATGTTAGAGGGAGCCTCACCTTTGCAGTACTGGAGCACAGTCTCCATCGCACTCTTCCGGTCGGAGGCCCAGCGGATGCGGGCGGAACCAGTGATCTTGTTCTCGATGGGCCACCAGCCTTGCCAGAGGTACACCTCGTGGTGATTGTCAACAAGGAAAAGTGCTGTGAGGGCAGGGACAGGGCCAGACCATCAGGAGCTCCTTCACGGACACTTCTAGCTCACTCCTCCCCCAACCTAGTGGATGTTGTCCCTCTTGACTGCAGTGTCACAGGGGGAAACCCCCTTGGCCATCAAACCAGGGGCAAAGGGGCAAACAGAGAAACCCAGGATACCCCAGCCCTTTGACAGTTCAACGGGGAGAAGCCTGTAGGCAGAGAGAAGTGGTGTCAAGGAGTTGGTCTTTTTCATTCCTCGTCCTCCAGGTCCTCCTCCCTTTGCCCCAGCTCAAGGCCCTGGCCCTTCTGGATACTGGCAGGGCTGTGCTAAGAGTGGAAGGGATAATGCATGTGCCACTCAAGGGGCTGTTAGCACCGCATATCTCCAAAGAGCACAATCAACACTGGAGCGCACATCTCACTGCAGACAGGTCAGTGGCGTTCCTGCCCTGCACGCGATTGCTTAGCAGTGAGGTGAGCTCATGGCTCTCTTACAGAGAAATGGGCCTTAAAAAGCAAAACTGCCACCGGGAGTGGTGGCTCATGCCTGTAATCCCAGTGCTTTGGGAGGCTGAGGAGGAAGGACTGCTTGAGCCCGGAGGTTGAAGACCAGCCTGGGCCACATGATGAGACCCTATCTCTACAAAAAGAAAAAAAAAATTAGCGAGGCATGGTGCTGCATGCATGTAGTCTCCACTACTCAGGAAGCTAAGGAGAGAGGATCGCTTGAGCCCAAGAGTTAGAGGCTGCAGTGAGCCATGACTGCGCCACTGCACTCCAGCCTGGATGACAGAGTAAGACCCTGTCTCTAAAAAATAAAATAAAAGGAAATAAAAATCAAAACTGTTCTACTGCCTTTTCCTCCTACCTTTTTCTCCTCCTCAAATTGTCAGTCTGACTCTTACTCCAGGTGGCAAAATGCCTCTCACTCTTGCTAGTCGGCTCACTGTAAGTCCTTTCCTGACATGCATTTCAGGATTCTGTGAAAACCACACTTTAAAAGCCCAGTGGAGGTTGATAACCCGCCCTGAGCCCCAGGATGAAGGGCGTGGGCACACCCTCTCTTACTGGTGGCTGATTTTCCAAGCATGACATGTGCACTGGGCAAACTTTCAGTGCTGCCCTGAGATCCCGGTGCAAGATGAGGTCCCTGGCTGCAGCTCCAGGCTCTTGTAATGTGAGAAGCAACAAACACAAACTGAGAGGCAGCTGACCTTGGCTTCATTGGAGGGTGGGTGGGAGGGGTTGTCAAGCCCAGTCTCTTGTTACTTTCCCAACCAGAATGAGGGCACAGAGCCCTGACCTTGGGATCAGAAGACCTGGGCTGGAGTCTTGGCTCTGCTGTGGAGACTTGGTATGGCAGACCCTGTTCCCTGGCTAACTTAGCCAATACCCCAACATCCTTCTCCTCTGCCATTTGCTTCCCCAGGCTCCCTTGCAGCTGGGGCTGGCCATGTGACAGGCTCCGGCCAATGGGATGTAAGCAGAAGTCTGCTGGGGGCTTCTGGGAAAACACGTGCTTTATCTGATTAAAGAGAGAGAGTGGCTATTAGGTGGGCTTTTTTCCTTCCCCTTTCTTTCTCTTTCTATCTTGAATGCAAACATAATGGCTGGAGCAATGGCAGTCGACGGGTGACCATGCAGCAACAAGACTGAGAGGAAGGCTGGGAAAAGAGCGGAGACGCCAGGCCTGCCGCTGTGGTGCTCAACCTGTTCTTAGCTGACGTCTTTGGGTGGGTTAAGTGACTTGAGTCTCGTTCCTTATGCTATAAAGTGTGGCTGATTTCACTCTCCTTCCTTTTGGTGTAGGGGTGAGGATGAAAAGAGTGTAAGCACATGTTCTGGGTGCTCTGGGAATGTACTTGGCAAACAGAAGCTGCTTAATAAATACCAACGTAAAATCAAAAGGCTTTCTGGAAGATGTGCCTTCTACTGCTCAGCATAGCTGCCCCCTGCAGGCCTTACCTGGCTGGGGCGCGCTGTACAGATCTTCCTGCAGGAAGGGCATGGAACTGACCACAGAGGGGGCTCGGGCAGGGTACACAAACTCTGTGGCTGCAAAATCCCCAGAGGAGCTGCTGAGGATGAACAGGCGGGGCGCGAAGTTAAAACTTCCAGGATCTTTGAAAGAAAAGAGAACAAAGCTGAAGATATCATGTGCATCAAAGTAAATTCCAGATGAAGAATGAATGTAAAATATGAAATAATTCAAAGCACTGTGGAAACACAGGTAGGATTTATCTGAGCTTCAAGGTGGAGAAAGCCTTTTCAAGTGCAATAGTAAAAGAACCAATCAAAAGGGAAAATAATGCATTAATTATATAAAAATGAAAAACAATGCAAAATTAAAAAGAAAAGAAAAACCAAGTAACAAATGGGAAATATTTGTAATACAGCAACTAGTTAATATCCTTAATACATGAAGGGACATACATAAGGAAAAAATAAATATCAATAAAATGTGCAAAAGACACAAATAGAACACTCACCAAAGTAGAAATTAAAATGGCTAAAAAATATATATAGATACTGTGTATATATGCATATCTATACACAGATATATGTATGTGTATATCACATACACATATGTAACATAAATATGCATATATGTTATATAACATAAATATACATATATTGTATTTTATATACATTATACATGTATATAAATATACATCTATATGTACTTCTAAGTAAAACAAAACAATGCTTAGCTATCTGTCTCCTTTCATCAATTTGGCAAAGAGGAAAAAATAATATGCTGAATTTATGATTGTGCTGAGAAATGAACGCTTCTGTGTATTGCAGGTGAGAATGAAACTTGGCCCGAGCTGATACATGCTATCAGATTTTATGACAAGCACAGCGGTTCCACATCTAGGAATTCCTCTCAATTAGGAATGAATGTATAGGATTATTTTAAAAAGTATTCAAACTGCATTATTGTATAAGGGAGAAAAATCAGAAATAAGAAACAACTCAACTCCCCAGCTGTCAGAGACTGTCAGGTAGAGAGTGGCATATATTCACAGTATAACAGAATATCTCACAGCCATTAGAAATCTAAATTTTAATAACTTGGGAAATTATTCATTATAAAGGAAAAAAGGTTACAAAACAGTAGATCCACATATTATTTTTTAAAATAGATATTATATATAGCATAGAGAAATGTGAATTCTGTTCTGAGAAATGTGGTTATAAGTGACTTCATTTCTTTTTTTAACTTCTCCATAATTTCAAACGTTTTCTAGGCATTATGTTTAAAAAGCTATATAAAAGTTTATAAACATTGAGGGGCAGAGTATTATGGAGCAGTTATGAGGATACTCCATTGCTGCCCAGCCTTGGGCAAGTTGATTAACTTCTGTATGCCTCAGTTTCCTCATCTGTAAAAATGGCAGAGTGTTGGGTTGTACTAACGGAGTTACTATATGTAAGGTGCTGGCTGGTGTCTGGCTTACTGGAACTGCTTAACAAAAGTTCGCTTTCCTTCTAATGTTCATCTGTATTTTTAGAACAGCTGGGAAAGTACACATATACACACCTAACCTCACTCTGGTGAATGGGAGTGCCTGTTCTATACAGACACGATCTTTGTATTTCCAAATAGGTTAATGACTGAAGGGCTCTGGAAAGGGGATAAGAGGCCGGCTTCCTTCCCCAGATCGCACTCCAACACCCAGAGGACTGCTATTTCTCAGGTGGCAGCTATGAGGAAAGAAAGAAAATGGTGCCCTGAGTCCCTAAGACCCTGGAAGGTGGCTTGGTCCCCGGGAGGCCTTGGGAGCTGATTTGCCAGTGAGAATTTGAAGTCCTGGTGTCCAAGTTAAACTCACCCCTGGGAAGAAAAAAACTGTTCAATCAGCTGGACATAATACTCATCACACTAGATTTAAGACACACTGAAGAATTAAGATAAAACATGAATGGGGCACAGTGGCTCAAGCCTGCACTTTGAGAGGCTGAGGCAGGCTGATCACTTGAGCCCAGGAGGTTGAAGCTGCAGTGAGCTGTGATCATACCACTATACTCCAGCCTGGATAACAGAGCAAGACTCTTGTTTCCAAAAACAAACAAAAAAACCAGATCGCAGACTGTGGATGCCACATTACCTTGAAGCATGCAATCGTAGGCTTTCCTGTCTCTCCTTCCTAAGGCATCCCAGAATCCGAGTGGCTCGGAGCCTTCATCACACTCGTGTATTGTGACTTTGCTGCTACTATGCAGTCCTGCTTCCAGGGGACATCTGCAAGGGAGAAACTCCAAGAGTTCTTTATAAGTCTGGAGAGTGCTGGTGACCCAAAATTATTATTACTATTATGATAACAGCTTTATAATAGCTTTATTGAGATATAATTCACATGTCATAAAATTCACTCTTTTTATGTGTACAGATTTCAGTTTATTCACAGAGTTGTGCAACTGTCATCACTAATTTCAGAACATTTTCATCTCCCGGAAGAAGAAGCCCTGTACCCGTTAGCAGTCACTCCGCATTTCCCCCATCCTTAGTCCTCAGAATCCACTAATCTACTCCTGTATTTATGGACTTGCCTGTTTTGGACATTTCATACAGATGGAATTATATAATATATGTTCCTTTGTGACTGAGTTTTTAAACTTAGTGTAATGTTTTTAAGGTGCATCCATGTTGTAGCATGTATCAATACTGAATTCTTTTTTATGGCAGAATAATATTCCACTAATTTTTTTCATCCATTAATATGTTGGTAGATATTTGGGTTATTTCCATCTTTTGGCCACTATGACTAATATGGCTATGAACCTTCATGTACAAGTGTTTTCATTTCTCTTGGGTAGATATCTAGTAGAGTTGCTAGTCATATGGTAACTGTATTGTTAAATCTTTTGAGAAATTGCTAGACTGTTTTCCAAGTAATGTGTAAGGGTTCCAATTTTCACATCCTTGCCAATACTTGTTATTGTCTGCTTTTTTTAAATTTAAAATTTGTGGGTATATACTAATAGTAGGTGTATATATATATACATATATATATACATGTACATATATATATGGGGTACAGCCATAAATTATTCAAAACTAAATCTGGAGATCAGTTCACCGTCTCTTCTACTTTCTAAGGAAAAGCAATTCTTACTCATGAATGGAAAAATGCTCTGCAGTCTCTAAGTGTGTGTGGTGGAGGAGGGGAAGTTGACTTGCTCCTAGGGAGGGATGTTTAATCACATCTAATGTGTCATGAAAATTACACACATTTTTATACAGAACAATACATATTGACTATTTCTTGTCTTTCTCTCCTGCTAGAACATGAACTTCATGAGGACAGAGACTTGGGCTTATTCACCACCAAGTCCCCAGTTCCTAACTCCAGTCCTTTGGAGTTAGAAGCAGGTTGCCCAAAGTTCATGATGCAGAAAAACCATTTTTTCCGAGATTTATAGGATAAGTCCTGTAATTCCAGATTGCTTGGCGCCAATCAGGTACTCAATAAATGTTTGTTGAGTGAATATGTGAATGAGCTCTTCATTGTTTTTCTTTTCCTCAGTGGTCCAAGTAAACCCTCTGATGGGCCTCAAATGCCTTGGGCCACCTCAGGGCATGTGATTTCTCACCCCTCCCCGTGCCCTAGCCCACAGGTGGTGTTTTGAGATGAAACATCTTGTTTCACATCTGCCTCCCTGTAGAGAGGTCACCTGCCCCGTTCTCCTCTCTGCCCTCTCTGGGTAGTGTGTTTTCAGAGTGGACACAGGGGCCCTGGCCACTGCTCTGTTCCAGAACCCAGAGAATGGGGTTCACCAAATCAAACTCTGGGGACATGTGACCCTAGGAAGCTCTTCACTTTTCCTCACTGAGGTCCTCACAGGTCTCAGTTGCCTCCTGAATGCCTGGGCGACACTGGGCTTCTCTGGCAGCTTGCAATGCTTATTTTGCCTGGGCTGCTAGGAAGTGCAGAGCCACAGAGGCAGACCACCTTACCGGGGGGGCCGGCCACCACAGCGTCCTCCCTGGGCTGTGGCCTTCACTGCCCTTCCGGTTCCCCTCTTCCCCAAGGTCCCCACTCAGTGCTATCTCACAGTGTGCTGAGTCTTTGCAAGTGGCCAACGGCAGGTGCCTGCCTGGGAGGGGAACAAAACCCAACCCGGAAGTGCTGTACCCGGGAAGTGCCCGGAGAGTCCGATCCCTCTCCATCGGGGGCTGCTCTCCAGAATGGGGGATATCTTATCGTCTGACACAGATGGCGGTTTCCCACACTCTTCTTTAGCTTTTTAACACTCTGCTGTTCTGGCAAACGAAAACTCCACAAATTTGAAATGTGCTCCCTTTAAATATCAAAGGCCCCCAGGCTTCTCATCCAAAAGCTGAACGGCAACTATGAAGAAAGAACCCAGAGTGCTTCCAAGAGTCACTCCCTGGCTCCTCACCAGCCTCTCACCCAGCCAGATAAATCCTCAGAGCGGCCCCCAAGTCGGAGGTCTGGACTGAGATGTGTGTCCTCTCTGCTCGGAATGTCAGAGGCCCCTGACCACGTTCCCAGCCATCCTTTGCTGCAGTCACTTTCAGCACCCTGGGATCTGCTGGGAGTCTTGGTACCCCTGAGCCTGCCCCGTCCCTCTGGGAAGCCCGGTGTGTGGGGGGACTCGCCGCAGACACAACACTCACTGTTCCTTGATCTTGTTCGCAGCGGTCCTTCCGACCTCCTTCGTGTGGGCCTGGGCTTTGCATCCGTGCCACAGGTAGATGAGGGCCTTGTTGACGTTAAGCACCACCATGGAAGTTCTGGACCTCAGGCTGCTACAGTGACAGGCCACTTCCAGCAAATTCCCTTCCACGGGCACCTCTCCACGCACGCAGTACAGCCGCCACTCACCTGCAGGGGGCACCGGCGGCGCGGAGGAGTTAGCACGTGAGCGAGTGGCAGCAAACGCGGCCCTTCCTAGTGTCCGCTGTGTCGTCCAAGGCAGCCACCTCCGTCCAGGGCCAGGGACTTAGGGGACTGGAGGGGCTGAGGCACTGCACAGGGAGCCCTGTGGAGCACTGAGGCATCAGGCCTTCCTGCCAGCCTAAAAAGTGGGTTCTTACATAGTTAGAAGCAGGTGATCTGAAGTCCACAATGTAGAAAAGCCATTTTCCCAAGATTTATACAACAAGTTCTATAACAGGCATATTTTAAAAGGCTCTAGAGCTAAGATTTTTTTGGGGGGTGGGGTGCTGGTCAACACAAAATTTCATAATTTATCATAGAAGAGCCACTGATTTTTCTTTCTTCCTAAAAACAGCAGACAGAGGAGGGGAGACCACCTTCCAGCCTCCTGCGTGCAAAGGTGAATCCCCGAGTAAATTCTCCAGGGAGAGGCGGGTCATGAGCACCCATAGAGCTGAGTTATCAGGCAAACATCAGGAGGCTTTCAGAGGTCGAGCCACAGCTAGATGAAGACAGACTCACTTTCAGCCCCCAGCTTATAAAAATTCTTTCCAAGAGAGGGAAAGGCAAAGTCGAATTCCAGCAGTAAAAGTGACTTACTTTGCACATTTTCTTCTTCCTCTTCCCGCCTCCCCGAGTGCACCACCATCCCCCCCTGGAAACACTGCAGGAAACAGGGGGGCTCCTTTCCCTGGAGAACCTGGACCTTCCGATTTAAACAGAGGTAAATAGGTAAGGGGCGCGGGGCTTTCAAAGTCCTAAAAACAATACATGCCTCTTGCAGAAAATCTGAAAAATACCAAGACGTACAAACAAAAGCCATTGCTAACACTACCACCTAAAGAGAAGCTCTGCGAACGCTGCCGTGTGCAGCCTCCTCTCAGGGTGTTACTCAGGGAGGGTCTTCTTTTCCTAAACAAAATAGGAGCCTTGCTTTATATTGATGTACAGCCTCATTTTCTTTACTTAATGTTGTTCTGTCAAGGAATATTCTTTTAAAACATAACTCCTGATATTTTAATGGTATTCTGTGGTTATTGATGTCACAAGACTGATATAAATACATTCTTAACAAGATAGCTCTCAGCAATGAGAATGACTCATCACTGACTTGGTAATAATTCTAGGGAAAATATATGGTTTGTGGCCACCCCAGCAGTCCACTCAGCCTCTTCCTGGCCTGTTAGAGAAGGCTCTTCCTTCAGGTGTTATCTGCACCACGAATAATGTTAGGTTTGAGTCACCTCCCTCTAGGACACCTTTCCTTAAAGAGGAAATGTTTCCTGGAGCTGGTAGTCAGGGAGCACTGAGAGAAAGCATTTCTCACTGTGAGTTATCAATCTCTGTGCCCATTTTGCATAACCAATTGCCATTTTGTGGCAGTATTTCATATCTAAAATGATTTTCCAGAGCTGGACCATGGCTCATGCCTGTAGTGGTGCATGCCTGAAGTCCCAGCTACCCAGGAGGCTGAGGAAGGAGGACTGATTGAGCCTGGGAGGTCAAGGCTGCAGTGAGTGGTGATGGTGCCACTGCACTCCAGCCTGGGTGACAGAGTGAGACCCCTGTCTCAAAAAAATGATACAAATAAAAATAAAATGATTTTCCATCCACTGGATTGGTAACAGGTAAAATGCTCAAATGAGAGAGATTAAGACTCAAAACTCTGAGGATGATTTTGAAGGCATGATAAAAGCATATTCATTCATGGCCTTTACAAAAAAATAAAGGGGTAGTTGAAATGGCTATTAGGAATAAATTAAAATGCAACTCTTGCCAGTACCATTTCTAAAATATAGTCCATAGTAGAAAATATTGTTTTAGGAAATGTGATTGGTTCTTGGAACTGTGGAAGGCTGGGTGAGTGTGGATCTATTTCTGGCAAGAATGTCTCTGCTGTCTTCCCTCCTGCTATCGTTAATCATTCATCCAGGAGAATAAAGAGATTTGCACATGGCATTGTCCTGTTTTCAAAGAATCCCAGAGTTAATTCTTAATTGCTGCTACTCAGCAAGTTAACTCTTAATTGCTGGTACTCTACAGAGCAGAGGAGACTCAGGCAGAGCTCATCTGAATGTTAAAGAGACAGGTTTGCAAGCCTTGGATCTGGGCAGCAGTCCCTGCCAAGCATGATGCAGGCCCTGGGGTTATAAGGCCATGGGGTTGTGAGGCCAGTAGCTTTAGGTGGCCTTGGATCTGGGCAGCAGTCCCTCCCAGGCACGATGCAGGCCCTGGGATGATAAGGCCATGGGGTTGTAAGGCCAGGGTCTCAGGGTCTCTGTCATGCTCCTGGGGGATCATGTAGCTTTAGGTGGTGGGAAGTGCTGTGAAAATAAAGGGATAAAGTGCAGGGACTGAGAAGGATGGGAGAATGAGAAGGCTCTGGATAGAATGGGTGCGGGGGGCAGTGGTGCGGGTAACATTTCAACAGAAACCTGCCTCATAAGAGGCTGTACACAGGGGTACATACGTAGAGGCAGTATGGAGTAGGCAGGGGAAGTTTCCAGACAGTGGAATGGGTCACAGGGCAGGAGGTGAGTGGAAGGAGGTGGCCGTGGAACAGGGAGAGGCTGGAGTGGCCTGGGTGGAGGGGAGGAGCAGGGGGAGCTTGGAGAGGTGCCCAGGGCCCATCACGAAGGTGCTGGAGCCCTGGGAAGCCGCTTAGACTGCAGTGTGTGTGGCAGACAGTAAGGGAGTGACCCAATCTGACCTGTTCCAGAAAACCACTCAGGCTGCCACGAATACAGGTGATGGGCGTTCCCAATCCTTACATTCACCTGATACTTCCTTCATGTAGATTCGTGTACATGGAACAAGTGATCAAAGTTTTAAGGTTCTCGTGACAAAATTTCAGGATGGCTGTTCAAGTTACACTTCTCACCCAAAACATAGCATCCTCATCCTACCGAGGCCTTGCCAGCTGGCCCTGGATCCATTCTTTAAAAAATCACTACCACTGTGAGAAGTGGATGATGGCATCTCTTTGTTTTACTTACAGTGCCTTGATTGGTTAGGTGGAAACCTTTCAAAGCCACCCATTGGCCATCTGCACTTGTCATGTGGATTTCCTATTTGCAGATACAACATTTTCTCCAGGATCATCTTACAAAAAGTGGGAGGAGGAAAGAAATGGGAGGCACAGCCTGAGACCTGCAGAAGCCAGACCAGGACTGAAGTGCTTTGGGTGACGTGGTCTTCCATTATCAGAATCATGTTGGGAGGGACCAGGCCGAGTGCCATCGGCTCCCAGGAGAGGATGCTCCTCTCAGTCCCCGGGGTGCAGAGCTCCCCAGGACTCACCTGGGCCCCCCTTTCCTCGTCCAGCTCCACCGTCATCAGCGCCGACGTGCCCTTCTCACTCACGGTGGAGTGCCGGCCTTGCCAGAAGAAGTAGACGCACTTCTCTTTGCCGGCTGCCCTCACCGAGTGCTCTCCCTTCTGGCGACTTCCCACTGCAAACACAGAATGGCAGAGGGACAGGTCAGCAGCTGAGACACCCGAGGAGAAGCAAATGTCTGGCTCACTTTCCCCGGGCCTGCAAGGACCAGTGGCAAAGAGCCTCGGACCTAGGGCAGGGGAGAAACCGTTGGCACCTGGAGGGAAGGCTGGTCACGCCCAGGAGAAGAGAAAAACCACCTTCCTTCCAGCTCCTGACCCAGAACTTCCCACAGGGAGAAAAGGGATCTGAGGGGCCCTCTTGGTGCCCTGAGAAAAAGATCTGTCATCTGGAGGGGGTGGCAGATCACTCCAAGTGTGCAACAGAGTAATTTCTTCAAAATATTTGGTGAGGCCAGGTGAATGGCTCATGCCTGTAATCCCAACACTCTGGGAGGACTGTTTGAGGTCAGGATTTCAAGACCAGCCTGGGCAACATAGCAAGACCCCACCTCTAAAATAATTTAAAGAAATTAGCCTGGTGTGGTGTTGCACACCTGTAGTCCCAGCTACTTGGGAGACTGAGGCAGGAGGATCACTTGAGCCCAGGAGTTTGAGACCGCAGTTAGCCATGATTGTGTCACTGCACTCCAGCCTGGGTGACAGAGTGAGACTCTCTTACAAATAAATAAATAAATAAATAAATAAATAAATAAATAAATAAATAAATAAAGTATTTGGTGACCGCCAGAGCAGGACTAAGGGCTCACACAGACACAAACTCATTTTCCATATTACACCACTCTTTGGCAAAAGAATAGCTGGTAGAGAAAAAATGTTAAAAACAATAGCAGGGCCAGCTTTAAGCACAAAGGAAAAAATGCAGGCTGTTAAAACTATTCTAGTAAAAAATACAACTTTGAAGTTTTCAAGTTCTGTCAGAAAGGAGGAGATAGGTTGCTGACATATCACTTGAGCATAAACTAATCTGGATTTCATGTCTGTCACCAGGGCTGCTGCCAGGATTAAGTGCTGATGGTCCCCATGGCTGGAACTGCACAGGCACTCGGTAAACATGAGCAGCACAGGAGGCAGATGAGACTGCTTGGTGTGGAGAGCAGTCACAGGGAGGTTACAGGGTCTCCCTCTGTCACCCAGGCTGGAGTGCAATGGTGCAATCATGGCTTACTGCAGCCTTAGCCTCCTGGGCTCAAATGATCCTCCTGCCTCAGCCTCCCAAATAGCTGGGACTACAGGCATGCGTCACCATGTCTGGCTAATTTTTATTTTTAAAATTTTGTAGAGATAGGGTCTCACTATGTTACCCAGCCTAGTCTCTAACTCCTGGCCTCAAGTGATCCTCCCACCTCAGCCTCCAAAAGTGCTGGAATTATAGGCCAAATGGGCATTTTAGATGTTACTACAGACATCCAAATCTCTACCTGTAAGAATATGTCTCACTCTAGATTCCCTTCATTCGTTCATGCATTCAACAAATATTCAATGAGCGGGGACTTCAGGATTCTGGGCTACAATGGTGAACAAGACAATGATGAACTCGATGCTGGGTGCTTTTGTTCTAATAAACAAAGAGACGAGCAAGACAATTTCAGATAGTGATAAGTGCTATGAGGACAAGAGACAAGAAGGTGACGCCAGGCAGGGTCAGGGCTCGTGGGACACCTGCTGAGGGAGGGCCTTTCTGAGGAGGTGGGGAGTGTAGACCTGAATGATGCTAATCTGGAAGCAGAAGCTTCTAGGCTGAGTGAGGCCAGTAGACCAAGCACTTGACCCAAAGGCCCAGGTGTCCCAGGGAGTGAGGGTCAACACGGGAGGCTGCAGCAGTTGGTGGGAACACCCACACAGGTTTAAAAGGAATGAGAATAACTGGAGTCTCTGGTTTTATATCACTGCAGTTTTCCCAGCTCCAATCCCATTTCCAACATTGCAACTGTATTGAGGTTTGAAGGGAAGAATAAAACTCATTTAAGTTCTTAAAAGGTAGGGGGTCATATTTATTTGATTTTTAGCCCTTTGTTTGGTAAAGTATCTGTAACATAGGTTTCGTAAATGATTCTAATAATTTCTTACAGTATTTTGACTAAGCACAGTCTTTTGTACCATCCACTGTGGATCTCAACTGGTTAAGTTTGGGTGTTTTTGAGAGGGCAAAATAAAATAGGAACCATCAATGACTAGATTATAAATCCCACAATTAATTTGGAAGCCACTTAATTGAAATTTCTGCTAACTTAGCAACAAAACTTTGCCTTTGAATAGCAATCCCATTCTTCAAATAGTGAACATTTGTTGCACTAAATAGATTATTGAGGAAAGATATGTTTCAAATAGATCATAACAGTTTATAAAGATCTTGAAATCTGTTAGCACTCAAATACATTGTGTAAATACATATTCACACTTAAATAACCAACATCACATCCTAACATTGCAAACAGACTTGAGTGTATATACACAAAATAGAATTGTGTCTCTTTTTTAAATTACTTTTATTTTAGAGACAGGGTCTTGCTCTGTTGCCCAGGTTGGAGTGCAGTGGTATGACCATAGCTCACTGCACCTGGGCTCAAGTGATCCTCCTGCCTTGGCCTCCCAAAGTGCTGGGATTACAGGTGCATGCCACCATGCTGGGCTCATTTTTTATTTTTTTGTATAAACAAGGTCTCTCACTATGTTGCCCAGGTTAGTCTGAAACATGTGGCCTTAAGTGATTTTCCCACCTCAGCTTCCCAAAACTCTGGGGTTACAAGTGTGAGTCTAGAATTTTATTTCTTTAAAGATATTTTATGAAGCAAACATTTCACTAGTTTTCTTTACAGTTTTTCTGCACATACCCAAATTTAGTCCTACATGAAACTTAATTTTTCGTATGTGTATTCATTTTTAATTTTGGCAATATAAAGATTAAATTTTTAGTAGTAAGAACTTCTGGGCTATTCTTTTTTTTGAGACAGGGTCTCACCCTGTTGCCCGGGCTGGAGTGCAGTGACATGATCTTGGCTCAGTGCCACCTCCGCCTCCCGGGTTCAAGCGATTCTCCTGCCTCAGCCTCCCGAGTAGCTGGGATTATAGGTGCCCGCCACTATGCCCAGCTAACTTTTTGTATTTTAGTAGAGACAGGGGGTTTCACCATGTTGGCCAGGATAGTCTCGAACTCCTGACCTCGTGATTTGCCTGCCTTGGCCTCCTGAAGTGCTGGGATTACAGGCATGAGCCACCGTGCCCAGCCAGCTATTCTCTTTACAACCTTGATTAGTTACCTAATTTAAAGTGTGGACATGTTACGCCACCAAGGCACTTTCAAGAATGTTTGGTACTAGTAGTTCTATTTAGGAATAACAGAAAACACAAATATAAAGACTGTTCATGGTCAAGCATTCTTGCACCAGAGCCACCTATTTATAGGAACTAGACATCTATCAGGCCCTGGAGGAGCCTGGCTCAGATCCCTGGGCACCTTGAGCAGCTGTCGCGACCCTGCTGGGGAGTGAGCAACCCTACCCTGCAGGCACTGGGCCAGGACATTGACCCTAGCAGGCCGGCCAGCATTGGCCAAGCGGAGGCTGTACCACCTGTGCAGCTGCTGCTTTTGCTGACCCTCTCCCAGAAGTGCACCCTGAGCTCTGACTCAGTCCTGTTTGCAGGTGTGGCCCTTGTGCGCACAAGTGATAGGGGAGCCGGACTAGTGTCACCAAGGGGCCAGAGCTTCCGCGTTGGTTACGGAGTGACTGCAAGTGCCATCGGGCTGTGCTTCCCCCCTGCTGGAGGGATGGTCTGGAATCTGAATGCTCCCTGCTTTAACTTAATTCTCTAAAGCTGGGCTTTTTCTAAGTTGTAAGTCTGCTGGAAAAGATGTTGTTGGAGCTGGCTGTGAGATGTCCATTGTGTTCATTGGGAAGAAATATAGAAAGGAATCACCCGGCTCAAATCATATTTCCTAAGGGCCTCCAAGTCAATAGTCCATGAAAGTCTGAACTCTTCGCTTTATTTTTAATTAATTCACTTTAACAGTTTTACTCATTCATTCACTCACAATTACTTTTTTTTCTCATAACTAACAGCTAAAGTAAGAAAATGGCTAAATTAAACTATGTCTGGTTTTATAAAACACGATTTCCCTTTTTGCATTTTAGGAACGGGCACTACAAGTGCCTTTAGTTTGTTCTTTAAAGTTCCCAGTTCCATTACTCCAAAGGTTAAGAGATCTGCCTGCCCCGAAACACACTCAATTCCCTATTATTATTGTCTTTGGCAACCAGCATCAGAGATTAACACTGTACATGCCACCTCTGCACAAAAGCAAAAGCGTAAGTCCACGACAGTGACTCTTTGTTATTAATTGTTATTGTTATTGTTTTGGGGAGATCCACATTATCTTGTCTTCAAGTTAAAAACAGTAATTACGCTGTTCCTGCTGACAATGTCAGTGATGAGTATTTCCTGCACCTACAATGTGAACACAGGCCAGGCACCTGCTAAACGTCATATATACCTGATTATAAAGTCCTGTGAGCTGAGTACTATAATCCCTATTTTCCAGGTGAGAAAACCAAGGCTCAGACAGAGTAACTTTACCCAGCCCACACAGCTGGTAAGTGAGGGCCTGAGATTCTGAATCCCAGGCTGTAGGGTCCCAGCACCTGTGGCCTTCCCTCAAGGGACACAGCTCCTTATGAAAAAGGAAAGGAGCAGTTCCAATTGCTTGCTCATAAGAAATTAAGTAGATGAGGAATGCTGCTCCCTTTGGGAGGCTGAAGTGGGAGGATGGTTTGAGCCCAGGAGTTTGAGACCAGCCTGGGCAACATAGTGAGACCTCATCTCTTAAAAAAAAAAAGAAAAAATTAGCTTGATAATGGTGGCATATGCCTGTAGTCCCAGCTACTTGGGAGGCTGAGGCACGAGGATGGCTTGAGCCTGGGAGGTCAAGGCTGCAGTGAGCCGAGATTCTGCCATTGCACTCCAGCTTGGAAGACAGAGTGAAACCCTGTCTCAAAAAAAAAAAAAAAAAAAAAAAAAAGAACAAAAAGAGAGAAAGAAATGTCCCTCCCATTGGGGGTCCTTGTCTGACATCCCACTACTCCCTGGAAGGAGAGGCTGGAGCTGCCTGGGCCCTGGAAGATCCCCTTCCTGCTGTTTAAGAAGCCCCTGAAGTTTGGTGTGTTCAGCGGCCCAACCTCAAGTCGCCTTGCTGCTGGTTCAATGCTGACCTGCTCCAAGGTCTGGTGACTGGGATCTTCAGCCCCTCCTTGTAGCCAGACTCACAGCTGCCCACATCCTGTGCTGGAGCCCCACTCTGACTCTCTGCCCGCAGAGCGGTTTAATAGCACAGTTGGGTTTGAAAAGAGGCAGGTCTGGACTTGAGTGTCCAGCTCCACTCCCTGCTAGCTGTGTGGCTTCAGGCAGGTTCCTTGATCTTACTGTCTTGGTCCTTATCTGAAAAATTAGCACCACAACAGAAATGTCTCAGGGAGCCCAGTAGGCCCTCAGCTACAGGCAGAGTAAAGCCCCCAGCATCGTGCCCTGAGGGGGCAGGGGGACCTCTGGGCCACAGCCCGGCTCTGCACAGCACACAGCCCCACTGGCCGTGTGCTCAGCGAGGCCCACCTGCTGGCTGTTCCTGCACCTGCTTTATGTCACTGAGACAGGGTCTGAAATATTTACTTGGTCCCTACAAAGTGTCTTCCGTAGAGTAGGTGCTCAGGAAATGTTGTCAGCTGATGAATAGATGCATCTTGTATAAATCAGGAAAGAAATCCTGGTTCTGAGCCTGCAGTTTTCTGATCAGCAAACAGCTGCCTGTGCTTCCTGTGGCCCCGGGGGCAGGTGCACCTGCACAGCAAGGGGGCTGTAAAGAGGCAAAAATACTCTCTTCTGAGTTGAAATCACAAACCTGTGACCTGCATGCTCTCCTAAATGGGAAGGGGTGAGCAGCGCTGTGGAAAAGGCTCCTCCTTGGCAATGAAAGGGATGATTTCTCCAGAGTTCACCGGACTCCCCCTTTCCCCAGCACCAAGCATCCAGGTGAGTGTTTTGCAATGGGGTCCGTCACCATCAGGAACCGAGGAGAGTTTAGACTCTGCATTTACTACACCAGACCCACAAAGCACCACCCGTGCTCTCAGTCTCGGGAGAAACAGCCTCTTTCACTTTTCAAATCAATCTTCTGTGCGTGTATTTACTATAATGTTACAGCACCATTTGGTTCCAGCTTTAAATCACGAAGATATGCTGTACTTAACGACTTTAATTGAAGCAGCACACAGCCACATGGGAAATATCATTTAGAGGCCAATCATCTCTTTCCCAGAAAAGCTCTGGGGACAGGGGCAGGGGAGGGAGAGAGGGAGCTGAGAAGCCTTGATGTGCAAGTTCAATTTCTACAGGTGAACACCAGCGGCCTCGGCAATGCTAGGTTGTTAGGAATTCGGCCTTACTTCTTTTCATCTCTGTAGTTTACTAGGTGGCTCTCAAAGGCGCATGACTGCAGTGCCCCACTGCACGGACGCAGCAGAGGGCATGACAGGGTTCATTGGAGAAGCTGGCTCCCGCAGGGCTGCCGGGCCAGCCTCTTTCAGCTGGAAAAAACCACAAGCGCTCACTAACCTGCCGTGCTCACCATGAACTTCCACTTGACCACATAGGCATCCCCCTCATGGAACTGCCCGATGCTTTGTTTGGGGAGCCTGCTATAGTCGAATTCCAGGATGTGCCAGACATCCACGGAAACGCTGGTGATCTCAAACTGCCTCCTGTCGTGTCCTTCCACCAGGCCATAGCCACGGCCGACGTTCACTCCGTCCAGGATGGTGCCTGCTGTCGTCTGGGGCATGGACACCATCCGTGTCACATCGTATGCCTTGACATCAGTCCTGGGGTCTTCCTACAGGGGAACACAAAGACATCAGTTCAGTTGCCTGTTTCTGCAGCTATTCCTTGTCATGCTCAATGCTGCTTCAGCTGTTCATGGGACAGCATAAAAATACAGCTTCCACACTCTGTCTCAGGATGTTTAACTGCAGTCAGGGAAAGGCTGCATTTCCAGAAAGACTCTGGGAGGTCTGAACACCCATCGCCACAACAGCACATGGGTGCCTGAGAACAGGCACAAATCAGACTCTTCACTTCCCAGAGTCAGATTAGAATTGGAGGCCTGTCTGCTGTTCTACTAGTGAATCCTGGGAAGGCTTCCTAGCTTTAAGGGTGTGTGTGTGTGTGTGTGTGTGTGTGTGTGTGTTTGTTTGTGTGTCTGTGTGTCCATGGTTTTTTTTTTAATTAAAAAAGTATTTTAGTTGACACATTATTATGGGTATGATTCGATGTGTTGATACATGCATCTGTTTTATGGGGAAGGGGGTGTGGGAAGGAGACGGGACAGGGAAGATAGGGAGATGTTGGCCAACCGGTACAAAGTGACAGAGAGGAGGAATGAGCTCTGGTTTTCTCCTGCACAGTGGGGTGACTGTTTTCCAATACTGTATTGCATATTTCAAAATAGCTAGAGGAGAAGATTTGAATGTTCTCACCACAAAGAAATGATACATCTGGGGTGACAGCCATACGAACTATCCTGATTTGATCATTTTACATGAAGGCCACTTTTATTGGGACCCGAACCAAGCCCCGAGTTTTGAGGCTTGGTCGCCGGAATACCTTGTGCTGGGCAAGTTCCCCGGGGTTCTTCTCATTCGATCTCTTCAGTTCCGTCCAATCCAGAAACTTCTCTTTGAACAAAATCGTCTCATTGTGTTCAGTAAGTCTCCCAAATATCGCCCAGTCGGGCCGCCCCTGTCCTTTTCTGTAGGGTGGGAGGGGGGTTGGGAGAACAGACAGGAAAAGAACCAAGATGAAGCCAAGCTTAAACAAAGGAATCTAAAACACATGCGGCTGCTGGAAAAAACCTCAAAGTACGTGAGTACATATAAAGTAAATGGTTTATTTTCCTGCATTTTACCAAATAATGACATTTTGTTATTTTAGTCTGAAGTCTTGCAAAGCTTTGTGTCCATGGAGTTTTTGATGTGCCTGAATGTGACATGAACCATGTCAGGACTAGACTTTTCTTACATTCTAGCAAGTTCTTTTCTTTTCTTTTTTTTTTTTTTTTTTTTTTTTAGAGATAAGGTCTTGTTCTGTTGCCTAGGCTGAAGTGCAGTTGCACAATCATAGCTCCCTGCAGCCTTGAACTCCTGGGCTGCAGTGATCCTCCTGCCTCAGCCTTGCAGATAGCTGGAACTGCAGGTGTGTGCCACCATGCGTAGCTAATTTTTGTATTTTTTTAAATATGAGACAGGGGTCTCGCTATGTTGCTCAGGCTGGTCTTGAACTCCTGGCCTTAAGTGATCCTTCCTTCTCAGTCTCCCAAAGTGCTGGGACTACAGGTGTGGGCCACATTCTAGCAAATTCTTGTCTTTGGGATACCCTGGGGTGGCACGCTGGGTGGGGATTTTGGAAAAGGCAGGAGCCGCAGGAAAACCTTGTCTACTTTAGCCGCCCAGTCACCTGCAGATGCTTACCAAGTTTCCCGTCCAATTAATTAATAGACATAGGGAAGAGGTAGCTCCCTCCTCAATTCTCTACTATTTTATGTCATGTTACAACAAAGCTCTCCAGAGTATGGAGATTCTCCCGTCACTAAAATGAACACACTTTCATAGATCTTGAAGTGCCTTTTTGTGCACTTATTTCTAGGCCACTGGCCAGGGCAGCAGACAGGAGAGCACAGAGAGATAGGAAAGAAAACGGCATAGCTCCACCCGGAGGTCTTGTGTGGCCTTAGGATTTCAAAATTTACACTGTCCCCAAGAACACAGGTATTTTAGATAAAGGCAGAGCTGAGAAGATACACGTGCTGCAGAGGGCGTAGCCCTGGAATAACATGCACGATCTCTCATCCCTCCAGATCCATCTTCGGTTGTGAATCCGGCCCGGAATGCAGCCACCCCTTAGAGCAACCCCCCTTGCTGCTCGTGCCCTGCTGTGCTACTGCCTCAGTCACTTCCTGCTTGGTCAAGACCACAGCTGCTGATGTCACAGCTGAGGCACATCAGAAAGGCTGCCTGATTCAAAGAAAGCTGCCGGATAAATCATAGAGCACAGACACTTCTACCTCATGCTCTTATGGGACTTTAGGAACCAAACATAAGCACCTATGGAAAATGCACGGCGGTCTTGAAAGGCTGTGGTCTTTATCAGAAAATATCTGAATGACTGTTTGTTATGTCAGTCCTACTCTGCAGGCTTGCTAAGATGATGATTGAAAGGGCTCTTGGTTTCTGCTTTGGAATCTGGCATTTATGTTTTGAAGCGTTGTGAGCAAGCGATGTGGCAGATTGCAGGGTGAGGGGGACAAACCTGGGCCAGGAGCCAGGGGTTTCTCTACCCCCTTCCCTGACTTACAGCTGGAACTGGGCTCAGTGGTTTCAGCCTCATTTGCTAAGAAGGTCTGGGTATGTAATCCTGGCTGCATCTTAAAATCCCTAGGAGCTTTTAAGACATATTGACACATAAGCTCTAACTCACATGAAACGAAAACACATCTCTGGGGCTGGGCTGAGCAAATGCATTTTTTAAAAGGCCCCTCAGGTGATTCTGTCTCAGAGATGTTGAAAACCAGTGGGTTAGGAGCTCAGTCATCCACTTTCAGATCTGTGATTATGCCACTATTAAATACAGTTGGCTATCACATAGATTTTATGCTTTAGCTTGTTCTTTTTTCCTTTGCTATACCAAATAAAATCTTCTGAGCTGTAGTTCCAGTCCTTAAAATAATGGTTGTTACCATACTGAGGTTAAACATTAGTGCATTTGCTTAACAAGGACTTTAAAACTTATCACACTGCCATAATTTTTAATGGTTTCTATAATGATTAATTAATAAGAAAATCAATAATTGGATTTTAAGCAGGAAACTAGGCAGGAAAGTTGAAATTCATAGACCAATTCAATGGAAAACATTAAAATGTATTGGGAGATGCCCAATATTCTATGCTGTTTGGTGGTTCACTGGTTTCTAATCTATTATAACGGCACCCATAGTTAAAAAGCACTAGTTTTTTTTTGGTCTGATAGTTGAAAAAACAACAATCCTTTGCACGTAGGAATTATTTTTTCCAACATCATAATTTCTGACTTTGCACATATTCTATTGAATTGCCAAAATGACTTTAAAGAGTCTAGTACATGCAGGGAATATTACAATTGCAATCATTATTTTAACACCATCTCCTCCCCCTCTTCCCTTCCCAAAAGATATAAAGACATAAACATCATCTGCTGCCAAATAAATCCTGAAATTCGAGGGCGATGCTGGGAAGGTATGAAATTAGAGGGAGGCATGTTGCTTTTGCACTTTCAGATCAATGGCTGAATTCCAGACCCGGGGAAGCCTTTCAGATCCGCATGTAATTTGTTTAAACAATTGCTGTTCATCTGCCACAGCAGCACTTGTAATGCCGCAGGGAGGAACTTGCAGCATTTCTTGCTCACTTCAAGAAATCAACTATAACAAACCTCTTCCAGAAGACTACGACATCCATATTTCTGCAATAGTTAGATAAAAGTTAAAGAACTGTTCCTTTTGTGAATATTCACAGTCCACTGCATATAATCGTTTATGAAAACTGAACCCTATAAAGAGCGAGAGTAGAGGACTGTGGTGAGAACAGAGGGATCGAAGGGAATCAGCTCGCTTGAAGAGCTGTCCCCGGGCGGCGGCAGGAGTACCTGGGGATAAGCGGATTGCATTCTCCAGGATCCAGGGGATTGATGTCACAGTTCTCATAGTCAAAGGTTCCATTCCATAAGTGCTTTGCCAGCTGAAATGCTATTTTTCGTTGTGCTAATGTGACTTCTTTCCCATGCCATACGTAAACTTCACTACCAAAATCAAACACCAGTACCTGGGAGAAATGGCACAAAAGAATTTGTTAACTTCAAGAACATGCAACAGTTGAATCAGGTGCAACAGGGTCTCTTGTTGACAGTGAGTCAAACGGAGGAAGACAGAAATCCTAACGGGGCGACCAACACAGACACAAAAAGGCCAGGAGATCTCAGCTGGCACTGCCCCACCGAGCCAGCCTCTGCCCTGCGGGCACGATTCCTCCTCCCAGTGTCCTAAGTGGCCAGGATAATGTTCCCTCCTCTGAACTCTCAACCTGCTTACAACTTGCGATTCACAAGAGTTCTTTAGGTACATCTTCCTGTCGACTTCCTGCCTCTCTCCCCTATTCCTCCCCCTCTCATGTGCTCATTCATTCACTTAATATATACACAGAGGCCACTTCATATACCGCAGGCACTCATGGTCCAGTGGTGTCTTCTCTCCAGTACACAATTCCAAGATCCTTAAGGGCAGGGATCAGATCATGGTGATACATACAGGAGGGGTTGATTACTAAGTGTTTGCTGAATGAATACATGAATGTAATGCTATTTCTTATGTTCATGGTTCATTTTATTCTTTCTCCTAGAATGAGTTCTCCCTTCACTTCCAGCAATTCAAATTTTGCTTAACTCTAAACTAGGCTCAATTTCACTTTCTATGTAAAATTATTCCTGAAGGTTTCTTTTTCTGTGACTTTTCCCTCATGTAAATGCCCATACATGTCACACAGTCAACCTTGCTCCAGATTACATTCCTTCTAATACTCTTCCACCCAATTAAACTTAAGGGCCTGCGTGTCTTCCACTTTCTCAACACTTAGCATGCTTAATGATACTGGAAATGTATGTAATTAATAAATATTTACTGCTGTGACAGGACAAAAACAGCACATTAATTGGGAAATCCATAAATTATATATGCATGCATCTAGTGTTCCTTAAACTTAAGGATTTAAAAATATTTTATTATAATGTTTATGCAAAATGCAAAAGATAGGGCTAAGTAATATTTGTATTTTGCCTAAGATATAAAAGCCTTCAATGATCCATGCCAACTCTAAATGATATTCTGGATTCCATATTAGCATTTAAGATACCAGTAATGGTTTGAAATCACAAATATCCTTTAAAAAGCTGTAAATGTTCTACAATGGATACCGACACTGGCTAACCTTTATTGGGAACTTACTCTCTAATCTATTGGGCAGCCTGTGCTGAGTGCTTTCAATGTGGTTTCTCACTGAAGGGCAGAGCCCACGGACTGTACCTCTTTGGGTTGCAGAAGGGAGCACTTCGGAATTTTCCCCCAGTAGTCGTCATCAGGAACAAGTTTGTCATCCATGAGACGGTAAATGCAGTTAGTTTCTATTATGGCTGCTTCATAGAGTTCATCTTCTTTTGGGTCTCCAGCAGCTTGGGGATAAGAAGAACAGGAGAGCATCACATTTTACATTGCAAAGTAGCTGCAATGTAAAATGTGAATGAATTTCACATTGTAAAATTTTATTTACAATGTAAAATAGAAGAATGAGCTAAGGGAGAAGAAAGGAGATTCAAGTCTCGTCAATCTCTGAAGTACAATGAAGTCTTACATTGGTAACTGGTTTGGCCACCCAGAAGCTTCCAGAAGTCTTTGGCTGCATGAGTGTGTGTATTAATTCCTTCTTCAATGGTTTGGATATAAGTAGCTCTACAACCAAGTTCCCTCTTTGTCTGAATTAAAGTTGCAAGTTCTGAGGCCTAAAAAAGAGAGGAACACAATTGCCTGGGTAGAAAAGCCCTTGGCTAGACAGAGTGGCACATGTCAAAACCAGAGAGGAGAAACAGTGTGCCTGCAAGGAAAGCCTTGTGACCACGGGTGTGGGTGGATGCTGGTTACTGGGTATTTTCAATGACCTCAAGAAAATGTAACTGAAAGACCAGGGAGTATCAATTCTTTAGAGCAATAGTTCTCCATCTTCAATAGGTCACATGTGATGCTTTTAAAAAACACTATTCTTTGGGCTTTACCCCATGACAGTCTCATTCAACAGGTCTATGGCAGAACTTCAGAGCTACCTGGGATAAAGGACTTTAAAGTGGGGCCGCTTCCTTTTTTACACAGGAGTAGGAAGGAACCCAGGACCTAAACACTGGGGTGTAGGTCATAGTCCTAAAGTATCCCATTTAAACATGTAATGAAAGCTTGTTTGAGAGACATTCAGGAAAAGAAATCCTACCTATCCCTTCTCACTTGAATGCAACACCTGGCTTTTGAGAAGCTTTGTGACTGACGTCAGGAAGAACACTCCTCCGGTGCGTAAAGGAGATGTTAGCTAAAGCATTTTTATTTTTCAGGTACCAACCTTCGCCTTTTCTATGACGTTTGCAAACTCTCCTACCCACAGGAAGCAGCAGTGGGGAGAGAGCAGGAGGAAGCAGTCCCCACTGTTGAGCGCCGAAGCTCGAGGTTCCACCAGCCTGGTCTGCACATGTCTTCTTCCTGAACACGAGGCAGACAGTCACCGTCTTTCCAGACAGAACGGGGATAGGACGCACCCCATATCGGAAGCATCCCTGCTGCGGACGCTTTCACTTCTAAAGAGTCTTGTCTGCTAATAAGAGTGCCCATGGCCCAGGGTGGCAGCAGGGGGATTTAGAAAGGGCATGATGATGGCACTAGCGGCTGCTTTCCTGGTTTGTGCTTTCCCAAATGTCACCCACTTCTCAGGACCATTATCAGTGTCATGTGCGTGGGTTAATGAAGGCTCCCCCTTCCAGGGAGATGAGCACACAGGCTCCTTTTCCCTCCTTCACTCTTCTCCCGGGGCCTTTCTCTCCCCTGGCCACCTCCTGCACCCAATTACATCTGTGGCCCAGGCAAGGGAAGCCACGCCTTCAGGAAGGGTCGGCTCTTCCCCTGGGGAGTTTCCACTATGAACCCTAGGGGCCTCTCAACAGGAAGGATGGAGGCGCCACCTTCTGTGGCTTTCAACACCTTTTCCTAAATATTTGTTGATTTTGAGCTTTCCACAATTAAACAGATCATGTAGTCTCTGGGTTAGGACTCAGGACAGAGATTGGTTATTTGAGCTTGTCACTAGTCTTTTTAAATACACACAATAGGATAGTGGTTACACAGAAACATGTGGGAAACCCTCCTGGAGGGAGAGGATATTTCCTTCATTCTCATCTCAAGGATTCATCTATACAGTGGCCACCAGGAGGCAGCCGAGTCTCCTCCTCATGGCCCAGAGACGCCCTGGTTCATCTTTGGAATCTCCCTTGCTACGGACAGGAAGGGCACTAGAGCGGAATGCAGGTGGGCTTCATCTGCGTCGAACTTCCCTTGATTCCTTCTCCAAGCTGTGTCTTCCTCCCCAGTTCTGTACTGACTCGGGGAGAACTGGGCAGAGAGCAGAGAGCCCCTCTGATGATGTAGGGCACCTCTGGTAACTGCATGGATGTGTGACCGCTTCGTGGGGCACGGGGCGCCAGGAGTAAAAGCTGGGATTCTGGAGTGGGGGGACCTGGGTTCAAATCCAGCTCTGCCACCCAGTAGCTGCTGGGACTCCAGACACGTTCCTGCCTCTGGAAGCCCTGGTGGGCAGAATACTTCCTATGTCATGGGATTTGGGGAAGCTTGAGAGACAGGAGGTTGCATAGCAAGGAACACACAATAAGTTCTCAAAAAGTGTGCGTTCCTTTCCCGGCACAGGCAATGAATTACAGAGTCAGGACTCCGTATGGGACCAGACAGAAACCACGGGCCCTGAGTCACCGTGCCAGGCTGCTCTGAAATACCTTTAATCTGCAACAGCATCAGCCTCTTGTAGGGCACGGCGCTGTTGTTAGAGTTCTGTTCCGTCAGGTTGACGCTCCGCAGGCTGACGTTGCTGAAGTTTTCTTTACTGGCTAAACCCGCCAGGGTGACTTCTGAGAAGTTGGAGTTGGAAGACACTGGGCACGTTGAATAAGGAAACACAACGCAGGAGGTTCAGTTACAGTGACAATATTTACAGTCAGAAATTATTCATAACTGACTCAACACCTTTGTCTTTTCAAGTTAATCCCGAGAGGGAAAACATACTCAAGTTTGATTAAATGTGCAATTCAATGCTTAACCACTGTGTTAAGAATTAAGTACAGCATTGAAAATATAAACTGCTTGTTGACAAGTGTCACTCCATGCTGTGCAGAGGGACAAGAACTGAGTGATGACGTGGACCAGCTACTTTAGTACAAAACCAGGAGCTGGATGCACTTGTTGCAATTCCACTGAAAGCTGTTCTAAATCCTAACAACTTTTACATGTCCAAATGTATAGATGCCAGATGACTGTTAGACCGCTTTCACCAAAAGCCTTTATACATAAAGAAAACAAAAAAGTAGACACTCTGTAAGGGATGATTAGGTTCTAATCTTTATCTGAAGGCAAAGTGATCAGCCAGATGATATCTTGAGATCTTCTGCTCTTAGAGTTAAGACTGTAGTTATAAGATGGGTTTTCACTGCAAAACAGCAAACATCTATAGACCGGTCAGTCATCACTAATCCAACCCCTGAGCCCCCAAAAGTGGAGGCAGAGGAAACATATGTAAAATCTGTGCCAACATTTATTTCTCCAACTTATTGTTTTAAAAATGTATATGCTAGAGAGAAATTCAGAAATTTATTTCACTGGGATTAGGTTTGAAGACATATAATACCACTTGTCAATTCATTATGGTGTTGTGCTTTTTAAATACACTTTTTTTGTTGTTGTTGTTGAGAAAGGGTGTGGCTCTGTCGCCCAGCCTGGAGTGCAGTGGTGCAGTCATGGCTCACTGCAGCCTTGACCTCCCGGGGTTTAGTGATCCTCCCACCTCAGCCTCCTGAGTAGCTGGGACCCCAGGTGAGTGCCACCACACCTGGCTAATTTTTTCATTTTTTGTAGAGATGAAGTCTTGCTATGTTTCCCAGGCTGGTCTCAGACTCCTGGGCTCAAGTGATCCTCCTGCCTCTGCCTCCTGAAGTGCTGGGATTACAGGCATGAGCCACCATGCCCAGTCTGAAATATACTTTCATAGTAAACCAGTTATAACAAAAAGACTCAACCACTTCATCTAAATACTATATTTCTAAGAAAAACATTAGGAAATAGGTCTATGAGTGTTATGGGAAAATGAAAATTATAGCAAGATTATCCCAAAAATCAAGATTATGCATGCTATCACCTCAAACCAAGAAAATCACTGTTTCAGAATGATGGAACCCCACATTACTGGGCAGATGAGAGCAGTGTGGCTCAGCCTACAGTGAGACTGAGAGTCTGGAGCCCATCTCCTCGCCTCCATTCATCGCCCCTGCCAGCTCCCCCTGCTCCCTCCAGCCCACATCCCAACTCCGAGAAGCTCAGGGTCCTACCAAGAACGATCTGAAAAGCACTGGCGTTTGTGTTAATTAATAATATAAAAATCTAGGATTAGATACTCCAGTGATTTGAAGTGTTTTACTATAAGAGATCAAATAACTCTTTTACTATAAGAGATCAAACGACTAATAAGATTAAATGAAGAATGATTGTGTGTTCAGGATCTACAGAGCTGAAAATGGCTGAATTACCATACTCAGAAATATCCATCTCTTCTAACTTCCAGAAAAAAACTCAACAAAACAGGGTAATTTGTAACCGGGTGCGGTGGCTTGTGCCTGTAATCCCAGCACTTTGGGAGATCAAGGTGGGAGGATTGTTTGAGGCCAGAGAGTTTGAGATGAGCCTGGGCAATATGATGAAACCCCCAGTCTTTAAAAAAAAAAAAAAAAAACCAAACCCCAGTATAATCTGAATTAACTAACTGAACAGGTGATACACACTTTGAGAATTTCTATGAAAAATCTTTAAAGTCTAGGTGCGTGCACATGTATGTGCAAACTTACTCCTTTTTACTTCATGAGGGTCTTCTGAGCACCATTATTGGCCTTCACAAGGCAGAAAACCAAGCAATGAGTAGAGCATCGGAAGAAGCCATTCCCAAACACAGAAGCAGGGTGGGGGTTCAAATACTCACTCTTTTCTACTTTCATCCGCTTTGACTCCATGAAGGCAACGTTTAATCTCTGCTCAGTGTATTCCTGAAGGAGATCTTCTCTTGCCGCCAGCATTTTCAGGGGGTTTTTGGAGGCCTGAACCCGGCGCTTGGGCCTAACTGCCCGCTTGTGCTCGGCCACGGAAGACGTCAATCTGCGGATGGAAGCAGAGCCGCGGTCCCAGTCTGTGACACCACCACCCCTGGATGACCTGGGGGTCTTGGACTCCACAAAGTATTTCCTGATTTTGTTACAAATCTTGCAACTCTTCCTCCCACCGCCACTCCCCTGACATGGAGTCGTAGAATCTTGGAGATGGAAGAGGGATGCAAGCCCACTGAGTTCAAATCTCAGCCACACCCGGATGCCCCCACTCACTCATGCCCCTTGGTCTCCTCCTGGGAGGGTGTGGAGTACTTCCGGGCAGCTCACGGCTCTGCTAGACAGCTCTAGGGTTTAGGGAGCTCTTCCCTCCCCCCTACCACGCCCATGCACACGTCCTAATTCTCGCTTTGGAATCATACACCCATGTCTACTTGTCTGTTTCCGGCAAGCCCTTCGGGAATTTGCACGGGCTCCTTGACGTAATCCTCTTCGCTCGGCCTAAACTTTCTCCCTATGCAATAGCTTTCGGTCCCCTTACTGACCCTCCATGACTAGCTTCCACTTAACGCACTGCCTCCTCTGAAAAATAACCACTTTTTGGAAGACTATATTGAAATAAAATAGGCCCGCAACCATCTGTGACCACCCCACATTCTCACAATTCTTTGGGGTGGAAAACCAGACTAGGGAAGGTGAGCAGACCGAGAGAAGCGATCTCCCAACAGACTCCTGCTGCCACTCTCCACCTCCAGCTGCGCGGGCCTCTGTGCCCAAAAGGCGTCTTTACGTACCATGGTGTCATATGTGTCTATCAATATGTTTAAATTATGATATACAACTACTTAAACAGTGACATTGTGTGGGCGGAAGATTGAGAAATGGTTAAACCGCTATGTATGCAAATACCCAAAATACTATTTTGAAGTAGAAAATGGCAAAGGGCTCATTTTTTAAGGTAGGAAATTAAAACATGCAAACTGAAACAAATTGAGCAAACTGGAATATGCAAAGAATTTATCAGGAGCAGCTTGTAGAAAATGGTATATGTCACTGACAATTTTGCAGTTAAGAGCAGATGGATGTGGTGGATTGCCGTGGGTGGAGCCTGTCTAGCGTGTCTCCCTCTGCTTCTGGTAATAGCATCTGGATTTTCCTTTGGGGAAACCACCTCACTGCACCCCCATCGTGGCTCTAAAGGAGACCCAGAGCCCCGCCTTTACCCAGTCAGCATCTTCTATCCCATTGGCCACAGTGACTGGTTTAGGGATGGACAGGGGGCTCAAGTTGAAGCCAAGAAAATCAAACCTGGAACTTCTGCTTGGACTACTGGGAAGAAAAGCTACCCGTGCTGGGCTGGCCAGGGAGGCAGCCTTGTGACTCCAGAGCTGGGGTGTCCATCTGCCGCCAGGCCGCTGCCTGACGGAGAGTGAGGCCAGCCCAAAGGAAAACAGCCAAGACAGACTGTGTTCTGAGGGGCCTCTAGAACCCGAGGCCACATCTGCACTGTTCAGCGCGTGAGCCAGTAAACCCCTCCGCACTGTTCAGTGGCTGAGCCGGCAAACCCCTCCGCACTGTTCAGCCAGTGAGCCGACAAAGCCCTCCGCACTTTTCTTTTTGCTGAAATCAGTTTGAGTTGGGATCTTTTTCTTGGCACTTGAAATTGACGGACTCCTAATACCATAATCACTTTTCCTAGTTGGTTTAGTCATGTTCCCCTGGGAAGAGAAACCCTTAGACATCAATGAGAAAGCCCGCAGATCTATTGATTTTATAAATGATTGGAAGCTAAGTAACATGCCTTACTGATTTTCTAGTTAGCTGTATTAGTTTGAGCCCATCTCATCCAAATATTTTGCAAAATTATGAGCAAGAATTCAATATGTCAAATGAAAGACAGGCGTTGAACTCTCTGCTAAGTGATGTAAACCTAAAAACTGCAAAACAATATTTACATTATGTGAAAAATCCAGTGACGCCCTCTTTATGGCACAGGACAAGCATCTGTGGCCCACGCGGTCTGCCTGCATGCACATCTGGTCTGCCGTCTGCATGTTTTATCTGCTGCGAGGCTCCGTGCCCCTGGCTCCTGCAACACCTTGCCCTGGCTCTAGAATACTAACGCCGCCGTGATGGAGTTAGAAGGAGAAGGAGGCCACACTGGGGGAAAAGCCTCATGGATGTGCCCTCTGCAGGCGAAGGAAGCCCTTCTCAGTGGAGGAAAGACGGAGACCCAAATAACTCACTTGGGTGCATAAGGATCGAAAATGACATCGAAGTCCTCATCCATCTCCACAGGACTTCTTGGCATATTATAATCCACGCTGCGGTAAAATTTGGCAAAGGTTTCATCATCATCTGGCTTCATCACCTCCTTCACAGATTTGCCGGTGACAGTGAGCACCGTTTCGTGCATCCCGCCAACTATCAACAAACAAGCAAAAGACATAAGAGTTTTATAAAAACAAGGACTCCAATTATGCTTCACAATAGTTTAAAAATTCTATTGCCTCCTAAGTTCCAGGAGTGGAAGAAACACGGTTGTGATATACAGGGTCCTGTGGTTGCTTCCCAGGCCCTTACTTAATCTCTGACGTAAGGACTTCCCACCTGAACAAATCTGCAGTAAAATGGGAGAGAGGGAGGCTGACCATACTGCACACACGCGCCCACTGAACGCTTCTGAACCTGCCCTTGCTTCTGTTGAGGGTAGGTGAACCAGCCTCAGCCTCATTCTACGTGAAGGGTTGGCAAACTTTTTCCAAAAAGGGCCAGCCAGTAAACATTTTAGGCTTTGCATGGGGAGGGGTGACATGGGGCCTGTGTTGCGACAACTCAGTTCTGCTGTCTTAATGCAAAAGCTATTGACAATAGTTCACAAATGGGCATGGATATGTTTCAATAAAACTTTATTTACAAAAACAGGGCTGGGCATGGTGGCTTACGCTTATAATCCCAGCACTTTGGGAGGCTGAGGCTGGGGGATCGCTTGAGCCCAGGACTTCAGCCTGAGCAACATAGTGGGTCCCCATCTCTACAAAAACAGAAAAAAAATTAGCCAGGCTTGGTGGTGCACGCCCATAGTCCCGCCTACTTGGGAGGCTGAGGTGGGAGGATTGCTTGAGTCCAGTTCAAGGCTACAGTGAGCTATGATGGCACCACTGCACTTTAGCCTGGGTGACAGAGCAAGACCCTGTCTCTAAAAAACAAACAAGAAAAAAAAAAAGCAAGTGGGCAGCTGGATTTGGCAATGGCCATCGTTTGCTGACCCACGGGCTAGATCACTGCTCCATGTGTGTAATAAATGCGTTGCTGACTGGCATTCCCTGCCTAGCCAGTTCAGTTATTATATTACACTTTTATATTTCTGTTCAGTGGTGGTTGTATTATTTTCAACCTTTTAGTGGTCACTGTCAATAGTAGGGACTCCCAGCGCCTAGTATTTGATAAGTTTCCAGGATTGGGCATTTTAATCAAGAGATAAAAGGCTGTTTTTGCATATTGCTCTTTTATTTGGTATACCGCATTGACTTTTATATTGAAACATTTACTTCAATATTCATTTGCCATAATTTTCTTTTAGAAATCATTTGTGATTATATGAAATAATATTAGCTTTTACCTTATTGGAAATTGATAACATACAATTTAAAGTTCACCAGGCCCAAGGTCACGTTGATTTTGCCGACACATAATAATCTGCTTTCAGAGTTATAAGCAAAATCACTCAGTTCACAATTCCAATTGGATGGCATCCCAAGGGCTTAGATTCAAGAAAAAAATGTATTATTGGGAGTCCCCAATTTAGTACGTTATCAAGTGAATCAGGGCTTGTTTCTCTAATCAGTCTTGACCAAAACTTCTTTTTTTTGGCTGAGGAAGAAAAGCAATCAGAATTAGGATTTAGAGATTCTGAGAGCAAAGCCTTCTGGCTTCCAGTAGGTACCTTTGTTATTCAGCCTTCTTAGAAAGGTTTCCAGCCTGTCCAACTTCAGGTCCGATTCTAACTGCATATCTGGTCTGGCTTCGATATCTAGGCAAGCAGAAACCGTCAGTGAGACAGCATCACTAAGGCCTCTTCTGATCAGAAACTGCTTGGCGTGGCCGGGGCCTTGGCGACTTACCTTCCAGGGGTTTGGAAACGGGTGTGGTGCCTCTTGTTTTACCGCAAATGGGTGAGGCTACTGGGGTTATGGCAGTAGGTGACGCCAAACCTGTGGAACACACAGACGAGCTACTGAGCATCTCAGGGTCACTTCTGGAAATCTCCGGGACCCTGGTGGATCTCCAGAAATCCCAGGGTAGACGGCACAACATATAAGAATTTACACACATGCAGGCACACACACACACATTTCACACGTACCACGACTGTGGGACAACCAACTGCAAACGTAGACTGGATTTTATTATTTCCAAGGACTGTAGTGGCTGACAAGCCGATATTCCAAAATGAACGGTGGAGACGTGGGAAAACATGTCCATGACACGTTAACTTGGGCAAATGCAGCTGTGAGTTCTGAGGCCCTTCGGAGATGGCAGGGGCAGCTGAGAGTGCATTGGTGCCATCTGCAGAATGAGCTGTGTCACACTTGCCAGCAAGTGGCCCCCCGCAGTGGAGCTCTCCTCCAGGCTGAGGGGAGGGAGGGACAGTGGCCCTGGGGACATGACACAGACAGTAACCCAAGGAGGGCCAACCTTTCAGAAGAAATTACAGACCAGGGCAGGTCTGGACCGACTGTGCGTGTTGGAAGTCCTGTCCATCTCCCGTGTGGGCAGAAACAGGAAATGCTTTTCCTAGTATATTTACCGAGAAGCAGAGTGGGGAATCTTTAAAAGGGCAAGTGGTGAGAGACACATGAAAGGGAAAGGGAGGAATTCCTGCATGGAGAAAGTATCCAGCTGGAAGAAGAAAACTTAGTAAACAGAAGGATGAGTATCGCTTCCCTAATCTAAGTGGAAGGCATTGGAAAGAAAACTGATTAGTGCATTTACAAAAAAACAAAATGAGATGTGAATGTTCTCTGTACTCATTTGTAATAAATGTGAAATCCTTAGATGACATTGCCACTTAGATGACAATGCATCCCTGGACGAACAACATCGAGAGGTTATGCAAATCACTATCACAAGGAAAACCAAGGGAATAAATGATTCTGCCCCTTCCTCCTGTGAATGGGAGAAGTATTATAGCATTAAAAAATTTAATAAAAAAAACCATTAAATGGTTTAAAACTCAAGTTTTAGTAATATTCTACAAGTACGTCTCATTATATACATATATTTGATTGATGGTGTCAATAAAAGTTTTAAAATTTGTTTCAATTGCCAGAACTGCAAAGGGTTTCCATCCATGAGAAAGTAAACTTTCTTGAAAGATGATAAATAAAATCTGGTATCACAGGGTGGGGAGGGAAATCTTTACTCACTAGAAGGATGCTTAAGAGAAGAGACATCAGAGGAGTTCATTAGCACAGAGGCCGTTAACTCCGCAGCTAATGAACAGGACTGACTCTGAAGGCTGGTTTCCAAAGCAACCGGAGAAATCCATCCGTGTCCTGGCCGGTGCCGGGCAAACCCCGCTGCCATGGCTCCCCCTGCTGGCGGTTCAGGCAGTGGCACTATGCAAACGTGCTCCCCACCTAGCTAAGGATCCTTAGGGAATGAATGGCTCATGGCAGGGAGATGCAAATTACAAAATGTTAAAACAAAACAAAGATCTCCCCCATAGCTCTTTTCAATGAATTCTAGGTACAACAACCAGTCACCTACTCTCTTCGGGAACATTTTCACAGATGTCAATGTGGACAAGGGCAGTGGCATTTGGTAGTAAGAACCCACTTACAAATAAATTAGGGTTTTTAAGGTGGAAGAAAGAAAAGAAACCAAAGCGGAAAGTCATCAAGATAAAAGCCTGGGCTAGAAGCTGGAAAACCTGAGGTCTGGTTCAAGTTCTCAGTTCCAGTTCTACTTAGTCACCCTGCACCTAACGACGTGCTTCTGTTAAAGAAGGGTTGGGGCTCACGTTAAAGGAGTTTAAACATGAGTATCCAGTTCTGTGATCTGATGCAGAAAATTGGCAAATGGTACCTCATTCTGTGAGAGTAAATTATATTTTCACCATTCCAAGATAAGGTAAGAATAGATTTGTTAGAAAGGATTCCCCACTAAGATTTGAGTTAATCACCATTCAGGGATTTCCCACGTCTCGCTCCTTCCCTTCCTTCTACAAACATTCATTATATACCTATAATGAGTTAGGTACTCTTCATAAAAGTGTGGATTAAAGGTTCTGAGAAAAAGAAAAGCTAAGCCTCTATATTTGATGACAAGATGTTAAGAACAAGTGAATGTGAAAACGTATACCACTATGATGGGAAATCTGCTTTTAAATAATAGCTTAGAAAGTGATGGTATGTGCATATAGGTGACAAAGGGAACCCAAATTTTAATCATTTCCTGCAGGATATGAAATAAAGCCCCAAACACTCTTATGAAGCCTCAAAGCTCTCCAGTAACTTTACTAACCAAGTGATATGTAAGTCAGTTTCATAAATTTTTGAATATAGGCATCAAATCAGTTCCAAGAGCTCAGCAGCAGAAGATTGCAGCAGGGACATCCCACTGCCTAGGAACTGAGGACATATTTTAGACATCTATTAAAGCATATCCGGATTTGGCTTTGGTCAGTCAGAGAAATCAGGTTTGATGGAGAAGGACCTAGGAATTAACCTAAAAGGAAGAGGGGATAAACTTCTTTATTGTGAAAGGCTGACTTAGGGTACATGGTTGCCAGGTCAGAAGGAAATGGAAACAATTTAAAAGTAATTATGGGCTGGCGGGGTGGCTCATGCCTGTAATCCCAGCACTTTGGGAGTCCAAGGCAGGTGAATCACCTGAGGTCAGGAGTTCGAGACCAGCCTGGCAAACATGGCAAAACCCCGTCTCTACTAAAAATACAAAAATTAGCTGGGCATGGTGGCGCGCGCCTGTGATCCCAGCTACTCGGGAGTCTGAGGCAGGAAAATTGCTTGAACCTGGGAGGCAGAGGTTGCAGTGACCTGAGATTGTGCCACTGCACTCCAGCCTGGGAGACAGAGCGAGATTCTGTCCCCTCCACCAAAAAAAAAAAAAAAAAAAAAAAAAAAAAGAAAAAAGTAATTATGGGGGCTGGGCACAGTGGTTCACGCCTGTAATCCCAGCACTTTGGGAGGTCGAAGCGGGTGGATCACCTGAGGTCAGCAGTTTGAGACCACCTGGCCCACATGGTGAAACTCCGTCTGTATTAAAAAGATGAAAAATTAGCCAGGCATGGTGGTGGCGGCCTGTAATCCCAGCTACTTGGGGGGCTGAGGCGAGAGAATTGCTTGAACCCGGGAGGTGGAGGATGCAGTGAGCCGAGATCACACCATTGCACTCCAGCCTGGGCAACAAGAGTGAAACTCCGTCTAAATAAATAAATGTAATTATGGGAAAAGACCAAAATTTGTTAGCAGATTTGAACTGCTTTTGAAACCTACACTTGCACTCAATTCCAAATGGGTAAGTTTTGAAATAGTGACAAATGGAATTATGCATCACTGTTTTATGACCTTCAAATACTTCCAAGAATCATATAAAGTTTAAAGAAGATACTATTTATGAAGAAAAGATATTCAGTAGAAATATCTCACAGAACCTACACAAAAAACATTTATAGAATGTCAGTAAGTTTAAAAAATTTTAAAAGAAGGCTGGGCATGGTGTCTCAAGCCTGTAGTCCCAGCTACTTAGGAGGCTGAGGTGGGAGGATTACTTAAGCCCAAGAGTTTGAGACCAGCCTGGGCAACACAGCGACACCCCATTTCTACATAAAAATTTTTAAAAAGCCAAGCATGGTTTTGCACACCTATAATCCCAGCTACTAGAGAGGCTGTGGTGGGAAGATTGCTTCAGCCCATGAGTTCGAGGCTGCAGTGAGCCATGACTGAGCCACTGCACCCCAGCCTAGGCAAAAGAGCAAGACCCTGTCTCTTAGAAAAAACTTAAAAAGACCATGGTTTCTTCTTTTAAATTGAGCTATCACGTACCACCATGCCCTCCATGGGTAAGTGTGCTCACGTGTGTGCATTGTGCACACACCACACACATGGACACACACACACTGACCTTTCTTCACCATCCTGCCAGCCACAGTGAACTGGGTCGAGTCGTTGGCCGCTCCTCTGCCTCTCGTCTTCCAGGCCTCCTCTCTCACAGTGATGAGCTGCTTCCTCTCCTCAATCGTCATTTGGCTCTCTCGACTTTCTGTGACCCGCTGTTCATAAATGTACAGAAGAGAAAACAGGAGAGAGAAATGACAGCGGTGTGGACCTCAGCCTGCAGCATTTCATGAGTGAAAAAAGCAGGTTGACAAAGAGGAGTAAGTATATTGTCCAAAGATGTTCAAAAATGTTCTATCTGAAATGGGCTTGGCTTCCTTACGTCCAGGTTGGGTGGAGATCACCATTGGCGATGCTGTAACTTTAGATGAATGCCTCTGTCCTGTGACTTACTGGTTTGGGGCACTGGAGCACCAGAACAATCCTTTGTAAGCACAAACAATTAAAAATAGATTGTTTTCATGCCCTGGACTCTACAGGGTTTTAAAGTTTCTCTGTCTTAACCCATCTAGTTAAACTCAGTTAACTGGGAGATTTTTATCCCTATATACTCACAAAGAACATGATTGATCTAGAAAACTTTATCCATGTGAGCACACAAGGAACTTGCCCAGTTAGAGACAGGGAAGGCTGGTTAGGAATAAGGGGCAGGAGAAGGTTTTCTGGCACTCTGCTTGCTTTTTCCTGCAGCCACTGATGTTCTGCGGGCAGGTAGACAACCAGGAGAGCCCACAGAAGTGGCTTTAAACTGTGAGACATCTGATGTTGAGGGTGAACTATGCTGTAGACAAAACCTACATGCACGGTAACATTTCTACTGAAAATGCTCTCAGCAGTTTCTAATTGGAATATTTCTGGAGAGATCTGCTTCTTCCATTTCCAAGCCATTGATGATGCTCATTAGGCTTGCGGTTGGGGATGTGGCAGGAGGGGAAGGGGAAGAAGCTACAGGGGACTCAAAGGGCATCAGGAAAGGAGGAGGGGCTCAGGACAGGCCTGGGATGGGGAGATGGGGCTGAGGAGGGAGGGACAGGAGCAGCGATGGAAGCAGAGGACAGGGCTCATGCCACTGAGTGATGTGTATTGGGGAGAAGAGTGTAGGTGGTGGTCGCGGGCGATACCAGGGCAGGAGGTCCTCAAACGCTGGCCGGCAGAGTTTGCTTTTCCTCTGTCTTCAAGCCATCCCTCCCTGCACCGCAAGACCCCTGTTTATGGCGAGGCACTGGGCTGGGTGGGGAGCGGGGGAGAAGCACAGGAGGTGTGGAGCTAATGCCAAGGAAGGAAGAGTGCAAAGGTGCCCCCTCCAGAGCAGAAGGCACGTCCCTGGCTGTCACCTGCTGGTTTCTGGAAGGGGCTCTGGAGGCCGGTGATGGCCTCCTGGGTTTGCCCTCTCACTTTCCACTGTCTCTTGAACCCGAGGAAGGCTGCTGCTGCTAGCGCATCCGCTTTCAAACTACATCTGAGCACTCCACACCTTCTTCTAGGAGGTTCCCCAGATTGCTGCTAGCGCATCTGCTTTCAAATTACTTCTGAGCACTACTCAACTTATTCTAGCAGGTCCCCCACCTTTTCTGCCTTCCTAAGGCATTTTCCTTGGCTAAGAAGTCTCCATGGATCAATGTGATCCTAAGGCCTCGCGCTGACACAGGGAAGGACTCGGAGAGCCCCGAGTCAAGACCATCCTAGAGATTCTCTTCCCCGATGCCTTTCCTCCTCACTATGGCAAACCACTTCCCTTCACTGACCCACGAGAGAGAACTTCCTGATTCAGGAGGGACAGGAAGAGAGTGGAGATGGGGACAGTTCATTTTCTTAACCCCTGGAATGATGGGAGTTGACAGAGGAAAGGCGCCTTCCCTTCCTTTCCAGCAGCACAAAACCAGGTCTGCACTGGGAAGATTTGGTTTAAGCTATGAACGTGGACTTCTCCATCATCTAAGTGATGAATCTGTCTTTCACAGGATTCTTCTATAAAGCCTTCATAGCCAGAAGTGATTTCGAGGTCCCTGCCAACTTAAATTAGGTTAAAAACCTTTTCCTAAAGAGATATGACAACCAAACGCGATGCATGATCCTGGCTTGAATCCTAGATGGGGTGGGGGCTACAAAGGGCATTATTGGAGGAAACTGACAATTTTAAGATGGACGTGGATCAGATAAATATTGTATCAACATTAACTTCCTCCTCTTGGCCACCATATTGTGGTTATGCGAGGAAATATCTTTGACTTTAGGAAATAAAGTCAAATATTGAAAGGTAGAGGAGCACAATGTTTCCAAACTACTGGCACATGGTTGGGGTGGGAAAAATGAGATGGGGGAAGAGAAGGCAAGAAAGTGGGGTGAGGAGTGGAGGGAGGAAGGGAGCGAGAGTGAAGGAGGGGGGCCAATGTCAACAATGAGTGGTTCTGGTAAAGCGTATGAAAGTGCTCTGCCTATAATGGAAATTTTTCTGTAAGTTTAACATTTTATCAAAATTCAAAGTTACTAAAATTTTTTCCTAAAAACCTGAACATTTCCCCTCGTGATCGGCGAGAAGCCCCTAATTCCAAGTAACTCTCTGAATCACGTATCCTTTTTAAATAAACGATGAGGTTCACTTGCCCGAAAGACCTCATCAAAATTCAACAAAGAGAATACGTTTTCTTTGAAAACGAAGTTTCAGGAGTGAATTTTAATCAAACCAAGATGGCGCTTGGCTTCAAATATTTCCAAGAAACATCAAGTGCCAAGAAAGTTGGCGTCTCCAAAGGTCCAGCCATCACTGTGGTGATTCACTATTCACTTAGTCAACTCTGTGGTGAATTCTCTCAGGCATCTCAACAGTCCAGGGTGGGGTAGTGGGTGTGGATAATGACTCAGAAAAATGGTATCTTCAAATCCAAAATTTCGTTTTTCAAAGCACTGGGATTCCCTCAGAGCCCTTTATGCACACAATGGATACAAACTTTGGGATGATACAACCATTTTAGAATTTAAAGCTCCCATTCGTTTGCCAGACCTAGGGCAAGAAGAAATAATTTTTACTCCCTTCTGAATAGTAATATTAAACATAAATGTTTTTGTTTTCTAGAAATTTTGACTTAACTTTGCTACTTAGTAGGGTTAGCTTAGGACCCCCTAATTGCTGCAATTCAACTTTACGTGGCTCTAGAAGGGTGTAAAGCATATACAGTTTGTTTATTCTCTAAATAATCTAATAAATATTTATCACAATTTAGAACTCAAAATGTGAGAACAAAGAAGATATATATATTTGTTCATTTGATTTTTTTAAGCTTAAAACTTCATTATTGTCTTGTTTTTTTCCTTCTAAATTTTTCTTTCCTTGTTTAGAGAAGGATGTTATATATATAGTAATAAGTATTGTGTCATTTTTCCAGGTTTAGCTGACACATGTTTGGGATTGGCTGGAATAGTAAGAGAGAGTTGAGGAAGAATCTAAACAGAATCCTACCCCATCTGTCCTTCATTCTTTCAAAGACAGATCCCACGAATGTGGTGGGGAAAGGCAGAAAAAGAGGGTGGAAGAGAAATTGAGTATTTGTGTATGTGTATGCACATGTGTGTGTGTGTGTGGGTGGGTGGGTGTGTGTGTGTAGAAGGCAGTGAAATAGGTAGAAAGGAGGTTCTTGTCTTAGGGATGGTCAGATATTGGTAGGTCACAGCTTGAAACTGTGCAAAGGACAAATCAGCACGAATACTTTTAGGTTGCCTGATGTTGCTGATGGGTTTCTTTCTCTCTGTATACACTGACTGAAAAATCATAGCAAATCTCACTCAATGTTTCTCACGCAGGGATGTGATCCAACACAGAGCATAGAACTAAGATGTATTATAAGGATTAGGGCGGATTTAAGGGTCAAACTCTTCCACAACCAGAGAGCTTTATCGAAATAAAATATTGTGACCTGGCTTTTAAAATTTTTTTTATCTTATTCACATGTAGTTAAACTGTAAAGGAAGAAATTATAAAAGCACATATTAAGTAATAGAAATAAGGTGAAAGGAACAAAGTTGTACTTTTCAGTTTTCAAAAATGCTAAGATCATTTCAAATTCTACACACTATGAAAGAAATTTAGCTTTGCCCCTTCCTTAAGAGAAATTTCAGTCCCTCGTCACTGCATACACCCTCAAGTACCCTGAATAAAAGATGAAGAAAAGATCACAGGTTAAGGCTCAGACCTCAAAGTAAGTGTTTTCCAGTCCTGTCACCATCTACCAGCTCCTAAGATGAAAGGAAGGGAATAAAGTAAAATCTTTTTCTGGTACAGCCCTGAGGCATGTGAGAAAGAATTCAGGTTGAAGCCTGACACAGAGACAAACAGTCCATTTAGACAGAGCCTGTGTGCTTTTTTTCTTCTCTGAACCTTTGTATTATTAAATATTAAGACACCAGTATTGCTGGAAGAAAGAAAAGGAGTGACTTGACCTCTGAAAACACAGATGAGCTAGTGCTACATACTCAGTATATAAACTATTTATATTTAGCTGGGAAACATTGTTCAGAGGTAAAAGTATATAATTTTTTGAAATTTTAATTTTGAAGTGATGAAACAGAAATGCCTTTGGCAAATGTTAATTTCCTTTAAACTTAACAATATATGGAGATATATTCCATGTTCATGGATAAGAAGACTCAATTTTGTTAAGATGGCAGGTTTTCCCAACTTGAGCTGTACATTCGATGCAGTTCCAAAGTCCCAGCAAGAGATTTTGTAGATATTGACAAACTGATCTTAAAGTTTACATGGAGAGGCAAAAGACCCAGAATAGCCAACACAACACTGAAGGGGAAGAAAAAAGTTGGAGGACCAACACCAGTCAACTTCAAGACTTACTATAAAGCCTCGGCAATCAAGATTGTGTGGTATTGATGAAAGAACAGTCAAATAGATCAATGGAATAGAGAGCTCAATAATAGATTCATATAAATTTAGTCAACGGATCTTTGAGAAAGGAGCAAAAACATTAGAATGAAGAAAAGATAGTATTTTTCAACAAACGATGCTGGAATAAGTGGACACTCATATGTAAAAAAAAACTAGATACAAATTTTCCACCATTCCCCAAAATTAACTAAAAATGGATCACAAAAGCCTAACTGTAAAAATTAAAACTATAAAACTCCTAGAATATTACATAGGAAGAAATTTAGATTATCTTGGATTTGGTGATTAGTTTTTAGATATAACACCAAAGGCAATATCCACAGAAGAAATAACTGATAAGCTGAACTTCACTGAAATTAAAGACTTCTGTAAAAGACACTGTTAAAAGAATGAGAAGACAATCTACAGAATGGGAGAAAATATTTGCAAAAGACATATCTGATAAAGGACTACTACCCCAAATATACAAAGAACTGTTAAAACTCAACAATATGAAAATGAACAACCAGATTAACAGATGGGAAAAACATCTGAATAGATACCTCACCAAAGAAGATATAAGACAGAAAATAAGCACATGGAAATATGCTCAACATCATATCTGCAAATCTCATCATTAGAGACTTGCAAATTAAAACAAGGTGACATTATTACACATCAATTAGGATGGCAAAAATGCAAACACTGACAACACCAAATGCTGGCAAGGATATGGAGCGACAGGAACTCTCATTCAGTGCTGATGGAAATGCAAAATGGTACAGTCATTTTGGAAGACAGTTTGGAGGTTTCTCACAGAACTAAACATACTCTTACCGTATGATACAGCAATCATGCTCCTTGATACTCAAATGAGTTGAAAACTTACATCCAAATAAAAGCCTGCACATGGATGCTTCTAGCACTTTATTCATAATTGCCAAGACTTGGAAGCAACCAAGCTGTCCTCCAGTAGATTAATAGACAAATAAACTGTGGCACGTTCAGATAATGAAATATTATTCGACGATACAAAGAAAAAAGCTTTCAAGCCATAAAAAGACACAGTGGAGGCTCACGCCTGTAATCCCAACACTCTGAGAGGCTGAGGTGGGCGGATCACCTGAGGTTAGGAGTTTGAGACCAGCCTGGCCAACATGGCGAAACCCCATCTCTACTAAAAATACAAAACAATTACCTGGGGTGTGGTGGCGGGCGCCTGCAATCGCAGCTACTCAGGAGGCTGAGGCAGGAGAATCGCTTGAACCCGGGAGGTGGAGGTTGCGGTGAGCTAAGATTGCACCACTGCACTCCAGCCTGGGTAACAGAGTGAAACTCCATCTCAAAAATAATAATAATAATCATAATAATTTAAAAATAAATAAAATTTTAAAAAGACACAGAGGAATCGTAAATGCATATTACTAAATGAAAGAAGCCAATCTGAAAAGGCTACATACTGTGTGATTCCAATTCAATGACATTCTGGAAAAGGCAAAACCATGTGACAGTAAAAAATGACCGGTTGCCAAGGACTGGGCGGTGAGAGTGATGAGCAGGCAGAGCACAGGGGATCTTCAGGGCAGGGAAACGATTCTGTATGATAGTGTAACGGTGGACATATGTCATTAAGTATTTGTCAAAACCGAAAGAATGGACCACACCAAAAGTAAATTTTAACGTAATCTATTAACTTTGGGGATAATGACGCGTCAACGTAGGTTCATCAATGGTAGCAAATGTGCCACTCTGGAGGGGGATGTTGATAATTGGGGTGGCTGTGTGTGGGAGGGCAGGGATGATGCAGGAACTCTGTACTTTCTGCTGTGAACCTACAACTGCTCCAAAAAAATAAATTCTTCTGAAAAATATATCTAGTTGTCCCTCAGCGTCTATGGGGGACTGGTTCAAGGACCTCCTAGAGATACCAAAATCCACAGATGCTCAAGTCCCTGATGTAAAATGGGGTAGGATTTGCACACAGCCTGTGCACATCCCCGCTGTGTACTTTAAATCATTTCGTGATGACTTATAATACCTAATACAAGGTAATGTTATGTAAATAGTTGTTCTGCTGTATTGGTTTTTAATTTTTTAACTGTTGTATTGTTCTTTTTTATTGATTTTATTCCCAAGTATCCCTAGTTGGTTGAATCCTTGGATGCGGAACTGGAAGAGATGAAGGGCCGACTGTATACACTTAAAGACTTCAGTAATATATCTTTTCCTTTAAAGTTTAATATTGGCTTATTTCAAAGAAACACAAGCTCATTTCCCCCGTTCGTGATGGAATGGGAAGTTTGCTCCACATTTCAGCCCCTTTCTTGGGGTGGACACTGGCTGGGTACGTGGGGCCTGGGCTCTTACAACCAGCATTTCCAGCTTCGGGGGAAGGAACCAGGAGAGTGAGGGAAAGGCCGCCCCAGGGAGAAGAAGTGGGGAGTTTCCATCTGTGAAGAGGCGAGATGACTACGGGAGGACCCCAGACACCTTCCCTGTCAGCTTCGCATGTGAAACCCTGAGCCACTCATTCAATAACTGCTGGTGCTGCTGGAGCAGGCCCATCGCGGCACTGTCAGAGGCCACCTGAGAGCTAAGAAAGCCCCAGTCCTGCTGGGGAGACAAGGCCCTAGAGGGAGGGGACAGAGGCCCTAGAGGGAGGGGACAGAGGCCCTGGAGGGAGGGGACAGAGGCCCTATGAGGGAGGGGACAGAGGCCCTACGAGGGAGGGGATAGAGACTCTACGAAGGAGGGGACAGAGGCCCTAGAGGGAGGGGACAGAGGCCCTAGAGGGAAAGGACAGAGGCCCTATGAGGGAGGGGACAGAGGGCCTACAGGGAAGGGACAGAGGCCCTAGGAGGGAAGGGACAGAGGCCCTAGGAGGGAAGTGATGGGGCAAAGCCCGGCAGGGAGGAGATGGGAGCCTGGCATTCATGGAAAAGTGGATGGTGCCACTTTGCAGAGTTGTTTTGACACCAAGGACATTCCACGGTGAAATAAAAGAAACCAGCCATTCCTATTTTTCATGTTATTCACCCACACAGTGGCTCAGCCCAGGCTGGGGTCTGCTCTCTGGGGTGGGGTTCAGAGAGGCTACAGTGAGGATGGAGGGAAGAGGCAGGGGGCCCATGGTCTCTAGTTTTAATAGGGCCATTGGAACCAGCTCCTCCTGGTTCTTTAATAGGGTCACTGGAGGGGCCTCCCCTCGCTGAGTCTTCCTCCCTGTCCCTCCACACCCCAAACTGCCTCCACCATATCCTCCTCCTCTATGAACTGAGTAGGACAACATCCTCACTGAGCTGGAGCGAAGAACATGGCTGCATCTCCTGGGCTCCTGACTCAGGATCGAAGCTCAGAGGCTGAAAGGGGACACTCTCCTCTTAAACCAGTTTCATGACTACGAGGTGAATTAATGCCATCCAGTCCACCTGAAAATCTGAGCCAAGGATCAGTGTGTGTGTGACTGATCCTAAATATATGAAGAACCAATTAAACACACACATACGTACACACTTAAAGACACACACACAGACTCTTATAGACACACACACTCACATTCTCACAGATACACACTCATAGATACACACTCTCATGGACACACACACAATTGTACTGCCACACACACACACACACACACACACCTCTCTTTCAAAGTGAAATGCACCAAATAAGTTATTTCCCAAAATTAAAACAGAAGTTCTTTTCCTATTGCTCAGAAATTGCAGTGAGGCTTAAGATGAGTGGCTTTTCCTCACCTGATTAATCGACACAAAAGACAGGTATTTATGGGCAGCAGGAATAGCAGGAGAATAAGTAGAAGCATATACAGGTTCCTACAGAGCAAAGCAAGAGGGTTTAAGGTGAAAAGAGAAGATTTATCAGAGCGGGGCCGGGCAGGGACATGGGGGAGGGAGAGACAAAACAATGATTTTTCTAACAGAATGTTAATTTACTCATTGCAATTTCAGTTCTCTTTTCAAGAGAGTCCTCCCTTGAATGCTAATGCTAAAGTAAATCCACACAAGCGCGGTAAATATACCTGAGTCAGCTTTGTGCAGTAATTAAATGAGTTAATTTATAGAAGATTGTCAGTTACAGAGAGAGGAACCATGACTTTCATTGACAGTTTTAACATTTAACAGAAAATATCATCTTCTTTAAAGTATCTTCATTACATGATTAAAAAATAGTTTAAGGGCACGGGCTCAGCTCTCCACTCCGGACAAAGGCTGTGTCTGGTCTGGAGATAAGAAAAGCACCAGGGAGGGTGCACGAAGGAACCACCCAGGATCAGGATTACCCACGCGAAGTGTAATTCTGGCCACCATCGAGAGGACACCTGTGTTAGAGTCAGGCTTACCCAAAGCAGATTAGAAATGGCACTATCATCCGCAACTCCTCCTTCTTCCTACAGGTTAAAACAAACAGGGAACATGGCAGAGTATTGGAAGAGAAGAGCCTGGTCAGGGCATCGCAATCACCTTCAAGTATTTCATGCCTGGGTTCAAACAGCAGCATGCACGTGCTCACACAATAGGGTGATGTGAACCTCAGGCCAACTCATTCCGTGACCGCAGAATGATCATCTGGAGTTTAGAGAGCATTCCCTCAGCCTTTCTCTCCCTCCCATCCTCGCACTTTAAAGTGACTTCATTCTCCTGCACTATGATCTGGAATTTCAATGGCAGCAGACACTGAGCATATAAATGTGCCAGATTCACCTTTCTTGAAATTTCGGGCACTTGTTCTGGGGCTGTCATAGATCTGAGCTGGATACACTGACCTCACAGCTGCAGAAGCACAGTGGGATATCCAGTTCCCTCTGGAACTCAGAAACAGACACAGGGTTTTAATGGCCAAGTCTATAAAGGGTTTTCACTTCTTGGAAAATGTCTGATTCGCTGGATGACTATCTTCACAAAAGACGTGGGAGCCACCGTGTGTGCCTTAACGTCGAATAAACCGAAATAGGGATGGAATTGAAAATAACTATTTGGTGAAAATAAATACATAACTGAAAGTTAGTTGTAACAGAGACTGCTGCCAAACCACTTCTTTGAGACTTTGCTTCGTTTGATTTCTCTCTGGTGGAATGAGTTACTCTGGAGGAAAGTGTACACAAGCCATGCTCAAGTGCACATAAACCACACCGTGCAGACCAGACCAAATCCACAAAACAGACAGCTTTACCGTCTTTAGACCAAGTATATATGCTACGAGACTCACACATGTTTAAGTCAGGTTAGCCTGGCCTAGACTATACCAAGAACAGGTGAAAGATAATAAGGGCAGCAAGGAAGAGAAAGAAAGAGAAAGAGGGGGAGAGAGAAAGGGAGAAGGAGGGGGAGGGAGAGAGAGAGAGAGAGAGAGAGAGAGAGAGAGAGAGAGAGAGAGAGAGAATACCCAAACAGTTTTTCACAGGAAATGACAGAACTAGCTAGGTAAACAATTAGTGCTCTTAAGCTCTTGATCATCAATCCTCATTTTGGGGGGAGGGTGTGTAAAATGGGGAAAGAAGGAACTGCTGGTAAGTTTCCTATTCCCTGAGATGTGCTTGATCTTTTAGTATAGAAATGAAAACTCCAGGCTGGGCATGGTGGCTCATGCCTGTAATTCCAGCACTTTGGGAGGCCGAGGCAGGTGGATCACCTGAGGTTGGGAGTTTGAGACCAGCCTGACCTACGTGGAGAAACCCCGTCTCTACTAAAAATACAAAAAATTAGCTGGGCATGGTGGCACATGCCTGTAATCGCAGCTACTCGGGAGGCTGAGGCAGGAGAATCACTTGAACCCAGGAGGCGGAGGTTGCGGTGAGCCGAGATTGTGCCATTGCACTCCAGCCTGGGCAACGAGAATGAAACTTTGTCTCAAAAAAAAAAGGAATGAAAACTCCAGCTTAATATCTATTCACAGGCCCAAAATTGTTTTTGTTTTTGTTTGAGACAGGGTCTTGCTTTGTCACCCGAGCTGGAGTGCAGTGGCACAAATACTGCTCATTGCAGCCTCAACTTCCCGAGCTCAAGCGATCCTCCTGCATCAGCCTCCCAAGTAGCTGGGATCACAGTCGTGCGCTACCACACCCAGTTAATTTTTGTAAACATGGGGTTTTACCACGTTGCCCAAGCTGGTCTAAAACTCCTGGGCTCAAGTAATCCTCTTGTCTTGGCCTCCCAGTGTTGGGACTACAGGCACGGCCATTGAGCTTGGCTCCAAAGTAAATCTTAACATAATAAAAGACCTAAAATGAGATGCTGGCTGGAGCCCCTCAAATATGTTTTCTTTTGAGACCAATCCATTGACAGAAACAAAACAGTTACAGATTTTTCAAGACATCCTTTATCGTACTTTTTTAATGTGACTCCAAGGAAATTTCAAAATGACCTGTGTGGCACACATTCTATTTTTACAGGATGGTGCTGACTTCTATGTTGCACGTGTTTTCACAGGAGCAATGGAAGGAACTTCTAGAGTCCCCTCTCTTTCCTGCCTCTTCTACATTTCCACAGACTGCACACTCACGGCAGCAGCCTCTCAGCACACAAAAGGAACGTAGGAACCGTGAAGGGCGTGATGAGCTGACCATAACGCCGGCTCCTTTCTGCCTTTGGTGCTAAAGATGGAAGGTTCCGGCACCTGCTCTCCTGGGTACCTCTCCGTCAGCAAGGCTAGAGCTACTCCGTGCAGCAAGCGCCCCTGTTCAGGCCCCACGTGTCATGACTGTCTGTCCTTCTCCAAGGCAGCATTCAGACACCCCGCAAGCAGTGGGCATGTCAAGCCTCCTCAGCTACTGGGGGAATCCCTCAAGACAGACCAGGTTTAAGGCGCCTCACCCACCACATCTGAGCACAGCCGGCGGGTGACTGAAAACAGTGCCAGCCCTCGGGAAGGAACGAACCGAGGGGTCGTCAGAGGCTGTCTGAGAAACACCTGACCTCAACAGAACCTGAGATTGCCCAGTGTGGGCTACAAAGGCCTAAAATAGATCCGCTTATTTTAGCTTCAAAGAGCTTATTGTCTCCAGCCAAAGGGAAGCAGGCCACTGAGAAGAGTGGGAGAGTTCACCGTCTGCAGAAACAGCAGCCTCCACGCGCCCAGAGGCAGCATTTCCCATTCCAGCCCTAGCCTGCTTGCAAGTCCCGGGGCTTCAGGTCACTGGATTATCAACCCCAAGGGCAACTGCAGTCAACTGGCCTCTCTTGCCTTCTAAAAACCTTAGCCAGCGTTCAGGTGGTTCGGATCTCATCCTCCACTCAAAGCCTTCTGGCTTCCACACCTAAGGTGATCCTCCATTCTTCTAAGGGGGCAGTGCACCCATTTCACTATTCACCAGGAACCTCTTTTGCTTCGTGCTTTTTGGCTTCATTTAAATTTCCACTGGCTCTCTGGGACTCCCAGTTCCTGATGGGCCGGGGAGTCTCTGCACCTTCCAAAATGATGGACAAGGGGCCAGGCGCTGCTTGGTGCCAGGACATAGTAGTTGGCAGGTTTGCTAATGAGGAATGTGTTAAAGTCATTTTTGAAGCAATGATTTCAAGATTCTTTTAAATAAAGTTTGCGGGTAGCAGGGATACATAATTTGACAGATGGATTTTCACTTCAGGATCACATTTTTGAAATCTGAATTTCACACGGTGTGTGAAAAATATGCACATGCATATACTTTCTAAATATCTAGTTATATTTGAGAATTTTACAAATGGCCAAGGCTTAAATGTCTTTAGTTAAATCATCTTTAACACCATGTATGTCTCAAAGAAGAGAATTCAAATTGCCATTCCAGTGAAACCTAAGAAGACACAGAAGTATCAGAGGAAATAGTGTCAGAACTCCTGACTCACACTTCTATGTGCACATCTCATTTTTATGTACGTTTCTTAATGCATGAAAGTCACACTCATCATCTCTCCCTTCCACAGATGCTTAACTTATTTTAGAGCTAGAAGGGGCCTGGGGATCATCGGGTTGAAAGCATTCTTTTTCTTTTCTACTTGAAGACTTCTGATCCTAGAAAGTGACCAGGGAGTGTGTCACCGGTGCATCATTTCGCCTCCAGCCAGAAGGTGCATTTGCAATTGTAGGGCCAGCCAGCAAGTAAGTCACCATCAGTTTCAAAAGTGTGCACTACCTGGTCAAAAGCTGGTCATCATCACATCTGTGATTTAACAATTCATCAATACTTTCGCATATGAAATGCTTGCTAGTATTGATCACCATGCATTACCTAATTTTGTTTCAACTTATACATTACTGTACATTCTCAATAAAAGGCATAGCTACTCATGAAACACGCTTAAATGATGAACTAAATACTCATAAACCACAATTATGTCCTTATTTTTTATACTTAGGTTTAAAATCTCTGCATGGGAAACACAAGTCTGTATTTTACATGGAACTTAAAGATATTAGTGGTGAATTCAATTTTTTTCATTATAAAGGCTTTAATAACACATGAAAGCCAGACTTCATTTAAGAAGGTTTTTAAACTGAAGAAAAAGTCCACACTTTAAAATTCAGGCACTTGCTTGCTGACATAGTGTGTGTGTGTTGCTGATCCCAGTTTTAAAACATCTCCAGGCACAGCCTTCTGCCCAATTTTAGCTGCTCTGTGACAGACTCTCAGTGTGTACCCTAAGGGCAAAAATGCACAAATGCTTCACAGAGTAGGAATTAGGTGGCACACGCTTGTCTTTTTGATGCACTTCCAAGAGTGATGTTAGTCGGAAGGCTTTTCCTAACATGGGGAATGTTACCTTCTTGATGAGGGACCGCCCTGCTTCCTGGGTGTGCAGGCTGCTGGCCGGCGCCTTGCCGCCCTCCTGCCTCCTGCTGAGTCTGTTTCTCCAATCTTCCTCCCCGCTTTTCTTCAACAGTGCCAATCTAGGAGGAAAACATGCCCGCCACAAAGAGTTCAGCACCAAACTCTTCCTTGTGATGGAACCATAATCTAGGTAAGAGAGGCGGCTTGGGCCAAGATATGACCACAGCCGCCTCGTTTTAACATTTTGAATTTCATTTATTCGGAAGACAGCATGTCTGGAAAAATAATAAAGTCCCTTTTCTAAGATGGCCCGAAGATTTTACAGTTGATTGAAACACAGAGCTGAAATCTGACTTGCTAGATAAAAGATGCACCATCATTCCAGCCAAGGATGTCTGTTCCTTGGCCTTGGGCTGAAAGCAAGAGAACCGTCCCCAGAGAAAAATGTCTTTTAGCGACGCCTTCTGGTCACTTGTGAAATAACATTAAAGGACTAAAGCTGTGTTACAGAAAATGATGCAGACATGGGCTTAAAAACATAAAGCTGGCCAGGCACGGTGGCTTCCGCCTGTAATCCTAGCACTTTGGGAAGCTGAGGCAGGTGGATCACGAGGTCAGGAGTTCGAGACCAGCCTGGCCAATACGGTGAAACCCCATCTCTACTAAAAATACAAAAATTAGCCAGCGGGAGGCTGAGGCACAAGAATCGCTTGAACCTGGGAGGCAGAGGTTGCAGTGAGCCGAGATTGTGCCACTGCACTCCAGCCTGGGTGACACAGTGAGACTCTGTCTCAAAAAACAAACAAACAAACAAAAACATAAAGCCATGAAGCACTTACAGTCTCTTAATATCATCCCTTTCAATTAGAGGTAAAATTTGATGTTTATGACTGTTTCTCCTCAGGTGTTCTAAGCCCTATTCTTTTCCTACAAATGAATTTGATCATTCTTATCCATCTTCTTTAGACAGAAACTATTTTCTATAAACCCATTTTTTAAAATTATCACTTCAACTTTCCTCAGGGGAAGGATATACACAAAAAAAGAATCTAATTAACTGATATTGTTAACTAACCTACTTTAGCTCAATGATGATGTGACTTGATAGGCAGTGCTTGAATACTGGAATCCTGAAAGGTTATTTTTCACAAACTTGAGGCTATTTCAGCTAACTGTATTGCATGAATGAAGAAATCTTAGGTATTTACGCTGGACAAACAAACATGGGAAAGATAAAAGGTAAAAAAAAAAAAAAAAGGTGGTGATCACTAAACTCATTTGAGCCGATGCTCAAACAATTTAAAGAGTAGGGAAAAGCCAAATAATTAGATCCTTTTCCCTCTGTGCTGGACCTGATGGGCCAGGTCTTATTGATATCACTAATGCATAATCCACAAATGGTATAAATATTTTTATCCATAAATATTAAATCCATAAATATTAAATCCATAAATATTTTTATCCATAAATATTAAATCCATAAATATTTTTTATTGTTATAAATTTGTTTTAGAGACAAGGTCTTCCTTTGTCACCAGGTCTGGAGTGCAGCGGCACAATCACGGTTCACTGCAGCCTCGAATTCCTGGGCTCAAGCGACAATCCTGCCTCGGCCTCCAGAGTAGCTAGGATGACAGGTGTGCATCACTGCGCCTGGTTAATTTTTAAAATTTTTATTTTGTAGAGACGAGGTCTTGCTATGCTGCTCAGGCTGGTTTTGAACTCCCGGGCTCAAGCAATTCTTCCATGTCAGCCTCCAGAGTAGCTAGGACTACACTTGTGCACCACTACACTAGGCTAATTTTTAAAATTTTTATTTGGTAGAGACAGGTGCTTGCTATGTTGCCCAGGGCAGTTTTGAACTCCTGGCCTCAAGCGATCCCCTGCCTCAGCCTCCCAAAGTGCTGGGATTACAGGCATGAGACAGCGCGCCTAGACAACAGTGTATTTTTAAGCAGAACATCAGCTTTGGTCCCAATTTGGCTACTCCCTTTGGGTATCTCGGTTCTCCCTCCTATATCTGTCACATCAGGAACTGGTCAGATGATCTCTAAGGGTCCTTCTTCCAAGCTTCCCGATTCCCATTAAATATTTGTTTTGGAGATGGGATGAGATATATTCTATGATAAAAGTTTTGTTATGCTAATAAGAAAACAAATTTTGTAGTACTTAAACAAGAATCCGGCGACATCTACGTATGTGTACATAATCACACCTTGTATTTGTCTATTCACTCAGTCAAATAACGGGAAGTAAGCCGTGAAGAAAGGAATCCCCCAAAGGAGGCAGGAGCTTCGAACTCTGGACCTGTCCCCTTCCTCAATCTCTTCCTTCTCCCCCCTTCATTTCTGTTTTCCTCTTTCTGCTAAGTGGCAGCAGATAAGATCTCAAGTGCTCAATCTCTAGAACTGGGGTAAGGCTGCCTTGTCAATCTCATGCAGATCCCTTTGGGTCAAGGTCTCATTTAGTCCTAACTCCTGTAATTCTCGAATGTTTAACAACACCCTGCATGCTACAAGAGCTAGTTCATGGGCTTGGACACGAAGTCGAAATTCCTTCAAGAGCTCTAATCCGCACCATTTCATACTATATAATGACTATGATTCATCTTTTCTCCAATTATTTTGAATGAGTCAGTTTTATCCTAATAAAATAATCTCACAAAATGAAATCATTAAAAGAAATTCATATTTGCATGCTGTATTTGAGCTTTCAAAGCATCAATAAATGAGACTTTCAAAAAGTAAGCATGCCAGCACTTTAATACCCAAATGAGAAGTCCTTCCAGTTCATGATCTTGTGGAACCAAGCACTCATCTCACTGATATTCTCCCTGTAAACTGGCCTCAGAACCAGCTTCTCTCACTTCACCTTCCACCCAGGCTGGCAGCTACTCCTCCTGAACATCCACCTTGTTAATCAGATTGGATTCAAATGATGAATTTTTAAAAGATCAAATTCATCTTCCTGAGTTGAGTTCATTAAAAGTCATGAGCTCTGGTCTTTGAAGACCTTCTCAAAAAGAAGCTCCCAAAAGTCTGGGGCAAGGACACCAGCACCTATGTCATCGGACGATTTCCCTGGTGGTTGCTTTGTGGCATCTAAAACTGACTTAGAAAAACACAAGCTGTGGCATCTGAGATCACCTCCTCGTCCATCTTATACTCTGCTGATCTGCACGGCGACCCCTAAGACACTGGGAATTGTTATTCCCATTCTGACGGACAAGGAACGTGGGTACATCCGGGTCAAGAATTCCATTGACTGAGGTCACACTGGATGTTAGTGGGCAGAGAGACGTGACTGCAGCCCTCGCCTGCCTGTGTGTAGCTTGTTTCACTTCGGTAGAACATTAGCTGACCGGACACATTTTTGCCACACCGTTTTAGGAAAGGCATAGGATTCTGGCTTTCTTATAAGGTTTTTCCCACCATGGGATGGCCTCCAAAGAATTCCTCCATTCCAAAACCCTGAAATTTTGCTTCTACATGTGCTGGCAGGGTTACCATTGGGGACTTCCGAAGACTACAGAGTAACCAGAATAATCTGGAAGAAACTGTGCTTCCGTGGAGCCCACCTGGCACTTGGAGCCAGCCCTCGGCTCCAGCCTACGGAGCACATGACGAATAACTTGAAAATAACACGCACTAAAACTTGAGTGTGTTCTTCCTGTCCCTTTAGATTTCCTCATTGGTGTCCACCACGCTGAGGAGGGAGGGAGATCTTCCCAAATGTGTCCCTTCCTCCTGTGAGCTCACAGCCCTCCGGCTCACCGCAGACCACCAGGCTCTGAGAGGGTCGAGGAGCCGACGTCTGGGCCTACGCAGGACATAAATTCCTGCCGGTGCAATTCAAACAACTGTCAGCGCTTCTAACAACTGCCAAGCCAAAGTGCTGTTTGCAGGACTGTGATGCTGGGAGCCTGGGCAGTGGCTAGGCCTGGGCTGTGTGAACCCAGAGAGAGGCACGACACTGGCCCGCTCACCCAACGCCTGGCCCAGGGCCACCGTGACAGGTGCCTGCCAGGACACCCGGGGAAACGGTGCCTCCTCTTCCATAGCCCACACTGTTCCAGCAGGGAATGCTGGCCTGAGAACCCTGCTTGTTGAGAACAAGGACATCAGGCTCAGAGCAGTCAGGGCTGGGTCAAACAGGAGACATGACAACCATGTGCCCCTAATATTAAATAAGATGTGTTTTCTCTCTCTTTTTCAGAATTTTCCCTTCATTTTAGAGAATTACAGGCACCCCATAGATCTCTGATAGGGATGAACAGCACACTTAAGTACTTATATTAGATCTTGGTTTTGGCTGGTTCACAAGTTGGAGAAGTGAATGAACTAAAGTGTCTTTTAAATGAGAGACAAATCACACTTTGGAAAAGGAGGGCCAGGCGTGGTGGCTCACACCTGTAATCCCAGCACTTTGGAAGGCTGAGGTGGGAGGATCGCTTGAGGCCAGGAGGTGGGAGACCAGCCTGGGCCGCAGAGCAAGACCCCGTCTCTACAAAAAAATAAAAATAAAAAATAAAAAGCCAGCTGAGCATGGTGGTGTGTGCCTGTAGTCCCAGCTACTTGGGAGGCTGAAGTGGGAGGATCATTTGAGTCCCAGGAGGTGGAGGCTGCAGTGAGCTATGATCGCACCACTGCACTCCAGCCTGGACAACAGTGCCAAGACCCTGTCTAGAAAAATAAAAGAAAAAAAGAAAAAGAAAAAGAAAAGGAGGGAGTAAAGGGGAACTGCCGCTCTATTCTTATTCCTACATAAATCTGGGGCCCTCTAGTGGCTGAAATCTCCCAGCTACAGGGTAAGAACCTGGAGTTTGTGGAGACAGGGAGACAGCCTCTGGCTGGGTGGGATACCGAAGGGTGGATGGTTGGGGCGGGGGCCGGCAGGCGGGAAACACAGGAGCCTCCAGCCGGTCCCTCTAGGGCAGAACACCATAGAGGCGTGAGGTGGATTCTGCAACAGTTCAGGGAGTTCCACTAAGTCCTTACATGCCACCAATTTGCCAAAGTGAAAGGATGGCTCTTTTTTTCTTTTCAATAGTCTTTTTCCCTAAATAAGAAAGCTCAGATGCCACTGTTTCTGACATTGTGGAAATAAGATTTCTAAAGGCCTAACATACTCTTTAAGCAATAGCAAAGGTTTTATCCCTAAATAACATAAGAATTATTTAATTCGCAATGTTTCTCAAAGAAGTTCCCAAACAGGGATAATTTAAACACACATCATTTGGACAGTCAGAAAATAGCAATTTTACTAATCCGGTGGGAAAAGTCGATTGCATCCTAAGTTTTTTGCTGGTTATGGTTCAAATTTGACATTCACAATGTCAGAAAAGATGAAAAAAAATTTTTTTAAGGCTGGGTGTGGTGATCACGTCTGCAATCCCAGCACGTTGGGAGGCCTAGACGGGTGGATCACTGGAGGTCAGGAGTTTGACACCAGCCTGGCCAATATGGTGAAACCTTGTCTCTACTAAAAATACAAAAATTAGCCAGGCATGGTAGTAAGTGCTTGTAATTCCAGCTACTTGGGAGGCTGAGGCAGGAGAATCGCTTGAACCCAGGAGGGGGAGGCTTCAGTGAGCCAAGATCGTGTCACTGCACTCCAGCGTGGGCTACAGAGTGAGACTCTTGTCTCAGAAAATAAACAAATAAATAAATAAATATAAAAATAACTTTTTAATATGTTTCCTTGAGCATCAAACATATTCTAAAAAAGGAGTGTATGGAGGTTTTCCTATAATTTCTTAGTTTCTATGCTTTTTGTCTACAAATGGGGATAATATTGCTTTCTTCTGGAGGCTGTCTTCAATATTAAATGAAAGCCGGGCGCAGTGGCTCACGCCTGTAATCCCAACACTTTGGGAGGCTGAGGCAGGCAGATCACCTGAGGTCAGGCATTCGACACCAGCGTAGCCAACATGGTGAAGCCCCGCCTCTACTAAAAATGCAAAAATTAGCTGGTTATGGTGGTGGGCTCCTGTGATCCCAGCTACTCAGGAGGGTGAGGCAGGAGAATCACTTGAACCTGGGAGGCGGAGGTTGTAGTGAGCCGCGATCGTGCCTCTGCACTCCAGCCTGGGTGACAGAGCGAGACTCCATCTCAAAAAACAAACAAACAGACAAAAATTAAATGAGAGATCATGTACAAAATGTGGAAGGCAGTCTGTGACGCTGGGTAGCACTGAGCACTGAGAACTTAATATAGTCAGGCCCTGGACAGGGGAGAGACTGACACAACAAGGCTGAAGAAGACAGACCTGCCCTCCTTAGTGGGGACAGGCATTTATAAAAAACGATGAAGGAAATCTGCAAATTCCAGACTCTATTTCTGAGACTCTGAAATGTGAACTTGGATGTGTAATTTGAAATATAAGCCCTGTTAAGAGCATGTGAACTGAGAAAATTCATGAAGAAAGAAGGTGTGTCTTTCTAACACTGCTGTCTAGCTGGGATTTCTGTCCTCTCACCGTATTCTCCTGGTTAGAGCACACGGGGTTGGCTGCTCTAACACTAATCTGAGCGCACCGCGGTCTCACCATGGACCAGGGGAGAGTTGGAGACGTGGCCCCTGGGTCAGCTCTATTCACTACGTGGCCCTGGAGGCTACCGGAGCCGAATCCCTCCTTTGGTAAAATGAGGCAGTCAGAGGCGGTTAGAATAAAGTTTGGAAGTCCTATGATTTTATATATTTCTTTCTCAAGAAGGAAAAGTAAAGCCCAAATAAATGGAGGAATAACATTCTTATTTTAAATAGTTTAAGCTTCATTATTTCATTTTCACAAAAGGGAGGGATTAAAGTCTCATGGAAAAGCTATCATGGATGAATTGTAAATATATGTAATTTAGTCACTTTCAGCAAAGTACAAATAAAAGTACTGTGAAGGTAAGGGGGAAAAGATCACTGGCAATATATTTTGCATTAGTGTAATTTATTACAAGCATAGCTGCTAAATAAAGTGTCCCTTGTTCTTTCATAAATGTATTTTAACAAACTGAATAGCTGAATATCAATCAAGCATTCCTTTCTATCATGATTCTGAACAGACTGGGCTCAGGGATCTCTTGGAGACCATGATAAGTTATGGCTTCTGTTAGCCAGCAGGTGTGTGTGCTCACCCATTCAATTCTGAATACACTTCCGGGCTGTTCACAGAAACTTTACAGCCATCCTTGAACGCCTTACATGTCCACAAAGCCCAAGCTAAGAAGCTACGTCTTTCCAGTATCTCACTTTTAAAAATGAGAATTTTACAGTAGGATTAAAGCTTTCAGAAAAATACAGGTCAACTAAAATTTACCAAAAAACAGGTAAGTAAATCAGGAATTATTGCTTAGTGGATAGACACAGGACTTCTTCATCAAAAGTCCTAAGTCCAGATGGACAGAATATTCCCAAAGATGGGAAGGCTCCTTTAAAAGCCTTTGAAAGAAGGGGGCATAATATTAGTATTTCCCACTGGGGAATACCCCAGGGATATTTTCTCATGTGTAAAACATCAGAACTTGTGTATAAGTGATATTTATTGTTAATTTCCTTAAATGATCTCTCTTCTTCCTCACCTAACCAGTTGTCAATATTTGGGTTTCTGGGATGAAACTCTCTTTGAGCCCCATTTTCGTGGAAGAGAACTTCAAGCCTCAATAGGCCCAACTGCTTCCCCGATTGAAGACATCCCTCTCCTCATTGCACTGTCCCCTCTGCCCCTTCCCTATGCCCCTCAGCCTGCCAGGTCTAACTTATCATGAATTTTAAGTAAGTAAAGGAGAAAGTAAGTCAGATTTAACAATGTGATTAATTTGTCAGTTGAAAAAGATAGCATCTATTATTTTACAAATAATGTTCAAGAAGCTTGGCTTAAAACTAGAAAGAAGGGCCAGGTGTGGTGGTGCATGTCTGTAATCCCCGCACTTTGGAAGGCTGAGGTGGGAGGACTGTTTGAGGCCAGGAGTTCGAGACCAGCCTGGGCAACATGGTGAGACCTCCCAACTCTACAAAAAATCTTTTTGAAAAAATTAGCCAGGCATGGTGGTACGTGTCTGCAGTCCCAGCTACTGGGGAGGCCGAGGCAGGAGGATCACTTGTGTCCAGGAGTTCGAGGCTGCAGTGAAGCTGTGACAGCACCATTGCACTCTAGTCTGGGCAACAGAGGAAGACCATTCCTCTAAAAAAAAAAAAAAAGAAAGAAGGGGCCAGGCACGGTGGCTCACGCCTGTAATCCCAGCACTTTGGGAGGCCGAGGCAGGCGGATCAGGAGGTCAGGAGATCGAGATCATCCTAGCTAACACGGTGAAGCCCCAACTCTACTAAAAATACAAAAAATTAGCTGGGTGTGGTGGTGTGCGTCTGTAGTCCCAGCCACTTGGGAGGCTGAGGCAGGAGAATCGCTTGAACCCGGGAGGCAGAGGTTGCAGTAAGCCAAGATCATCCCATTGCACTCCAGCCTGGGTGACAAAGCAAGACTTAGTCTCAAAAAGAAAAAAAAAAAAAAAAGGAAAGAAGGAAAAGAAAGAAAGAAGACTTTTCATTGTGGTTTAGTATAGTCTTAGGCAGTTTGAAATGTATCTAGAAAAATAAGAGTGGTCAGTGAAGCCTGCAGACTTCCGTGTGGTGGGAGGTGCTGAGGAAGGGTGGAGGTTGGCAGAACTGTGGGAACAGGCGATGGAAATGGTTCTCCTAATATGGAGTTGACAAGATTTTTCTTCACCCAGTTTTCCTATCAACTATTCCATCATGTTTTTTTCCTACTGAATACTTTCTCCTTTTTTTGTACAAATTTATGTGGTGCATGAGAAATTTTGTTACACATATAAAATGCATAGTGATCAAGCCTCTATTTAGAATGTCCATCACCTCAGTACAATACGTTTTTATTTAGTCACCCTACTCTGCTATCAAACTCTGAATTTATTCCCACTATTGCATCTTTTGCTGCTTAATTCATCTGTGGTTAAGGGTTAACAAGGAAAACACATCCCCAAGGTAATTTACTTCCAGTTCTCTGTATCTGTCTAATTTAAATATATTCCTCTGCACCCTACGTCATTCTTTTGAAAGAAATTAGGCTACTGTGTTATTTGATGCTGAAATGCAATCTTTCAAGCTATTACCTGACATACAATTTCTAAATGCAGTTCAGAAAAGTCATCCATTTTACAATCTGTAAAAGAAACAAAACTTGGATTCTAAGTCCAAAGATATATGCCCTCTATGTAAATTTATCTTCACTCCCTCTACACATATTTTACACAAAGTCACAAGTGGTTTGTGCATTCAGTATGAACCCTGTGTATCTAAAAGGGGAAGAGCCAAGATTTCAGCTCCTGTCATTAGATAGTCCAAGAATTTAATATTATAAAAGATATTGGGACAGTGGAAACAAATAAATAAAACAGAAGTCTGTTTCTGTTTGTTTTCTCATCTGAGTCTGGAACCAGCCCTGTCCAAACCAGGCTCATTACCAAACCAGGCTCATGAGCAAAGGCAGTTCACTCTCAAACACCTCAGCTTCCTAGAATTACTCCAGGACAACAGCACAGTCCTGTTAGAAGCTGAATGTATGATTTCATCTCTTTGCCCATCACCGAGATTGTTTTCTAAAAGCAAGCTGTAAGCTCCTCCCCGAGAGAATTACTTTTCGCTCACCGAATCTCATTACCTTTCTTTAATAGACATGGTTTTGCTGGGTGAGTCAAGAAGGCCCTCCCCTGTCGGCGTTTTGATCTCTCCAGCAGCAAACATCGCACATGGATTCTTGCAGAGCTTCTCCTGTGGCTGTTCCGAAGAATCCTGGGGCTTCCAGGACACGGGGGCTGTGGTTTGAGCAATAGTTTTCCCAGCAGCTGTCCCCGTCTGCTCGGAAGTGGGCTCCCCGAACTCTGCCGCTGGGAAGGAAAAGAGCAACATCAGCACTGAACTCCTCAGGCAAACATTCTTCCAGCGATTCGCCCTCAACAGTGCAGCTCTCAGGGTTCAATCCGTGGGCACACGGCGGGTGACCCAATCCACTGGGATTTATGCAAATCTGCAGCACGCTACACTCTGTGAGAAAACCAAACTTCCTGGAGGGTTACCCACACAGCAAAATGCTTCGTGGCAATTGGTTTCTCTCCTGTGTGCGAGACACAGGAAGTCAGCTTTAACTATTTACTCCAGAATGGTTCTATTCTCCAAAATAATACCTTAACATTCAAATGTGCTATACTCACAAACGCAAACCCCTATTATAACTTACACTGTACTGTTTCATACAAACGTAGAAAGAGGATGAAGGGCCCACGCAGTGTAGCTTGCTAGCCTGCAAAACAGGCATGCAGGAAGAAGCACTCTAGCGATTCAGAGACTGGGGTCAAGTCTTTCCTGAATTCCTTGTGCTTACCCAGCCTGGACCTTTGGGGTCATCAATTTCTAAAAGGGGCCACCAGAACTAAGCAGCTCAGAAGGCCATTGTGTGAGTGACCAAAGTCAACAGAAACTCCATGAAGATGTGTGAAAGCTCTTCCAGTAGTTTTATTGCTGAAAACTTGATGTATCCTCTAGTCAGATCCAGGGAAGAATAGGATTCCCGCTGAACTTTTAACCAATACTAGCTGTAAACTGCCTATAGAACTTTGTTAAAAGCCATCATAGACACAGGACAAATCAAGCAGAAACTAAAACCCAGTGGCTTTCTAAAGCTTTAGGGGCACTGGTCACTTACCTCTTAGTGAAAACTTCCTTTTCATAACATTCTCCACCTCCACCTTCTCTTCAAAGGGCAGCCTGTCCCTCAAGTCCAAGTTTCCTTGTGCATTCATTTTAGCCATGGAAAATTCCTTCGGTTCATCCCCGAGGTGGGTGATGGGAGGGTTCGCCCGTTCCAGGCTTCCTCTTCTGGGAACAGCATATTTAGATTCCTTATGGCTGTCTCCTTCCCTGGCTCGGTTCAGGATGGGGTAGGATGCTTCTGCTTCCTCAAAGGACCCATACTTCTCCATCCCACTGTCTCGACCTGTCAAAGCTCTCTTGCTTTCTGTCTCTCCATATTCTCTCAACATTCCCTTGTTCTCGCTACCCTCTACCAAAGGCTGCCAAGCTTGCGATTTCAGAATGCTTCTAACTGGAGAGTCCGAATTTTCTATTGAAGAAGAAAACTTATAGTCAGTGGCACTTGCATTGTGGTCAAGAGGTGGCTTTGTGCGAAGATCTCCGGCATACATTGGAGCAACCGTGGATGCTACGGTAGACACTGATGTGTTCACGGCAGGTGAGAAAGGAATGAGCTTTCCACTCTGCACCTGGAAGGACACAGTTAAAAATTAAAAAGCTGCTTGAAAAATATCATCTATATAAATCCTGGTTTATGAATTGACAGAAGCTGAAATACTCGATTTGATGCAGTTTCACTGTTTCTCTTAGTGGAAAACCATTCCTGGACATAGTTATATAATACGTCTCATTAAACAAAATCCTCTGGGTGAAACACAGTTGGGCATACTATTTTTTTCTCTCCAAAATGGACTCATTCTAGATATTTCAGCAAGCAAGGTATGAAAACAAAAAAAGAGCAACATACTTGGTAGAATTCTCATTTTTAGGAAGAAAGCTATTACCAAATCACCTACAGGTAGCAGTTTCCTGGTAGAGCACCTTAATTACATCATTGACCTCAGAGGAATACTGCAGTGCTATAATTTAAGAACACACACACACAAACTGCAATCGGACTATAGCACACCCACCTGCTCCACCTCTCCCAGTGTGACTGGCTGAGTTTGATAGCGAGCGTTCATTCTCCTCTGTCTCGTGTCTATTCTGTTCCGGGTAGAAATCGCTTTTGAGACTGGCTGGGACAATTTGTTAAACAAGGCCAACTTTTCGGCCAAGCTTAGAGTGGAGGAATCAGGTTCTCCTTGCTCAGCAAGCTCTTTGCCCTCATTTGTCTGGTCCTTGGCTAAGGCCTTTTGGTGAGCAGAGGCCTGCAATCTGAAAAAAATAAAATGTCAGCAACACATATACCAACAAACAAAAGCACACCGCTAAGTTTCTACGTTAACTTTCTGCCAAGTGTCACATCATTTTGCAAAGGGCTTCTTTTTCCCTAAGCACGTCTAGGACAGAGGCAGGCAGCTGTTCAGCTACTCAACAAGCAGAGTCGGCACAGGACACTTAGCATCATCACTTCTACAAAGAGCAGACTTTGAGCTCCGAATTATTTCTACAAAACGAATTTCCTGTTTAAGACATTGAAGTCAGCTTGGCTATACCTTATCTTAGACAGAGAGGCGGCATTGTTAGTATCGTAATAAGTAGAATGAAAGGGAGTCACAAAGTATTACCTACGGTGTATTTAGACCTTATCTAAAGATATGGTTCAGAAGGTGGTCTTTCATTTTAAATAATTAGGAAACGATATAGTCCTCTGTCAACAACATAACAGAAGGTCTTGATTTTTACTTGCTAAAGACAAATGGCTTAATTTTTAAAGAGTCACTGCTTCAGCTTAGCATTTACTCTCATAGGTTCCTACCAGTTTTCTAAAAGGTACTTAAATCTGCAATTTCCAGTAACCAGAGGAGTAAAGAAAATTTCAGGTGATTATAAATCCCTCCAACTGGCCAGGTCTGGTGGCTCATATCTATGGAAGGCCAAGGCAAGAGGATCACTTGAATTTAGGAGTTGGAGACTAGCCTGGGCAACATCGTGAAACCCCATCTCTACAAAAAATATAAAAATTAGCCAGGCTTGGTGGTGTGCACCTGTGATCCCAGCTACTCAGGAGGCTGAGGTGGGAGGATCGCTTGAGCCTGTGAGGTAGAGGCTGCAGTGTGCAGTGATGAAGCCTGGGCGACAGAGCAAGACTCTGTCTCAAAAATAAATGAATGAATACATAAATCAGTAAATAAATAAATAGCTCCCTCCAACTTCCAGCTAGAAGAGAAGGAAAGCCTGAAGTCTTCACGGTCAATATGAATCTCTAGGGGTTTGTAATGCACTATATCTTCTGTCCCTGACCGATCCAATTGTCAGATCTAGTAAAGGAGATATTCTGCCTTGATTCTAGTGAATCCCCAATGCACAGGCTATCCCAGGCCAAAGAGTAGCCAGCTTCCATATTCCAGGTGTATAATGAGGCCAGTGACAAAAAAGCCACCTGAGCCTCAGAGTCCTCCGTGGACCTCGTGCAGTAACCAGGAGGGCAGGGAAACCCACTTCTCCGGGAGGGCCCTGCTGTGGGTGTACCAGCTTTATCCCGGCACTGCCATTATTTTTAGCTTTTGCGGTTTGGCTCATATAACAGTAAAATGAAGGGATATGACCTGATGTGAGGACATAATTTTAAAGCACCACAATCTGAAACACGACAGTAAAACATCTACGTTTAGACACTACAAATTGTTATTTTCCCAGTCCCAAAATATAATGGCATTGACTCTATAAATTAGAAAGAGGGAGGATTGTTTTCAGTCTGTATTTGTGTCTACAGGTGTTTGAAAAAGACTGGGTCTTATCAGCATTTCAACATTCAGGTTAATGTCTCATTTTTCTTTTTTTTTCTTTCTTTTTTTCTCTTTCTTTTTTTTTTTTTTTTTTGAGACAGAGTCTTGCTCTGTCACCAGGCGGGAGTGCAGTGGCACGATCTTGACTCACTGCAACCTCTGCCTCCCAGGTTCAAGCGATTCTCCTGCCTCAGTCTCCCAAGTAGCTAGGATTACTGGCACATGCCACCATGCCCAGCTAATTTTTGTATTTTTAGTAGAGACAGGGTTTCACCATGTTGGCCAGGACGGTCTCAATCTCCTGACCTCGTGATCCACCTGCCTTGGCCTCTCAAAGTGCTGGGATTACAGGCATGAGCCACCGCGCCTGGCCAATGTCCCATTTTTCTATTAATCTTTATTAAGTGCTATAACAGTATTTAGATGAAGAACAAAATTTTTGAGGGATGACCATTATTATGAAAAACAAACAAAGCAACTGGATACGTGAGTTAGTGTGATCCTAGTTCTAACACATAACATATGCAGAGAGACAAAATGTTTTCCCACGCACGCCAGCATGTGGTTATCAGCACCTTGTGCTATGACAAAACAAAATGCCACGCATTCTGGAACAACTCACGGCATTGACTTGTTTGTCAAACAAACGACAGACATTCAAGACTTTAGGATGCATCTGCTGTTCGGCACCTTTGCACCGGGTGCCGCATGCATCTGTATCTGTCCAGTACCTGGCAGGCTGCACAGCGCTCCTAGCTACAGTGGGGCTAGGAAGTCTCGCCATTACAGGGTGGGTGCCCCCAGAACACGAAGCGGGGATAGGTTCACTTTAAAAGCAATTGCCAAAGAGGAAACATTCATAAGGAGAGAGAAGAAAAGAAGCATTAAGGACAGCATAGTTTTAAATTCAGAAACGTTAAATCAAAAATTTTAACAGAATATTTTGCTAATTATTTTTGGGGAGAAAAAATCACGAAAGAACTTCAAAAGCAAATACAAACTCAGGAAATAAGAGATAGTGGCTACCCAAAGCAAATGGGGTAAGAATAGGTGTTCAGAGCTGGGAGGATTTACTCTGTCTTGAGAATACATGTCTTGGTGTAAAAAAAATAATAATTCAAAAAAGCAAATATTAGCTATCAAAAAATCAGTAGATTATGTCTGTGTTTTAGAATATTGTTTCCAATCTAATTTTTTTCTTTCTTTTTCTTTTTTGGAGATGGAGTCTGTCTCTGTCACCAGGCTGGAGTGCAGTGGCATGATCTTGGCTCACTGCAAACTCCGCCTCCCGGGGTCAAGTGATTCTCCTGCCTCAGCCTCCTGAGTAGCTGGGATTACAGGCGCGCACCACCACGCCCAGTTAATTTTTGTATTTTTATTAGAGATGAGGTTTCACCATGTTGGCCAGGATGGTCTTGATCTCTTGACCTCGTGATCCACCTGCCTCAGCCTCCCAAAGTGCTGGGATTACAGGTGTAAGCCACTGGGCCCAGCCTTTTTTTTTTTTTTTTTTTTTGACAGAGTCTCACTCTGTCGCCCAGGCTGGAATGCAGTGGCGCGATCTCGGCTCACTGCAGCCTCCACCTCCTGGGTTTAAGCATTTCTCCTGCCTCAGCCTCCCGAGTAGCTGGGATTACAGGCGTGCGCCACCATGCCTGGCCAATATTTTTGTATTTTTTAGTAGGGACGGGGTTTCACCATGTTGGCCAGGCTGGTCTTGAACTCCTGACTTCAGGTGATCCACCCACCTCTGCCTCCCTAAGTGCTGGGATTACAGGTGTGAGCCACTGCACCCGGCCTCAATCTACTTTTTAAAAGTATCAGTGTTCTTATACAATCTATAGGCACATCAAGGTAGATTTATTGAGCCTTAAAATGGGATTAATTTTTCTTATATTTACTGTTTTGCTCCCATGGGTATCTGCCTGTTATTTTACACCAGCCATTCAAATATTTCTTTTTTTAAAAAACAAACTGATTTGCAAAGAGTTCCTAATGAGTGCAAGGATATACTTAGCTACAAATGCACCAAGAAACTGAGGAACAACTCGGGGAGGAACTGTAGGCAGCTGATCTAACAGCAGGTCTACAGAACGGGGCACTGACATAGAGGCCTTTTGGGATGTCAATAACCTAATGGGATGAACTATTTTTTTTTCCAGGAAGGGTGTCTGTGTGTCCAAGGTAAGCACAAAACCAATTAACAACATCAACAACAACAAAACTAGGCTGGGTACAGTGGCTCACGCCTGTAGCTCCAGCACTTTGGGAGGCTGAGGTGGGAGGATCGCTTGAGCCCAGGAGTTTAAGATCAGACTGGGCAACATGGCAAAACCCCATCACCACAAAAAATACAAAAATTAGCCAGGTGTGGTGGTTGGGCCTACAGTCCCAACTACTTGGGAGGCTGAGGTTGGAGGGTCAATTGAGCCCAGGAGGTTGAGGCTGTAATGAGCCAAGATGGCGCACTGCATTCCAGCCTGAGTAACAGAGTGAGACACTGCCTCAAAAAAACAAACAATGCCCCCCGCAAAAATAAGAAAATTTTTCACTTGATTGAAGCAATGATCTCTGAATGAACTACTCTGGGAAATTAATTCTGAATATATTGAAACATATTATTCAAAACAAACTTCCTATTGTTTGGAAAGTTATCAAACTGCAATTTAATTTTTAGAAATTTCTGGCAATTAATCCCAGCACTTTGGGAGGCTGAGGCATGGATCACCTGAGGTCAGGAGTTTGAGACCAGCCTGGCCAACATGGTGAAACCCCGTCTCTACTAAAAATACAAAAATTAGCTGAGTGTGGTGGCACATGCCTGTAATCCCAACTACTCGGGAGGTGGAGGCAGGAGAATCGCTTGAACCCAGGAGGCGGAGGTTGCAGTGAGCCGAGATCATGCCACTGCACTCCGTTCTGGGTGACAGAGCAAGACTCTCTCTCAAAAAAAAAAAAAAAAAAAAAAAAAAAAGAAAAAAAGAAAAGAGATTTCTGGCAATTAAGAACAAAACAAACCTTATCTTTTAGAGGGGCGTACTGGGATATTTATGGATGAAATGGTAAGACCTCTAGTGTTTGCTTGAAAATAGCACAGGAGGAAAGGGGAAATGAATGGCACACGGGCTGAGCATCACCGGCCAGGAGCGGGTGACCGTGGAAGCTGGGGTTTCATCACAGCAATCCACCAAGTTTCATGTTTCTATTTTCCGTTGTCAAAGAGATTTTTAAAATATCAATATGCAGAGACAGAAACAAAATAGAACAAAAACTCCTTTCAAGTTTTTCTAGAAGATACACATCCCATTACAAAGTTTAGAGAGACCACAGTAAACAAAATCCCTTAGTACTAACTTCTCTGTGGCTTCTAGCTAAATCACCTCCCCAATGCCTCATTTTCATTGAACACTCTTTAAATGTATTTTTTTAAAAAAAGACACTATAGACAAGGCTGAGAAGTCCTGTGGGCACTTACGTGGCTGCGATGACCACCTCTTCAGTGGTGATGGGCTGGGTGAGGGACCTGTCCTGCAGACGGCGTAGCCTCTGCTCCACAGCTGTGTTTCTTGAGCGTCGCTTTGGAACATTTTGTTCATCAAAAGATTTTTCCATCTCCTAAGATTAGAAGTATTGTGGAACCCTTATAAATTCAAGGAAAGAGCTGGGCACGGTGGCTCACGCCTGTAATCCCAGCACTTTGGGAGGCTAAGGAGGGAAGATTGCTGGAGGCCAAGAGTTCAAGACCAGCCTGGGCAACAAAGTGAGACCCCCTCATCTCTACAAAAAATGCATAAATTAGCCAGGCATGCTGGCACAGGCCTGTAGTCCCAGCTACTTGGGAGGCTGAGGTGGGAACATCACTTGAGCCTGGGAAGTTGAGGCTGCAGTGAGCTATGATCACATTGCTGCACTCAACCCTGAGTGAGAGAGTGAGACCCTATCTCTAAAAAAAAATTAAAAATAACAAAGAAATTCAAGGAAAGGAAATGGGGGTAGTAAAAATTCTTCACTTTGTTCTCCTACAGGACCTACAGGAGGGGTCACTAATGAGCACCTCGTATTGTTGTCAGAAGTGTACACTCATGCTGTGTCCATGAGGTGGCCACAACCAGCCAAAGATTAGGAAGAGAACAACAGGTGGGCCAGAGGCAGGAGGGCCTTAGCATGCCCAGAGGTGCATGAAGTAGGCTGGGTCCACAAGATTCCCCCTCCCTAAGGCTTACAATTTTTATTTTTTTTGAGATGGGGGTCTCACTGTGTTGCCCAGGCTGGTCTCAAACTCCTGGCCTCAAGTGATTCTCCTGCCTTGGCCTCTCAAATAGCTGGGATTACTGCACCCAGTAGGGATCTCTATTCAAGCACGTCAGCACAGCTTACCCTGAAAAGCAACCTCTTGGCGGCGACGCTCAGCTTGGCTCGTTCATCCACCTTTTCTTCATCTGCAAAAAGCCACAAATTAAAAACTGGACATCATTAGAGAAGGTTAAGTTCGGTCTCCAAAAAGTCTTTCAGGGCTGACCTGGAAATCTTTGAATACAACAATAGGTGCACTAAAATAATAATTGGTGGTAGTTTCCCCTTGCAGGGAGCCCATTCTTTCTGCTCAGTGAAAAGGTACTAATTTCCCTTGCAATTCAACCCAGCCAAACCAAAGCAAACTCTGTCCAGGGATTTCTACTCTAACGTTTGTCTGATCGAGATTTCATGAATATATTTTATGGGGGGAATTTCTTTTAGTTTTAAATAGTAGCAGCAGCAACAACAAGAAGAACCTGCTCCTTTGGTTTGAATTAGTTGTTTTTACATTGGTCACTGTATGATTCTCTAACTGCTCTCAAAAAGAAGGGAAAGCTTGTCTGAAAATTTCAACTAGATTTTATCATATCCACAGAACGAAAACCTGCAGCAAAGGGAGACACTGTTATGCTCCATCATCTTACTCTCTCAAAAAGCCAAAAACCTTATTATTAAATCCAGTCTAGATGAGATAATAAAGAAGAAAAAAAAGGGAAACAGGTACTTGCCATCGACAGTTGGCGTTTCTGAATGTGAAGTGCACCTAGGAAAGACATTAGCAAATAACAATAATACATTAGCAGGTGGGAGCAGAAGATCGAAATAAAACATCATACTGAAAGTAAAAATAAAAATGCAATTAAATTCTTTTAAGAAATAACCTCCTGGTAGCAATTCTAGTTGTGAAAACACACATACAGTTGTGAAGCAACACTGTGGAGCGTGTGTGCACACAATCCCAGCCAAGTACACACCCCGTGGAGAGAGACCAGGCACAAGAACAACTTGTTAAACACCACTGATGACAATTTTCCAGACAAATCTTACCATTTCTATGCAATAGTATATGACACTTCAGTATAAAACTCAAATACAACAAGTAGATGGACATTTATAAAATGAATATAAAATTCCTCAGTTATTTTCACTGTAAAATCTGGTGAATATGCAATCTGGAGTCTAATTTAACAAGGGGTAAAAAACATTAAAACCATTAAATAAAGAAAAATAATGTTTCTTACTTCTTATCATCTGAATGCAATGTAAAATTGTGTATGTATCATAATACCGCTGTAAAGGCTAATATTCTTTAAAAAGACTTTTAAATAAGCCAAATAAATAACGCTTATAGGTTAGATGGAACAATTATGGAATCGCCAACATCCTATATAAATAGCGTCAAGACCGTCAGTGTGGTAAAACTCCTGTGTCATTGCCACGTTCCTGGATGAGGAAACTGCGCATACGCATGCCTACCTATCCGATTCCTTTCGTTCTGCTGAAGTTATAGGTTGGGTTCTAAATCTCTCGGAAGTTTTTCTACTTTCACCAGGAGAAAAATAGCGTCTTGGTTTCCGGGACCCTCTCTCCCGTTCCACACCGGTGGGCAAGCCAGGTCCTTCAGCCGACCTCTCCACCCGTGATTTGCTTTGAGAATCAAAGGGCAGAGAGTATAAGGAAGGCAAACGAAGACAGAGAAAGAGAAGATGGCAAAGGATTATGCATCTCCGTGAGTCAAGGGACAGACACCACCAAACCCCTCTTCATGCCTCTACCATGCACGTAAGGAAGGAGACATTCCAGACACCCAATCCACTAGTTCCCCATTAGTAGGCAGAAGCAGAGTGGTAGTTTTTGAGCCATTTTCCGCATAGTCGCCCTGCACGCACTTGTGAGCTAAGCTAATATGATTCAATGCAGAACACAACACAGGTCGAGGAGTGAATCATTCTGCCAGGGACGTGCAAGTGACACAGCTGGAGGGCGTGTGAAGCATCACCTACAGTTCAGGTCTCCTGCAGGCGTTGGCAGATGCCAGGAACGCACTTCGGAGCTGGGCGACAGAGACTTTTGTGTCCAGCATGCTGATCTCCCCATAAGGCCCTTCGGTCTTGGAGCTGGGCAGCTCCAGCTCTCTCCTGGAAGCTGGGTCCTTATACTTCAAGGCCTGGAGCTGAGGGGGGCCTGTGAAATCTGACAGAGAGCGGGTACGGACCTTGCGCTTTTTCGAGGCTTCCCTGTTGTGACCAGTTGGTTTGGCGTCTTGGGACACAGGCTCACTTTGAATGTAGAGAACCATCTCGCTCCTGCCTGTCCTCTCAGTGGGCTGGTGCGGAGCTTGAGGGGGTTGTGCCACGTTTTCCAGTTCCTTCTGATGCTCTAAGGTGACTGTGCTCACAGCAGGCTTACCAAAGTCCTCATTTCTAGAGGGATCTTCTGGGCTTCTCACTAGCCCATCACCCTCCAAAGCCAGTAGGGTTTTCTTGCTTTGCTCGAGAGCTTCAGTGAAGCACACATCTTCTTCTTTTTCTTCTCCTTCTCCTTCCCCTTCTTCTTCTTCTGCTTTTGACTCGCAGACATGGAGAACTGGGCTATCCCTTCCGTCACCTTCTAGAACCGTCAAGCTGGGAGGTTTGGGGACATTCTGGGTGGCTGATGCTACCCAGCTACACTCAGATGCATTTTCTGGGGTTTCTGGCGTCACTAGCTTGGCGGTGTGACCGGTATCTGCGGGTTGGACATAGCCACGGATTGGCTGTCGTGTAGAGCCTGCTGCCTTGCTGGGGACCCTATCAAAGGCTGAGTGCTCAGACTGAAATGACACGTAATGGACTGGCGCTGGCTGGTGTCTCCTCTGAGTTACGGACTCTGAGGCGAGTTCAGGGCTGTTTCGAGCACTTTCCTCTTTCACCAATTTTTCTCTAACTTTAACTCTTTAAGAAAGAAAAAGGATTTAAGTTGCAAAGTGCAGTAACGGCCTCACAGGAGGAAAGCATGCGTAGATCACAGATTACCAGTGAATGGAAACTGACCTGAGAGAGAATAACTTGTGAAAAAGCATTTTGGTGTCTAATGTCAACTACTTGTCAGATGATCCTGAGTTGAGTTTCCAATTTGCATATGTATGCCCAGGAGGTGCAAAACTAACTCTACCCCTGTAAAAGCTGGCAGGGGTCAGATGCTATCCTGGGGGAGAATGGGTCCCTTCTGACTAAATAAATACCCAGAAGCCACAGAAAAATGCGTTAATATCCACCACCAGCATGCATTAGGGCATAATGAGCCTGGTCCCTTGAATCAGTAAGCTTTCCTCATGTACACGCCCAGAACACGGACTGTGGGGGAAGGTTCCTGGCATACAGACACCTATTGACCAAACGCTGTAATTTCATTGTCGTCTGAAAATGTAAGAGCACTCACGATTATTTATGCTTTTTATTTAGTTCAAGATACAACAATCACCTCTCTTTTAAAGCACTCAACTAGACATTCACAAGCTTTTTCATGCAATGCAGAGTATATTCATTCATTCAGAAGGCATGTGGCCAGTCTGGGCATCATTATGAATAATTCTAGCACCAAAAGAATGTTAGAGAAAAGATAGTTGCTGACAGAACTAATGAAGTGAACATTTCCCACCACCATCCCCCTGTCCTGCTGTTATGCTCTTAGTTAAAAATGAATCCCAAAAGAGAGGCCGGGCCCTGGGGCTCATGCCTGTGATCACAACCTTTTGGGAGGCCTGGGCAGGAGGATCATTTGAGGCCAGGAGTTTGAGACCAGTTTGGGCAACATAGTGAGATCTTGTCTCTACAAAAGTAAAAAACAATATCTAGGTGCAGTGGCGTGTGCCTGTAGTCCCAGCTACTTAGGAGGCTGAGGCAGGAGGCCCACTTGAATCCAGGAGTTTGAGGCTGCAGTGAGCTATGATTGTACAGCTACACTCCAGCATAGGCAACAGAGAGAGGCTCTGTCCCTAAAAAACAAAAATAAAATAAAAATAAAGAGAGATTGCTCCAGTTGTTTCTAAAGTTATTCAAATATCTGAGAGCAAAACTGACATCCTTTTCAAAAGCTACAGACCTTTTTCCATTACTGCAAAACAAAGAAACCAAGAGCTCTGGCTGTGGGGTTGGAAGAGACCTCTGCTCAGATCCTGGCTCAGTCAGGTTGAGCTGTGTAGTGTTGGGCAACTCACCTGCCCTTAGTAAGCCTCAGTTGCTTTACCTTTTAAATGGAAATAATAGTGACATAATGTAATGTGATATTTGCAAAGCACGTGGCTTAGTGCTTAGCAAAGAGTAAATGTTTAATAGTGTTATCTAGTTCTTATTTTTGGTTTTTGAAGTACCATGTAGTGGGAAAGGAGACACAATTCCAACTACTTGAGAATGGAAAACTGATTAGGGCTCAGCTTTAAAAAGCAAAGAGGGCTTTTGGAGTGGGAAAAGGGATTTCTTGCGGGGAGAGGAATTTAGACTGTTTACTTAAGCTTAATTGGCAAAAGTAATTATTTATGATGTGCACTGTATGGAAAAGAATAGTTTATTTAATGACAAGTGCACCCTGCTAAATTTGATAAAAACTCCTATATATTTTTTTTAACGTACGAGGCAGTGTATCTATATATGTGTCATTAAAGGACAATCCACACAGACGCACATAGAGGTGGTAACTATGAACAACTCAGGGAAAGAAAACATTCTTAGTTGTTATTTTTCCCAGAGATGAGCCAGTGTTGGAGGTTTTCATACTTAAAACGTTTGTTAATCAAAAGGAGACTGAAGCGCGGTTCCAGTTCTCCTGTGGAATGCGTGCTCCTGATCAGAGACAATCTGAATGTTGTCCTCAGCCAAGAACAAAGTGACTGTCAGAAACTCTGTGTGTGGAGCTTTGTCCTTCCATGACTTACTCATTCTGACTCCTTCCGCCTCTCCCTGCCCCCAGTCTTAAAAATGAAATGATAGGGGGTTTTGTTTGCTTTTAAAACCACATGCCCTAAATTTAACTGTTGAAAATTAACTACTGGTTTAGAGATGAGGAGATATGAAAGCAAGGAGGCTGGAAGGGCTGGGAGCAGTGGGAAGCTGAGCAGATGGGACGCCGGCTAGCGAGTCCAGCTATGGAAAGGAGCCCAGGGCCTGGCTGGGTGCTCACTACTGCCCCTCACTGGCCAGTCCTATGTGAGTTGGTGAGAAGGGAAAAGCAAAAGGTCAAGTAAAAGGTTTGTCAATCAAGAAAGATTGACAAAGATTGAAAAAGAGGGGGAAGGAGAGATACTATTAGCATGGATTAGGGCATGTGGAGGGGAAAAGCAAATGATTAGAAAGTAACTTCCACGTGATTTTCAAGTGCACTGGTATTAAAGAAGGCAAGAGGAGAGTGGGTGTTAGCTGATGTGTGGTCAGGCAGGAGGAAGCAACACTCATGCACACAAGCCCCAGAGGGCCGGCGTGCGGGTACCTGGAAGGCCAGTTGATAAGTGAAGGTGTGTCCCCTTCGGAATCTTTCTGGAGAAACCACTCATGTTTGGGTTTCCCTGTACTATTGTGTACAAAAAACAAAACCAGATAATCTCTATTAAAACGTCAACATATACACAGACTTTACCATAACTTAAAACCTAAAGGCTGATTTTTATTAAGAATAATCCTCACTTATAAGTGGGAGTTAAACATGGAGTACACATGGTCACAAAGAGGGAGCAGCAGACATGAGGGCCCACTTGAGGGAGGAGAGAGGCAGGAGGGCGGGGATGGAAACACAACCTGTGGGCTGCTGTGCTTATTACCTGGGTGACAAAATATTTAATACACCAAAGCCTTGTGACAATTTACCTACATAACAAATCTGCACATGTACCCCTGAACCTAAATTAAAACTTAAAAAAATAAACAAACAGGAATATTATAGGGAAAAAAAGAATAATTCTGTCTTTTGAAAATGTATAAGCACATTTTGCTATAGAGTTCATATTCACTTCATGGAGTTTCCAGGACATGTGGCTCACTACTAAAATCAAGAGGTAAAAATAAATGTATCTAAGGCCATCAAATCATGTGTTTTCCCAAGTAATTTTAAATTATTAGAAAGGAGTCTGTTGGCCGGGTGCAGTGGCTCACGCCTGTAATCCCAGCACTTTGGGAGGCCGGGGTGGGTGGATCACCTGAGGTTAGGAGTCCAAGACCAGCCTGGCCAACATGGTGAAACCCCATCTCTACTAAAAATACAAAAAATTAGCCGGGTGTGGTAGTGGGCACCAGTAATTCCAGCTACTCGGGAAGCTGAGGCAGGAGAGTTGCTGGAACCTGGGAGGTGGAGGTTGCAGTGAGCCGAGATCATGCCACTGCACTCCAGCCCGGGCGATAACAGCACGACTCTGTCACAAAAAAAAAAAAAAAAAAAAGAACGGAGTCTATTATAGTCACACTCTGCCCACAAATACCAGGCAATTCTCTTGTAAGCAGCTGACTAAAAGTAAAAGGTAATTTAATTTCCATAAGTTTTGCAGTGGCACGTTGGTAAATAGCCTAATATAAAAATAGCATCTATGTAAAACAACACATTTCAAATAAAGAAGATAATTAAAATAAATAAAAATAAAATAAAATAAGTCAATGGGATCACATTTTTAGTTGCTATTACACATTTTCCTTTTAAAATTATCACTGAATAATGTGACCAACACAAGAGTTACAAGTACTAATTCAGGTCCATTCTGCTGATATTTATTGAGCTCCTAGTAAGTGCAAGTAATGAGCTAAGGAACGACGAAAATGAATCATAAATCAACATAGCCATTAAAAACCTTAAACCGCAGGTAGGCTAGGTAATATATAGTCCACACATTCATTCCTCAACACACGACTGAGTATGATGCCAAGCAGAATATGAACGAGTAATTATACCAGGCTGAAGGTATTTTAGAGAAACATCATGGGTAAGGACAACCTTGTTTTAACAACATAAAGCAAGTCAAAGGAGGAACACTCAGATTACTGCCCTGTCTCCTCTTACAATGTAGAAAGAAAAAAAGGAAATTCTACAGGCTAGTTACAATGTTTACCAGCTCAAAACTTTATGAGCCTATCTGCAAGAATTTTTCAACACCAGGCTGGAAACACATTGCAGCTCAAAAAGAAATTTCTAAAAGAAAATAAAAGTTATAATCAACTTAATTTTCTAAAATCATTTTGGTTTGAGTTTTGGTTGGAGGGGACAGGCAGGTACCTGGCACCGCTATTGTACGTCTTGCTGTAACCACTGACCTCTATCTCGGTCTAGGCTTGGACTGATCTGTTTCTCCAGTAAGATCCTTCAGCCTTGCTACTCCTAAAACTATCACCCCACCTCCCCATCCTCTGCATCACATCAATTTTGCCCACAGCAAATAAAAAGTTAAGATGTATGTAAAGTCATTTCATTTCCAAATATAAAGGGTCCAATTCATCAACTTTTATTTGATGGGAAGAGTTTGGCGCATCGCCTGCAGCCAGGAACGAAGGCAGTGCAACTCAGTCCAGTGTGCAGAGGGCAAGAGGGGCCAGCAGACGCCTGCTGTTGGAAATGACATCAAGTTCCTATAACGAATCTGCCGCCTTCACAGGGTTATGTTTAGGCTGAATGCTTTCTGTATAACAGAGGGCTTTGTAAAAGAAGTGCAATACAACTTTTCGAACATGACCTTAACTGACAAGAATAAAATTTGATCAATATCACCGTCAAACTCCATCAAGGGCTTGTGTAAGAATGTTGGCTCAGCATTTATAAAATGGAAATCCCACACAGACACAGGGGACTTACTGGGCTCCATTTGCTTATTACACCTGAAATATGAAACCAGCCAAAAACCAAAGGACTACCACCAGGGTGGTGAATACTCAAAGTCTGAGTATATAGACAGTCTCCGACTTAAAATGGTTCAATGTAAGATTTATTGACTTTAAGATGTTGTGGAAGTGATAGGCATTCAGGAGAGCCTGTGCTTGGAATTGTGAATTCTGTTCTTCTCCTGGGCCGGTGGTGTGTGGTGCGATGCTCCCCTGCGATGCTCGCAGAGGCAGTGAGCCGCCGCTCCCAGATCGCCACCAGCCATACAACCATGAGGGGAACGACCCATCTCCATAGTGTGCTGCATGGCCAGATGGTTTTGTCCAAATCCAAGCTAATGTGAGTGTTCTGAGCATATCTAAGGTAGGTTGGGTGTATTAAGTGAATTTTTGACTTAATGTTTCCTTTGTTTTTCTGACTTGCAATATTTTCAACTTATGATGGATTTATTGGGATGCGACCCCATTCTAAGTTGAGGAACATCTGTAAAATAAATACAAATGTATGTAATAAGAAACAAAGAGGCCAGGTGTGGTGGCTCACGCCTCTTGTAATCCCAGCCCTTTTGGAGGCTGAGGCAGGAGGATCCCTTGAGGCCAGGAGTTCGAGCCAGCCTGAGCAACATAGCAAGACTCTGTCTGTATTTAAAAAATTAAAAAGTTAGTGAAGCATGGTGGCATGTGTCTGTAGACCTAGCTACTCAGGAGGCTGAGGCAGTAGGATCCTTTGAGCCCAGGAGTTTGAGGCTGCAGTGAGCTATGATTGCACCACTGCACTCCAGCCTGGGAGACAGAGTGAGACTCGGCCTCTAATAAATAAATAAATAAATAAATAAATAAATAAACAAACAAAGTATGTGAAGGCATCATGCCTAGGACATAATAAGCCTTTTAAATGCTTTTCTTATCTTTTTCCTTCTTCACAGTCAACACAGCAATGAAAGTTTATGAATTTCTCTTTTTATGCTTTGAAGACATAATACTTATGGAGACCCAATTCAGAAGTCATGCGATTTTCAGCAGGGTGAGTCCAGCCTCACCAGGAGGGCCTGACTTTGTCTTTAGTACATTTAAAGCAGGAGTGATCTAGAAAAGCATTTCTCCAAGTAAGGGTTTCAGGATCCCTGAGGTTGGCTATGACATGTATTTGGGTGAGGTTATCTGCCATCTGAAATGAAAATGAGAGAGGGATGAGGAGACGCCTAAATCAGACACCAACAGTGAACACGCTGTCCTGGGCGCTGTGTAGCAATGATCTCACAGAATGCAGCCACTTCTGAGTTGTGCAGCAGCATCTACACTTTCGACACTCCCCTCTTCTGTCTCCCATCTCCCCCATCAGACTTCTTAGCTGAGTTCTCCTCCTCACCCCCACGATACACAGCCCCAGGGTGCTCTTGACATTTCAACTTGGATATTTAATAGACGTCTTAAATTTACATGCCCAGAAAATGAACTCTTAACTTCCCTCTGTCCCAACTTGTACTGGAGTCTTCCCTATGCCAAATCCCTGCTTCGAGTTGCCTTGGCCAAAAAATTGAGACTCGCTTTTTACTCCTCTGTTTCTTTCAAACCCCACCCCTACCTCATCAGCAAGTTCTCTTGGGTACCTTCAAAATATAACCTCTTTCTACCACCTGTGCTGCCATCATTCTAGTTCAAGCCACCACCGCCTCTCACGTGCGTTACCAAGATGACCTCCTCATTATTCTACCTGTTTTCATCCTGGCCCCACTAAAGTCTATCTTCCGCTTAGCAGCCAGCATAATGCTTTGAAATGTAAGGCAGATGAGTCATTCCTCTTGTTCAAACCCTCCTAGGGCTCAACATATCAAGTAGGGCAAACCCCAAAGCCCTTGCGGTGGTTCTAAGGCCCTCCCCGATCTGTGGTCTCACTAACATCATCCCTACCACCTGCCCCTTCTGCTACAGCCCTCTCTCTTCGCTAGGATGTGACAGCCTCTGGAGAGAGAGAGACTTCGTTCACATTCATCTCCTCGGCACTCGGAACTATGTGTGGTGAACAGTAGGTCTCAGATGCTCATGGAATGATTAACTGATGAATGATAATCTCCACAGCAACTCTAAGAGGTCTTCTCGTCTCCATTTTATAGATGCAGATGGTGAGGTGCAAGGGAAAAAGGACATTAACTGCTCACGATCACACGACTGGTAACAGAAGGATGGGGCTTGGACCCAGTGCAGCAGGACCCCCCAGCATGCACCTTCCTTCCAGCCTTCCAGAGTGACAAGCTTCCACATTCTGGAAAATGGCTGCTTCCTTGGCTTGAATGGGTAAGAATGAGGTTGGGATGCCAGTGTTCATGGACTCTAAGGTTAAGCAAGGAAGACACCAAGAACTTCCTGGTCACAGCCACAACCCTGACTGGATGTGGATCTCTCTCTAGTGCCGTTTCCACCGTCAGAAGAGTTACCCGATTACCTATGAATTCTGCAGAACCTAACTACCTTCTTCCTTTGTTTCTCCAATGAACAATATCAAATCAAAGGAGTCAGGCAGTGGAAGGTTGTGGACTGAGCTTTCCACCTTGGAGCAGCGCAGCCTGATCATAATACTGAGGGGTTGGCAAAGCGATGCTCAACTGAGATTTTAAAATATTTCATTCCATCAAAGTACAAAATTTACTTCAGGGGCCCACAGGGCATTGTTTTGGAGAGACAGTAAAATAGCAGGTGAGATTTTTTAAAAAACATGAACAAAAAGAGAGATCACATCTGAATTATGGTGGTTATTTTCCTCTTTTATTTTCTCTTCATGTCTTTTAATCTTGTGTGACATTATTTCATGAAGTCTTCCTAAATGTTACGCTTAATTATTTTTGATAAATAAGGTTTGGTTAAGAAATTAACAGTGGGAGATTTGCTTTATACAACATAATGAGTTGAACACAGGATACTTACTGTGAGGCTATACCAGTCTTTGCACATGCGGTCAAGAATCAATTCTGGTGGACAGAGGCACAAGGGATGATGGAAATGTTTCCTATCCTGACTGGGATGATGATTATACATTTACCCAAACTCACCAAGCTGCATCCTTAAAATCTGTGTATTTGATGTAAATTATACCTCATTTAAAAAATATGTCATCGTTGGGTTACAGAGTAAGGACTTCTTGAGTACTGAAAATGTAGCATTTTCTGGGGGCAGAAGCAGGATAAACATGTGAGATAACCAATTTCTTCCAGTCTCCCTTTGAGCTAATCTCAGTGAAGGCCTGAATGCTGTAACCGCAGCCCAGAAAGGAGGGAGGGAGGAGGTATGTGCAGAAAGCACAATTGTCAGAAAATGCTGGAATCTGAGGAAGGTGCGAGGCTGGATTGGCATCCCCTCATCTCCTGATTGGAACCATCACTCCTAGAATAAGGTAATCGGGGACTTGACAGCTTTCATCATGAGACTAGACTAGAATCAGCCATTCGCGGGGCTGTGGACTCAGTTCACGACGCTCCACAAGTGGCCGATGATTTTCTGCTCACTTATCACGATTCCCATTTACTGTTTAATGATATTTATGAGCAGCCTGACTCAAGACCACATACAAGAACCCCAATCCCAGACAAAGCAGAAAGAGCTTTGTCGTATAAACAAGTGCTGCTCACAGTGCGTTCCACTGATTGGTGTCCCTCTGCATGATTAGACAAAAGGCTGTCACCAGAAGGGAAATTAACAACATCGCTAAGCCTGCTGTGTAGTTCAGCTGACGTTTTCTTCACAGCTTGATTTTCTCAATGAAGGAAACCAAACACAATTTGCATTTGGGTGCGAGTGTCTCATAGTTGTGTGCTGATAAACAGTTTGCAGATTGGCTATTTCAAACAGCACTGCTATAGTTTGGTGACACTTTAAGCAAACACAGAAAATAGCAGAACATTCATTCAAAAATGATTTTCTAGGTCACTTGAAATTGTTGGATATTCCAGTTGCAGTGAAGGAGATATGAAAATGACTAGAGCAAGGTATCTACTCATCTCTTAAAGCTTCTACTAAAGTAATGCTATCGCTGCAATCATCCTTACCAGACTTACAGAAGAGCTTAACACCAAATTCACAGTGCCGTGTCTGGAAAAAATCCTTACGAAATTGCTAAAATCCTCTTCTGGGTATGACAGCCATGATCTAGGGTGCTTGCCATTTGTTGTCTTTTTTTTTTAAATTTTTAATTTCTGTGGGTACATAGCAAGTGTACGTATTTATGGGGTATCTGAGATGTTTTGATACAGGCATGCAATGCGTAATAATCATGTCATGGAGAATGGGGTATCCATCCCCTTAAGTATTTATTCTTTGTGTCACAAACAATTGATTATACTTTTAGTTATTTTAAAATGCACGATTATTAGACTATAGTCGCCCTGTTGTGCTAACACAAAGCAGGTCTTATTCATTTTTTCTAACTACTTTTTGTACCCGTTAGGTGCTGGACATTTGAATATCCTTCCTATGACATAGGGTGCCTGTGAAGTGGCATCTGTGGGACTCCTCATTTGGCTCATGACCTGTTTCTCCTCTTTTCCCTTCCAGTACAATCATCAGCAACCCAGAAGCCAAACTAATAACATCAGGGCTCTGTTTGCCAAGCTGAGCCAAGCTCCAGCTCTGTCTCTGGGAAACTCACGATATGATAATGAGAGCAGACTGGTGCGAGAGTCTAAACACCACAGAAAGTGGAAGTGACTCCAAAAATGGTCCCAGTTTCTATTAGCCCATTTATGCCTAGTGTTCCATTATTGGAATGCTAAGCAAGTGGGAGTTATTTATATTCTACTGCTCAAGGACAGCACCAAGGTCTGATTGCAAAAATTCAAAAAATTGCAACCTCGGGCATACATGGGTTAAGAGAGAGAGAAGTTACCAAAACACAACAAAACAACCTGGAAAGGTCAAGAAAGCAGGGCAGATGGGAAGGTGGACTCTTCTCTGGACACATTTGTCAGTGGCCCTATTAGAAAGAGATATCCAGATGTAATCTGACCACTGCAGGACGCAGGGGGACCATTGCCTACCTATGCTATTGGCAACTCACTTTCATTAATGTCCCCCAAGATTGGACTAATCACTTTGGCAGTCATATAAAGAACTTGCTGTCAACTAAAACCCTTAGGTCTGTTTCCCACGAACTGCTGTTAAATCAGGTTTCCACAATCTTGAACTTGTGCACTGATTTTTTTTCCATCTAAATTCAAGACTTCATTAAATTTCACCTTGTTAGTTTCTAACCATTGTTCCGGGTACACGTGCTCTCTTGCCTACATGATCCTGTTCTCTCGCACTCTCTCCCCCTCCTTCTTACCTCTCTTCCTCCTCCATCTCTCCCCTCTCCCCTGCCTCCTTTAGTCATCAAACTTACAATCCCTCCTCCAGAAATCTGATCTAAATACATGCATTTATATGCATGTATTACATATGGTACTTAAAAAGCCTTGTTCTCATAAACAAACAGACAACTTATTTTATGGAATCTTGGGGTGAGCCAACCCTTCACAGGGCAGAGGTCACCTACAAGGGGAGAGGCTTATAGGGTTATTGGGGACCAGAATGAGGAAGTGGTGACTTTAGGTGTGTGTATCAGAACTGTTTTGATGCAGCAACTGGCTGGCAGAGAATTGTATTACCAGGAAATAATAACTCACTCCAGGTTTTCATAAAGGCCAGGGGTTGCCCTTGGGTTGTATCCCTAAGTATATAATAGTATATAATGATCAGCTTTAACTCCCTACAACTCCCAAGGGTCTACAGACTAAAAAGTGCTTCCTGTTACCAAAGTGAAGTCAAATGCAGCACAGTCAAATTAGTTTCTCCATGTGGGTGTCCAGCTCTAATTATATAACAGCTTCTAATTATAAAACGTTAAGAATGGCTATTAACTTTTGAATCTCATTAAAATTAACGGTTAATTTGCTAAAAGTCGCTTGTTTGGAAAAACTGCTAATGACCGTTCTGCAGATAGGTACAGGTACAAAATCTGCAAGGACACAGGCTCAAGGAAAAATTTTGCATTTAAAATCTCACACACCTTTGAGTTTTTAGCTAGTGTACATAGTAGCTAGGGTTTGGGGAGATATATTTACATTTAGTCCAATGAATAGGAATAGTCTGCCAGGCCCGGTGGCTCACACGTGTAGTCCCAGCACTTTGGGAGGCCAAGACGGGTGGATCGCTTAACACCAGGAGTTCCAGACCAGCCTGGGCAACATTGTGAAACCCCATCTCTTCCAAAAAATTCAAAAATTAGCCAGGCATAGTGGCGTGCATCTGTTAAGTCCCAACTACTCAGAAGGCTGAGGCAGGAGGAACGCTCGAGCCCAGGAAGTCAAGGCTGCAGTGAGATTGTGCTACTGCTGCACTCCAGCCTGGGCAACAGAGTGAGACCTTTTCTAAAAAAAAAAAAAAAAAAAAAAAAAGAATAAGAATTGTCACTTGACAATAAGAACAGGATGAAATGAAAAAAAAGAGGGAATGACTTACCCATCTATTTTAACAGTTGGGATTCTAGAGTATGGCAGGGAGCACAGGTGTTTGGGGGTACAGGGACTGAAAGGTGAAGCCAATTCCATTCCAGTAATAGAATAAGCTGTGAGGAGGACCCAGATGTCTGTTCTTTAGAATGGCCCCCAAGATGTATGTTTCTCCATGATGCACTGTCCTGAATTCCGCAGCCTGTGTCAGAAAACCTGCCTGCTAGTGGACACGAGAGCGTGGAAGGTCAAGCACGATGCTCTCCTGCAGACACCTCTCTCAGTGCATGGAAACAGACCACTGAGCCAAGAGAGCTTGAGGCTCTGGAGACGGTTTTTAGACTAAAATCTCTCATCAGGAGATGAGCAAATGCAATCAGAAATAAACTCCAAGTGCCCAGCACAAGCCCCTTCCTTTCTTAGTGGCTGAGGCTGCACCGTGTCAAGTTGTTACAGAAGCTGCATTCCAGAGGGTGCCCTGGTCTATTTCCTGAGCCGATCGGCGGCTCTCTGGCATCCATGGGGAGCCCTGCCCAAACCATCATCCACCAATGGCAACTCTCCCAGGGGTCCAATGTCAGCCTCAGCTCTGCATGAAACCTCCATATCATGTTCTCACTACTAAGGACACAATTTGCTAAAGAGAAAAGAGTGGTGAGGGGCTGCAGTACAGTAATGACAAACAAAACTAATAAACGAGGGTTTTCTAGAGTGGATCACCACTAGAAAATGAGGTCTACCAGCCGGGCGTGGTGGCTCACGCCTGTAATCCCAGCATTTTAGGACGCCGAGGTGGGCGTATCATGAGGTCAAGGGATCAAGACCATCCTGGCCAACATGGTGAAACTCCGTCTCTACTAAAAATACAAAAATTAGTTGGGTGTGGTGGCGCATGCCTGTAGTCCCAGCTACTTGGGAGGCTGAGGCAGGAGAATCGCTTGAACCCAGGAGGTGGAGGTTGCAGTGAGCCAAGATTGCACCACTGCACTCCAGCTTGGAGTCAGAGTGAGACTCTGTCTCAAAAAAAAAAAAAAAAAAAAAAAAAAGAAAAAGAAAAAAGAAAGAAAGAAAATGAGGTCTACCTTTCATTTCATTCCCTTTGCCAGTCACATAGTTCCCTGAGAACAGAGAGTGATGGCCGGATGCTCAGCAAAGGCAACAGCAGGACTGAAGACAGTGAGTTTCTCCACTCATAAAAGTAAAAAATACAGCACATTTTCTTTATATAGATACGTGAGATGCATAAAGTAACAAATTCAACAAGAGCTTTGGATTCGGAATTTCTAGTAGTAGAAGCTCAAGCTCAGGTGTTTAAAAATCTGAATAATCCATAGGACCTAAATCCCTTTTAATTTTATTCTAAAACTCACAGTGGTGGAATTAATAAAGAATGGTTCATAATCAGTAACACTACCTCTCCAGCAAATAATACCATTTCTGAAATTTCAAGTTTACAGGTTTGTAACAGTTAGAGAGGTGGGGCTGGAAGTATCTTATTGTTTTCTACTTCACCTATTTCGTTACTATGTGTATTCTTAGTTTTCTTCAGAGCAATGTGTCCAACTGAATTCCTGGGCATCTAACAGGATTTCTGAGTTAAAAATCCTGTAATATCAACTAATCAATTAACTATTTTTTAAAAAATCTTCTTTATCATATAAACTGAATACTAAAGAATTGTAAAATAAATGTATTATTCAGGTAAATATTGTCCTAAAGACTGTTATTTTGCCTATAATGCTAATGAGTACAGTATAGTGAAGTATAAGAATTAATGATTATTCTGTATATATACACAGATGTGTACAGGTGTTAATGTACGTGAGCACATTCAAAAACTGAGCATTGGAGATGGTGCTCACATTTGAATATTTAGGACACTATTGGTGGTCTTTTGATGGTATATTCATGAGTGTCATCGTATTCGTATTTAAATAATAAGACAGCCTCTTGCTAGCGAGCACAGAACAAAATGATTAAATGGGAATGAGTTGATTCAGAGATTTAATAGCCAAAAATTTGGCAGAGCTAGATGACAAGAGAGTGCAGCAGTGAGAAAAATATTCCATTTTAGTGACAGAAAAAAATCCACAAAAAACCACAGCATTAAACATTATTCATGGGTACTATTTGTCTTCACTTGTTGATTTTAAAGTTTTCGGTTACATGTTTCCATATCAGATGACATTATTATTTTCATATACAGTTATTTAGGTCACCAAGGAGGTTTCTTTTGTTACTGTTTTGGGTTACCACATATTTTTTTTGGTTCATCTTACTTCTCCCTAAATAGGAATCAGAAAATGACTTTCTGAAAGTTGAATTTCCTGGTTCTAGATAAAGACTATCTAAGCAGAATTTTAATCCACTGTAAATCAATCTTTACAACCTGAATCACTGCTGTCATTACAATGTAAATCTTAATTTTTTTAAATGTCAAATTTGTCACACATTTTCCATCCCTCTTTATGTAAATATGTCCCAGGTATTTTCCTAATAAATATATAAACTACTTTGGGTTTCTTTGCCTGTGAATCATAGAATTGTATACCTTTAATGGCTTAGAAAATAAGGCATGCACCTCTCTAGAAGTCCTTACAATTTCTTAATTCTTTTAAATCTTTTTCATGAAAGTAAAGTGCTGTGAGGCTAAGGCTTGGCTTATGAAAACTTCTAGGTAACATGCATCTTCAAAATAACCTACAAAGAAGTGGCTTTATTTTATTACAGGCCTAAATATGTCAACAATGCTTTTTTCTAGGTCTTAAGACAAGTTATATACATTTTTTTAATATTAAGATTTTAACTCATACGAAATATGAAGTATCCTGTCTTTACTTGGGATGCTCAACAAAGTCTTAATTACTATTATAACTGATTTAAAATCTATTTGAGAATCTATTATATGTGATCTAGGTGACTAACTCAGATACCGTGATAACGACTTCAACAGCTCTCATCATGTGGCAATCTGAAATTAGATTCCCCATTTCTTTTAAACCAGTGTAATTATATATCTCTGATATTCTTTTTAAATTGGAGTCTGTTAGGTTCTTCATCCTACTTGCAAAACACAGGAAGAACTTCCTTTGGTAGAAAGTAACTAAACCAAGAACGTGGTTTCTACGATGAAATGCAAATTCCTCAAACAAAAGACCTTCATTTCAAAATATGAGACAGTAACTCACAGTCCCTACATTTCCAGTTAAAACTAAAGGCTGAAAAAAGGTGCTCAAAATGGATCCTTGGGATCTACCTTTTAATTCTGTTGGAAGCTGATCTCTCTAAGTATTTCAGTCTGGATGCTCGAGTATGTGGTGACAGGTCTTTGGGTTAATACATTTCAGTACCACAAGGGTCTGCTTCATATGTGTTACTGCCACTTAGAGATGACCAGGTGTGCACCCCTGTGTCCCAGTGGGAAAAAAATAGGGGTGTTTCCCACATATGAATCTTTTTTTTCAGAATGAATCTCCCTGACCTTAGGTTCTGATCCCTTCTCAATTCACCTGGGAAACTATTGCTTGTTTGAACTGAGAAATACACTTAAGATCCACCTAGACAATTACCCCAAAGCTTTAAGCAGGACAGTTAAGTAAATTGCACTTTTAATATAGCCATCACACTTTTAAAATTTAAATTTGGAAGTAAACATATATTCTCTTCTGTGATCTGACTTTCTGATTTCATACCTTTTTCAATTTCTCCAAATGGCAGCTGCTCTTATCTTGAGTGGATCCTTTTACACAGTGGTTTTCTAATGGCTGATCTTCATAATGCGGGGTTCTCACACATACCTGTGTCCTAGTGTGTGATATACTTACAGAACTAGGCATTCTAGTTCTATTTCGTGTATATTGCAGTCATACTTCTGTGCTCTGCACTGAGATGCTTCCACTGGTTAGTGGTGCTTCTTCTGCTCTGTGATTCTAATCACAGCAACAAAAGCAGTCACCAACAATCATCAGTCTCTGATATGATTACAGAAAAGCGGCGAAAAGATAAACTATGAAAGGGGTGTGAGAAACCCAGTAAGAGGGTCCTGAAGTGAGGAGTCCATGAAAGTGTCCCCATGACACCTGTTCAGTTTGTTTTTAAAACGAACATAAGACATAGGCATGGGCAAGGACTTCATGTCTAAAACACCAAAAGCAATGGCAACAAAAGCCAAAATTGACAAATGGGATCTAATTAAACTAAAGAGCTTCTGCACAGCAAAAGAAACTACCATCAGAGTGAACAGGCAACCCACAAAATGGGAGAAAATTTTCACAACCTACTCATCTGACAAAGGGCTAATATCCAGAATCTACAATGAACTCAAACAAATTTACAAAAAAAAAAACAAACAAACAACCCCATCAAAAAGTGGGTGAAGGACATGAACAGACACTTCTCAAAAGAAGACATTTATGCAGCCAAAAAACACATGAAAAAATGCTCACCATCACTGGCCATCAGAGAAATGCAAATCAAAACCACAATGAGATACCATCTCACACCAGTTAGAATGGCAGTCATTAAAAAGTCAGGAAACAACAGGTGCTGGAGAGGATGTGGAGAAATAGGAACACTTTTACACTGTTGGTGGGACTGTAAACTAGTTCAACCATTGTGGAAGTCAGTGTGGCGAAACCTCAGGGATCTAGAACTAGAAATACCATTTGACCCAGCCATCCCATTACTGGGTATATACCCAAAGGACTATAAATCATTCTGCTATAAAGACACATGCACACGTATGTTTATTGTGGCACTATTCACAATAGCAAAGACTTGGAACCAACCCAAATGTCCAACAATGATAGACTGGATTAAGAAAATGTGGCACATATACACCATGGAATACTATGCAGCCATAAAAAAGGATGAGTTCATGTCCTTTGCAGGGACATGGATGAAGCTGGAAACCATCATTCTCAGTAAACTATCGCAAAAACAAAAAACCAAACACCGCATATTCTCACTCATAGGTGGGAATTGAACAATGAGAACACATGGACACAGGAAGGGGAACATCACACTCTGGGGACTGTTGTGGGGTGGGGGGAGGGGGGAGGGATAGCATTGGGAGATATACCTAATGCTAGATGACGAGTTAGTGGGTGCAACGCACCAGCATGGCACATGTATACATATGTAACTAACCTGCACATTGTGCACATGTACCCTAAAACTTAAAGTATAAAAAAAAAAAAAAAAAAGAATTACGAAGAAAAGAAAAAGAAAAAAAAAAACATAAGAAACGCACAAAGAAAAAGAACATGAGGCTTCCTGCTTTGGTAGAACCTGTTTTGATATGGCTGAAATGTAAGAATCTTAGGCCAGGTACGGTGGCTCATGCCTGTAATCCCAGTGCACTGGGAGGTCAAACAAGAGAATCTCTTGTGGCCAGGAATTTGTGATCAGCCTGGGCAATGGAGGGAGACCCTGTCTCTACAAAAAAAAAAATGTAAAAATTAGCCGGGCGTGGTGGCATGTGCCTGTGGTTCCAGCTACTTATGAGGCTGAGGCAGGAGGATTGCTTGAGCCCAGGAGTTCCAGGCTGCAGTGAGCTATGATAGTGCCACTGCCCTCCAGCCTGGGCAACAGAGTGGGACCCTGTCTTCAGAAAAAAAAAAAAAAGAATCATATACTATGATATTTCTCCAATAAGCCTTGACTTCCACATAATGCTTAGAATAGCCAAACCCTATCACACAGAGAGGCAAAAAGAAGGTATTGTCCTGCGTTCAGGGTGCTTAGCGTGGACTGGATGCTTACCTGGGTCGGGCCTCAGGGGATAGCTGTGGGTCACCAAAGGAGGGGCTCCGGGAGGCTGCCTGCTGCAGGGAGGAGCTGTGGGCGTGCTTGGGGGACCGTGGCACTTCAGTGAAGGAGGAGTCTCGCCCAGAGAAAGAGAAGGTCGAGGAACTCTCGGCTGCTGGGGACAGGTCATGGGCCTGCCGGGTGGCACTCAGCTCTTGACCTCGTCTTTGGTTTTCTATGTTCAGCAGCACCTCCGGGTCGGAAGAGCCGTCACCCACATGGAGGGCATAGTCCTTGGATTCACCGGCACAGGTCCTGAGCCCCATCGTCTCGGTCCCGGGGTACAGAGAACTAGCATCTCTGCTTGACTCTTCCTGTTTGTCACTTTTTCCTCCCCGCTTCTCGACAGCATCAGGCTCCTTCCTGGACTTGGTATAGCGGGATAAATACTCGGAGTCGGCCTCGGGATCCAGAGTCAGCCCATACTTCTCTGCCAGCTGTCGCCTTCTTTCTGCTTTGTACCTTGCAATTCTTTCGGCTTTGGACTCCAGACTGTGGGTGTCCATGGTACCCGAACCATAGGGTGAGTCACCGTGGACACCGGAGGTTTCTGTGCAGTATTTGGATCGAGTTTGCTTTTCTAGAGAAGAATCAGAAGTTTCCTCCTCTTCATTTGATCGGCCTACAAGAAGGTCACATGGATGAGAGGTGCAGATTTCAAGTAAAGACATGTATTTACACACAGAATGACACTCTACTGCACACAGCACACACCTGGGTGCCCATGCTGTGAAGGACCAGTTTCTCACCGAGGTGTGTTTGCCTAAACTGATTATTTACCTGGGCTGTTGAAGAAGTCTGAGATCGGCAGTGAAATCTACAAAGGCTGTGAATGGTGCACGTTCTGCAAGCCCCGTAAGGCGTGGCTTTAACTTCAGCTCAGCCCCTTCACTCCCCAGAGCGCCTCAGTCTTTGTTCAGTGCTTATTTCCCCTTACTGATTTACCCTTTTTTGTGGAGTTCAGTATTTCACGTGGGAGGCCATAGGATGAGTTGGGTCCTCTGGGAAAGACAGCAGACAAGTGAGCTGCCGTCATTGGACAAGTGATGGATGCTGGTTTCCGGGGATCTGAGAGTAACCATAACGATATGGCCCATATCATTATTCACCAGGCTTTTCTTTTTTACAGAAGTGTTTTTTTTCCCCAGTTATAACACACATGCCTGGTGTAGGAAATATCTAATATGAGCCTGGCATAGTGGCTCACACCTGTAATCCCAGCGCTTTGGGAAACTGAGGTGGGAGGGTGGCTGGAGGCCAGGAGTTCGAGACCAGCCTGGGTAACATAGTGAGACCCTGCCTCTACAAAAATTATTTTAAAAATTAGCTGGGCATGATGGCACATGTCCATGGTGCCAGCTACTCAGGAGGCTGAGGTGGGCAGATAGCTTCAGCCCAGGAGTTCAAGGCTGCAGTAAGCTATGATCGATCATGCCACTGAACTCTAACCTGAGCAAGAGAGCAAGACCTTGTCTCAAAAAACAAAACAAAAAAAAAAACCTATCAATCATCACCCTACAAACTAATAACATTTTTATATATTCCTTCTAGTTAATATAATTTTTTCTTTATAAAATAGTTAGTTATTAATGTTCTATAAAAATATTTTCCGTATTCTATAAAAATGTTTTCCCAGCTGGCTCACAACTGTAATCCTAGCACTTTGGGAGGCTGAGGCAGGCGGATCACGAAGCAGGCAGATCACGAGGTCAGGAGTTCGAGACCAGCCTGACCAACACGGTGTAACCCCGTCTCTACTAAAAATGCAAAAATTAGCCAGGCATGGTGGTGCGTGCTTGTAATTCCAGCTACTCAGGAGGCTGAGGCAGGAGAATCACTTGAACCCGGGAGGCAGAGGTTGCAGTGAGCCGAGATCATGCCACTGCCCTCCAGCCTGGGCAACAAAGTGAGACTCTGTCTCAAAAAAAAAAAAAAAAAAAATTCCCATATTTGGAAATCTATTTTGAAGATATCATTTAAGGGTCCTAACAGTCTATCTAACAGGCATTCCATTATTACCTTAACCCTTCCCATACGGCCTTTTTCATTCCACCTGAATTAAATATTCATGTATCTTTTCCATTATTTTCTTTAAACTAAACAGGTGAGTAACTGGAACTAATTTTGGAGTTTGGTATGAATTGAGAAGAGAGATATGCCTCTTCCCACCCTCTGGCAAACCCATTTTTTTCATTATGATTTTATTAAATAATTCCTCCTTTTCTCACTACTATGTGAAGCTTAAACTTCACATATACTACACAGATTACCATTTCGGGTACACTACGGTTTATTTCTGGCTATAAATTTTGGGACTCTGATCTGTGTATTGATATTTCAAGCGTGTAATTACTTTTTAAGAGGTGGAGTCTGGCCGTGTTGTCCAGGCTAATCTTGCACTCCTGAGCTCCAGCTATTCTCCTGCCTCAGCCTCCCAAAGTGCTGGAATTACTGGTGTTGAGCCACCAAGCCCAGCCTTTTTTTTTTTTTTTTCAATAATTGCATGTGATTTTAAAATATCTTAGTTTTCTAGCTTTCTGGCCACAGGAAATTGGAAACTGTAGAGACAAGCAAACTGATAACATCATAAAATGAGATCAACAGCTGTCTCTGAGCTAGAAACTAGAAAACACTGGCTATAAAAAGCAGCAGCATGGCCGGGCACAGTGGCTCACGCTTGTAATCACAGCACTTTGGGTGGCCGAGGCAGGCGGATCACCTGAGGTCAGGAGTTCGAGACCAGCCTCGCCAACATGGTGAAACCTCATCTGTACTAAAAATACAAAAAAATTAGCCCGGTATGGTGGCGGGCACCTGTAATCCCAGCTACTCCAGAGGCTGAGGCAGGAGAATCGCTTAAACCTGGGAGGTGGAGGCTGCAGTGAGCCAAGATCTTGCCATCGCACTCCAGCCTGGGCGACAAGAGCAAAACTCCATCTCCAAAAATAAAATACAATTAAATAAAAAAAATAAAAAGCAGCAGCACAGCTCCTCAGAGCCAGGGACTGTGGTGGGAAGAGCAGCCCTGCGTGCATTCTCCTCTCCTAAGGTCAAGTTGAATATTTGATGACAACAATGACTGAGTGATTAGGGAAAAGCTGAGTCACGTGCACTCAACATACTGTTTAATATGAAATAAATATGCAACGTATTTAAAATTATCTACATTAAGATAACTTAGATAGAAAGTTTTCTTGCATCTCCAGAGTAAGAACCGTACTCATTCAAGGTGCAGCTTTGACTCTAGCGCTCCCTGCTGAGAGCAGCCGCTCCCTGTACTGGGGTAGAACCTTGAGAGGCCCCTATCTTAGAGCACAGATCCTGTGCTGGGCCCTGAGGGTGAAGAAAGACACAGCTTCTGCCTTTGAGGGCCCCAGTCTAGGGAGGAAAATGACTGGCCTCCGTTACCCAACAATGTGCGAGGGGAATCATTTCATACTGCTGTGACATGGAAGGCCAGATCCGTGAGGCGGGGCAGAGATGACATACATGTTGTTGCTGTTTTTAGCAAATCTATTTAATAGCCAGGCATGGTGGCACGCGCTCATAGTCCCAGGTACTTGGGAGGCTGAGGTGGGAGGATCACTTGACCTTGGGAGGTTGAGGCTTCAGTGAGCTTATCAGGCCACTGCACTCCAGCCTAGGTGACAGAGTGAGACTCTGTCTCTAAAAAAAATAAAAATAAAAATAAACAAAAAACAAATACATTTAACAAAAAATTAGGCCAAGTCCACTGGCTCACGCTTGTATTTTCAGCACTTTGGAAGGCCAAGGTGGGAGGATCACTAAAAGCCAGAAGTTCGAGACCAGCCTGGGCAACAGTGAGACTCTGTCTCTACAAAAATGTTTAAAAAAAAAAATTAGCCTGGTGTGGTGGTGTAAGCCTGTAGTCCCAGCAACTCAGGAGGCTGGGGCGGGAGAACCCTTGAGCTTGAGCCCAGGAGTTAAGGCTGCAGCGAGCTATGATCATACTCCTGCATTCCAGCCTGTGTGACAGAGTGAAACCTTGTGCTAAAAAAATTATATCCACACAATTCACTTCTGTGGAATATCTCATGTTCTGATACCACTGGGTGGAAAGGGCAACTCGTAACCAGCCAGGCAGCCTGCTGGAAAATGGGCCACCCAGCTCCACGCTCACCGATGTGGGGGCTGGCAGGGTCGCTGGCTCTCATGTATCGAGGGGTGTCTTCCTCCAGCAGGCGGTGAGTCACCAATCCTGTGCAGCTCTGCAAGAGGATGGGCTGAGTGTCATTTTCAATCCCTTCCAGGCGCCTGGCAATTCTTTCTTTTCTGTGAAATACACCACAAGAGGCAGAGTGAGCAACAGCGATCGAATCTAAAGGAAAATGGAATACTGCTTTGCCAAGCTCTCTTCTACTTCCTAACTCCCACTATAAAGATCTTACCTTTTCATTTCTAAGAATTCTTTCTTCTTTGGTTCAAAGATTTGTCTTAATTCTGCAACTGGAAGAAAACCAAAAAAGAACAAAATATAGTATTTAGTAGTCGTGCGCTCATTTTATTCACTCATGCAACGTGTTTATTGAACTGCAAATTTCAGTTCTTGATTCCTATGTCACAGTGACATGCAAAACTGACCAAGTTCCTGCTTTCTTGGAAACTGTTTCCTAGTAGGGGAGGCAGATGCCAAATGAATAAGAGTGTGCAGACACACACACACACACACACACACACACACATGGACACACCCTAGGACGCATCATCCTCTTCTAAGGTCAAGCTGAATATTTGATGCCCATAAAAATGACAGAGTTATCAAGGCAAAGCTAAGACATGCTCACTCAACATACTGTTTAATATGAAATATATATGTAATATATTTAAAATCACATACATTAAAATAATTTAAATAGAATGTTTTGTTGTATATATATTGTAACACCTAGCTATGTGACTCACGTATATGTCACATATATAGGTTGGCTAAGAAGTAAAATCCTACAGGGTAAGGCAGAAGGTTTTATTTCATCTAGGGGAATCAAGGGAGACCTGACGAGCAAGCTTTCTCTAGGAAAGTATTTTAGGCAGAAATCTCAGCAACTGTTTCTAACTTTTGTTTGATTTAACAAAGTATTCTAAGCTTCTATTATGGAAATCATTTACAGAAGTATAGACTAGGAGTGTGAACCCCACAGGGCCATCGGCAAGCTACAAGCATGAACTCACAGCCGCTTCTCCTCCACCCTGTCACGGAATTTGTCAATGGCTGTAACTATCTGATTGTGTTTCCAGCAGTGCCTAAAGTGGCCGCTTCAATTAGCTACAGTTTAGATGAACACAGGTCCTCCGCCTCCCTGCACAGGCTTTCACTGGAAGCAAATGTTAACAATGGTTTCCTTGCTATAATTTAGGTGGATGATGGGTAAGGTAATTACCCCAATGTTTCTGGCAGCACTGGAGAAACAGAACAAACGCTGTGCTGAGGTTGGGAGATTCTCACATGATACTGACTACAAGGATATTACTGAGATGCCAGACAACTGTTTCTTTGGAGAAATGGCCAAAGTTCATGGAGAATAAAGGTCTCTCTTTTTGCCTCCTCCTCAATAGCTTAAATTCATAAGGGCGCATCTGAGTGACTCCTATGAAGGACTCAGAATGGGGTGGGAGAAAGAGAGAGGGGTGGCTGGACAGCCTGGGGCCAGGGCCAATGAAAAGTTTTGAAAGGCTGAGTCACAGGAGAAACTCAAAGGAATTTGATGTTTGACTGCTTCAATTTCCATTTTCTTTTCTCTAAGTGGTAATTTTTAGTAATGAGTCAAAACTACACACACACACATGCACGCATACACACACACAAAGTTTTATATTGCCCTTTGTGTTCAGGGATAGAAGCCTTGTTTTTCTTCATTTATTTTTAAGTGATAGCCACCTTAAAACTTCAGTTGAATTGGCTTTTGTTGAGATAGCCGGCTTCAAAAAAACAAAACCTCTCTCCCTCTGACTTCAAAAAGGTCTCCCAGTTGGCCTCCCCAGGAATCAGAGTAGCTGGAGGCAGAGAAGTCCTTGTTCTAATCATGTTCCTATTTAGAAGACAGGGGTATAATGAGAATGGTGCACCCCGCCATGCGGCCTTGGGAGAGGAGGCTTGGTCAATAACAACAGCTTCCCTGTCAACAAATTAGCCCTAGTGGGATTATGGTGATACAACTTTAATGGCTGGTAGGACATATTTTGAAAATATTTTCAAGGATGACAAAAACCAAAGGGTTTTAATTATTTAAACCCCAAAGAGGAAAGTGGAGCCCTATTTTTCAAAAGACCACTCAAGAAGCTATCAAAACCAAATTCCAAGGGTGCCTAAAAGGTACGACTTGAACCCATGCCTCAAACCCTAACTGAGAAATAGAAAATATTAATAGGGTCCTGAGTAGCATAATCACATCCCCTCCCCTCCCCTGCCTTCCCCTTCCCTTTCTTTTCTTTTCTCCCCCCTCCCTTTCTTTTTGAGACAGGGTCTCATTCTGTCACCCAGGCTGGAGTGTAGAGGCACGATCTCGACTCACTGCAGCCTCAACTTCCCAGACTCAAGTGATCCTCCCAACTCAGCCTCGCGAGTAGGTGAGATTACAGGCATGTGCCACCACGCCTGGCTAGCTTTTGGTTGTCTTTTGTGGAGACGGGGTTTCGCTATGTTATCCAGGATGGTCTTGAACTCCTAGGCTCAAGGGATCTGCTTGCCTTGGCCTCCCAAAGTGCTGGGATTGCAGGTGTGAGCCACCGCGCCTGGCCTAACATGTCCCTTTTCTTGCCCCACATTATTTCAACTGGATAAGTATCAAAACCGTTAATAAACCGAGTATCATGTAACTTCCACTGGAAAAAGTTAAGATAGACTTTTCTTGGTTCTAATTAGAGACTGCTGAAAATCACTTTCATTTCATCCAAATTTTAATTAATTTTAAAATTTTTCTATAGAAATGCAACTAAAGGCATTTTAAAAAAAGATTACAACAGTGCATGGAAAAGCAAAGCAACATGTTGCTTCCTGCTATTTTCTATTTCCCATATTCCAGAAAGAAAGATCTAGTTGGGAGACTGTGCAAGCCTCCTGTCCACAGGAAAGGTAGACTTTCCTACTGCCCTTCCAGTGAACACTGCCCTCTGATAGCCATCCACTTCTGGGCATAAAACGAGAAATTCTCAGGATAGGATCTAGCAGACACACAGATGGACCTCATCAGGGTCATGGGCTCAGGAGGCTGGCTCTGGAGAGCTCCCAGATCACTATGGGGGCGCTAATGGCTTCTGAATGGGAAGTGGCTTTGCTGTGAGCTCTGCCGCAGGATGTTGAATGTCCCAGGTTCTTATAGTGATGCTAAATCACCCCCATTTGCTGTGACACAAAAATATCCTCATATATTTCTAAAGCCCCTTAGGGACTGCCCTAAATTGAGAACCATTGAGAATCACTGATTCCCCAGTACTAGAATTTCAAATACACAGCCTGTGCCTTAGACACCCAGGCCCTAGGTTACACAGTACAGACGCCACTAGCCCAGCACTGCACTCTTTTCAGTCAAGCCTAGATTCAACGCAAAGCTATGCCAAGCCTATTGCTCCTGGAAGCTAGAATCCATCAACATAGTGGGTACTTGAAGGGACACCTTAGGGTCCTCTCTGATCATTTCACTGAGGAATTAAATGAGCTTATAAATTAAATTGTCCTTTAAATGTATTGGTGAGCTTATTAATTCCTAGTGAAAATCTATAGTGAATTTTAAAAGGAAAATAAAAAAGTCTCCCCAGCAAACAAATGATGACCTCTCAGTCTATTCTTTCTAGCAAATATATTTTTAATTACCAAGATATGCCTCATTCCTACAGAAACGGGATTATAAGAAATGATGTACAAGACAAAAAGAAGCAACAGAGAGACATTTTGAGTTTTGCCTCTTTTCCCCATGTCTGTACTAACATGTAATATAATTAATGTGTATTATATTACATATCTGTTTTATATTATTATTAATAATAATAGCCAGGCATGGTGGCTCCTGCCTGTAATCCCAGCACTTTAGGAAGCTGAGGTGTGTGGATCACTTGAGGTCAGGAGTTTGAGACTAGTGTGGCTAACATGATGAAACCCCGTCTCAACTAAAAATACAAAAAATTAGCCAGGCCTGGTAGCATGTATCTGTAATCCCAGCTACACGGGAGGCTGAGGCAGGAGAATTGCTTGAACCCGGGAGACAGAGGTTGCAGTGAGCCAAGGCTGTGCCACTACACTCCAGCCTGAGTGACAGAGTGTGATTCTGCCTCGAAATATATATATATATATAAAAAATATGGTTTATATTATATATTTTATATTATTATATAAACCATGTTTTATATTATTTTATATTATTAATCATATAAAACATGTTTTTGTACTATTAATAGCATAAAGCCAATACTAAAAACATCATGCATGAAAGTCACCATTGCTGTGGAAATCTATGTTGTAACGCTGTTGTTTTATTTATAAAGCCTACCTACAGTTCTACCAAAGTTGCCTTCTGGTTGAAAATCTTGAAGGTTTGTGTTCTTTTAAAACTTCAAAAAAATTTTTTGTAATATCAGACGTACAGAAAATGTAAGAGATATCCTTCACAATATGTTAACATTTTACTATATTGGGTTTATTTTTATTCTTCTTTCTCTTAAGTATATTTACATGTGCATATGTGTCTATGTACATACATACACATACATATTTACATAGTATTTTTTCTGAACCATTTGAGTCAATTGCAGCATGAGGCCCCTTCATCTCTAAATTCTTCAGTGTGTATTTCTTAACAAAAAAGAATAAGAATGCTTTTCAAAATTAGGTTCACCAGCTACAATTCAATTGATTATATGCTGTGTCATAATTATAATTCATATATGGTTCATGTTTAGTAATAGTAGTTATTATGTAATCCAGATATAAATAAACATCGATGGTCTAATTTCCATTTTAATGAGACATTTTCTATTTTGCTTTCAAATACATTAGGACTTCCAAACATATCCACCTGTCCCTTATTTTACCTGCTATGTTGGTCTGTTACTCTTCTTTGAGTAATTCGGAGTGGTACTACTGTGGCAATCTGGACTCTGTGAGTCTATTTCTTTAGTTATTTCTGATGGGAGCTGGAGGTTAGTTTTCAAGTAAGGCGATTTAAGGAAATTTGATAGCAGAGCTATAATACTTCATAAAGTTATTTACAACCACCTAATAGGCTTTGCAATAAGACTATATAACACCAATATTCTAGACAATTTGGTCTGCAGGGTGCTTTTCTTGGGAAACATAGTTTCTTCCATTAGCTCTAAGAAACAGAAGGTTTCTGGTTAAGACATTGTTGAGTTCAGTCCTCCAAACTTGAGTACAGTAGAATCTTCCAAAGAAATATAAGTGGCAGGGGTACTGCCAAGAACACTTCTCTCCTTCACACGACAGCTCAAGAGCCCAGGCCAGATTTGGAATATTCTGATCTTACTTCCCACAGGAGTAAAGCCCTTTAACTTTTACTCTTGGATGGCAGCCACTAATATAAAGACAAGCAGCTCATAAACCAAGCAATTACAAACTAGAGGAATAAGGGGGAGAGGTGACAGCTGAAGGGTGTAGGTTTCTTTTTGCAGTCATGAACATGTTCTAAAACTGGCTGTGCCGATGGAGGCAGAACTCTGAATTGCCAGAACCAACGTAATCGCATACTTTAAATGATAGGATTGCATGGATGTGTGTTGTATCTTAATAAACCTGCTAAAGAAAGTGGAGTAATACGTTTGGTCCACTTCATAATTCCTAAATAAAAAATCTTTTTAAATATTATAAACGTTACATAGGTAAAGATTTTTAATCCCTTGATTACTTGTTTGTGATACACAGAGGAAGTCCCGTAGAGAAAAAGTAACAACCACTTTAATGCCCATTTTCACAGGAAATGAACAGAAAGAGACTTCCATAAACTTCTCACACATAAAACTTGATGTCATTAAAATAAAATTATAACCAAATCTTTTTTTAACATAATATTGCTAAGAGCTGACACACAAAATCATTGATACATGTGTTAAATCAGAGAAACAATGAAATTGCTGGTCTTTCCAAATCTGCCTATTTTTTTCATAAAAAGCAAAGATATGTGAAATAAGACTGTAGAGAATTTAGGTGAAATTCAGGGGACATGGGGCACTGGCACTTTTTTTTTTTTTTAGACAGAGTCTCGCTCTGTCACCCAGGCTGGAGTGCAGTGGCATGATCTTGGCTCACGGCAACCTCCGCCTCCCGGGTTCAAGCGATTCTCCTGCCTCAGCCTCCCGAGTAGCTGGGACTTGCCCAGCTAATTTTTTGTATTTTTAGTAGAGACGGGGTTTCACCACGTTAGCCAGGATGGTCTCGATCTCCTGACCTCGTAATCCACCTGCCTTGGCCTCCCAAAGTGCTGGGATTACAGATGCGAGCCACCATGCCCAGCCGGGGCACTGGCACTTTTAAAGCATGTTTTAAAGATTTAGGGACCATGTTAATTTAGAAACACCAATCTGGTGAACACATAAAATCGTCATCTTTGATTTGTAAAAATTATTTTTTATAATCATTTATGACAAATTTTTTAATACAACTGGCTAATAAGCTTAGGTGTTCTAAAAGTTTATTACAGATGAAGTTACCATTTGTTGAACCTTAAGGAACCCAGCATTTCATCCTGTTTTTGATTTTTCTGCTCATAATATTGTCTGCGGTATTATGCATCAAATAAAGGAACTGGGATAGAGGAAGGGAAAGAGGGATGCTTCTGACTGGTGGAAACAACCTCTGCTATGTAGAACTTTGCCTAATAAACTTTTCTCAGCTATTGCTAATATGGATTTGTTCATTCTTATACTTTGTTTTGATCATCTGCATAGGTATTAAGCACTTTAGTTTGGCTCAGAGGAAATTTTTTTTTTTTTTTGTCTTTCACAGAGAGTCCTAAACATTGGCAGAGCCATTCCATCTGACAGCCGTTCCATGCCCCATCTGCACCCGTCCTAACTGGACACGAGGCCACTGGCTTGCCCTTGAAAACTCTGGGGGAGAGCCGATGCGAGCACAGCGTGGACCACCTCATTTCCAGGTACCGTGAACGATTAATTTTCTTTTTGATATGAAATCTCATCTGCCTCCTTGTAATTCTACACGTTATTCTTACTTTTGGCCTCTGGAGCAACATAGAATAAACCTGTATTCCGGCTGACAGCGTTGTCAGTTCTTGAAAATTGCCACATGTCTCTGTCTGGGTTTCCTTCACCAGGCCAAATCCCCTGAGTCTTTCAGACATTCACCCTCATCAGACTGTGTCTCGGCCTATCACCCGTTCAGTTCCTCAGGATATATTCCAATTCGTCAGTGGGACTTTTTTTTACTGGATTTACTTTCTATTAAAAGAATACGTTTTTTGTTCTAATTTCTTTGGGGCATGATTTTTGCTTTTTCTTTCAGAGTAGAAAAAATCTGCCCTTCCATCAAATCTGTTTCTTCCACTGGAAGGTTTCCACAGCTCAGTCAGGATGAAGACATTTTGTGAGCTGAGACTAATGATCATTCCTTGTGCTAGTGTTACAGTTACAAAGACCAATCAATGTTTACATCATTTCACTGGTAACACTAGGGGGAATTGGTTTATAGTTGGTGCAGACATTTTACCGCATGTGCGCCTTGACCAGTGGAAATAGTAATTCACCAAACACGTGTGAGTGCCTCCTTGGGGAAGAAGAAAGATGCTCATGATAAAGTCTGCACGGGCTGTTCGCCGCTCAGCAGGAAGCTACAAGATGTTAAATGTAAAAGCCCTGGCTGGGCGCGGTGGCTCACGCCTGTAATCGCAGCACTTTGCAAGGCGGAGGCGGGCGGATCACCTAAGATCGGGAGTCGAAACCAGCCTGGCCAACATAGCGAAACCCTGTCTCTACTAAAAATACAAAAAATTAGCCGGGCGTGGTGGTGGGCGCCTGTAGTCCCAGCTATTCGGGAGGCTGAGGAAGGAGAATCACTTGAACCTGGGAGGCGGAAGTTGCGGTGAGCCGACATTGTGCCATTGCACTCCAGCCTGGGCGACAGAGCGAGACTCCGTCTCAAAAAAAAGAAAAAAAAAAAAAAAAAAAAAAAAAAAGAGCCGTAAGGCCTGGGGCAGCCTCCAGAGGCAGCAGGAGTGGGTGGACAGAGAAGAAATGGGGGTATGGTCAGAACTCACTGCCCTTGGAGAAGGTTAAACGGAGAAAGAGATGAGGGCAGGGCGATTTTATGTTCCCTGTCTCACCCGCCACACCCAGCCTCTGGCGAAAACCTGAGGATGCCTAAAATTAAAGGGCAAGAAGGAGTAGAAAGGTGAGGATTAAAAATGCATGGATGCATGGAGAGAGGGGGAAGGGAATTGAAGCTAATTCTGGGAGGAGGCAGGAAGGGCCGAAAGGAGACTGTAAGCTGGAGGTTAGGGAGAGAGTTCTGCTCAAGGAAATTCGGACAACACAATACGCATCTACCCAGACATGGTTGGTCACTTAGGAACAGCCTTACCTTTAGGAAGTGCAACTAAAAGCTGAGCATCGATTCCTCTTTCGTGGTTAGCGAGCTGTTCTTTATCTTCGAGTGAGAACTCCTTCTGAAAGCTAAAAATTACTCCATTAATAAAGTTAAGTCCATTTAAATAAAGATATATAAGTGAAAAAATGCAGAACACAAAAATTATGATATTGTTACACATCATTCAATATGTACACATAGATTGCAGGTAAAATGTTTTATATTGGGGAGTAAATTGGTAACTTTTTTCATTTATTTATATTTCTGTAAATATTTGATTTTTTGTGCAACTAATTACAGCAGGATTGGCGGGTGGCGTGGTGTGATGTGTGAAAACATTGCTGAACTGGGAGTCGTGAGCTTTAACTCAGACTGACCACCTCTTCTTGACCTAAGAATAGCTGTGCAAGCTTGCATTAATTACTCAACCTCTCTGTGCTACAATTTCTTCTTCAGAAAATCAGTAACTTGTCTAGGTGATCTACACTCTGTCTTCCAGTGTTAAAATTATGTTAAAGTAACAGATGCCTTCAAACAACCAAGGCATCAAAGCATGGTCAAAAGTTTGGAAAGCCTCATGAAGACTCGTGTTGGAATAAAAGAGGAAATGAAAGAGGAGAATAATAAAGGAAGTGAGCCCTTACTGTGGACTTTCCCCCATGTATCTCCTTAATGCATCTTAATACATCTTAATACATCTCCCCCATGTATCTGCTTTCCCCCATGTATCTCCTTATCTCCCCATGTATCCCCCAGGTATCTCCTTAATTATCTCTCCAAGACCCTAAGAGGTACGAACTACTCAGCGAGGTGCTGATAAAGGTACGAATGGCCCTGCCCTCTTGCCCCGCCCACCCAGGCCCTCCACACGGCCCTGCAAAAAGCACCTGCTTTGTAATATTGACTGGTGGTGTCAACACTCCCACCATGGCGGATCTCAGGCTCCCACAGGACTCACTGAACTCAAAGTTGGGAGAGAGGCACACATGTCTGGCCGCAGCACAACACTGGAACTAGTACCATCCTCAGTTTACAGATCCGGAAATTGTTACATGATTTGCCCAAAGACTCGTATTTGACAAGAAGAGGAGATGAGATTCAAATCCATCTCCTAGTTTCATACTAGCCACAGTCACCCCAAGACTGCTGTGTACCCAACTCCATGGTCTTTGATGTGGTCGGAGCGGGCAGGGCAGAGGGTGCTGCTGCCTCGAAGGAAGAAAACAAACCTGTGGAAAGAGGGAACTGCAGTTCCTCAAGGTCAGTGTGACCTCCAGAGGGGGAAAAGATGGGCTTGGAAAAGACTCACTGTGAAGCTGACCTTCCCCCTGTTCGGGTGCATTTCCATAGAGGCCAAGGAAGAGACCGAGGAAGCCACTGCGCATACTGTGTAAGTGGGACAATTGATAACCTCTACCCCCTGTAAAAACTACAGGGAAAGAACTTCCACACAGTCCAAAGCACAGCCACCATCCTGCCCTCCTAGAACCAAGCCCATCTGAAATCTTCGTCTTTCCATATACAATGTAGCAAAGCTTACATTCCATAGGTAAGTGTGTTCACATTATTTAATGAAAAGTCTTGAGAATAATTATGCTTCATAAGCCACACTCCAGATTGGCTGGAAGAGCCTAGGACACCTGCCTAGTCAGAAACTTAGAATTAGCACCGACTTCTAAACACTGAATTGTAAGGCAGTAACTACTCCTTTCAGTGTAGAAACCTAAAAAAATTAAATAATGGCAGAAATGTACCCGACTTAAGGAATGGCGTGTTATTTTAATTGATTATTTAATTGCTAATTTAAACATCTTGACAAAGCTCTATACTTTCTTTAGGAAACTAAAATCTTTTCAGGAAAAAAAATTCTACATTGAAGTGAAATAATGCAATCCTTGAAATATTCAGCTTTTCAGGCCACTTACCTTGCGGTACAAATGCTATATCTTATTTTCAAAAATAAACATCTGTATGCCGTTATTTTCCTCTTTCTTTCTGTTTCTCAGAAAGCTCAATAGAGCCACTAATAAAAAGCAAGAAACTGTCCCTGAGTTAAATACTCCGCTGAATTTACAGAGTGAGCTTTACGAGTCATCACCGGACACTCCCTGGCTTCACAGGCACTTATTTTCTCGAAACACGCTACAAATAGTGCCAGCACCCATGTGAAGTGCAGCCTTTTGATGGCAGGTCAGAAACCAAAGAAAACCAAAGGTCTAAGAGGAAAGTCTCTGATGCTTCTTAACGTGGTTCACTTGACATGCTGTTTCCTCCCCCTGAGCTCTCTCCTCTCCAGCCTCCTGCCATCGTGTGGCTTCATTTCGCTTCTGGTCTGGGCCTCAGTTGACTGGTCATGTCCTCAGGGCAAAGCACCTAAACCCACTGCCTATTGTGACCATCACCCAAAGTATATTACACACCTCGTTAACCCCAGCACTTTGTGGGGGCTGAGGCAGGAGGATTGTTTGAACCCAGGAGTTTGAGACCAGCTTGGGCAACATAGCAAGATCCCATCTCTAAAAAAAAAAATAGGAAAATTAGCCAGGCACAGTGGCACAAGCCTGTAGTCCCAGCCACTCAGGAGGCTGAGGTGGCAGGATCCATTGAGCCTAGGAGTTTGAGGTTGCAGTGAGCTATGATCATTTCACTGTACTCCAGCCTGGGAGACAGAGTGAGACCCTGTCTGTTAAAAAAATTAAATGATTGAATTAAAAATATTTTAAAAAATTAAAATATGTCGAATGAATGAATGATTACTACAAAACACTTCAAATGAATACTACAATTCACGCTGAAGTATTTTTTGTGTACCTTTTATGCAAAGTTGATGTGATGGCCAGAGGTAACATCATTACAAACATTGAGAATAACTATAAGAGCATACGGTCAATAACATCAGTCATAAGCCCCTCCTCCCTCCCTTCCTTATCACCCTCCCTCCTTTCCTTTCTTCCTTTCTTTCCTTCTTTCATCTTTGGACAGGGCATAATTTGGAACACATCATTCTTTAGTACCTTTGCTCACCTTGCATACATGTGTGAAAAACTGGCATAATTGCACGTGTTTATAAAGTATTGATTTTAGAATCTGCAGCTTCCAGGTAAACATTTATTACTGAGTCCACACGGCTGTCATCACCCTCTGGTCCTGTCTCCGCTGCCTCTCTCCCCTGCTCCCGCTAAATGACTGGGGGCTTCTGAGAAATCAGATGAGCAGACAGGAGGAGCAGGAGCAGGCAGACTGGGCTGGAAAGTGTGGCTCTGGCTCAAGGCAGTGCCACAAGCTGTGATTAATGCAAGACCCCTCAAATCAACATGTGAAATCGAGTTTCTTTCTTTAAAAAAAATCATGTTTCTTCCCTGAACTTTCTCTACCCGAGGGCACCGATCATCAATGAAAACACAGGTAAGACATGCTTGTAAAATTCAGGACGGTTCATCAGTGAGCACCTTTTTTGGCTCATCTGACGCTGATGAAACACAAGCACCTGTGAGGGTCCAGACTCTTCTCTCCTCTCTGCTTCTTCTGACTCAGAGGCCCCCCAGCGGGAGACTGGTAGGGCCCATTACTAATGCACATGACCAGTGACCCCAAAAGCATGGAGCTCTCGGATGCTGGATCCTGCCCTTCCTCCTCAGTCACCCCTCAACCCCAACTTCCCCAGGGACAAAGGGGTGTCTGCAGGGTCAACCTCTGCAGGCCTTGGTGTCTCACTAGAGCTCAACCAAAAGTAAGAGCCTGTGTTTCAGTAGGGAAGCATCTCTCCATAGATACTAAAGTTAGTGCTGTCCACTTCATTTTCTGCATTTTGATTTTAACTTTCTAACAGTGAGAAACACCTTTTGGATTTTTTTCCAACTCTCTTTGTCTCCCCTGAAACAGTGCTCGTTCTTTAGGACTGATTGTTTGTGCCGCCACCCCCCTTCCTCTGCTTCTAAGAAGAGAATGCCCCCTGCTTCTGTGACAATTTTTCTTTTAAACGTGTCCCGTTAACCTACTTAAATGCCTGCCCATAGCAGCACGGGGGAATTTTATTAAAGGGAGAGCAGGATGCTCCGCTGTTATCATCTCTGTTTTTCACAACGTGGAATATGCTACTATTACAATGACTGTCCAGCACCCATGCGGTGTAAGTCTCCTCCACAATCTGTTCATTCCATTACTGAAGTTTAAATTACAAGATATGGGAGACGAAGCCCCATGAGCTCATATTTTCGTCTCTTTTAGCTGGTGTCTGGTTGACCAGATTTCTTCTAAGGAAGCAGGCTCTTGTACCTCCAGCCCATTTCACACTTAGCACCATGGCACACAGGCTGTCATTTTAATAGGTATGCATGACATAATGTCCATGATTTGAGAATAGCTGTGTCTCTTTGAGTCTCTGTCCACTGACGTGTGTGACTTTCATATTGCATGCTTTTCCTATCCTTGAATAAGGAATGCCTTCCTGTCTCTTTTTTCCTTAGTCACTTATTAGCTCCATGACAGTTAAACCAACCTGCTAGGGACATATTAGAGACCAAGCCGAGGCCAGGCGCAGTGACTCACGCCTGTAATCCCAGCACTTTGGGAGGCCGAGGTGGGTGGATCACAAGGTCAGGAGATCGAGACCATCCTGGCTAACACGGTGAAACCCCGTCTCTACTAAAAATACAAAAAAATTAGCTGGGCCTGGTGGCGGGTGCCTGTAGTCCCAGCCACTCGGGAGGCTGAGGCAGGAGAATGGCGTGAACCCAGGAGGCGGAGCTTGCAGTGAGCTGAGATCGCGTCACTGCACTCCAGCCTGGGTGACAGAGAGAGACTCCGTCTCAAAAAAAAAAACAAAAAAAAAAACAAAAACAGAAAGAAACCAAGCCTCAGATCCTATTAAAACATGGCCAAGATGAGAAATACGGATGCATCCCATTAAAAAAGTGACGTTTCGTGAGTCAGTTAAGACAACCTCACTGATGACCCTGGATCATCATTGCTCTAATTAACCTTGTACTTAGATGTGCCGCTTGATGATATTGTGTGTAAAAATTAAAGCATAAACACTTAAAAGATGTGGAGGAAATACACCAAGGATTTGTCCCATCCAGGGTGTTTACAAGATCAACTGCCATTTTCAAATGCAGAGCAGGCTCAGCCTGAGGAGGACAGGAGTTAGACCCCTGTCTATCCTAATGTTGTTGAAATGCAAACCCTTTTTGGTCAAGGAACAATGTCATAATACCTTAGGCACAAGAGCAACTGTGTGGAAATGGGGGCTGGGTCCTTCCGCTATAATGAAGCACAGATTGAGATCTTTGCCTGACTGCGTAGGGGACAACTTTGTGCCTCCATCTGAAAATATCAAACTCTATTAATATAGACAACAATCTACTAAAAAGCACCTGAGATACAGCTACTGTGTATGGCACAGGCATTCATTTCCACTTCTCTTACATCCATGATGATGTGTCATGGAGTTTTAGCACATTAGGTCAATCAAATTAGCACCCATAATATTCTGTGGCCAAGGGGACTGGAAGTTCAGAAAGGTTAAGAGAGAGAGTTGAGAAGACCAGGGAAGAATAACTCACATGGATGGGTGGATGGGTGGATGGATGGATGGATGGATGGATGGATGGATGTGTGTGTGTGTGTGTTTGTGTATGTGTGTGTGTCTATGGAAAAAGGGAGGGAGGGAGCAGAGGAAGGAAGGAGGAAGGGAGAAGGAAGAGAAACAAGTTTAAACCATTTCTAAAAAGAATCTAGCTCCCTTCTTTGATGGACAGATTGCAAAAGGACAGTGCCTGCTTAGAGGCAGGTGTGAGAAAGAAAAGATAATAGTCCTTTAAAAGTTTGCAATGACAAGAGACAGCAAGATTCTGTTCTCCAAATAGTTTCCATAAGCAGAATTAAATACAAAGATTCCTCTGCTTCATACATTTTAATAAATCAAATTCTAGAGAGAAAACATATTGCCAAACATTTAAACTCATGAGTTAGACATTCAAGAGAATAATTTTAAAAGCTACAACAAATCTTCAAAATTTCACAGTTGTTGAGACAAGGCCACTTTACCTTGAAACTTTCCTTTGACGTGGGAATCCAAGGAAGCTTAAGTTTTTCTTGTTGAAATCTAAGGGAAAAGAAATAATGTAACATTGAAATAGTTATGCAAATTGTTAAAAATCCGGTGAGAAAAAACTCTCCAAACTGCTTTTGAACATATAATTTAAGAAAAAGAAAACCATTAACCAGACAAAAAATAGAAATACAAAAATGACACCTTCTAAGAATCAAATTCCACATGGAAATTTACATAGGCAAGTTTTGCTTTTCTCTTCCGGAAAGTAGCCAACATACTCCATGGGTAAATGAAAATAATAACAACAATAATAACAATAATACTTCTAACACAGTTCAATGTTACCATTTAAATTTGTTATGGCAACAAGAATAACTCAAAGCAATTAAATGCTAAATAAGGCAGCTATATACTCAGGAATAGAGGAGAAACTAAGCAATTTTGGTCCAGGCAACTAGAAATGTTTGAGATGCCTTTAAAGAATGGGGGTGGGGTCTGAAGAGCAAAGGACAACTCAGCTGTGTCTTTTGCTCTCATTAAAATCTACACAATAACAACCAATAAAAATAACTATTTATTTGTATTTTGAAGACAAGATAGGTATTATGTAAAGACAGCTGGTAACAATTCTATACAGGAAAAACATCCCAAAGGAACAGGTTAATCAAAACCAGGCACAGACAAAATTTATAACCAGTCTAATGGCATGTAATCTGTTTTACAGCCTTTGGCTTACAGCATTTGTCCACTAAGAAAACCACAAATAGACCATTTACAGAAACTTCTTCCCCTAAGGAAGTGCCTTTTGCTCTTTAATATTTAGGGGCAGAAGCCCAAGGAAAAATAAGTACAAAATATATCAGATGTTGACACTTCATTATCCATCAAAATACATCCTCAGTCCTGGAATTTGGAACTGTGGCCAACTAAAGAAATACAATAAAATGAAAGGTATAATGCCAGTAAAACATCTAAGCTTTTCTCTTAACTATGCAAGTATCTTGTTATGTAATTAACCAAAGAGAAATCAATTCAGAAAGCTTTCAAGTGCTGTAGGAGAAAATTCCTGAATCTGAGGTCTGAATTGTTCAAGTCACTTCCCAATAGTGCATTTGAGCTGGAAAGCAGTTCTGATGTATAATGGCTGAGTTTCAAATATGATACTCAAAATAACCTTAGCGTTTCAGTTTTGTTCAATCAGTGAACTGAACATGCCACACCACTTCAGTAGTTACATTGAAAGCATGTATTTTCCTCTGTGCTGGAAGAAAGCCACTGAAAAGACAGTATCTTGTTCCAAACTGTCTCACATGAAGAGTTAATAAAAAGACGCTACTCACCACTGCCTACTGGAAATAATTTAGTATGTATAGCATTTGATTTAGAAAAATATTTTAGCTAAAGTGCAGCACATCTAGCATTTGATCCAAAGTGTGGGCATTCCAATTGCATTTGCAATTTTTCCTACAAAAAGGTTTCAGTGGTTTAGTAGTAACTTTAACTTATTAAGGGAAAACAAATTCACATTATCAGCAATCACAAGATAAGCTCATTTATAAACTCAATTAGATATTTAAAGTGTCTTTGGAGAAATGTGTATAAGTAACTGAACACAGGAGAATACATAGGGCAAAATAGAGGACCCCAGGCATTCATCGTGTTATACAATCCATACATAAGTGCATTTCGTATTTATCTTGCCTTACCTTGTTTCTCAGAGAATTTGAAAGCTCCCAAATAGCTGGAAAACCCTGGGCTTCTGAACATGGCTGCACACAGACGGCTCGGTCACACAGCCTGCTCTACAGCTAATTCTCAGCCAGCAACCACCTTCGTCTGGTCTAAGCAAAACTGGGTTGAGATTTTTCACAGTGCAGGACTAGAGCGACCAGGCACTTGTATCTTTGTGCCTATGGTACAGGAGAAGCAAGAGGCCACTGGCTGGAATAGCTCAGACCCCATAATCAGATTATGAACAGAAATTAAGCCTGGAGGCGCTGCAACAGACTGGAGCCCAGTGATGGGACGTGGGTGATGTAGATGACCAAGGCAAAGCCATGGAGCATCCCAGCATTTGCTCTGGTTAAGGAGACAGTGCTGCAACCTAACCATCCTCGGAGGAGTCAGATACAACTTCCTCTCCCTACGGACACACATACAAAGAAAAACCTACAGAGACCCTCGTGTATTGGGAAGAAGGGACGCTTGAGTATTTCCAGGCTGCTGCAAGTCTGGCTTTGGCTAAGTTAAGTGAAGTATTTTACCTAACAGAGAGCCAAAAACCCATACTTAAGATTTATGAACAACATATGAGTGAAACTGTGGGAAAAGAAAGGGCAGATATTACTAGAGATTCAAAATTTTAATTTGAGGTAGAAGCTATTAAGTTAAGCTTTGCCTATTAGATTGCCCCCGCTTAATTTTAACCACAATATGTAGTTGATGAGCTCAAGCAATGCTCATGCAATTCCAAGAAAAATTCGCAATAATTACAGACTGATTGTACAGAAAAACGGAACATTCAAGAGAACCAGGAGAAATGGTCTCATTTGCAAGCTAAGGAAATAGGGCTAGACGAGTAGCTTGCTCCTGGATAGACAACTGTTTGGTGATGGAGCTATGGGATCTTGGGGAGGCGGGATCAAAATTGTGATTCACCACACCCCACCTAGGAGCAGGGACTCTGAGTTACTCTTTGTATCTTTAGTTCTGGACACTGTACCTGGTGCACAGTAGGGCTGCAGGAAATGTTTGCTGAATGACCATAGGAAATCACAAGATAATCTCTTCTAAAAGCTAGAGATCTCCTTCTAAAATGGGTGTGTGGAGTTAGTATCCTGTGTTCAAACCAGGTGGACTTAGACTAATTTGTAAAATACAAACACACTTAAGGTGAAAATGAAGAATTATATGCTGAATTAATAAAGGCACATAAACACAAGGTACATCAACCCTGGGTACTAGAGGGGTCAGTGGTGGCATTTTTGCCATTTTTCTCTAAACTCATTACATTATAGTCATAAAATCAGGAAAAACTATGGCAAATAGGATAGTTAAAAAAAACTCAGCGAGGAACAACGTCAGTACCTTGGATAACTAAATTAGAAACTTGATGGTAAGGTCATAGATAATTAGCAACAAAAAGAAAAACGGGAGTGTTGGGAGGAGAAGAGGAAGGAGAGGAAATAGTAAAAGCAACTGATTCTGGAAATAAAGAGATGAACCAGGCATGGTGGCTGATGCCTATAATCTCAAAACTTTGGGAGGCCAAGGCAGGAGGATCACTTGAGGCCAGGAGTTCAAGACTGGTCTGGGCAACATGGTGAGGCCCTGTCTCTACAAAAAATAAAAAATGAGCTGGATGTGGTGGTACACACCTATAGTCCCAGCTACTTGGGAGGCTGAGGTGGGAGGATTGCTTGAGCCTGGGAGGTCGAGGCTGCAGTGAGCCATGGTTGCACCACTGCACTCCTGCCTAGGCAACAGAGTGAGATCCTATCTCAAAAAAAAAAAAAAAAAAGAAAAAGAAAAAGAAAAAAAGAATAGAGAGATAGGATGAAATAATATACATGTTGACATGTTGATAAATAATCCTTTATAAAGAATGTAACAGTTTATGGAACACAGTATCACTGCTCATCACCCTTTTTGTGCCTGAAAATTACTCTTCCTGTAGAATACTCAATTACAGTTATCTAAAAGAATCTAAATGTTTATTTTGAATTATTATTAAGGAATAAGTCTATTCTAATTTTTTTTCAAATTTTCCTGTCGCTTGCTTTTCCTTTTCTCCTTTTTTTTCAACATTTATTTTAGATTAAGGGGTATGTGTGCAGGTTTGTTACATGGGTACATTCAGTGATGCTGAGGTTTGGGGTATATGGGTCCCATCACCCTGGTACTGAGCATAGTACCCAATCATTTGTTTTTCAGCTCTTGTCCCCTTCCCGTATTCGAAATTTGAAAATAAAATTCCAGTACACATTTTTTTTAATTGTTGGGTATTATCTTTAAGTTGGTAACGGAGTCTTACCAGAATTCTTTGCCTCACCCATGGATTACGGTACAAAGCAAACTGATTTAAATATGACATAGTTGTTGAAAGGAAAAAGGCACAACATTCTTTATGAAATTATGGATATAAAATTTAATCTATTATTTAGGTATCCTATCCATAGGAAACCAAATAAGACTGTGAAGAAAAATCTCTATTTTATGTTCATAGAAAGTATCTTTGAAAAATTTTCATTTACTCTCCAATAATTATAATGAATTATTATTTTTAATTTTTCCACTTGACATTCAAGAATTATTACTACTATTATTATCATTATTGTTTTAGGCTAGCTTATTCACACAGGGGAGCTACAAAATACCCAAACATTTCCTCACGTCATTCTGTAGGTTAACATATTTATTTGCAGAGAAATTCTAAGTTGTGATTGTGACTTTTTTTTTTTTCCCGCTCTGTCACCCAGGCTGGAGTGCAATGGCATGTCTCTTGGGTCACTACAACCTCCACCTCCCGGGTTCAAGCGATTCTCCTGCCTCAGCCTCCTGAGTAGCTGGGATTACAGGCGCGCGCCACCATGCCCAACTAATTTTTGTATTTTTAATAGAGACGGGGTTTCGCCATGTTGGCCAGGCTGCTCTCGAACTCCGGACCTCAGGTGATCCGCCCACCTTGGCCTCCCAAAGTGCTGGGATTACAGGTGTGAGCCACCGCGCCCAGCCTGTGACTTTCTTAAATTTCAGGGAGAAGACGTTTTAACCGAGCGCTGATGGTGGTGTATTCCCTTTTCAATAGCATCACACAGCCACCAGCTCAGCATGAACGCACAAAGTTCCCTGCTGCTGTGTCCACTGAGAAGCACTAATCTTACTCAGGGGCAATGCTTTATGGAAGTACAATATTTTACTGAATATTTTTAAGGCTGTAATCTTTAAAGAGAAGTAAAAGCAAATACTGAAGTTGCCTTTAGATGGGCGTGCGAACCTGCTTTAGGAGAAGGGGTAAAACTGTGTGCCTGGGAGAGGCTGAGGGAGGTCACTGTCATAGCATGTCATGTAACATGGTCATGTCATGGTACACATCACACCACACCATGGTACATATGACATCGGGCCATGGTACATGCCATGTCATGTCATGGTACACGGGCGGTGGCTGGAGGAGACCTGAAGGATCTATGAGTGAACCATTGGGATGCTGACACCCCACAGTGATATCACTGGAACAAATGAATCAGGCCCTGGTGGACCCTGGTAAGACTGGAGACGAAGGGGCCTTTCTGATCACCTGGTCTTCATGTAATGAAATGTTAGATGACTCCTGTAGAATACTCAAGGTCACAAAGCTTGTGGCGTGGAAGTGCCAGGCTGAAAATCCACATGCTCTGACTCTCCCCAGGACAACTCCCACATTCCTGATCAGCCTGAGCACAAGAGAACCGGGGCCACTGTTGTAAACTTGTCCTGGATTGAGGTCATAGGGCCTCCCAGCCCTGGCCCACATGGATGTCGCTGGTAAAGGGGCCAGCCTGACCCCAGAAGGAGACATCAGGCCAGCTGCAGTTGTCTTTCATAAACCTTATGATTTCTAGGTCTAGTTTTGATCCCACAGACCTTGCTCGAAACCAGGGCTACCCCCAGATATGAGTAACTAGGGCATAGCTAAGGCCATAAGGCTCAGAGAGAAGTCAGTGTCCCTGGTGGGGTGTGGGTGTTGTGTATAAAAAGAAGCAATTGATTATTATTTTTCCTTTTCTTCCTAATTCTCCCACCTTACTGGAGAGGAATAAGATATGGATGTGGCTACTTTGAAGTGTGTAGGAAGCAATGACTCATTAATTCTATTTCTAAAAATGCACATGAAATTACTGTGAATGAACTCAAGGGTGTTTACCATTTGTATACTGATACCACCCAATTGTCTGGCACTGAAGATGTGGTGTCCAGTCCACTTTCCCACCAGTGTTTAAGGAAACCATCTCTCTTAAGCATATTTGATCTAAGTGTGCATATGCATATGAGTGCCATGGGCTAGGCCAATGCTGAATTATTATCTTGACGAGAAATGATGACGTAAAAATTAAGCTTAGTAGGATTACACTGAGGCCCAGCCTAGGTAACAATTGTGAGACAAGAAGTTTGGATTTCTTAGTTTCCTTCTGTGGAGACTTTATTTCAGGATTCTGGCAATGAAATATTTCTGTGAAACTTGTTTTGCACACTTCTATCTGTGTGCTTCTAAGTAAACTATAAATTCTGATTCTTTAAGTGTTTAAGTTTCCTATAATTCCTAATTTTCTTGGGTATTTGGCACTAAGACCCTTGCTCTCTTTCTCTCACTGGATGATTTAGTAAGCCCTACTGGTGCTATTCTATTGAGTGGAAGTGAGCGGCTACCTTTGCCGGCTGAAAAATTCCAAATAGATAATTGAACTAGTGAAGACTGAGCTCTATAATAATTACAATTATTCATTCAGACAACAAGAATATCATGACACGGTTTTCTCAATAACTGACAGACACATGTGATGGAATCCTCATGAGAAAATCCTTACTTTTTACCTAGGATTGATTTTTTTAAGGGTTGAGAAATATGACACATTGGAATTTTGCTCAATGCATTATAGTCATTGAGGTCTAAATACAGACTAAATTTTCTATAATATTAGTATAGTATTCTAACAGTGCTAGGATATGTTTTGATCACTGATGAATCTTTATGACTGAAGTACCCTTGCAATTGGGGTATAAATGTGAGTTACAATAATATGTGTTTTCCCATGAAACTTGAAATTGGATAAATTGATGAGCAATCTGGTACCTGACTTTTCTCTCCCGAATACGTTTGGCTTCATTTTCGTTATGATGAAAGTGTATGCTGTGAACGATGCCAATGGTAAATAAGACCTTTATGGACACTCATAAGAATGACAATCAGGGCCTTTCCTTCAGGCAACATGATTACCCTTGTGCACTCTTCTTCTCAATGAGTGACTAGCATACTTGATGGGATCTGCAAGAGGGAAAATTTACTTTTTACTAAAATTGCATTGATATAATGTTGACAAGGCTTGTGATTATTGGTATCATCTCTAAGAGGTGATATTCATTTGGTCTACATATAGAAGTTAACCTATTAACTTCTAATTTATATGTCAGGTTGCTATGTTTTTACAATGTTTGTGGTTTATTGATGATGACTCAGAACATAAAGACTATGGCATTATGGCGACATGTTCTAATTCTGATATATACATACCCCATCATTTATTAAATTAAATAAAATTATGAGTAGTATATCTTTTTCTGTCACCCAGGCTGAAGTGCAGTGGTGTGACCATAGTTCACTGTTGCCTTGAACTCCTGGGCTCAAGAAATTCTCCCACCTCATCCTCCTGAGTCTCCAGAACTACAGGCATGTGCCAACATGCCTGGTTAATTTTTGAATTTTTTGGTAGAGATTGGGTCTTACTATGTTTCCCAGGCTGATCTCCAGCTCCTGGCCTCAAGTAATCCTCCTGCCTTGGCTTCACAAAATGCTAGGATTACAGGCATGAGCCACCGCTCCCTGCTAGTAGTATTTCTTTTATTCTTTTTAACAATGCAAATGATTTTTTTTTGTTTTTTTAGACGAAGTCTTGCTCTGTCACCAGGCTGGAATGCAGTGGCGCGAGCTAGGCTCACTGCAACCTCTGCCTCCTGGATTCAAGCGATTCCCCTGCCTCAGCCTCCCGAGTAGCTGGGATTATAGGCACGCTCCACCATGCCCAGTTAATTTTTGTATTTTTAGTAGAGACGGGTTTTCACCATGTTGACCAGGAGGGTCTCGATCTCCTGACCTCATGATCCACCTGCCTCGGTTTCCCAAAGTGCTGGGATTACAGGTGTGAGCCACCGCACCTGACTGCAAATGATTTTTTAAATTTTAATAGTTTTTTGGGTACAGGTGGTTTTGGATTAAACAGATAAGTTTTTCAGTGGTGATTTCTGAGATTTTAGTGCACCCTTACCTGAGCAGTGTACAGTGTACCTAATATGTAGTCTTTTATCCCTCACTCCTCTCCCAACCTTCCCCTTAGAGTCCCCAAAGTCTATTATACAACTCTTACGCCTTTGAGTCCTCATAGCTTAGCTCCCACTTATACATGAAAACATATGATATTTGGTTTTCCATTCCTGAGTTACTTCACTTAGAATAATGGTCTCCAGCTCCATCCAGGTTCTTGCAACAGACATTATCTCATTCTTTTTTTACGGCTGAGAAGTATTCCACAGTGTATATATACCACATTTTCTTTATCCACTTGTTGGTCTGTGGGCACTTAGGTTGGTTCCATGTCTTTGCAATTGTGAATTGTGCTGCTATAAATATGCGGGTGCATGTGTCTTTTTTATATAATGACTTCTTTTCCTTTGGGTAGATACCCAGTAGTGGGATTGCTGGATTAAATGGTAGTTCTACTTTTGGTTCCTTAAGGAATGCCAATAACATTTCTTTACACCAACAACAAACTATATAATAAAGAAATTAAGAAATCAATCCCATTCATAATTGTATCAAAAAATAAAATAGTTGTAAATTTAACCAATTAGATGAAAGATCTGTATACTGAAAACTATAAAACATCGATGAAAGAAATTATAGATGACTCAAATAAATGGGTCCGTGAATTGGAATAATTAATATTGTTAAAGTTAATGGACCCAGTTGCGTATACATTTATAAATGTGTATTTGTGTATACATTTATAAATGTATAAAATGGGAATTAGTCTACCTGGGGTGCATATAGAAGACTGGGTAAATCAATTACACGAGCAAACCAGGGTTGAAACTCCATTACTGATTTGAAAAATTTTAAATATTATATTAGAGATGCACACACACCTAATCAGAATGACAGGAAATAAACCAAGACATTAATTCTCTCACAACTCAGAGATAACTCTGTTCATGTGTTTTCCAAAGTAACTTCTCTATTTTCCAAAGTATCCACCATATGCACGATTTCCTTCTGTAATTGCAAAACAATTAAATACAAATGAAGATGAAGGCAATAAGACCTCTTAAATCCCCAAAGCTTAGACATAGGCTAAAAATCCAGGAGAAAATCCTGGCATGAATGAATGGCGCCTATGGCTCAAAATCAGCCTGCTCACTTCTTCCAGCAGATGCATTTTCTTGGCTGTAAATTGAGGAGTTGGTCTAGATGGTCACCAAGATCCTTGATAACAGGCACCAGTGTTGCTTAACCTTGACACCAGGTGCGCACAGAAGAACCTTGCCCTGCCTACCAACATTGAATTCACCTGTTAAATCCCCTTCCTAAATGTTCTTCTTTATTACCAATCACACCTTTCCTGCTCAAAAGCCTTTATTGTCTCCTAGCTAAAGGATTATAAAAACTGGAGAGACAGCACGTGATGCACACTTCCGGGTGCATTTCTAGCACAGAGCCTGGCTCAGAACAAGTAAACTATCAATACTGCTTGAATGGATCAATCAATCAAATGGGCAGGCAAGCACTGAAATCACTTCTATCCTTAAATTTCTCCCATTCTTAGCCAACCACATTTCTTGAATAGTTTGCAGAGAGGAAAAGTATTACTTCTCTTTCCTCAGCCTGAGACTATTACTTAAAGTCTTCTTGTCTTTCCTAAAATCTGAAGCCATGATGTGAAACAGAAATATTTGCATGTAGGGAGAATCAGGAAGAACATGCTAAAGATTCGCTGGGGAAACTGGAAGTATCTTATTATGCTCTATTTCACCTACTTCGTTACTATGTGTATTCCTAGTTTTCTTCAGAACAATGTGTTCATCTGAGTTCCTGGGCATCTAACAGGATTTCTGAGCTAGGCAAAGGTAAAAACGGGGACAATGGGCCAGGCACAGTGGCTCACGCCTGTAATCCCAGCACTTTGGGAGGCCGAGGCGGGCGGATCATGAGGTCAGGAGATCGAGACTATCCTGGCTAACGCGGTGAAACCCCCTCTCTACTAAAAATACAAAAAAATTAGCTGGGTGTGGTGGCGGGCGCCTGTAGTCCCAGCTACTCGGGAGGCTGAGACAGGAGAATGGCATGAACCCCAGAGGTGGAGGTTGCAGTGAGCAGAGATTGCGTCACTGCACTCCAGCCTGGGTGACAGAGCAAGACTCCGTCTCAAAAAAACAAAACAAACAAACAAAACAAAAAACAAAAAACAAAAACGGGGACAATGATTCCTGCAGTCCAACTATTGACAATGTCTCAGTATGAGTCCAGGTGAGACGTGTCACCTCCCAAATTGACAAGGTCAAAAGCTAAGGCGTTAGATGACAGTCACGGTATTAAACCTTCAGGGACTGTGTAGCGCAGGTCACAGCGGCAGCTCAGACTTACAGGGAGGCTATTTGGGGAGTCAGACGCTGTCACTTGTTCTGGCTGATGACACACAAGCACCCCTGCAACGCTGTCCTTTGAGGCAACTCTCCTTTGGGGGCCATCATCCTGGGGGAGAAAACGAGGGCAAAGCCAAGGGAAAGGGAAGTAGCCAGCACTTCCACTGCAGCCAGCCATTTCCCACCAGGGCCGAACAGGATGGTGCCTGTGACCTCCCCTGGCTCATCACTGGGGGGCGGATGCAAGGCTGAGGGTCCTGGAGTATTTAATTCCTTTAGTCTTCTCGGTGACTTATCCTCATATGCAGATGAGAAAACCAGGATAGTGCCTGACCTAGGATAGATACATCAAGCGTAGACCAACAACTTAAAATACATCTCTGAAGGCAAAACAGGGCCTGGTGGTGGCTTATGCCTGTAATCCCAGCACTTTGAGAGGCCAAGTCAGGAGGATTGCTTGAAGCCAGGAGTTCGAGAGCAGCCTGGGCAACAAAGTTAGACTCTGTCTCTACAAAAAATTTAAAAAAAAAAAATTTAGCTGGGCATGGTGGCACATGCCTGCAATCCCTACTTGTAATCAGCTGCTTGTGAGGCTGAAGTGGGAGGAGCGTTTGAACCCTGGAGGCCAAGGCTGCAGTGAGCTATGATCACGCCACTGCACTCATCCAGTGTGGGCAACAGATTAAACCCTGTCTCTAAAAAAATTGTTTTAATAAAGGCAAAACAGCCATTCCCTGGCCAGCCACAACAAAATCAAAGAGGGAAATAGGATGGTGAGGTCAGGATAAAATGAGAGAACACGTATAGAAGCACTCCAAAAATGGACTGCATTATTTAATCCACACAAGGAACTCCGTATTGAAAAGGGATTCAGGTGCACTACATGCTCCTCCAGAGGTCCGTACGATGTCACCTCATGTCACCTTGTTGTGCTCAGTGAACATCAATGAAAGCACTCCCAGTCTACAGGAAAATGAGCTGGAATGAATGAATTAACTAATTAATGTATGTATGTATGTATGTATTTATTTGAGACAGGGTCTGGCTCTGTTGCCCAGGCTGGAGTGCAGTGGTACAAACACGGCTCATTGCAGCCTCAACCTCCTGGGCTTAAGCCATCCTTCTACCTCAGCCTCACGAGTAGCTGGGACCACGCCTGGCTATTTTTTGAAATTTGTAGACATGGGATCTTGCCATGTGCCCAGGCTGGTCTCAAACTCCTGGCCTGAAGTGATTCTTCCACCTTGGCCTCCCGAAGTGCTGGGATTACAGGCGTGAGCCATCAAACCAACCATGAGCTGGAATTTAAATGTACAGTATAGGGGAGTGTGATATTATGACTAGCAGTTGTCTGAATACATACTGACATGACTTATCAATACATTTCCAAAATCAAGAAGTGCTATGGAAATGATTTTAATGAAATCTACTATAAGCTACTAATGATGATGGCTGGAGTGAAATTCCAAAGTGAAGAACATATTTTCATAGCCCAGTAAAGGAGCATTTTGTATGCTAGCAACAGCCATAAATGGTATTCTCATTTTCTTTGGTGGATTTTCTTTATGTGTGCAGATCCTTAATCTGAGGCAGAACTGCCTGACCTGAGAAAATTGCCCCTAGGGAAAGCCCACTTAGGCCCTTTCATTTCCCCTTGATCACATCTCACTGGTCAGTCAGACTTTCCAGATTCCTCATTTTAGTCTAATTCTCCTCCTGCGTGCACTGTGAGATGCTCTGTGAATTTTGGTTAGTGGTAATATTTTGGACAAGCGTGCAAATAAAATGTTGCATTACATCACTGCATAAGGTAATTTGAAACAGACCACATAGGTGGAGATGAAAAGGCAAAGTACGTTCAATAAGAAATGTTGCAAGTCACAGCTATTTTTTCTTTATCGGATGTGTTGAAAGAAAACCATGCCAGCCTTTCTAAACTTCAGAATTCTTTTTTAAAGAAAAGGCTTATTGCAATCACCTAAAAGACTTATTAGTGTCTTTAAAGTTAATGTTCAAAAGAGTAATGTTAACATTTGTAATGAAATTATCTCCAATCGTTTTAGTTTCTGGTTCATTCCAAATCTATGGCTAATGACTCTTGGAAAGAAAAATTCAGGTACCTCAGAGGAAGAGAGAATGGTCAGCTGATTGTCAGAAAAGAAAGACATAGGTCAGTTCTGTGTTTAAATTACACACTGAATATACATATGATGGAATATTATTCGGCCTTAAAAAGGAAGGAAATTCTGATGCTTGCTACAATGTAGAGGAACCTTGAAGACATTATGCTAAGTGAAATAAGCCAGTCACCAAAGGACAAATACTGTACAATCCCACTTATATGAGGTTTCTAGAACAGTCACATTCAGAGACAGATAGTAGAAGGGAGTTTATCAGGGGCTGGGCAGAGGGAAAATTGGGGAGTTGTTGAATAGGTAGAGTTTCCATTTGGAATGATGAAAAAGTTCTGGAGAGGGATGGTGGTGATGGCTGCACACTGTGAGCGAATGCACCTAAATGCCACCGAACTGTTCACTTAAACGTGGTTGAAATGGTAAATGTCATGGTGTGTATATTTCAGTGCAATCTACAATAAAATGTACACTGAGGGCAAATCACAGCTGACATACAATGCAGGCACATGCTGAGCACCTGGAGAACAGCTCTTGTGAGGGGCACATGGCCGGCCCACCACTTGCCAGAGGCCAGGAGACGCCAAGGACGATTCTGACCTGTTCAAAGCCCCAACCCACAAAGGGCTCTTAAACAATGATGTGACGAATAAACATAAAACTAGCTGTTCCCAGGAACGGTGGCTCACACCTGTAATCCCAGCACTTTGGGAGGCTGAGGCAGGAGGACTGCTTGAGACCAGGAGTTAGAGACCAGCCTGGGCAACATAGTGAGACCCCCATCTTTACCAAAAACATTTTAAAATTAGCCAGGAATGATGGTGTAGTTCCAGCCACTCAGAAGGCTGAGAAGTGAGGATTACTTAAGCCCAGAAATTTGAGGCTGTGGTGAGCTTTGATCATGCTACTACACTCCAGCCTGGGTGACAGAGTGAGACCCTGTCTCTAATAATAATAATAATAATAATAATAATAATAATAATAGTAAACCTAGGTGTTCACTGTATGGGGTCTGTGGCTGCATCCCAGGACATAAGGTGCAGCATGCCACACCTTCAGAGCTGCGGGGGCCCATGCCTCTCCTCTCGTGAGAAGAAGACCTCATGCAGAGGGGAAGGGGCTGACTTGATTACAATCGTCCAGGGAGAGCGGAGAAGGCTCTGCCAAATCCAGTCATTCAGTGCTCACTACTTGATGGTTTTCACATGAACAGAAAGCAGGGAAACACTGAGTCGTCACAGAGGAGAATTTCCTGTGAGTCTAAAAGTCCAGATAGCAGACAAGCACATATATAAAATGTCTGTTGGTACCAGATAGATCATAGCTGTTCTAGAGCTAGACTCCAATAATTTGAAGGAAAGTTTCAAATAAAGTAATTTCTGGCTCTCCTTGTTCTCAGAAGGGCATCTTAATAAAGTAACAACAATGACAATCTCAGCAATAATAATCAGTATGAAAATGCAAGAAAAGCTCATCAACCTGTGATCTCCAGTGTCACCCTTGTTTTCCATGGGTTATTTTTTATTTTTTGAGACAGGGTCTGGCTCTGTTGCCCAAGCTGCAGTGCAGTGGCACAATCACAGCTCACTGCAGCCTCGACCTCCTAAGCTCAAGCCAATTCCTCCCACCTCTGCCTCCTGAGTAGCTGGGACTACAGGGGCCCACCACCACGCCTAGCTAACTTTTGTATTTGTTGTAGAGATGGGATCTCAACATGTTGCCCAGGCAGGTCTCAAACTCCTGGGCTCAAGCAATCCTCCCACCTCGGCCTCCTAGAGTGCTGGAATTACAGGTGTGAACCACTGCACCCGGCCTCCATGGGTTGTATTAACTGGTACCCAAGACCTACCAGTCTTTCAGAACAGGTCCCCAGCCCCTTGCTGATTGATGCGGGGTAGGGGAGGGCGTGTTTGTGATATTTCACACTTTCATGATTGGCTTTCTTCATGGTCATATTATTGCACCAGGAAAGCAGATCCCGTGCTCACAGTGCAGGTGCCTTGGGGAGGTCATGACACAAAATAAATCAAAGGCACATTCCACACTGTCTGTTGAAATGACTCAAGACACGTTTATGCGTGGGTGTAACATCTGATTAAGCAAAGGATATCAAACTTGGGTGGCCCTCAGACCACTTGCGGTATTTGTTTAAAATGAAAGTCCTCCCACCACAGGTGATTAGGATACGCCCACAGAATTAGAAAACCATGAATACAAGCCACCGATGATATAAAGCCTGGGAAGAAACAGGGAAACAGCATAATCAGATGGGGTGAGTGTGACGAAGGAAGGCTTCCTGGAGGACGAGACTGGAGAGCTTACTTGTGGAGGAGATGATGGCAATAGGTGAACAGGGAGGCCATGGGCCCTCACCTCCGTGCCAGGAAGAAGAGCGGACAGTGTGGGAGCTGGAACTGGGAAGAGGCCTAACCGGGGCGTGGGCTTAAATGGTCCCATCCCTCTGCATGGTAAATGCGCCTGACAGCAATCACTTAGGCACACCCTGAGAATGGCCCTGTATGGCAGCGGCACCTGCATGGGGTTCAGGGTTCCAAGCTAAGGAATCCAGGAGAGGCCAACTGGAGATTCGTTCCTTATCTATGAGGAACATCTGAGCAGCTTCCCTGCCCTGCTGCCACCACTGCATGCACAGGGGGTCTGGACTGTTTGTTTTGGGGTATGTGAAGGCTGCCAGGTGGAGATTGTCGGGGAGGTGCCAAGTGGACATGCTATTGCTATATAAACTGCATGCCTTTTGAAAGCGGTTGTGGTTCTCCCACTCAGCCCGCTGCCACTGGACTCTCTCCCCTGTATGCAAGCCCACAACAGAACCCCGTGCCTCGTTCACTGGCTCTGGGTCTCCTCTTCGGCCTCTTTAACCTGCGGCCTTCCCATGGAGTCGACACGGGTTCGGCAAGACAGCCACCCACATTCAGACGGAACGTGCTGTGGGCCCAGCCAGGGCATTCTGAGGTGGGAAGGGAGGCCGTGGACAGCCCGTGAAGAAGCATCAGAGCCATCCCTGTAGCCCAAGTGGAAAAAGAAAATTCAGATACTTGTCACACCCAGACATCAAGCTGGGATACATCATGCTGCTTGGTCTTCAGGTGGTGAGAAAATACATTAAAGAAATAGACAGGGTCTTGCTCCATCACCCAGGCTAGAGAGTGCAGTGCTGCAATCACAGCTCACTGAAGCCTCGACTTCGGGTTTGAGCAGTCCTCTCCCACCTCAGCCTCCCAAGTAGCTGGGACTATAGGTGCACATCACCATGCTCAGCTAATATTTTTATTCTTCTTCCTTTTTTTTTTTTTTGAGACAGGTTCTCCCTCTGTTGGCCAGGCTGGAGTGCAATGGCATGATCATGGCACATTGCAACTTTGATCTCCTGAGCTCCAGTGACCCTCCCACCTCAGCTGGGACCACAGGTGTGTGCCACCACACCTGGCTAATTTTTGTAGAGACAGAGTTTTGCCATGTTGCCCAGGTTGGTCTTGAATTCCTGGGCTCAAGTGATCTACCTGCCTTGGCCCCACAAAGTGCAGATATTACAGGAGTGTGTCACCATGCCCAGCCTATTCCTTATAGAGACAGTGGCCTCACTATGTTGCCCAGGCTGGCCTTGAATTCCTGGCCTCAAGAATCCTTCCACCTCATTCTCCTAACATGCTGGGATTATAGGCATGAGCCACCACGCCCGCCAAACTATTTTTTTAACAAGAGGAGAAAGTGAATTTGTGCTTTCCCTGAACAGCAAGCAGCAGATATAAGCAATGAAAAGAAGACAACGAGGACACCGCTCCATGCTCAAAAGAGACACCAGCAGAGCTGAGCCAGCAGCATCTCAGATGTCATCTCCCAACTGTGCTAAAAATACACACACACACACACTCTGAATCTGACTCCAGCAGTAAGAGCGTCCCTGTTCTCATGCAGCAGCTTATGAGCCCTGGTGCCCCAAGATCTCTGGAGGGAGGGGAGAACTGAAGCCGGGGTCCGGAGCAGTCAGGAGTCAGAGTGAGCCGCGGTTCGCGTCTGTCTTCCCGGCAGGTGTCCGACGCCTCAGCTCAATGAATGAGAAGCCGCTTAGACAAGGGATGTGAGCCAGAGCGCTCTGAGCGCGGTCACTGCCCCATCCTGAACGCAGGCTCCTCCAGGTGTTCGTTTGCCTCATGTGCAGCTTTGGTCCATGAGCCATAACCCATAGAACCTGAGGCATCTGAACGAGCATTTCAGTGCAGGAAAGTGCCGTCTTCACTAACTTTCAGCTACTGCAGCAAGTTTGGAAGAAACTCAAACGAGAAAAGATGGATTCAGCCTTACAGGTTCCGTTGGGAAAACGGTCCCCGTGGATGCTCGGCTGTGGCTATTAACCACACACACTCATTAAACAGCTTTACTGAAGAGAACAAAAAGGAGAGGGGAGGCTGGTTAATGCAATTTGAGGAGAGAAATGTACGATGGAGAGGTTATTGAGTGCATTCAGTCTACTCTACATTTTTATTTTAGTTTTTAATTGACAAATAATAAATGTACATATTTATGGGGTACGGAGTGATGTTTGGATATGTATAATGTATAGTGATCACAGATTCACTAGTGATCACTAGTGATTGCCCACTAAGCCCTAGATACATGAGCTATACCATTCTGTCCTTGGGGAAATCACCTCCCTAATGCAAGTGACTTATTCCACTTAGCTCACTTGTGGCAGCCGTGGAACGCAGGTCCCTTGGCTCCTAAAACTCTGCCATTTCCATTGTACCACCTGACTATCTAGTTATATTTCCTCCCTACTATACACATGACCTCACCATTCAAAAAAGTTTACTATAAAACATAAACAAGATTCTGAGAGTCCACAAAACATCTTGCATTAAAAGGAAAACATTCCACATTTCCTAATATGGAATACTACGCAGCCATAAAAAAGAACGAAACTATGTCCTCTGCAGGGACATGGATGAAGCAGGAGGCTACCATCCTTGGAAAACTAACGTAGGAACAGAAAAACCAAATACTACTTGTTCTCACTTATAAGTGGAAGCTAAATGATGAGAACACATGGACACATAGAAGGGAACAACACACACTGGGGCCTTTCGCAGGGTGGAGGGTGGGAGGAGGGAGAAGATTATGAAAAATAACTAATGGGTACTAAGCTTAGTACCTGGGTGATGAAATAATCTCTACAACAAACCCCCATAACACATGTTTACCTATATAACAAATCTGCACATGTACTCTTGAACTTAAAAGTTAAAAACAAATTTTCCCGATAAAGTCCATACTCCGTAGAATAAGCCCTGATACAGAACTGAACACACAAGCTACGCAGTGAAGAAAGCCTCGTACCATTCTGTCCTTCGGACAGTCACCTCCCCCTGCAAACCTCCTGTTCTCCAACCAACCCATAAAGTATGCCTGCCAAGGAGAGTGCATATTCCTGTCATCACAGAGCACTATCATTAATAGAACAGTACTAGGCCACGTCTCCGGGGCTCGGGTTCTCCGGCTTCGTACAGGACACAAGCTCACTGCCACCGCCTCTGCCAGCCAGTCCCCAGCCACCAGCCTCCGCAGTCTGCCTAATAAGGCAATCTGCAGGTTGACGGGTGGCTTACAGGTCACCACTGCACAATGCACGCTCTGGGCTTGAAGCAAAGGGAGAGGCTACCTTTTGGCAGACAAAGGGTTACCCTGTGCCAAAAACTCTTCCAAGGCCGCACTGGGACTCCATTTACATAATAATAGAAACTTGTCCCTGCAGTTGGCCAGACTCCAGCCACAGGGTCCAGCTTACAGAGCTGAAGAAAGCTGAACTTCTGCAGTGGCCTGGAGCTTGCTCAGCCTTTACATGGAAACGTCTCCTCTTTGCCTTCTCCCAACCTCATCAGAGGACTCCCAGAAAGTCCATCTTGCAGGAACTTAGGTGGCATATATTCAATCTCCGAGACTCCCTGACTTCAAAACAGCAACCTGCAAATTGACTGCATATCCCGGATGCTTAAAAAGAAGCCATAGGTCAGGGGAACAATTCTTAGCATTCCAGAAAATGATTACACACCAGCGAAAAGTGGACGTCTGTATTTCCAGCTAAGGAGGCGGAGTTGTTGGTCAAGCGATGCCTGATTACAAATATTCATTATTTTTAATTCTATGAAGATCTGGACTCAGAGACTCTCCCCCACCCTGGCCCCTGCACTGTACTACGCATACAAGGAAAAGAACAGATCTCTGGTGATTAATTGCAGCACATTCATCATTGCATGAATTTCCTTCAGCTTTTAGCCACGGGGCCCCTTTGTCATTCAGAAGGCATCCCACCCACTGGCTCACCAGAATTTAATATGTCCCAACGGAGTTTTGAAATCTACCAGCATTTCAACAGTGGACTGGAGCTGCCGAACCACAGCAAAATTAGGAAGGGGTCAAGGAGCATGAGATAGCAATACCGTGGAGGTTAATAGTCAGCAAACCACCAGTTTAGAGTCCTGTGCCTAGTCAAATCTAGCACCGCTGAAACGTGTGCTGGTGGCAGAGACGCATCTGACACTTCGTCCCTTCACTCTGCCCTTTGTGCCGGTGTCCAGTGCGGACTCTCTTCACGTTAAGACACTTCCTGTGCAGTTTCTTGGACACCCAGCAGTGAACATACAGCACCCATTCATTCTCTGCTTCTCTGGGAAATGGAGTCTGGGATGTCTGAAACAAGACTCATGAAAAATGGTTGCCTATTAAGGGCCATTATGTTGGGGATGTAAATAGCGATTGATTTTTAATTTACACTAATTCAGCATTTACCAAACCAAAATAGTCCCTAGGAAATTCTCTGACAGAGCGTGAAAGGAAAATAGAACCTTGGGAACCCCAAACTCACTATGCCAAACGGAAAGTGAAGCTTAGGAACCGAGTCACACAAAAGCTGCCTGCCTTTTGTCCCCAGAAAGATAGCTGTGACCTCACAGGCTTAGGGTACCTTATGTAAAATGTAGATTTACTGTGCAAGAGATAAATGCGTAACTGACTTCCCCCTCCTTTGTTTTCACATGTAAAATGTAGATTCACAGAATGCTCATCAGAGCCTCACAAGAATGTGACCACTTGCCTCACTTCCTACCTCCCCCACCCCCCCTTTTATTCCTTGTCCTTAAAATACTGAAGTCCTCAAACCCAAACCCAGTTTGGAAAAAGCACAGGACATTCATCCCACTGGGACTTGTGTCCCTTTTTCCCCAGGAGCATCCTGAATGTTGGCAAAATAAACCTTTAAGTGGATTGAGATGCCTCGGTGACTTTTCGGTTCACAGGAGTTTATCAGAAATTCCTGTCTAGATATTCATGCCAAAGGGAAAAAAAACAAGGATGTGAGACACTCGACACCAAAAGCCTGTCCTCCAGCTCTGTGGAAAGCAGCGTTGGGAAACGGAGTTTTAAGTAACACCAACCCCATGCCGCCCTATCACATCATCGCCCGCACGGCCTCGACACTGAAGCACTCAGCTCACACTCACCTTTGTCTCCTCTAACTTAGGCAAAGGAGGAGAGGATCCACAGCTGGCCAACAGTGTGGTGGGAATCTGGAGGGGAGGAGAGCGGCTCTGGGCCCCCTGTAAACCCCAGAAACTGTGGGGACTTCACCAGTCCCCTTGCAAGTCCCCTGCAGCATGCAGCACGGAACAGGCTGGCATTTGTTTATTTTAATGACAAGCAGCTAATTTCCTACTGTTTAAGGCCAAATTAGATGGCACTGAAGCACCACCGTATTCCCCCTTTCCTCTTCAGCTGCCGGCTTTGGGGGCTGTTTGAGCCCTAATTGGAACTTCCACCCAGAGACCAGGCAAGAAAAGAAAACGAGGTGAGACAATTTAGCTGCTGGCTACTGACTTGCAGCAAGCTCTGTCAATCAAGACTCCTGGAACAGGGGGTCTGGAGTTGCCGAGAGACCTTGATCTACCTGGATGTTCTTATATGGCCAAACCTCAAGACCTCAGGAACTGCAAACTGAAGATAGTAATAAAAGAATACATTAATTTCCCACATAATAGGCAATGTCTACTGAACTAAAATTAAGTTTGTTCTCACTAAAAATAATGTTGTTGGCCAGGCGTGGTGGCTCACGCCTGTAATCCCAGCACTTTGGGAGGCTGAGGTGGGTGGATCACGAGGTCAGGAGTGAAGACCAGCCTGGCCAAGATGGTGAAACCCCGTCTCTACTAAAAATGCAAAAAATTAGCCAGGTGTGGTGGCATGTGCCTGTAATCCCAGCTACTCAGGAGGCTGAGGCAGAGAATTGCTTGAACCTGGGAGGCGGAGGTTGCAGTGAGCCAAGATTGCGCCACTGCTCTCCAGCCTTGGCAACAGAGCAAGACTCCGTCTCAAAAAAAAAAAAAAAAAAAAAAAAAAAAAAGTTGTAAAGGAAAATTCCTCCCTTCCAGCCCCTGGGACTCTCTCCTTAATAATAAAGATATTACCAGACCTCCTGTCCCGTGGCTCCCCAATTAAGTAAGGCTGCCCAACAGGTTCCCAGCACAAAAGAGCTATTCACATGCTTGATTGTACTGAGCCAGCCCCTGACACTCAGCCTTGACGGTATATATTTAGTCACTGTCTACGAAGCAGAACTAGAACCACTGCATTTTCCCCCGACATTAAAACGGTGCCAACCGCATGGACAGAATGATAGATTTTTATCAGATCTTTTCCTGTTCTGAAGAAAAAAAGAGTATTTGTTCACTTTAACATGTACTTTACACCTTCTGGCTAGTAGATCACATATGCCATCTGGTTGGGTGGCAGAAAGTGATCATAAAATGATGAAAGATTCAGTCATCTTTTGCAACCTATTTATATGTTTTATATTTAAGCACATTATCAGGCTGTATTTATGGATATTATTTTTAACCCGGACACATGCTTGTGTTAAGCTTGAAATATGCTGAAATACCTTTAAACCTCATCCTGCAGTGCTGATTTAACTTAGTCACAGTTATCCACATCTAAGAGTATCAGTTGAAGTACTAACCCCTCTTTGAAAAAACTTAAAAACTTGATTCCTGAACTGCACTATACCTCCCCCTGGTGGCAGAAAAGAATCAATGCATCTCCCAAAGCCAATTTTACAAAACACTCCAAATAGAAACCCTGAAGCAAGGACATCTTTGTTTAAAGTAGTTTTAATATCTCCAAGACATGCAAGAAATTAAATGTTAGCAAATTATTTCATTCATCCACTGAACAAATATTTATGGAGCACCCAAGAGGCCAAGCCCGGTTCTGGGGCTGTGGATACAGTGAGACAAACTCCCTGCCCACACAAACTTATGTTCTAGTAATAACCAAATAAAGATTAATGTTTCACACACTTATTGGCCTTCTTTTTTAATATATGTGAAGTGAAATGTGTTTACATGCATGAAATCTCAAATACTCTGGGAACACCTGTGCTTCTGCATTGCTGGTTTCTCTCTTCAGCTCCTTGGCTGTCATTCTCACCTTGACCTCCCAGGCAGGTCCAGAACTTTCTACCCCATGCCCTCAAGAAGAACCTGTTGAGTAAAATGACTGTGGGCCATGGCATTGAAACCCAGGGAATCCAAACTAAGAGGCTTTATTGTCAGCTATATAAAAGTGCTTTTGCTATTTTCAATTGTCTGTATTATAAGCTAATATACTGACAGTTATAAAAGTGAGGCAGTCTTATAAAAAAGTAATAGCTCTCTCTATAAAACCTGATGCAATCCTGTGCCATAGTAAAAATTTTGTACATAAGCATTGCTACTGTGCGAACATTTTACTCAGAATCTCACCTCTGACAAAGCAATAGTAACTTCCAGATTCTCCTCCCCTGCACCCTGCACCTTTTTAAAAAACTGACAGCCTGAGAACTATCATGTTCCTAAATACGTGAGTCCTTCCAGCACATTAGGTGCTATAGGATATACCAGGGCAGCAGACAGAACTCATGCCAGCTTATGTCATCGGCCTTGCTGCATGAAGCTCCATGCTGCGAAGGGATCTTAGCACACGTGGGGAGATCCAAGTGCTCTGGGTGAGGGCTGATGCCTGTTCCTGGCTTAGGAGGAAGATGAGCAAAGAGCCTGCCAGGCATTTACCACTGCTAGTACCTTACATGGTTCTGGGTACTGCTCTAATGCTCATGGGACATAAAGAGGTTTCTCTGGGCTGGGTGCTGTGGCTCATGCCTGTAATCCCAGCACTTTGGGAGGCTGAGGCAGATGGATCACTTGAGGTCAGGAGTTCGAGACCAGCCTGGCCAACATAGGAAAACCACATCTCTACTAAGAATACAAACAATTAGCCAGGAATGGTGGTATATGCCTATAATCCCAGCTGCTTGGGAGGCTGAGGTGGGAGAATTGCTTGAACCTGGGAGGCGGAGGTTGCAGTGAGGCAAGATGGTGCCACTGCACTCCAGCCTGGGCAACAGAGTGAGACTCTTTCTCAAAAATAGAAAGAAAGAAAAAAGGGGATTTCTCTGAAACAATGTCACTGCTTTTAAGCATCTAAGTGTAATATTTGCATATTCTATTTTCCAACATGTTACCTATTTCCGAATAAGAAAATAAAGCCTCTTCGATATTTCACAAGGCAAGGGGCAAGAAGAAGCTTCTAGAAGCACACAATTTCACAAAAGCTGAATACATGTTGGTTTCTCATTTCTGTTTCAAATTCTACCTAAGTCGCCAGGTGCTGTTCAGTTTCTTGCAGCTGCGATTCTTCCAGTTAACAGTGAGACCTCCGTAATGGAGGTTTCAATGTCAAGGTGTCCATCGTTGCATGGACTCTGACAGTTACGTAGGAAGGGGAGGAGCATTTTCCAGACCCAATATTTGATCCAAATTAACAGTAAAGTAAGCATAAAAAATCAATGTTAAAACATGCAAGGTGAACTTCGTTAGGTAAAAATCTTCTCTTGGGGTAAAAGAAGCCTAGCTGATTTTCAAGCAAAATCTGTGTGACTAAAATTACACTGAGTCTAAACAAAATTCAAATCATTCATCTAAATATTTCCTTCATGATCAAGGCCTAGATTAAAGTTCATTCTAATGACTAATGTTCTATCTCATTCTTTAGGGCTAGCAAAAGGGTGGTGGAAATAGGTTGAATTTCAACTCACTTTCTAAATTTAAAGGAAAAAAAGTCTCTAAAATTCTAATTTATTAAATTGTTGTAGGGAAGTTTTAAACAGAAGCAGGACTTTGGATATTCAAGGTCACATTGAAAGCTATCAAATATGGTGATCCAGGTTTAAATATTACCTTGAAGACTGTGGCCCTAATCTGCGCTATGTTTAAAATTTTTTGATAGCAGCCACATTGATATTTGTAGAGTTAGAGAATACTTGTTGAAAAAAAAAGAGATATTCTGTCATTTTATAGTAAAATCATATTATAACGCAATACTTCATTAACATTTTACACTATTATAAAAGTACACACAAGACACAGCCTGTCCCACAGTCCTCTGCAGGCTCTGACAGTAGCGGACAGTTGGATGTTAACTGTTAAGTGCCTGAAACTCACTCCTGGACCTTCACATAAAGGATATAGGCTGGTGTCACTAAAGATCCCCAAATATTTCAACTGTGGACTCGAGAGCATTTCTCACTCCCCATCTGCCCATCAGGAAGATTCCAGACCAAGGGAAATCCACACATGGGCCCCCCAGTTGCCTATCTGTCAGACTCAAGTCCTTAGAAGCCAAAGATGGTCTTCACTAAAACATGAACAGGGTGGTTATCAAAACCCAGATACATCAAATGCCTTCCACTCTCTGCCTCCCGGCCTCCTTCTCAAATCTCGGGCAATTCACCTCTAATTCAAACCTTCTAAGTAAAAGAACTATGGAACTTCCCAAATTTACAATGTAATATTTTGGACAATGTGCCAAAACTTATTAAGAATATTTAACACCATACACATGTTAAGAAATAGTCAATAAATCAATCCTATAATTTTTCATAAGGAAAATAATGTCATTAAATGGACTGCGCCCAAGCCCTTATCCTTAGAGACTGAGAAATGCCCTTTTATTCTTAATTTATACCCAGTTCTAAGAAACTTGGCAAAACTATGGAGACAGTAAGCAGATCAGTGGTTCTCTGGGGTTGGGAGGGGAGGGAGGAATACATAGGTGGAGCACAGTGGAGTTTTCAAGGCGGTGAAAATACCCCGTAGTGTACTACAGGTTGAGCATCCCTAATCAGAAAATCCAAAATTGGTTCAGCTCCAAAATCACAAGGTTTTTGAGCTTCGACATGAGACAATGACACTTTTGATTTCTGATTGTTCAATGGACACAAACTCTGTTTCATACACAAAACTATTTAAAATGTTATGTAAAATAAACTTAAGGCCATGTATATAAGGTATACATGAAACATAAAAGAATTTGGTGTTTAGACATCAGTCCTGTCCCCAAGATATCTCATTATGTACATGCAAATATTCCAAAATAAAAAAAAATTCTAAGATCTGAAACACTCCTAGGTCCCAACCATTTCGGATGAGAGATACTCAACCTGTATAATAATACATATTATCATTATATATTTGTTCAAACCCACAGGCTATACACCAAGAGTAAACCCTAATTAAACTGTGGACTCTGGGTGATAATGATGTGTCAGTGTAGGCTCATCAATTGTAGCGTATGTACCACTCTAGTGGGGGATGTTGATAGTAGGGGAGGCTGTGCAAGTGGGAGGCGAGGAGTTTATGGGAAATCTCTGTACCTTCTTAATTTTTTTTCTTTTTTTTTTTTTTTGAAACATGGTCTCACTCTGTCACCCAGGCTGAAGTCCAGTGGTGCAGTCTGGGCTCATCGCAATCTTTGCCTCCTGGGCTCAGGTGACCCTCCCACCTCAGCCTCCCGAGTAGCTGGGACTACAGGTGTGTGCCACCACACCCAGATAATTTTTGTATTTTTAGTAGAGACAGGGTTTCGCCATATTGCCTAGGCCAGTCTTGAACTCCTGGGCTCAAGCAGTCAGCCTGCCTCAGCCTTCCAAAGCATTGGGATTACAGGCGTAAGCCACTGCGCCCAGCCTCTGCTCAATTTTGAACCTGAAACTGCTCTAAAAAATACTTGAAACAAACACACCTCTGGGTTGTATAGTTCCCCAGCCCCTGCTGTGTTTCATACACTGAGAAGTTCAGGAAGGTAAACCCCTGAAGGGGAGGGAAGAGATGCTGGTCCTGGAATGGAGACTCTGTTACACTCCTGTTTCCTCTCCTCGGTTAGGCCTTCACCACTCTACATCTGCAAAACCAGGAACCCACAGTCCAAGCTAGACTGGTCTTCTCTGTGGAAACTGTGATTCTCATGAGTGGGGCTCTAGCAGTCCCGCCTCTGTTCTGCGGGCATGGAAGGAAGCCCCAGGAAGCTGGGAAATGACTGTGATTCTCATGAGTGGGGCTCTAGCAGTCCTGCCTCTGTGGGTATGGAAGGGAGCCTCGGGAAGCTGAGAAATGAGACAAGGACAGGGTTGGGCAGGTGGGCTTTGTTCTGGTGAGTTTGCTAGGGTAAGAATGGAGCCCCACCCGGCACCCTCAGAGCAGCACGGCTCTGCTAGGGTATGGATGGCAGGTGAGGACAGGCGATGGTGGGCTGGCCACAGCACAGAAAGGCACGTGCCCAGTGAGGGAGAAGTGCCCTGACAGCAACAACACTGTTATTTACAAAAGATGGTGAAATAGGAACACATAAGCAATAGCAGCAAAGAAGGCGAATTCCATTCATTTCACTAATCGTTTTCTTAATGGAGAAAGAACTAAAAATGTAAATATGAAACAAAATAGCTTTTGGGTAGGCAAACCCTTACGACTCCTCTTTCAAGACAAAAATACATATGGCCCAGGGGAAAGTCTCTAGCATCAGTGCCTCTCTTCTGCAGTGAGCCAGGCCCATATCGTCCAAGCAGGCAACGCGGTCTTCGGTGCCTGGTGGTTCTGTGATGGCACTTTACCTGCCATTGCCCTCTCCGTAGGACCCAGGTGCCAGGCCAGCAGTTGTGGTGAGCTGATGAAGTGACTCATTCCACACGTGGCCCTAGGGAAACAGTAGCTGCTCTGCCTGCTCTTGGCCATGTAGTCTGTGGCCCCATCATTCCCAGGACAGCTAGGACAGCTCGCTGTTTCTGCAGGGCGAGCTTAGAGACCAGTCCCAACACTTTCTTTTCTGCAGTGTGACCCAAAATGTCTTTACAGTCATGCATGATGAGGCCAGCCTGTGTGCATGTGAGCAGGTGTCACATATGAGAGCACAGAAGCACCACACACCCCTTCTCCTTCACGAGGATTCCTTCTTCAGGGAGAGCTGTGTCTAGTGGGCTCTGTAGCTATGCACCACCATAATTTGTCCTTTAAAAATTCCCTTCCTGGATGGGCGCAGTGGCTCTTGCCTGTATTCCCAGCCCTTTGGGAGGCCGAGGTGGGAGGATTGCTTGAGGCCAGGAGTTTGAGACCAGTGTAAGCAAGATAGTGAGACCCCGTCTCTATAAAGACTAAAAACAAATGAGCTGGGCATGGTGGCATGCACCTACAGTCCCAGCTACTTAGGAGGCTGTGGCAGGAAGATCACTTAAGCCCAGGAGTTCAAGGCTGCAGTGAGCTGTGATTGTGCTACTGCACTCCAGCTTGGGCAACAGAGCGAGGCCCTGTCTGTAAAAGAAAAAAAAATTATTTGCCTTTGCCCACAGAGATCATGGGAAGAGCATTTCAGTAAGCCATCCAGCAATAGAGGAATTAAGAGGTTTGGAAAATGTGGGGGTGGGGGATGATGCCACAACTCAGGGAGTTTCAGGGCCACTGGGCATTGGGCTAGAGGGAGGACCCCCATCCCCTCCTGCACCTCCCTTTTGTTACTTTCTCATGTATGGAAACCAAGTTCCCACCAAGGGCCAAGTACAGAACCCATCCCATGGTAGCATAAATGAGTCACACTATACTGTCCATTTGTACAGCATTTCACTGCATGCAGAATGCTTTCCATATCTCGTTTCATCTTCACACCGCATAAATGGACAATGGTAAAGTGTTTGAGAATTCACAAAGGGCTTTAATCAAGGCAGCTTCGTGTGATCCCGCTAGCATGAAGTTAAGTGTATGCTGTCTCCATTGCTACGATGAGGAGACTGATCTCCAGCTGCTACAGGTAGTTAGACATGGGCAGGGCAGGAGAGGGCTCTCCCGCCCCCCTACCAGGAATGTCTGGTGATGGTCCAGCAACTATCGCATTGCCTCTCTAAAAACGGTAATTCGGCAGCCAGGGAGAGACCGGCTCCTGAGGTTGCACACCTGTTAACATTAAAAGTGTTAACTGAATGCAGACCCCAGGGAGAAGCAACCTCTTGGGCATACGCGTTAAGAGACAAAATGGCGAAGTATGATATTGTGGGCATGTGCATAACTCCTTAAACGGGCTGCACTGCTCACTTCCAAAGGGGAAAGAGGGCACTGAGCATGCAGAAAGCCCGCCCTGAGGGAAGAATCATGGGAGAGAGGGCAGCCTATAAAGTCCCAGGATCAAGGGTAAATGCCTCCTTTTTTTTTCTCTTGGGCCTTCAGGCGCCCACCTGGATCTCTTCTAAGAGTTCTTTCCTGTTCTAAATCCTTTTATTTTTATTTTTGAGAGGGAGTCTTGCTCTGTTGCACAGGCTGGAGAGCAGTGGCAATCTTGGCTCACTGCAACCTCCACCTCCTGGGTTCAGCCTCACGAGTAGCTGGGATTACAGGTGCCCACCACCACGCCTGGCTAATTTTTGTATTTTTAGTAGAGACGGGTTTTTGCCATGTTGGCCAGGCTGGTCTCGAACTCCTGACCTCAAGTGATCCACCAGCCGCGGCCTCCCAAAGTGCTGGGATTACAGGCGTGAACCACCACGCCAGGCCTAAAACCTTTTAAAATACACTTCCACTCCTGCTCTGAACCTTGCCTTAGTCTCTTTCTGCTTGATGCCCCTCAGTTGAATTATTTCTTTTTAGGAGGCAAGGACTGAAGTTGCTGTGGACCCTTACAGATTCACAGCCGGTAACTCAGGGTAACTCACATCTCTGCCACCGCTCACACAGCAAGGTTAAAACAACAGGGCTTGTGACAAAAGAATTAAAAGCAGGGTGTCACAGACCCAGCTTTGTGCCCTTATGTTTCTAGTAGCATTATTCACTGTAGCTAAAATGTGGAAGCAACTTGGGTCCCTTGATGGGTGAATGGGTCAACAAAACGTGGTGTATCTAAACCCAGTGGAATATTATTCAGCCTTTCAAAGGAAGGAAATTCTGACACCTGCTACAACGTAGATCATGCTAAGTATAATAAGCCAGTCACAAAAAAATACTGTATGATCCCACATAATGATGTACTTGTGACATTCACAGAGCTAGAAGGTAGAATGGTGATTGTCAGGGGCTGGGGGAATGGGAAGTTTAATACGTATAGAGTTTCAGTTTTCCAAGATGAGAAGAATTTGGGAGATGGATGGGGATGGTTGCACGACAATGTGGATATACTGATATTTAATACCACCAAACTGTACACTTCAAATGGTTAAGATAGTACATTTTATGGTGTGTGTATTTTACCACAATAAAAAAAATTTGAGGGAAAAAGCCCCATAGGGCTAGTGAGAGGAAAACATGAAGGGTTAACAGGTGGGTTCTGAACCTGTGGGTGTGGGACTGAGGACCAAAAGGTTGTTTGGTCCCTGAAGGTTGTACAAAATCCCTGGATTGCTGCCTGTGCCCCTGTGGACAGAAATGACCAACCTGAGCTGCAAATGCCAGCATGCAGTTACGGCTGCCCCCAGTTTTCCCTCTGCCATCTCTAGTTTCAGTGGAGATTCCTCAGAGAAAGGATAATCCATATGTTTGAAAACTCAGCAGCAACTGTCTCTGGGGTGAGTGGGGAAATAAGGCCTGGAAATGGGCATCAAAGGGCCTCCATTCCTTTTTAGAATAATGTGAAAAGCCTGTTAGGTTTTATTCAAAACTGCTGTTTTCAAACCTTGGCCACAGCGGCTGTGTAGATGCTGGACTCTGGTTGAGGAAAGAGTGAAGCGAGAAAGAAAAGAAGATTGAAACAAGATTCTCACTACATTCTTCTGGTGACAGATTTGGAACATGAGCTAATGCACAGGCCAGCCCAGCCAACGTTTCATGAAAACAATGCTATCTACAGCTGCCTTGGGCATCTTTCAGAGCACAAAATAGCCTCTCTCCACTCCCTCCAGGCAGTTCAGTTTGTTTCTTTTTTTACTGATGCAAGGGTGTGGGTAATCCTTGCAAGCCAATATGTCATTTGGTTTAGCTTTAGAAACATTTGATCATGCTGATCTGGCAAAGAAAAAAAAATGTTTCCTATAGCAGGACTATCTCATCCCTGCAATCACGAGTCTGGGCAAGTAAGAGATGAGAGCGAGGAACCTCAGCCTGACACGCAGGACAACACTCAACTCCTAAGTCTGACCTTGACACTCAGGCAAACTCGCAGAATCACAGCTGTTCTTTTCTCTTGCCTGGAAAATTTAGAACACATTCAACATCGTGAGAATGTTGTTTTCTTTCTTTTATTTGCCCTCCATTTTTTTTTGTTCAGTCTTGCCTTTTTGTTTTAAAACTTTTTTTTTTGAGACAGAGTCTCGCTCTCTCGCCCAGGCTGGAGTGCAGAGGCATGATCTCAGCTCACTGCAACCTCTGCTTCCCGGGTTCAAGTGGTTCTTGTGCCTCAGCCTCCTGAGTAGCTGGGACTACGGGTATGTGCCACCACAGCCAGCTAATCTTTTGTATTTTTAGTAGAGACGGGGTTTCGCCATGTTAGCCAGGCTGGTCTCGAACTCCTGACCTCAGATGATCCGCCCACCTTGGCCTCCCCAAGTGCTGGGATTACAGGCATGAGCCACCATGCCAAGCCTGTCTTAAAACTTTGTGCAGTCCTCCAGGGAGAAGCAAAAATAACAAAATCAATTTCCCAACGGTCAGATAGACAGGATATGGGTGGCTCGCAGGGTGAATGGAATTTACACCAAATGTGGAAGATGTTCATCAAGTGCCTATTAAGTAGAACGTTATTAATGACAGCCCTCTTCTGTTTGGTTTGCTATCCTAATGGAAGAGTTAGAGGTAGGAGTAGGGTAATCTGGTAAATGCATCCCACAAAAGAACCAATAAAATCCACTACATGTGGCAAAAGAGGTACTCTACTATTGAGTGCTTTGGGCTGGATGAGATTTTTTTGATTCTTTTTTTTTCTTAAGAGATAGGGTCTCACTCTGTTGCCCAGGCTGGAGTACAATGGTGCAGTCATGACTCACTGCAGCTTCAAACTCCTGGGCTCAACCAATTTCCCCACTTCAACCTCCCAATAGCTTGGGCTACAGGTATGAGCCACCATGTCTGGCTGGATGAGCTCGTTACATGAATCACTGAAAAATTTTTACTCTGAATTTTGGCCATTAGTTATGTATGACACAGACTAGAAATCACAAAGGGGAAGGTTGGAGGTGTCTTTAGAAGTCCTCTGGTTTAGTCATTGCCAACTGGAGCTGAGCATTGTTAGACCCTCCTAAGGAGTCTTAACCTTCCCATGCCCCTCACCACACCCAGACATACGGCACCAGAATCTCTGGGTGGGACCCAGGCATGGGAATTTTTTTAAAGTTCCCCAGGTGAATCAGCGTGCAGCCCAGGCCTGTTGCACCTCCACATCAGATGGAGAAACACACAGGTTGGCTAAGGTGCTGTCAGTGGCAAAATCAGGACTGTAAGAACTCACCATTTTCTTTTATAAACAGCAGCATCATTTACATAGTAAAGTTTGTCACTTGGGGATGCATTTTATACACATATTATTAGAGAATAGGCAATTAACATTTTCTTAGTCCCAGAACATGAAATATTGGGGCACAAAAGGACCCTATGCAAAAACGAAGGGGTAGAATTGTGATGAGAACAACATTCAAACAAATCCTGTGAACCAGGAGAAGGACCGAAAGACTGTTCTAACTAAAACCCCACAATGGCATCTCTCTTCAAGGGACCCGTGCTATGGGACCACTTATCTGATCTGAAGTATAGTCAATACATATGATTATGAAGTTCCGGGTTCTTTCTCACACTCAGTGGTGAACAACTCGCTTCTAGAAGTCAGATTTAATAAAACCACATACATAGACACTCCCTGGTGTCCGCGCGGTTTTAAAACCACTTTTCCTGGCTCCATTTCTCCCTGTCATTAATATACATAACTTATGTGCTGACTTGAAAGGTTTGTATTTTGTTGTGGTTTTCATCCTATCTCAGAAATATGTGACTACAATTATAGACATTGGTCATCCAAGAAAAACAGCTAATGATACCAGCATAAATAAGTTCCTAGAGCAAAAGCATTGAAAAAAAATTTCCCCCTGGATTTTTATTTATTCACTTTGCTTTCCAAAATGCTACATGCCACATTTTAACCTAAAACCAATGTACACATCAGTTTTACCCAATTCCAGAGCTGAAACTGAAAATTATAAAGCTTAAAATGTGCTCCTCTGTATCTATCAACAAGATGCTTCTAAATCGTTATTAGGGAGAATAATGCATTAATGCATTCTTTCTTTAAAAGTAGAAATGTGTTTAAACTGAACTATCCATATTCTTTCACCATAGCATCTAGCCACTTTTGTCCCCAGTTCTAGGAGAGGTTTAAGCCTGAGGCACAATTTGCAACTACTATATAGAATGAGGTTCTTGCCATAGGCGCATTTCAGGATTGAACCTGTGGCTTTCAGCTCTGATGCAGAGAGAAACAGGTGACTGACGGCCTACCATAAATGCAAAGAACAGCCTGGAGAGTAAGAGCCTGGGCTCATCAGACATGAGTTCAAAGCCCAGCTCTAGTGCTTTTTAGCCATGTGACTCAGGCTAATTATCTCCTCTTCTAATGACAATGACTTTAAGGTTGTTCTAAGGATTGATGACATTCACATTTGTAATAGTGCACTCCGCACCATGCAGGCTTCTGATTCTGCTACCAGGTGGCATCATCTCCTGCTCAGCACCGGTTACCTCTTTCCTCTCCCTCTCTCTTTCTTCTCTTCCTCATTATCTGTACTTTTGTCCATTTGATCATTATTCAGTTTGTTGATGGCTGAGTCCTTTATTCTCCTAATTGTTTCTCTTTGTACCAGTTCATTGCTTGTTGGGATCACCACCAGTTCGATTTAGCTAAATGTTGACACAGTATTTGGTATCTACGTGAAAGATTTGGCAGTGATCTTTCAAAACATGGGGCCCTGGATTATTAGGTTATATTTCAATATTTTGCTTTTAACAATTTATGGAGCTATTGGCAACTCTAAACACCTACAAAAGAAATGCTGTCCACGACAAAAGAGTTCTGATCATTTTGCAATGACTTAGGAGAAACTTAATGATGTTTCATGAAGTGCCCCCTGGTACTTTAAGTGTTCATGAAGGCATACCAAGTTCTTAAAGGTGTACCACGGTTCATGAAGGTGCACTGGGTTCACCTTTAAGGGCACATGGTACACCTTCCAACATGCCGTACCTGCTTAACCTGCCTTGTCTCACCCTCCCTTCTCTGCTGTGGGACAACCTGGATCCCAGGCCCCAAAGGCTCAGAGGTATTACATACACTCTTCCATAAAAGGCCTGGGCAGGTGAAGTGTTCACTGCCAGAATGATTTGGGGGAAGAAAGAGAATGCAAATGTTTTTATTCATGATTATAAATTCTTATGAAGTCAGGCCTTCTATGAAAATCTATAGACCTATCAATCATGTACATTTGTAAACTGCAGCTTTCAAGTGGCTTTGCAATATAATGTTTAAAGATGCAAATGGTCAAGCCTGAAAGAAGACTAAATATAATTTTTTTAAAAAAGAAAGGGAGAGGCCGGGCGCTGTGGCTCACGCCTGTAATCCCAGCACTTCGGGGGGCCGAGGCAGTTGGATCACCTGAGGTCAGGAGTTTGAGACCAGCCTGGTCAACATGGTGAAACCCTGTCTCTACTAAAAATACAAAAATCAGCCAGGCGTGGTGGCAGGCACCTGTAATTCCAGCTACTTGGGAGGCTGAGGCAGGAGAATTGCTTGAACCTGGGAGGCAGAGGTTTCAGTGAGCCATGATCACACCATTGCATTCCAGCCTGGGCAACAAGAGAGAAACTCCATCTCAAAAAAAGAAAGGGAGAGGTATATCAGTTGTTTTAAAATCGTTTCATGCCCAGGAAGATGATAATGAAGGACTTCTTACCATCCTGACGACTGAAACTCGAGACTCCTTCCCCTTGCTGGATGTGTTTTGCTTTGGAGGTAAATAAATAAAAGCAAGTGCAGAACAGGACAAGGCTGTGGCCATGCATGGTATTTAGTCCCAGCTGGGAGAAACGATGTGAAAGATCCCCCACAAACCCTGCCCTCCCCCCTCATCCTCGTATCACAGAGAATGAAAATGCAAATAAGATTTCCAACCCTTTCTTCTTTATAAAGAAGAAAAAGAGAAGCAGGGGGAGAAGTTAGTAATTTTGTTTCCTGAAAGACTAAAAATAGGAATCTCTGTATTTCCAAGAAAGAGTTCTGTGGGGCATGCTGTGAAGCAAATAAAATGCTGTATGTACTCATATGAAGCTTTTAAAGCAAAAATGGAAAAGCATTCAGTGAGCAGATGCTTGAAATTTGGTCTCAACCACAGTGAAACAGCTCTGGCTCCCAAGAATTATAATTTATGGCCAGACAGTTCATCTAATTTCTTCACCTGTAGGTTGAAAGCATACTTGGTTTTCAAATTTAATAGAGCAGCTGGCTGGATCATGAGGAAGGTGATGAAATGATATAGGAATGAGCAAAGGGACCCTGCCCTCTCAAAGTGATCACAGTATCTTACTTCATGGAACTACTCACCCAGGGCCGGCCAGACTACATTCTGAACAAAACAGATATTGAAAAGAGCATTTAATGGGCACCTAAGGCATATGTTTTCAAATGACCTAACTGTTATTTTTGGAATTGCATTCAATTCATATAAAATTAGGCTGCTAATAGATGTCATACATAAAGTCAGGACTTGATCCGCAAAGGTGACTATGTAATAAGCCCACAGTACAGTCTTTAAAAATCCAATTTACATTTGTAATTTTTTGACTCATGTGATTGAATAAAGTTAAAAAGTGGCAGAAGAATATTTCACAGTGAAATATTTCCGCCCCCTTCCCCATTTCTGAGGTGCCAGTTACAGTAGTCGCCCCATGTCCATCGCTTCCTTTTTCAAGGTTGCAGTTATCCATGGTGCAGTACAATAAGATATTTTGAGAGAAAGAGAGGCACCACATTCACATACCTTTTATTACAGTATCTTACTAGAATTGTATTTTATTATTTATTATTGTTCCTCTTTTTTTTTTTTTTTGAGACAGAGTTTTGCTCTGTCACCCAGGCTGGAGTGCAGTGGTGCCATCTTGGCTCACTGCAACCTCCACCTCCCGGGTTCAAGCAATTCTCATGCCTCAGACACCTAAGTAGCTGGGATTACAGGCATGTGCCACCATGTCTGGCTTTTTTTTTTTTTTTTTTTTTTTTTTTTGGTATTTTTAGTAAGAGACAGGGTTTTGCCACGTTGGCCAGGCTGGTCTCAAACTCCTGGACTCAAGTGACCTGCCCACCTCGGCCTTCCCAAAGTGTTGGGATTACAGGCGTGAGCCATTGCGCCTGGCCATATTGTTGATCTTTCATTGTGCCTTTATTTATTTATTTACTTACTTACTCATTGATGGATTGATAGGGTCCTGCTCTGTTGCCCAGGCTGGAGTGCAGTGGCACAATCATACGTCACTGCAGCCTCGATCTCCTGCTCTCAAGTGATCCTCCCGCCTTGACATCTGAAGTAGCTAGGTCTACAGGTGCATGTCACTATGCCCAGCTAATCTTTTAAAAAAATTTTTGTAAAGATAGGGTCTTGCTGTGTTGCCCAGGCTGGTCTTGAACCCCTGAGATTAAACGATCCTCCCACCTGGGCCTCCCAAAATGCTGGGGTTATAGCCCCGAGCCACTGCACCTGGCCTAATTTATAAATTAAACATTATCATAGGTTTATGTGTGTACAGTATGGGGAAAAAACAGTATATACAGGATTAGGTTCTATCTGCGATTTCAGGAATCCACTGAGGGTCTTCAAATGCATCCCCCAGGATAAGGGCGGGAATACTGTTATTTGTTTCTTGTTTGTCCTTATGGAGTTTCTTTATGCAAGCAAATACAAATAGACACTTAGTTTCCCTTTCATATATAAGCAGAAGTGTGCAAAGTACTCTTAGCAATGTGCTTTGGAGATCTTCCCATATAGGCACACAGGCATTAGCCTCATTTTCTTACAGGTGCATAGTATTTTACTGTACGCAGGGTCTGTGATTTACTTAGTCCTCTACGGATGGGCCTTAAGGTTTCTATTCTTTTGCTGTTTTCAAACAAAGCTACATCACCTTGAATCTAAGTGTATCTGAAAGAACTCTGACAAAAACTGTCAAATCGCACCAGTTTACATTCCCATCAGCCACGGTTCCCGTCTCCCCCCAGCCTCAGCAGAGTGCAAGAGCAGCTCTAGAGTTTTGCTGCTCTGAGGTTTCCCAGATATGGTACATTTCTTTCCTCTTACTAAAAATGAGGCTGAGCATCTTTCCATATGTTTTAGACTCCTTAAATTCCTTTTCCCTTTTTTGTGAGCTGTCTGTTCAGATCTTTTGTCTATTTTGATAGTTTTAACTTTTTAAAAGGATTTCCAGAAATGTCTATATTAATATATTAGCCATTTGTTTGTGATGTGAGTGGCAAATAGTTTTCCTAGTTTTTTTTTTCTCTTTAGTGGGTTTTTTCCCCTTAGTGGAAAAGTGGCTTTAAAAAATATATATTCAAATATATATATATATTATTTACATAATATATATTTTATATAAATAAATGTATATGTGTGTGTTTGTGTAGAGAGAGATAGTTGATTTTTATCAATCTTTTCTTTCATGGTTTCTTAATTTTAAATCAGTTGGAAAGGTTTGCCAAATCCACAGCTATGAAGAAATTCTCCTGTTTTCTTCTAGTACTTATTAGTTTTTATTTTTATTTATTTTGAGATGGAGTCTTGCTCTGTCGCCCAGGCTGGAGTGCAGTAGTGCCATCTCAGCTCACTGCAACCTCCGCCTCCTGGGTTCAAGCAGTTCTCCTGCCTCAGCCTCCCGAGTAGCTGGGATTACAGGCATCTGCCACCACGCGCAGTTAATTTTTGTATTTTTGGTAGAGATGGGCTTCTGTCACGTTGGCCAGGCTGGTCTCAAACTCCTGAACTCAAGTGATCCACCTGCCTTGGCCCCTAAGTGCTGGGATTACAGGCGTGCGCCACAGCTCCCGGCCTATTTTTAAAAATTTCTGTAGAGATGGAGTCTTGCTGTTTTGCCCAGGCTTGTCTTAAACTCCTGGTCTCAAGCAGTCCTCCCGCCTCAGCCTCCCAAAGTGCTGGGATTACAGACACTGGCCACTGCAACCAGCCAATATTTTTGATTTTGAAAAAATTTAAGCCTGTACAAAGTAGAGACAATGCTATAATAAACTGGCATATACCCCCACCTAAATTCAACTGCTATCAAGGTTTTGTTATACTTCTTTCTTCTATCTCTTCTCTCTCTCTGACTCTGTCTCTCAACAAAATTATTTTAAAGTACACCCAAAATATCAACTCATTTTACCTCTATATACTTCAATATGCATTTTAAAATTATGAATATTTCCTTGTATAACTATAATGCTATTATATGTAACAAAATTAACAATATTATTTGGTATCATCTAATACTTGATCTATAATTGATTTTCTCCAGTTGCCTCAAAAATGTATTTTTACGGTTGGTTTTTCCAAATAATAATGCATTTGTGGTTTCATTTTTAAAAACATTTAACTATTTTTTTATTTGTTTATTTGAGTCAGAGTCTTGTTCTGTCGCCCAGGCTGGAGTGCAGTGGCAGGATCTCAGCTCATGGCAACCTCTGCCTCCTGTGTTCAAGCAGTTCTCCTGCCTCAGCCTCCCAAGCAGCTGGGATTACAGCCACGTGCCACCACACCCGGCTAATTTTTGTATTTTTAGTAGAGACGAGGTTTCACCACGCTGGCCAGGCTGGCCTCAAACTCCTGACCTCAGGTGATCCATCCACTTCGACCTCCCAAAGTGCTGAAATTACAGGCATGAGCCACTATGCCTGGCCTACACATTGAACTATTTAAATATTTGATCCATTAGAAATTTATCCTGGTGTGGGGCATGATTTATTCATTCTTCCTTATGGTTACCCAGTTGCCATTATGTTTATTGGGCAATCTAGTTTTCTTCGTTGACTTTAAATGACACGTTTCAAAATTTATGTATTCTCATATATATCTGGGACTACTTCTGGCTTTCTAATATGTTCTGCTGTCTTGTTTATTCACTTGCCAGTACCACATTATTTTAATTACTGAGGCTGTGTAATGCATTCAATAACTGGCAGCTCTTGCTTATTTGTCCATGTGAACTTCGGAATCTCCTTGCCTAGTTTATTTTTTTTCTTAATGGTTGGTATTTTATAAATTGAGAATGTGTAAAATGTAATAAATTAACTTAGGAAGAATTGATATATTTAGAACCTCAAACTTCCCTAATTTAGAACATGATTTTTTTTTTCAAATTCTTTTTTGTATTTTTTAGGAGTGCCTTCCAGTTGTTTACATAGATTTGACATGTTTCATGTTAAGTTATTCCCTGGTACTGAATTGCATTGTTACTGTAGCAAGTGTGGTCTTTTCTTCCTCTGTAGTCTGTGAATGGGCTGCTGTTTGGAGGTACAGCTTTCCACAATGCCAACGTCTTGCTCTCTGCCTGAAAAGATGCCCCAAGGCCCAGCACACCCATGCTGTGACAAGCAGGGCACATCCCTGAGTCAGAGATGGAGCAGGTCAAGGCAGCTCAAGGCTTCCCATCCTGACTCCAACCCCTTCACGGGCAAGGCTCAAGGAGCTGGGAACCTGGAGTAAGAAGAAGATGTGAACTGAGTTGCGAAAATCAAACTCTAAGAGCTGGGAGGCTCTTTCCCATCAAGCTTCTAAGAAAGCTAAACTTTCTCTAATATGAGACGAATAATTTGTTATGAGATTAATGTAGATGCGCTGCAAGACAGGCATCTATCCGATCATTCTTTTGGACTCACAGCAAAGCTTATCAAACGCTGTCAGCAGTCACTCTATGCACAGCCCTGGATTTGGCAGTCACTTTGAGTATGGGACTCTCTACTGCCCCCTCCCACCTACACAACATTACCCCCGCCTCCTCACCCCTTCAGGTGCCCTCACTCATGGCCAGGCTGGGCAGGATTAGCTTCTCTGCTGCAAGAGGGACGTCAAGGCAGTGGAAGTGGGGTTGGCAATTACCTCTGCTGCAAAGTCCTCTGGTTGAGACACCAGGCTTAGCCTGCCTTCCTGCCAACTGTTGACGGCAGCAGTGGCCCATCTGGGGTGGCTGCTGTGAGGACGCCAGCTGCAGTGGGGAAGCCATGGCTGGGATTGTGCACTCTGTGGAGCTGGCAGGGGCCAGGAATAGGTGATCCCAGCAGGAGCCCTGCACCCTACCAAGCTGGCAGGATGGGAGCCTGTTCTCCCAGGCAGTTGCAGCTGCCCAGCCGTGGACCTGGGCATCCCTGCACTCTCCAGGGCCTGGGAAGCCTCCTATTCCTTCAGGCAGAGGTGCCTGTTCCCACTCTCTGGCCTCTCCTCTCTCCAAGTGCCCGCTCCAGTGCGAAGCAAAGTTGTGGCAGACCCAGCACCCTGCTGCCTCAGCCCTTTCTGGACTTCGGGCAGTGATGAGTGTGGGAGGGAGGCTGGGGGCATTGAGGGCAGCTGAGCGTGGGCATGTGGGTGCCCCTCAGTGCAGATAGCCTGCGTGCCATGGATGGCATGTTGATGGCAGTGGGAGGCAGACAGGTTCCTAGGCAGGAAGGGGTGGGTCTCTAGTGAAACCCTACCTTTAAGCCAGGGATGGCCTGAAGCCTGGGGGCTCAGCTGTCCGTTCCAGGTGGAGTCCGCAACCTGGAGTGAGAACTTCACTGATGCCTTTTGGCCAATCAGACGGTGCTTTTTCCAGGCCTGCCTATGACCACCTATGGACCAATCAGCATGCACTTCCTCCCTTCTGAGCCCATAAAAACCCCAGACTCAGCCAGCCTAAGACACTTGTCTGGACCACCTGTAGAAAGGAGCTACCCACTTTGGGTCTCCTGACAGCTGTTCTGTCACTCAATAAAGCTCCTGCCTGCCTTGTTCACCCAGTTGTCTGCATAACCTCATTCTTCCTAGACACAGGACAAGAACTCAGGACCTGCTGAATGGCGGAAGTGAAAGGAGCTGTAACATGTTCTTGACCAGCTCGCTGAGCTGTGGGTGGTGACATGCTCCTGGGCTATGGGAGTAAAGGATGGCAACCCTTCTGGGGGCCCAGACCTCAGAGCTGGAGCTGCTGTTAACACTATAGCCCTCCCACCCTCTGCTGGTGCTGAGTGGCCACCCCACATGATGGGAAACAGCAGTGGGGCTGGTCCAGCCCATGAGCCACGGGCCAGAGCAAGGTGGTGGGACTGAAAGAGCTGTAACACAAATGGGCTGAAACATGTCCCCCCACTCACCACACTGTAGGTAACAAGAAGTAGAGAAGAGCTGCAGCCCTTCTGGAAGCCCAGACCTTGGTGCTCCCTGAGCCATGGCTGTGACATGCTGTAACACCTATTTGGGGACTCTGCAGTTCCTGGTGTCTCTGAGCTTTCGGGCACCACCACATTCCCCTCATCCAGACGCTGGTGCCCACAGTGGAAGCCACTTGTGGCACATCTGGTCCAGCCACAGCCTCAAAGGGAGCTGGCATATGGAGCTTCCCACCCTGCCACAGCAGCCAGCGTGCCTGGCTGTGCAGTGGCCAGACCCTGTGTTCACTCACTCACATACCCACTTGCTGCTCCATGCCTGGCTTGCCCTTGGCAGGCATGGGATCCAGGCTGGTAGCACAAGCTGAGCACATCTTACTGGGCTGAGTGGACAGAACAAGTCCAGCAGGCATGAGCAAAACTCAGGCAGAGGTGCCACCAGCAACAGAGGTTTCCAGCTGGTAAAGCGACACCCTAAGGATCCTGTGACACTGTGACCTCCCTCCCCCTGAGAGACTGGTAAGGACTGGACAGGCTCATCACCGTGAAGTCAGAGCAACCCCTCACCCTTTTCTCATTTCCACACTGTGGCGGGCTCCCTGCCAATCTGGGTAGTTTGTCCCAATTTTATCTCTGAGTTCTTGCAGATCTCTATCTCCAATCAGTTCCTCAACCTGGGCAATTCTTCCCTCACGCCCCACCCTCGTCCCTTCCTTTCCCTCCTCGCTGCCATCATTGCAGAATCTGAGACTTGTACAATCACAACAGCCTCTGAATTACCTCTGGTGGTGTCTCCTCCTCCTCTCCATCCTCCATAGGGCCACAGCATCTGTTCCTTCCAGACTCCCAAGGTTTGCCATTGTCCATAAACACACACCACTTGTTTTGTCAATCAAGGCTCTCCCCTGCCCAAACAAGCTCCATTCACTCTGCATTTTTTTTTTTTTTTTTTTGAGACAGGGTCTCGCTCTGTCACCCAGGCTGGAGTGCAGTAGCATGGTCCTCAGCTCACTGCAACCTCCACTTCCTGGGTTTAAGCAGTTCTCCAGGCATGCTCCACTATGCCTGGCTAACTTTTGTATTTTTAGTAGAGACGAGGTTTCACCATGTTGCCCAGGCTGATCTCAAACTCTTGGCCTCAAATGATCCTCCTGCCTCAACCTCCCAAAGTGTTGGGATTACAGGCGTGAGCCACTGCACCCTGCCCATTCTACCTTCATGTGTCCTTTCCTCCTGCCCACCAACCTCCATCTTTTCATGAATCAAAAATCCCACCCACCCTTTGGGCCTATGAAACCTTCCCAGACTCCCTCAGCCCCTGGCTCCTCATTTCCTGTAATTCCTGTGCAGTGCATCACTTGTGATTCTTTAGGTGCACTCTCGCTCATGCATTTCTGAGCTGCTGAAGGAGGCTCTTCGCTACCCAAAGCACACTGGCCCCGTAACTGTGTTCAGCTCACTTTTGTGCCCAGAGCCATCAGCTACTTCATAATTACCATGGATACTCTTCTGCTCTTTCCACATGAATCACCTTGATTTCTAGTTGCCTTTTTGGATACCAATAAGTAACACTTATACCCAACTCACTAAGTGCCTGAGAGGAATGTCGCCCCCTCCTTCCTCAGTCAAGTATCCTCACTGGAGCATGATCTACAGTCCCGCCGTCTATTCCTGCCTTGCCTATATCCCTGTGAATGCAATTCTTGGTTAACTCTTGTTTAGTGAGAAGGAAGCTTGTTCATTATCTTCAGTACACTGCTCCTTCACACTTTCAAAAAAAGCACTTAAAAGTCCCTCATTTTAGAGGCTTGATCTGTTTTAAACATAAGGACTGGATGCTGGTATGGCCACAGCTCTAGCCTGTCTAGAATAGGGACCGAGGTGGGGGGACTGCTGGAACGTGTCAAGTGGTTACTCATCCCCAACTACTCCCAAGCAGGACGGCATGTAATAAGTCTCATTTTAGCTCTGACAGGCGTGTCACTATGACATATGATGGTTCAAACACTGGCCCTTGTTTAAGATAAAGAGCATTTGACATTTTTTAGCATTCTAGAATATTTTGGAGAGGAATCAGGAGCAAACCAATGCCAAAGGTAAAGAAGTCTGAATTTAAGGGGTAGCAAAAGGTAAGGATAGTTATTGTCAGATGTGGTTAAAAGGTAGGCAGGACCCCAGCTCTGCAGAATCGTGCAGGTGAGGCAAAGGAGCATCTCAGAAGCGAAGCTGCTACTTACGAGAACTTCTGGTCTCAACCAGTCAGAACTCAGAGTGAATCCTTCAAGGTGACTGGAGCCAACTGGTTCCCTGAGACCCCCTACCCTTGGGACAGCTTAAAGGCTTAAGACTGCAGATGGGTATTATTAGAAAATGGGGCCACGCCAGAACCAGGGGGAGAATCTCTCATTCCATGGACTTTACGCTCCAGGAGATACCAAATGGCCCAGTGGGAGGGTGGGGTTTGGAATGCCATGGAATCTGTTAGCAATATGCTGGCTCGTTTTTCTCCAGAAATATTCTGCCTGCCCTAGGGGGTAGCTCAGATGTTGGCAGGACTCACCTCCTCAGCTATCTCAGGAAAAAAAAAATCGATCCTCAGCCCTTTTTCCCATTGCAAGTCATAAGAGAATGTGCTTCCACCCCAGGGTAGCATGTGCCAGCCAGGTGGTGAGGTCATTCGAGCAAGGGTCCCAGGGAATAGGAGGAGCATGGACAGTCGGTTGACTATGGATCCTCAACAGCCAACAGAGAAGTAATCAGACCCCTTGTTCCAGTGATTCTCAGGGAAAATATTTTAGAGTTCCCTGCTCTCTGTTTATCTCCTTTCTAGCTTCTTGTGTATTGGTAGTGACATCAGGCAGTGAAATGACTGACCATTCTTTACATCATCCATGGTATCAGGGATGGAGTTGGAAGTGAGGCTTTTTGGTGGGTTGGGTGGAATTATAGGGGAATCACTTGCACGCTGATAAAGGACCTCCCTCCTTGTGAGACTCAGAGTTTGGGGGCAGTGCTGTCCTCCCAGGGTGCTCTGCCAAATATGCTTAAGTTCAACAGATAACTTGTATTTCAAAGAAACAGCTCTGGAGCTCTGCACCCAGAAAACACAAGAAGAGGACATCATGAGTTCTCTTGGATGTTAAATGTGATTTTCTAAGAGATTTATGTTATGCAGTTAAGAAAAGAAAAAACATAGCAAAGGAAAAAAGATTTCAAAAAGTTTAAAAAACGTAGATCCTTAGTAAATGTGCTTTTCCTAGTCACAAACGTCCAATCTGTACAGGACAATTAGGACAATGTTCACAAAGCCCCATGCTGGTGGGTTCACTCAAGCTGATGGCTGGATGGCACTGGGCCAAGATGCTATAGAAGGAGGGATGAGGCTGGGCGTGGTGGTTCACGCTTGTAATCCCAGCGCTTTGGGAGGCTGAGGTGGGCGGATCACAAGGTCAAGAGATTGAGACCATCCCGGCCAACATGGTGAAACCTGGTCTCTACTAAAAATACAAAAAACTAGCTGGGTGTGGTGGCACGTGCCTGTAGTACCAGCTACTCGGGAGGCTGAGAAGGGGAATTGCTTGAACCCAGGAGGCAGAAGTTGCAGTGAGCTGAGATTGTGCCATTGCCCTCCAGCCTGGTGACAGAGAGACTCCATCTCAAAAAAAAAAAAAAAAAAAGAAGAAGGAGGAGGGATGCGGGCCGAATGAGTGATGCTCTGGTGCAGTGGAGAGGTTGATAATCCCTACCCTCTGGTTTTGAGTAAATAGGTCTGGGTGGGGACCAGAAAGCCATATTTTTCAAGATCTTTATCAAGTATTTTATTTATTTATTTATTTAGAGTGGGGTGTTGCTCTGTTGCTCAGGCCGGAGTGCAGTGGCGCAATCAAGGCTCACTGCAACCTCGAACTCCTGGGCTCAAGCAATGCTTCTGCCTCAGCCTTGCAAAGTGCTGGGATTACAAGTGCATATTACCATGCCCAGCCACTTAAAAAAATTTTTTTTTGTAAAGATGGAGGTCTCACTATGTTGCCAGGGCTTGTCTTGAACTCCTGGGCTCAAGTGATCCTCCTGCGTAGGCCTCTCAAAGTGCTGGGATTACAGGCGTGGGGCCTGGCCATTTATCAAGGAGTTCTAATGATCATCCAATTTGGAAAACAATAACCTTGATGAATGATGATCTGTTCCAAACCCATGGTGATATGGTTCTAGTTGAAATATTTTATTTCAGTGAATCCAGAATTTTCCCTGGATGAATAAATATGCAGATACTCACCTATAATTTGACATTGCAACCGGAAGAATATTCTCTTCTTTTACGTATTTTTTAAAGGATTGACCTAAGGGTACTAAAATCCAGATAATCACCTTACATATGAATTCCAAAAGCCCAACGAACTCATCAGTAAGAAAGTTTTCCTTTCCCCTTATGGAATGTATGAGACCACTGTGGTCAAGGTTTCCTCGGTGAATCAGCTGCAGAATCCTGGCTAAGTCTTAGGCACTGAGCTCAGCCTCCTCAGGAAACTGGCTCTGGAATGGCCACTGAGGCACCAGAAATAGGAGCTTTCTATTATCACTAACTATACCACAACAGAACCTTTTAAAGCCATTTTTTTTAAAAAATTAAAGGATATTAAATCATTTCCCTAGATTTTGTGGAAATCATAGGCTCAAATCATTTACTTTTATCACTGAAGTTACAAAAAGAATTACAATAACATTTTAGTTAAAAAAAATATAATTGCAGCATGATCTAGGACCAGAAATACCATTTGACCCAGCAATCCCATTACTGGATATATACACAAAGGATTATAAATCATTCTACTATAAAGACACATGCACACATATGATTACTGCAGCACTGTTCACAATAGCAAAGACTTGGAACCAACCCAAATGCCCATCAATGATAGACTGGATAAAGAAAATATGGCACATATACACCATGGAATACTATGCAGCCCTAAAAAAGGATGAGTTCATGTCCTTTGCAGGGACATGGATGAAGCTGGAAACCATCATTCTCAGCAAACTAACACAGGAACAGAAAACCAAACACCACATGTTCTCACTCCAAAGTGGGAGCTGAACAATGAGAACACATGGACACAGGGAGGGAAACATCATACACCGGGGCCTGTCAGAGGATGGGGGCATAGGGGAGGGACAGCATTAGGAGAAATACCTAATGTAAATGATGAGTTAATGGGTTCAGCAAACCAACATGGCACATGTATACCTATGTAACAAACCTGCATGTTCTGCACATGTATCCCAGAACTTAAAGTATAAAAAAAATCCTTGCAGCTTATGGTTAAAATGAAATCCACGAATCATTTGGGTCCTAATGAAGATTAATCATCATCATTCAATAAACATGCCCATGCTGCAAGTGGCGCTTTTGGTGTTCTACAGGCATAAACCTATCTGATCCTCATAACAACTCTATGTGATATGTACTACTATCATTCCCATTTTACAGATGAGGAAATTGAGGCAGAAGTTAAGTTATCCCCCCATGCTAATACAAATCATAACAAAAAGTGTTGGAATTTGAACCAACACTAGTAGCTTCAGCGGCCACAGAGAAGGCCCACAGTCAGACTTGAGGTTAGCAAAGCTTTTAAGGTAAATGACAGCATCTATTTAAGAAACAGACCAAACAATTGCTATTTTTTAAAAAACTATCATATCACAATCGAAGGATTGATCTTATCTCATTTGCTTTAGCTTTAATTAAAGAATTTTCTAGATGTTTGCCACCTTGTTTCTTAGCCTTTTAAAATGATCCTACTTCTCCCAGCTGTTTCTTAACATACAATGGTGTATTATTATTTACCATATTTTCCCCACCAATTCACAAAGCAAATGCAACACAGCACTGGATCAAATGACAGATTTGATTTCAATTTTGTTGGCAGTAACTTCTGTGTTTAATTACTCATTGTGTTAAAAGCTAAAGCTGGTTATTCCTCGCTTGTCACCTGCAGTATAAAAATGGAACTATCTAAAACAAAAACACTTAATTACTTTCCTTCTGGAGAAGGTTTGAATGAATCAGAAGTGTCACAAAGCAAATTTTCACTAGGGAGCTTGACAGATGAAGAAATCAAACAGGCTTTCAGCTCTGTGTACTTTCAGTCTTTCTGCTCATTCAAGTATGTGTGTTCCATTCATTAATTTCTTCATTTCACAAATATTTATTGCTATATATCAAGCATTGGGCAGTAATGGTTAGAAGTCCTAAATATCAGGCATAATATCAAATTTAAGTACAAAAATGTTTTCCAAATCCTGTTCAGATTTGTTTAGAGATATCTGCCTCTTTGAAATATACTATTTTCAGAATAATTCAGAGTTTGCCATAAACTCCCACACTGACTTCCTCACATTTATTTCAGCCAAGCAAATTTAAACAGAAGTTGATGCTTTTCCTACACAATTTGCAATGACATGGCATGATACCCCATATCTAAATAATATGCTTATACAGATGACCAAATTTAGTTTTTGTTTAAATCTTTATCAATTCAAGGTTATTTCAGCACATAGGTGGGTGGCTTATTAAACCTTTACTATTTGAGAAATTGCATTTCCTTTTTATTTTCCTCCTGGGTTCAAGCGATTCTCGTGCCTCAGCATCCCAAGTAGCTGGGACTACAGGTGTGTGCCACCTTGCCCAGCTAATTTTTGTATTTTAGTAGAGGCAGGGTTTCACCATGTTGCACGGGCTGGTCTTAAACTCCTGAACTCAGGCAATCCACCCACTTCGGCCTCCCAAAGTGTTAGGATCACAGGCATAAGCCATCGCACCCAGCCTGTATTTCCATTTTTAAGACAAAAGCGTGTAAACTCGTTCTGAGGTTCGGGCAATTGTGATATATAATACATGCAAGTTAGTCCAAAATCAAGTAAAATATACAATAAACTGACATACAAGACAGATTCCAATAAACAAAATGTCACACTGAAAACACAGTAATCTGATATTAGGATTTATTGTACTGCACTGATATTTTTTATGTAAAGCATGAAGCAGGGTCTGGAATATACCATTTCAAAATATGCCACTCTGGCATAAGGATTATTCTGAGTTGAAGGCAACGGAGGATCTCTGCGCCCACTTTTTCTGCCTAAAAGCCAGGCATAAACTTCCCTTTGTTCAGGTGTCTCCCACTCCTGTACCAGGAAGGGGAAGTGCAACTCTTTTTTATTTTGTTTGAGATGGAGTCTGGCTCTGTCACACCCATGCTGGAGTGCAGTGGCGTGATCTCTGCTCACTGCAACCTCTGCCTCCCAAGTTCAAGTAGTTCTCCTGCCTCAGCCTCTTGGGTAGCTGGGACTATAGGCCCACGCCACGAAGCATGGCTAATTTTTATATTTTTAGTAGAGACAGGGTTTCGCCATGTTGGCCAAGCTAGTCTTGAACTCCCAACCTCAGGTGAACCACCCACCTCAGCCTCCCAAAGTGCTGGGATTACAGGCATGAGACACCGCACCTGGCTGAAGTGCAACTCTTAACACCAGAGATGGAGATGAGTCTGCACAAACAAACCTCACTAAAATAACGCTTATCTTCCCCTAGTTTCCCCCGTGTATTTCCCAGTTGCTTCCGCACAATTGTTCATCCCTTGAAGCCCAAAGCTCTTTTCCTTTATGAAGAAAGGTATATAAGCTCCCAAGTCTGATCTGTTGAGTGTTACTTCTTTTCTGTGAACTCCCATACATATAAATTATTAATAACATTTGTATTCTTTTCTGCTGTGAACCTGACTTTTGTCAGTTACATTTGCAGGCCCCTGGTCATTGCACAAGAGAGGATAAAGAAAGAGTTTTTCTTCCCTGACAAGAGCATCGTACTTGTATTTCTAATGTATTTCTCTATTTTGTATTTTGTACTAAAAATACAAAAAATTAGCCAGGCGTGGTGGTGCGCACCTGTAGTCCCAGCTACTTGGGAGGCTGAGGCAGGAGAATCGCTTGAACCCGGAAGGCAGAGGTTGCGGTGAGCCGAGATCGTGCCACTGCACTCCAGCCTGGGCGAAAAAGGAAAACTAATCTAAAAAAAAAAAAAGAAAGAAAGAAAAAAAAAGAGAAATTCTGTCTACTTAAGAAAATCTCCACCAAGGATGCAGATGTAAACTACTTTTTGGAGATTCATTGGAAGCATCCTTACGAGGTGACAGTGACTATGAGCTTTTGGTGGACACTCCAAAATATACAGTCTACTTGCTGGTGGACTCCAAGTTTTCAATAGAGATTACACTTTTCTCAAATTAGTTTCAGTGTGGCTCTCTATGGAACAATAGAAATAATAAAGCCGGCCAATGCAGGCCAAATTTGACAGCAAATGGAGATAACTGATTTAAAAGACAGATGCCTGAAAGAACAGTCCACAGTCTGGCCAAGACGTTAAGAGGTTTTCAAGTCCTAAAGTACCAGCCATCATTACATTATCATGGGCCATATGAAAACATCCTGCAGCCTCTAATCCATGATAAAGTGATGGGACGTGCACAGAGACTGTTGTAAGGAGCTCGCTGACACAGGCAGGAGACCACTGTGTAAGGAGCTTGCTGACGCAGGCAGCAGAGCACTGTTCTCCTGGGGAGGCGGGCTAATCCTGTCCTCTTGAGGAGGGAGGGTGTTTAAATGCATTTGATTTTAGTGAAAGCTCTAGAAAGCGCCAAAAATCCAACAGCTGCACACAGTTCCGATTAGGAACCATGACCTCAACTCGTAATTTTTGGGAAAGGAGGATTTATTGTATTGTTTGTCAAATTCAAGTTTTATTTTATGTCCATAAAGCTGTGGAAAGGAAAACACCGTCTTTTCTGACTACAACAGGCTGTTTGCAGCTCCCTGACAATATGACACCCTGCTGAAGAAGCACAGCCTCTGGGGCTTCAGGTAGGATTTTTCTGGATTACTGGTTGCACAAAGCAAAAGTCAAAGCATGTTCAGACCCCAGCCTTCCTAAGCTCTGCTTCTCACACAGACCCACCATGCCTGGCCCAGCCTGGACGCTCTTGACCACCTTCAAAGCCCAAATGCCTTCTTTTCACTCATGTGTGACGACTATCTAGTTACAAGGATACAAGCAGTCCCCAGAGAATTTACTGGGTCTTTTCAGAGGCAATAGGCTCTGCCCCAAACCCTGGACTACTCCTTTCCTTCCAGGTTACAAATAAGCTCTTGCAGCAGATTTTTTTTTTTTTTTGAGACAAGGTGTCGCTTTGTCATCCAGGCTGGAGTGCGGTGGCGCAATCAGAGCTCACTGTAGCCTCAAACTCCTGGACTCAGGGAATTCCCGCCCCCTCAGCCTCCTGAGTAGCTGGGACTACGGGCATAGGCCACCGTAGACAGCTAATTTTCAGCAAACACCTTAACACAGAGAGCCAGTGTGGCCACCAAGTGCTCCACTGCCCCTTAAACAGGTAGGAAGGGGATTTTGGGCTAAAAGTGGCAACTCAAGATCCAGGTAGCTTTGTCTAAAGTAGCCCAGTAACAATCGAACCCCTGAACGGAAAGATAATCAAACACAGAACAAACCATGGCCATGGCCAGAGGCGCTAGAATTTAAACTGGAAGCCGTGAAAATTCTTTGAATTTCTTAGAGGACTGACAGAAGTCATTATGCGCAAAAAAAATTGTATTCCCCCAGTCATCCACGTTTACATTTTATGAGATACTTTGTTTGCTGAAGAATACACGTTTTAGGAGATTTTCAGTCCCAGAGAAGAAATATTTTCAAATGGATTGTGACTCCCTGCGGATGCGTATGTGAGGAAAACCAGGGATGTGAAGGTCAGGATTTTGTGCAAACTTTAATGACTCTTCTGCCAAAATGATTTTGTTCAGTTAAAACTAAAACTAACCAGACGTATGACACATATTTACAGTCAGGGTCAAGAGTGTTTACTCTTCAGCAGTTAGCTTTGAAAACAAAAGAGCTTTGACCACAGATGGACTGAAGGGAACCAAAGCTGGAATGGAGAGCTCCCTGGAAGTGTAAGAGCCAAACTCACAGCCCTGCTTTCCAAAGCCCACCACTTCCAGGAGTCGGCCATGAATTCAGATGATGAGCTTCGTGGCAATATCTATTTTTAAAGGCCAGCACACACATACAATATGATATGGTTTCCCTGAGAAAGCCACAACTGCCAAATAATTACCACATTTCTAATTTTAAATTTGAGTTAACAAACACCAAAGCATAAGCTGAGGGTTGATTTTAATTTTTGCTCTACTAAAATCAAACTCGATTGTCATGTACTCATTTTCTCCTCATTACAAACTACATTTTAAAAAATATTATGACAAACTACATTTTTAAAAAGATTATTGCAAACTACATTTTTTTTAAATGTGGATTTTTTTGGATGTTACGCATACATAGGTACACATACATGTATAATACATACATACACAAAGATAACAGAGAAGAAAAAATGACCAATCCTAAGAAGAAATAACAGCTTCTTTCCACAAGGTATCATGAAGCCTAGAAATCAGAATTCATGTTTCAAATTATAATAATTTTTAAAGTTTTTTTAGTATTAGCAATATTAAGAAAGCCATCAGAACCGTGTAAATGGAGACATATTATGTATATACTATGCATGTTTTAAAAATTATCATTGCACACATTAAAATCAGTCAAACTTACAGATATCCATAGCCATGTTGTTATGTCTTGAAGATGAAAGGGGAGAAACAGAAAGAGAATAAGAGAAAAGAGAATATAGGAAGAGATGAAGAGGAAAGAGGAGAGGAAAAGAGAAGGAAAAGGAAGGAAAAGAAAAGAAAGAAAAGAAGGGAAAAGAGAGGAAGGGAAAGGGGGAGAGAGAGCAAAAGGAAAGAGGTGGGAGAGAAAGGAGAGGACTCCCCTTATAGTGTCCCTAAATATTCACCCACCCTCTGACAAACCAAATAAGGGCAGGTGGCAACTCGGATAGTCAACTGTGCGGTTATTTTAAAAACGTTCATTCAGTGCAACAGCTGAGCTGAATTGTTTTTGATATATAGTCACCTAATCCAATTCAACTTGTGTATTCATCTACTCTTGATGCTAGGGTTAAGCAGGGGAAGTGAGGTATTATCCCTGCTTTTTATTTTTATTTTTTTGAGACGGAGTCTCACCCAGGCTGGAGTACAATGGCACGATCTCAGCTCACTGCAAACTCCACCTCCCGGGTTCAAATGATTCTCCTGCCTCAGCCTCCTGAGTAGCTGGGACTACAGGCGCCCACTACCACACCAAGCTATTTTTTGTATTTTTAGCAGAGATGGGGTTTCACCATGTTGGCCAGGCCGGTCTCAAACTCCTGACCTCGTGATCCACCCACCTCAGCCTCCCAAAGTGCTGGGATTACAGGTGTGAGCCACCACGCCCGGGCTATCCCTGACTTTTTAAATAAACTTTTTAAATTTGATTTTTTATTCTTAAAATTTTTTTTTTTTTTTTGTAGATATGGCGTCTCACTATATTTCCCAGGCTGGTCTCGAACTCTTGGCCTCAAGCAATTCTCCCACCTTGGCCTCCCAAAGTGCTGGGATTACAGGTGCACGCCCCACCCATCCTTGCCTTTGTATTCTGTGTATTTAATAATACATCACTACCTCCATGTAAGAATCAGGTAAATCTTGTACTTCTGAAAAATCACTCAAATTGTAGTTGAAAAGAAATGCAATGGAGAATGATCTCACTTGCCTGTGGTATTCTGTACCCAAGGACACTCACACGGTCTGTGAGCCTGCTCTGAGCTAGGAAAGTGCTGCGGGAAGGCAGGAACGCTTAATCCCAAGGGGAATTTCCCAACCAAAGCAGCAAGTTCCCCGAGGCTGGAGAGCTCTGTGCGTTGGCAGGGAGGGCATTCCAGAGCAGATGGAGAACACAGATGTGGAGGCACAGCAGGGGTCCCACCATGCTTGGGAAACAGGGGCTACCCCGCAGCGGGCCAAGCCCAAGGTGCAGAGGGAACCATGACTCTCAAGAGAGCATAAACAAAGACAACAGAGCAGAAAAGATGACCAGATCCCTCTAACAAGAAATAACAGCCTCTTTCCTCAAAGTACAATCATGTTTAAAAATTACATTCCAGGTTAACCAGGTTTTCAAGCTACCTCACAAAACCACATGGGCTGTGGGCCCATGGCAGGAGGAGGTCCACGACCTGGGGGTCTGGCCTCTTCTTGATCCTAATACACCCTCTGGCCCTGCATTTCCTACATAGCCCAAGAGTTCTCATCCTCTTCTGTTGTGAGCTCATTTTAATAATAAAGATTTATGAGGAAAAGCTAAATATATGCGCACGCACACACACATACAAACACACACAATCACAGACACAAATATGCATACATACAGAAACACACACACAAGCACACATACACGTAGACATACACAAACATCAGTGACTTGGGAGCAGCAAAGAACCTTGGAAACACTGGCCGGGCGCGGTGGCTCACGCCTGTAATCCCAGCACTTTGGGAGGCCGAGGCGGGCGGATCACGAGGTCAGGAGATCGAGACCATCCTGGCTAACACGGTGAAACCCCGTCTCTACTAAAAATACAAAAAATTAGCCGGGCGTGGTGGCGGGCGCCTGTAGTCCCAGCTACTCGGGAGGCTGAGGCAGGAGAATGGCGTGAACCCGGGAGGCGGAGCTTGCAGTGAGCCGAGATCGCGCCACTGCACTCCAGCCTGGGCGACAGAGTGAGACTCCGTCTCAAAAAAAAAAAAAAAAAAAAAAAAAAGAACCTTGGAAACACTGAAGGTCAATCTCTCGTTTTTCAGGTGAGAAAACTGCCTGGGAATCTAAGTGGCTTGTACAGGTGACAAGCGCACCATCTCTTCTTATGATCATCCCGCCCGGCTCCACACACATTCTAAACTGTCAGAGGTTTATGAGTTGCAGACATTTGGGAGGAAAATACATGATATCCTTAGTAGCCACAGCAGGTACTCCAAAATCATTGGAAGGAATGAATAAATAATGAAACTTTGGCACAGTTCGCTGGGTAATCACAAGATCTCACACAAGCCATCAACACAGAAAGATCTAATCATGCACATCACAGCCCTGGTTCCCAGAGGACAACTTTAGTTTCCATCCATACGTTTAAACACGTCGAAAGCAAAAACAAACAAAACGCTATTTAAGCTAATGTCTCCCAGAACAACACCATGACCTTAAACCGAAACACAAACGTAGGAAAGAACAACCAAGCAGCCAAAGGACACGTTGTCAACAGAGACTGCAATCCCCCTAGTTCCCCAAACCACTCTGTCCCGGAATTCAAAGCACCTCCATGCAAACCGCTCCCTAAGCGAGAGCTGCCTTGTGAAGTGAGCTTGGAGCATTCAACTCAAGCGTTATTAGTGATGCTGAGATTGCACAGCATGGATCTTCAAATCCATAATTCAAAATGCAGAAATGAACATTTTATGTTTTCGGGACACAAAGAACCTACAAAACTGTATCCAGTGTGTGTGCGAGTGTGTGTGTGTGCATGCTTGCACTGGGTGTGTGTATATGTGAAAGAAATAAGGAATCCCCAGGAAATTTTCCCCTAATACAATAAGCTTCCATTTCTTTTGAAAAACACAGTATTTTAGATTTTTCCTCTGCTATCCAAGTATGACAAATTACATGGATAGGTCAATAGGCAATGCATGGCAGTTTTTCAGTTCCTATCAGCAGATGCAAAGTGCAAATCCACTTCCTCTGGTCCTGTGCTGTCCAACAAAAGGGGCCACTGCAATTCTGACTAATTAACATGAAGTCAAGGTTAAGGTCTAATTCCTCAGTGGCACTTGCTACCAGTGGCTAGGGGCTACCCAACAGAACAGTACCAGTTTGAGAATACACCCATCAACAGATTGTCCAGTTCTACTGGCCAGTACTAAGTCAGGCCCCATGGGTTGTTCTGATCTCATTTCAGTGGAGGATGGGACCCATTAGGAGCCGTAAGGCTCAGCTGGGTGTTATCTGGAGCCATCCAGGCACGTCTAAGCTCTTCATTTCTATAGAAACACAGTCATTTGCCAGGCAGGCGCGGAGGCTCACGCCTGTAATCCCAGCACTTTAGGAGGCCAAGGCGGGTGGATCATGAGGTCAGGAGATTGAGACCATCCTGGCTAACACGGGGAAACCCCATCTCTACTAAAAATACAAAAAAAATTAGCCAGGCATGGTGGCACGCGCCTGTAGTCCAGCTACTCGGGAGGCTGAGGCAGGAGAATGGCTTGAACCCAGGAGGGGGAGGTTGCAGTGAGCCGAGATCACACCACTGCACTCCAGCCCGGGCCACAGAGCAAGACTCCATCTCAAAAACAACAACAACAAAAGAAACACAGTCATTTGCCATGGTGGTCCCTTAAGATTACAATGGCTACACCATCAACCGTAGTATGTAGTGGGCTGTACCATCTAGGTTTGTGGAAATGCACTCCATGATGGTTGCAGAATGACGAAATCACCCAAGGACATATTTCTCAGCAGGTACTCCTGTTGTTAAGCAACATATGACTAATCAGAATGTGACTTTTCCTCACATGCATTTGTTCTTCACTTTTTGGGAGTCACAGCCCCTTTAAGAAGAGTAATGAAAACAATGGATGCTCTCCTTTATTAAATGAGCTTTCAAAAAAAAAAAAAAAACCCCTAGCATTTTCCATATGGTTTTGGGGAGATATTCTAACATTCTAAAGCTTGTTCTTGGACCCCAGTTTAAAAACCATCTGCTTGGCTCACACATGTAATCCCAACCCTCTGGGAGGCCGAGGTGGGTGGATCACCTGAGGTCAGGAGTTCAAGACCAGCCTGGCCAACATGGCGAAACCCCATCTCTACTAAAAATACAAAAATTAGCCGGGTGTGGTGGCACACACCTGTAATCCCAGCTACTCAGGAGGCTGAGGCAGAAGAATCACCTGAATGTGGGAGGCAGAGGTTGCAGTGAGCTGAGATCGATCATGTCAGCCTGGGCGACAGAGTGAGACTTCGTCTCAAAAACAAAACAAAACAAAAAACGCCTGCTCAACAAAATCATTTACAGTGCTCATTTGAAACACAACTTCCCAGCAATAACAATTTGACTTCACCTGCCTTAGGTTACTGTTTTTTAAAAGTAAAAACAAAGTCTCATTAAAAAAAAAAATGAGCTCATTAATGGTAGAAATTATCATCAATGCTCATGTTAGCCAGGGAGATGCTGCATGCATAAAAGTTAGCTTAGAAAACTCTCTCCTTTAAAATACCACGGTAATTTGTTCTCCACATATCTTAGGGCATCCATTTACCATCTGATTATTATTTTCATGTGGAGAGCTACTGAATAAATTGTAATTTACTTTTAATGAAATAATTATCTTGTGAAGGACAAATGTTGAAATGTTTAAGGCCCCATGAACCAAGCAATCTCTTTCAACTTGGGCAAAATTAAACGTAAAAATAGTACTAACATAAAGGTAGGCAGAAGGCAGATCTAGCTTATATACAATCAGCTTCACCCAGTGATAGAAGTGACCAGGTGAATCGTCTTAAAAAGAAAAAAAAAACACACAGAAAGATTACAGACTCCAAAGTTTCAGTTGTAAGTTACATTCTCTGACATGATTAGTGACACACAATAGTTCATCCAATGTTACTAAACTCCTTCTAAAATCATCTCAAAGTCTTCAGTTAAGACTACCTTTCTTTTTAACTTTTGCTAAGTTTAATAAAGTTCTGAGACAAAGTCTGAAAGTAAGAAAGAAGTAAAGTGGATCCAATGATTTATTTCTGTAACATCCTGCTTGATATCAACATCAACCTTTGCCTTGGTAATGAAATCAACGTTTTATAGACCGAATGTTATGATAGCAGAGAAAGCATGAATTTTAAAAATAGAGAGAGATGGGTACTTGACTTGTACTTGCCTCAAGTATACATATATATATATTTTTTTTCCTTTTTTTTGAGACGGAGTCTCACTCTGTTGCCCAGGCTGGAGTGCAGCGGCGCGATCTCTGCTCACTGCAAGCTCTGCCTCCTGGGTTCACGCCATTCTCCTGCCTCAGCCTCCCGAGTAGCTGGGACTACAGGTGCCCACCACCATGCCCGATAATTTTTTGTATTTTTAGTAGAGACGAGGTTTCACCATGTTATCCAGGATGGTCTCGATCTCCTGATCTCGTGATCCACCCGCCTTGGCCTCCCAAAGTGCTGGGACTACAGGCATGAGCCACCACGCCCAGCCTCAAACATATATTTTGAAATGCGTATAAGCTTTATCAGTATGAATTCTAGGGGAAGAGAGAATTTCAGAAGATACAAAATGCAAACTGTAGGAGGATACAAAGCCTTACAAGTGTCTCCTTTGGTTAGGAACCATGCCGGGTTTTTTGGGGTCTTTTTTCAGCTTTGAGGTATAATTCACAAATGCAAATTGTATATACTCAAGGTGTGCAGCATGATGTTTTGATATAAAAGCTGAACTCACAGAAACAAAATGGAAAGGTGGTAACCAGGGGCTGGAGGTAGGAGAAATTGGAAAGACATTGGTCAAAGGATGCAAACTTGTAGTTACGAGTAAGTTCTGGAAACCTAAGGTATAGCATGGTGACTATAGTTGCTAACAATGTATTATATATTTAAAATTTGCCAAGAAGTAGATCTTAAGTTTTCTCAAGGCACACACACACGGTTATGGCCCCTACATCAGACACACATAACTATGTGAAACCATGGTAGGTATTTTACATTTTGTTATTAACCTAAGCACTTGAACAACAGATGTAGGGCTGAAGATCAAGAGAATCGCTCAGGGTACTTTAGTACCATTCCATTGGAACTTAAACGCTACGAGGGCAGGAATTTTGTTTCCCACCGCTCTTTCCCCAACACCTATACCAGTCCCTGACACACAGTAAGTGCTCAGAAAACAACTGTTGAGAATAAATGAATACCTGGCAGTGAACTAATAAACTCAAAGGGAAACGAAAGCCAAGCACATCCCATCTTGTTGTGAACACGAAGATTCTGACGGTCTCAGGCATCCCTGAGCGAGTCTGCTGTGACCACTTTGGGGTTTCACATCAGGAGAAAAAACAAATGTCCAAAAGAAGATAAAAATAAATTAGGTTAGAGAAAAGAAAATAGACATACTTAAATGAACACAAAAGAAACTATGAGAGCTTAATTTAAAGAGGTGTCAGAAACTTTCCAAAATAAAGAATCAGGCTGGGCGCGGTGGCTCAGGCCTGTAATCCTAGCACGTTGGGAAGCGGAGGCGGGTGGATCACGAGGTCAGGAGATCAAGACCATCCTGGCTAATACGGTGAAACCCCGTCTCTACTAAAAATACAAAAAGTTAGCTGGGCGTGGTGGCGGGCGCCTGTAGTTCCAGCTAGTCAGGAGGCTGAGGCAGGAGAATGGTGTGAACCCGGGAGGCGGAGCTTGCAGTGAGCCGAGATTGCGCCACTGAGCTCCAGCCTGGGAGACTGAGCGAGACTCCATCTCAAAAAAATAAAATGAAAATAAAATAAAATAAAATAAAATAAATAATAAGAATCAAAGACAAAGAATGATTATGAAGCCATCAGAGAAGGGAGAAACAGTCTGTGTATTTCAACAGAAACAAGCAAGGACAGTGAGAGGACTTTTTAAAAAAGATCTTCTTTCTCAACACATTTCTAATTTGTTCCTGCTCTCCCACCTTGAACTACTACCTTCCAGATACAAGGTGTTGCCTTTCCAAGGAAGACAGATTATTCTCGATCTCTGAAACCTTTGGATTACAGAATCCCAATACGTAAAAGGGGTCTTAAAAATCCTCTAGTCCAACCCTTGTTTGAATGAATGAGGCCACTGAGGCTCAGAGAGGTTAAGAATTTACCCAAGGTCACACAGCTGGTTATTCATGAAAATCAATGTTCCTCCTTCTTTCTCTGGCCATTGACACCTTCAATTTCCAGATAAAATCTTCCTCCTGCACCGAGAGCAGGGAAAACACTTCTTTGGACTTTTGGGGAGGTAGGTGAATGAATGAAGGAAACAAAGCATGTTGGCTGTTATGGCCCCTACATCACTTTGCTCTGCTGTGTTCTCCACGCCACGTGCCCACTGCAACTTCCTTTTGAAATATTTAAGAATAGTTGGCTGCCTGAAAGCTCTCTGATGCCTCTGGAGTGAAGACCTGATACAAATCCAAATTAATAAATTCCATCTCAAATGGGAGAATCCTGTGTTGGGTAAAGTACATCCCATGAAGCTGAGTCACCCTATTCTGAAGCACAATGACCAATTTTATCTAATCACAGAATTTTAAAATATTCAGCACTTCCAATAAAAAATGTATGAAATCATAAATCCAAATGGTTATGTGTGTGTGGCTAAAATGAACATCCGGGGGAAATTAAGACTATCAGCACAATTTAGAGAGCTAGCTGCTTCTTAACGGTACAGCCAAGCCTTTTTTTCTAACCTGGCTCAAACCTATAGAGTTATTAGCTGGTTTAGATGTCTGATGCAATATTTGCAAACAAATTGAATTAATTGCAAAATAAACAAATGTAGCTGAATTTTGCAACCAACATAGCACACAGTAAACTAAACTATCAGCTTAACTCAAACAAAAAATTCCTAAGAAAATTTATATCCAAAACCACTAAAACATTCAGATGTCATTTTCACTTTCATAACCTACCTCTTAATTCAACATATTTTAAGCTACTGAAAATCAAGTGCTTTCCCATTTGGGTTTTGGCTGGAGCGGTTTGTTTGTTTTGGAGTAACAGGTGTGCAACTGCAACATGTATATGTCTTAAATTTTTGGCTGAGATAAATTAGATATAATGTTTCAGAATGTATGAAAGAGTATTTACTTAAAATTTTGAAATATTTAAAGTATGTGAGATCTTAAAAACCTAAAAATATCAATATGGTTTTTCTATTCAATGACTGTATCTATCCATCCAAGCCTAAGTTATTTGCCAACTTTCCATGCTCAGAACGTAATTGAAAGTCCAGAAAGAAACGAGAGGCCTCTGATGAACCTAAACACAGTTCACAAATCGTAGGTGCATTATTAATAAAAAGCCCTTTGGGTCTTCGCCCAGAACCGAATTGTTCTTTTCTATTGATAGCAGATACAGAGGATACAAATTCTCACACAGCTAATTGGGAGTTAATTTCTACTTACAAACAGAAAATCAGTTCTAAAAGCCAAATGAATGCATTCCACCTGAAATGGACATGTTGAACAATTCACCTTATAAAGAGGAACACCAGGATTTTTTAAAAAATCTTAAATGGACCTTAAGAAGGAAAGCTGAGCAAGCAAAGAGACAGAAAATGATTTTTAAAATAAGGCCGCCAGGAGACCTCAAGATCACAGCAGGGTGTGGATGCTGAGTATGGAGGTCAGAGCCCCATCACCCTCACTAGACCTGAGATGGGATTCTCACGGAGAGGGGTTCCATCCCAGGGAGGCTGCGGGGACATCAAAGTAACCAGGAGGTCTTGAAAGGTGTCCAAGAGGAGAAGACAGAAGAGCTCCTGATCAGTGCTGAGGAGTGAGTGGGCAGGAAAGAAAGAAGTGATCGCTTGAGGTCAAGGGGAGCTTTATTTAGAATGGATGAAACCTGAGGATGTTTTCAACACAAGGAGAAGCCAGGAGAAGAGCAGAGTGGAAAATAAGACAAACGGGAGAGAATGGTGTAGGTAGAGAGCGGGAAGGGGTGGCATGAAAAGCCTAGAGGAACAGAGGAGCCTTGAAAGACTCCTTCTCCTCCTCGGAAGCCCCCTTCGAGTCCCGCACCCCAGCTGGTTGCTTCCATCTCAGGCACGTGGCAAAGAATTAACCTAAGGCGGCTCAAAGCAGGTCCTCAGACAGGAATTAGCATCACCTGGATCCTGTTTGTTGAATCTCTAAGTCCAGTGCAGACCTACTGAATCAGACGCTGCAGTAACAAGACTGCAGGTGATTCCTATTAAAGTTTGGGCTGCACTGGCTAAAGCAGCGGTTATGAATACAGGCACTGAAGTCAACTAGATCTGGGTTCAAATCCAGCTGGATTTGGGCACATGGTATGTGCCCAAGCTTGGGCAAGCATTTCTAACCCTCAGTTTTTTCCTCAGTAGAATGAAGACAATTGCACTAATATTTCTTGGGGGCTACTGTAAAAATTAGAGTCCGGGCGTGGTGGCTCACACCTGTAATCCCAGTGCCTTGAGAGGCCTTAATGGGAGGATAGCTTGAGGCCAGGAGCTCAAGACCAGCCTGAGCAACATAGTGAGACCCCTGCCTCTAGAATTTTTTTTTTTAATTAGCTGGGCATAGTAGTGATTGCCTATAGTCCCAGCTACTCGGGAGGCTGAGGAAGGAGGAATGCTTGAGCCCAGGAGTTCGAGGCTGCAGTGAACCATGGTCATGCCATTGCATTCCAACCTGGGTGACCAGGCAAGACTGTCTCAAAAAATAAAAATAATTAAGTGATATATTGTAGAGGTAAAGAGTGTGGCATTAAGTCTGGCACACAGTAATAATGGATGGCATGTTATTATTGTTCATCCCTTCTACTCTGACTGGTAAAATAGCTCCATTACATCCCTGTCCGAGACACTCTGGGAAAGAGGCTGCCAATGAGAGGGAATACGCTATAGGCTTCTGCATCCCACAGGACCCACCCGGAGCTCTGCACAGGGAAAGTGCCCCAAAAATATGGACTGAAATGAATGTACCCAGGGCTGTGACATGGGCAGACCAATGATCCCAAAGCAAATATGGAAACTATTTCTTTTACTATATTTACACAAAAACCAGTTAGACATAGGTTATAAACTTGTTTGGGATTAAAGGATCAACTTTCAGAAGGGGACAAGCACATTAGGAGGAAAAAGAATGCCTCTTTCAAAACCTCCTACAATAGGGAGTGTCTCTAAGAGGGACAGAGATCTCTCTGAACCAATACTAAAGAGCCCCTGAGATCAACAGTGCAAACTGCTCCTGAGATGTGTGACCCAAGTTGAAGTTGACTGTATGGGTAAAACACTTAGGTCAAATTGCACCACTAGATGAGTTTCTTCATTTTAGGCAAAGTTCCAATAATGAAGTGACTGACTTCATGCGGCACACCTTAATTTCCCGGTTGGCAAAAGCACGTGTACAGAAACCCCATATACAGAAACCCCATCGGACTTGTTACCGCAACACGAACGTTTCTGCTTGCATTGTCATAGATGAAGGAAAAAAAAGGAGAACTTATAACACAGAACACCAGCTTCTACTGTGAGTAATATAGGATGAGGGCAAAAGTACTGGATGGATCACAGCCAAATTTCGATATGAAGAACCCACAAGTCGTTACAATTCAATCCGTTCAAACAACTCACATTTCTGGATTGCCCACTGGGCTAGACCCTGGGGGTGGTAAGAGAAGTGAGACCCAAGCACCTCACTGGGTACCCTGCTGCCAAGGAAAGGGCCACCAGGACCTAGTGACTGCAGCCCTAGAGTACAGGCTGGAGTCGAGGCCCAGGAGGCCAGAGGCATGTCAGAGGAAGCTTCTGGCACATCTCCTTTGATATTGCTTCCCTGGCAGGCAAGAGAAGACAACATTTTGGGGAGACTTGCCAACAGAACTCCAGGGGCATGAAAGACCCTGAAGGGGAGGCTACAGAGCCCAGGCTTTTGCATGTAAGCAGTGAGGAACGATGAGGGTTTGGCCCTGGCCGAGTGCAAGATGAGATCTTTGTTTAGGAAGGTCATTCTGTGGCTAGACCAGACGGAGGAGAAACCGAGGGCCAAGGGATCCATTAAGGGCAAAGCAGTAGCCCAGGTAAGAGATGGCGAGGCGAGGCCAGGCGCGGTGGCTCATGCCTGTAATCCCAGCACTTTGGGAGGCCGAGGTGGGCAGATCATGAGGTCAGGATTTCGAGACCAGCCTGACCAACATGGTGAAACCCCATCTTTACTAAATATACAAGAATTAGCCGGGCGTGGTGGCGGACACCTGTAATCCCAGCACTTTGGGAGGCCGAGGTGGGCAGATCATGAGGTCAGGATTTCGAGACCAGCCTGACCAACATGGTGAAACCCCATCTTTACTAAATATACAAGAATTAGCCGGGCGTGGTGGCGGACACCTGTAATCCCAGCTACTCAGGAGGCTGTGGCAGGAGAATCCCTTGAACCCGGGAGGCAGGGATTGCAGTGAGCCGAGATTGTGCCATTGCACTCCAGCTTGGCTGACAGAGTGAGACTCCATCTCAAAAAAATAAAAAATAAAAAAGATGGCGAGGCTTAAGAGGAGGTGGTGGGGCAGAGGCCTCGGGGACCTAAAGGGAGAGGAGTCAAGGGTGACCAGAAGATTCCTAGTTGAGTCACAAATCAATGAAGCCCAGAACTGCTGGAAAGTTCTAGACCTACGGATACTCCCAGTCACAGCAAGGCACCCTGAGATCAGCGCTTTAACATAAAATTGCAATGAGTGTCCTAAAATCCCAGGCAGCTGCAGATTCAGGAGATGATTCCAAGGCTGCCTTTGTACCCTAACAATCACAAGGCTCCTAGCAGCTTACTCTCCATAACGCTCCATGTAGCCCGAGAGCCCTGCATGCTGGAGCTCACCAGACATCCTTATAAAAATCCCAAGGGCCCTTTCCTTTGGATGCAATTCCTCAACTGTAGAATATTAAATAACTCGCCGGGTGTGGTGGCTCATGCCTGTAATCCCAGAACTTTGGGAGGCCGAGCGCTGGTAGATCACCTGAGGTCAGGAGTTCAAGACCAACCTGGGCAACATGATGAAACCCTGTCTCTACTAAAAATACAAAAATTAGCTGGGCGCAGTGGCATATGCCTGTAATCCCAGCTAGTAGGGAGGCTGAGGCAGGAGAATCACTTCAGCCCAAGAGGTGGAGGTTGCAGTGAGCTGAGATTGTGTCATTGCACTCCAGCCTGGGCAACAGAGCAAGACTCCATCTCAAAAAAAAAAAAAAGAAAAAAGAAAAAAAGAATACTATATAACCCCAGGTGTTGCCAAAGATGTTCACTCTGAATTGAACTCCAAAGTCTTCCAGAAGTCTGTTTATCACAAAACAGTCTGTCTCCAAAGTAGAAGCAAAGATAAAGAACTGTTTGTTGAATGGCTGACTGATGTCCACTGCAAGCTGAGCGCATTAACCAAATTTCACTTGGAAGACTATGCATGTGGCAAAATTAAATGCACCAATAGTACTAAATAAAGGTAGGCAGGAAGGCACCTAATGTACTACAATAGCTTGTATAACATCAGCCTCATCCAGTGATCAAGGTGACCAAATAAATTATCTTTAACACACACACACACACACACACAGAGTATAGACTCCAAAGTTTCCATTGTAAGACAAATTCTCTGACACTAGTGCACACTTGATGCCCTGGATCCTCAAGACATCACCGGGTGCCGGGTGCAGGGGCTCACGCCTATAATCCCAGCACTTTGGGAGCCCAAGGTGGGCGGATCACGAGGTCAGGAGTTCAAGATCAGCCTGGCCAACATAGTGAAACCCCGTCTCTACTAAAAATACAAAAAAAAATTAGCTGGATATGGTGCCAGGTGCCTGTAATCCCAGTTACTTGGGAGGTTGAGGCAAGGAGAGTCACTTGAACCTGGGAGGTGGAGGTTGCAGTGAGCCGAGATCGTGCCACTGCACTCCAGCCTGGGTGACAGCACGAGACTCCATCTCAAAAAAAAAAAAAAAAAAAAAAGACATCACTGGTTTTGGTGAGAAGAGACAGCACACATCTGCCTGGCACTGGGCTGCTCTTCTTTGGAGACAGAGGGTACAATTTATATCCTGCAGTTTTACTCAACAGGGGATACCACCAGCAGTTTGGCCAGGGTAATGCTGTATGGGACTGTCCCCTACACCATGTAAATTGGGCATTTACAATTCTTAACCACATCCTCCCAAATGCCAGTGAGTCATTGAGAAAACCTGAAACACCCCCATGCATTTTCAAACGCCCCCTAGGGTTGCCACACTATCTCCGGTGAAGAACCCTCGCAGTATTCACCGATGAAGTTCTTCTCTATAAATACTCTGTTTTCCTACCTGGTAAAAATAATGACTGCCCGTACTTGTCCATCTGATGTGGTATAAAGAAATAATCTTTTTTTTTTTTCAAAGAAGCAACACGTCAAATAAGCCTTCTATGTTCTAGAGTTCACTGCTGTTTTTCAGCAGAAACAAATCACTGAGCTAAATTACAAAGAGACCATAGCAATCTCCAGGGCTTTAAAAGGCTGATGCAGTATTTTTTCTTGGAGAATTTAAAAATAAAATGCAGTTCAAACTCTAGAACCTACAGTGAGGTTTTTCTCATAAATTCTGGAACATCGCAAGTTCTAGAAATCAAGCCCTGAAGAATGAGAGTACCAAGGCAAAGAACCCTCAGAACAAAGATTATGCAAAAGGATCACTGGTGATTTTCTATTTTTACATGAATTATAATGGCAGTGAAATAAAACTTGCCCTTCTGAACTCCACCCCCATACTTGTGCTACGATTATTAAAGTACGTTGCATTGTGAATATACTTTAATTCCAAGACTTTAAGTGCTAACATTTAGACAGAATGTACTAAGTTATATTAATCAAATTTTTAGTATTAAACCTTTCTCTACCATAAAGTAAATCCTTTAAAAAAAAAAAAAAGTCCAATCCTTCTCAACCCAAGAAATATGCCCAAGGGTATCTACAGGAATGGCTGCAGTAACTGGCAAACGCTGGCAGGAATTTTCCAATGACTGAAGTCAACAAATCCTCAGGAAACATGCTCAGACAGATGGCACTTAAAAAAAAGCAAAAACAAAAACAACAAAAAAAAACCTACTGCATTTAGATTTATAGGAAGATTTTTCACTTACTTCAAATTTCTGTATAATCCTCGTTCCTCTAAGTTAAAGGGGGAAAGAAAATCACACTGCAATTCCTTATTTTTCTAATTTAAAAAACAAAACAAAACACGTTATACCCTCGAATCCAGCTTTTGATGTCTTCGAGTATTTTCTTGGAGTCTCTTTCCAATGAATACTACTTTCAAATTCTAAGCACAAAGTAAAATCCCAAAAGTTAGCCCAAATAGCGTTGTACAAAATCAAAGATCACGATGTCAGCAAGCAACTGCATCTATCAGAAGCGATGATGATTCAGAACAGGATAAATTTAGAATGGTGTTTTCCAAAAGGCTTTTTGGATGTCAAATTCAGGAAACAGGTAAAGGCTACATCCCAAAAGTTCCTCTCCAAAAAGAACGCCAAAATATTAATAAAAAGAGTCTTCTTTTTGAAGTTTTTCGTCCCCTAGTGTCCTCGAGGCTGAACTTCCCCAACCTGGCCTCGGTGGAGCCATCCATTACTGGGCAAATCCACATGAAACCTGAGGACACTTCAGCCTGGGGAGGACGCAGTCAGAGCAGTGAAGCAACTTCACATGGGACGGGCCTTTTATGGCCTGAACTCGAGAGCCTTGATACCAGCTCATCTACCAGAAATAGCCCTGGAAATTCAGAGGAGCCCATCAGCTGTTGCAGCAGGCCTGGCCAGCAGCTACTTCAAATGCAATTAGGTTGTCCACACTGTCTTTCAGCTTGTTGTATAGAGAAATTAAAAATACAACAGCAGTCTACTGAATAAGCTACAACAATACAGATTTGGATGAGCAAACATTTCTCTAACTTAGTTTTTTTAGGCTAAAAAAAGAGCACACAATCGTTGACAAAGCTCAGACACTGAACACCCCAAAAGTAAGTAACAGACATATATACAATGAATGCCCGAAAAGTAACTAACAGACATACACATCTATGAAACAGCATGATATAATGGCACATGTCTCTACAAGTTTACAAATTCTGTAACCTCTGTGGATTTCTTCCCACTTCCAATAACTGTAGAAAATGAATCATCAGAAGAAAGCATTGTGCTGGAAGTACTTTCTCGAAAATGACACAAATATTTTCTCTTAAAGCCAAAGTCAGTCCTCTGAACTGGCAAGATCTATCTTCCTATGGCTCTCAGGTAGCTCACCTCACTGAAAAACCAGATGAACCTAACCTAATGAAAAAAATATTAACTATGAAGCACAACCACTTCTTAAATGGCCATATGCATTTTTTTAAACATTAAAAGGCCACTGACATGTTGAATACACTCAAACAAATATCACAACCCTGTTTACAAAATACTTACAATTGTAGGTCTCTGTCCCTGTCGGTACCAAGAACAGAGAGTCTTAATTGTCTGCACCAACTTCAGTATAAACCACAAACCCCATAAGACTTGGGCTGGAGTACAGCAAAAGCTGTGTGCTGCGCGGGGCCTCCCAGTGGTATGCCTCTGGGTGTCAGGGTTCTCAGACCACCAGCTGCTTCGGCCAGCACAGGAGGCCTCTCAAAGCAGGATCTAAATTCCTGTTACTAATTAACCCTACAGAACAATGCCTCTCCCTAAGAGGACAGTCCTGAGGCCAGGTGAAAAGATGACAGGTATAATAATTAAACATTGGCTTCATGACTGTTTTGTGCTAGGGGTATTTGTCCCAGTCAACTGTTTTTTTTTTTTTTTACCCATCTCAAGATAACAAACAAACAAAATTTCATAGCATGGCTTTTGCATCCTAATCTCAGTCCTGACCCTGATCTTCTTTTCCCTTGGACCATATTGGCTTTTTCCTCATTTTAAAGTTTATTTGATCTTGTTTTACGTATTTTTATAAGCTGTGGTAAGCCCCTCCCTAGAGAAAAGTAGGGCAAAAATAAATAAAAACTTACATGAAACAGTTCACTATTTGGGTCTTCTCTGTAAAGAGAAGATAGGAGGAGAAAATGAATCACTGTTACCACAATAGTGCTATTTCCTTCCTAAAAAAAGATTCACTCCCACAAAATAAACATCAGTCTTTTGTGTGCCTCTTAAGTTTTTGCACACTGCTTCCCCATAGCAACCAAACTGTCCTAGATTAATACACTGGAGTCTAATAGGGTAAATCTCCTTCGTCACTTCTTTTATATATCCTTTCTGTCTTTGATTATTTAAATCCCAGTTAATTCTTCCTGTGCAATCCATTTACTTTCCTAATTTTTTTGCTATCTGCCTGGCTTAGAAGACTCATCATACTCACTTCTTTCCAATGATGATAATCATGAATTGGAAGAAAAATCAACACACAAAAGATGTCAATTGTCCCCAAACTGATCTACAGATTAACAAAATTCCTATCAAAATCTTGCAAGGTTTTTTTGTTTTGTTTTGTTTTGTTTTGTTTTTTTGAGACATGGTCTTGCTCTGTTGTCCAGGCTGGAGTAGAGGTGTGCAATCATGGCTCACTGCAGCCTCAACCTCCCCAGGAGGCAGTCCTCCTGCCTCAGCCTCCTGAATATCTGGGGCTACAGATGTGCACCACCACACTGGGCTAATTTTTTAATTTCTTAGTTTTTGTAGAGATGGAGTCTCATTAGGTTGGCCAGGCTTGTCTTGAACTCCTGGGCTCCAGCTGTCCTCCCACTTCGGCCTTCTTAAGTGCTAGGATTACAGGTGTGAGCCACCCTGCCTGGCCTCACAGTGATTTTTGGCAGATATTCTAAAATTTATAGTAAAGGTACAGGCCCTAGAATAGCTAAAAACCATCTTGAAAAAGAAGAAAAAAGTTAGTCTGGGCGTGGTGGCTCATGCCTGTAATCCCAGCACTTTGGTAGGCCGAGGCGGGTGGATCACCTGAGGTCAGGAGTTCGAGACCAGCCTAATGAACATGGTGAAACACTGTCTCTATCAAAAATACAGAAAAATTAGCCAGGCGTGGTGGTGCACACCTGTAATCCCAGTTACTAGGGAGGCTAAGGCAGGAGCATCGCTTGAACCCAATCCTGGGAGGCAGAGGTTGCAGTGAGCCAAGATCATGCCACTGCACTCCAGCCTGGGCCACAGAGTGAGACTCCGTCTCAAAAGAAGAAAAAAGTTAGAGCAATGAATCTATCCCATATTAAGGCCTACTGGATAACTACAGTAATCAAGACAACACAGCATTGGCAAAAAGAGAGACACATAACATAGATCAGTGGAACAGACTGGAGAACCCAGAGACAGGCCCACATGAATATGCCAAACTGATTTCTGTGCCATTCAACAAACAGTGCTAGAGCAATTAGACACCCCTAGGCAAAAGCAATGAGCTTCTACCCAATCCTCATTGTGGTACATCCATACCATGGAATACTACTCAACAATAAAAAGGAACAAATTATTAGTACGTTCCACGACCTGGATAAGAATCCAGGGAATTAAATTATGCTGAGTGACAGAAAGCCAATCCCAAAATGTTAGATACTATACGAGTACACTTACATAGCATTTCCCAGATGACAACATTATAGAAATGGAGAAGAGATGGGAGTTGTTAGAGGTTAGGGATGGGGATGAGGTGGTTTAACAGGGCCACATGAGAGACCCCTGTTCTGGAACTCTTCTATTGGATTGACCACATCAGTGTCAATATCCTGGTTGTGATACTATTGTATAGCTTTGCAAGATGTTATCACTGGAGAAACTGGGTAAAAAGCCCTCATGATCACTTTGTACTATTTCTTACAACTACATCTGAATCTATAATTATCTCAAAATTAAAAGTTTAAGCAGGGCGGGGTGGCTCACACCTGTAATCCCAGAACTTTGGGAGGCTGTGGCGGATGGATTACCTGAGGTCAGGAGATTGAGAACATCCTAGCCAACGTGGTGAAACCCTGTCTCTACTAAAAATACAAAAATTAGCCAGGCATGGTGGCTGGCATGTGCCTGTAATCCCAGCTTCTCGGGAGGCTGAGGCAGGAGAATTGCTTGAACCCGGGAGGCGGAGGTTGCAGTGAGCTGAGATCATGCCATTGCACTCCAGCCTGGGTGACAAGGGTGAAACTCTGTCTCAAAAAAAAAAAAAGTTTAATTAAGTATTTTTTCCAAGGAAAAAGCATCCCAACCCCAAAAAACAAACCTACTTCAAATGAAACTTTCAAATATAATCCATTTGTAAATGGGTGACTTACTGTAACTGTACTTCACATAAATCTATAGAGATTTACTTATTATCAATGCCATCTTACGAATTTCAAACTGGAAATATTTATTTTTCCCTATAAGAATGAAAGTTAATCCGAAAGTAAAATATTTGATACAGAATAAGAAATGGAAAGCATTGCTTTCCAATTGAATGTGTTTATTTAGCAGGCTGTGTAGATACTTAAAAAGAGCACCTCTAATACCTAGGGCCCATCCAAAAATAAAAAAGGAAACCTGCACATAATTTTCAGAAATTTCATCTACTGCCCCAGATTATTAATTTTTAAAACCTGACCAACTCTGGAGAAATAGCAAGAAAACAACTTTTTGGAAAGGGAGGAGATCGGGTCATCTCAATTTTTGATTATATTTCATTTTTAGAGACAGGTTCTCACTATTTGGCTCAGGCTGGTCTTGAACTCTTGGGCTTATGTGATCCTCCTGCCTCAGCCACCTGAGTAGCTGGGATAACGAAAGTGTGTCACTGCACTGGTCTTCCAATGTGAATACTGCTATAAATATAATAGAAAACAAGTTTTTGAAATCTGTTCTCTAGAACTCTTCCCCTTTCTTTTTTGTTTTTCTTTTTCTTGAGACAGAATCTCACTCTGTCACCAGGCTGGAGTGCAGTGGCGCGATCTTGGCTCACTGCAATTTCCTCCTCCCGAGTTCAAGTGATTCTCCTGCCTCAGCCTCCGGAGTAGCTGGGACTACAGGTGTGCGCTAGCACACTCAGCTAAGTTTTGTATTTTTAGTACGACGGGGTTTCACCATGTTGGCCAGGATGGTCTCGATCTCTCGATTTCGTGATCTGCTCACCTCAGCCTCCCAAAGTGATGAGATTACAGGCATGAGCCACTGCGCCTGGCCCTTTTTTTTTTTTTTTTTGAGATGGAGTTTCACTCTTGCTGCCTAGGCTGGAGTGTAATGCACGATCTCGGCTCACTGCAACCTTCACCTCCCAAGTTCAAGCGATTCTCCTACCTCAGCCTCCCAAGTAGCTGGGATCACAGGCAGATGCCACCACATCTGGCTAATTTTTGTATTTTTAGTAGACAGGGTTTCACCATGTTGGCCAAGCTGGTCTCGAACTTCTAACCTCGCGTGATCTGCCCGCCTTGGCCTCCCAAAGTGCTGAGATTACAGGCGTGAGCCACCACACCCAGCTGAACTCTTTATTCTTGAAAATAAATAGATGATATAACAGTTCAGCCTTCCCAGAAGTGGAATGGGCAGATGGAGGTTTCAGGGCCCTTTATCTTCTCAGTTTCCATAACATAAAACCTAGATCCAAACTCCCTGAATTCCCACTTTGGAGGCCAGTCTAACTTATGCTGGACTTTTCTGGCGCTTTGGGGAATGCCAGGTCATGCACAGAAGAGATGAGGCTTCTTTTCAGTTCGTTGACGAGGCAGCACAAGCCCAGAATATGCTCCAGCGACTCATCTTCTGCCCCCAAAGTCCCTTGGGCCCCACCTCTGTCTTCAAGCTCTTGCCTACCTTCTCTTCTTTTTATCACCCTGAATGTTCCAGAACCACTGTCTCCTCTCCCCCAGCCCCATGTGCTTCCCAGCAAGTTTTGTCATTGGATTCTGGCTCCCCTACAACCCAGAAACTGCTCTCCCAACAACACACTCTCCTGAGGCTTCATCTAGATGTGGCCTGTATGGTATCTGGCACTTTCTGACCACTTCCGCCTCCATGGAATGTCCTCTTCGTAAAATGTCTCCAACACTCCTTTCCTCAGCTCTCCCATGCCTTTCTGATCACTCCTCAGTTGTTTCACTGAGTGTCCACCTCTGCCTCCCTCAAATGTCCATATGTTTCCCAGGACTCCGAGCCTGCTGGTATCATCCTACCTTCTCCCAGAGTGAGCTCCGTCTGCCACACCTAAAGCAGAAGTCAGAAGACTGGTGATTGATTCCCTGAAGTTCAGCAAACCAGGAGCATCTCACGGGAACATGGAACTCAAGAGAAATCAAGCTACACCCGTCATCTCCCATCTCCCATCAGGAAACTTGTACCTGGTTTCCTACCTGACCGCAACCTCCCCATCGGCAACTTGGCCACCCAAACCAGAAATCAGGGCCCTGCCTCACTTGAGTGATCATTCAGATCTCAGCAGTCACTAAGCCTCGGTTCCTGCCTTTAACCTTCCTCTCTCCTTCCACCCCATTGATGTTCTCATGGGCCTGAGTCAGGCTTATGCCTGGAGCCTCCAAACTTCACTTCCACCTCTCTAAACCCATCCTCTCCGCCACTTCCAGAATGGCCTTTAAACGGCCCCACCCTGCCTGCTCACTCCCAATAAAAACCCTCCTGGAGAGTCCCCCAGCAGTTCTCAAGCATAGGCCTGGCAGGTGCTGCCTCCAACAGACAGGTGGATAGCGCTTGCTTCTTACCCATGGAAGCCCACATGGCAAACTTTTTGTCTTTTTTATATTTTATGTTTTTATTTTTTAATCTAGCAAATCGTCCCAGATCCTGGCCCATATGGCAAACTTATAAAATTAAATTTGTTAAAGGGGGCTGGGTGCAGTGGCTCATGCCTGTAATCCTAGCACTTTGGGAGGTCGAGGTGGAAGGACCGAAGCAAGGAGTTTGAGACCAGCCTGGGCAACATAGTGAGACCCCATCTCTTTAAAAAAATAGTAAAATGAATATAATAAAAAATAAAGTTTAAAACAATAGGCTGGGCGTGGTAGGTCTCGCCTGTAATCCCAGCACTTTGGAAGGCGGAGGTGGGAGGATCACCTGAGGTCAGGAGTTTGTGACCAGCCTGGCCAACATGGTGAAACCCATCTCTACTGAAAATACAAAAATTAGCGGCATGGTGGTGCGAGCCTGTAATCCCAGCTACTGCAGAGGCCGAGGCAAGAGAATCGCTTGAACCCAGGAAGCAGAGGTTTCAATGAGCCGAGATCGCGCCACTGCACTCCTGCCTGGGTGACAAGAACGAAACTCCATCTCAAAATAAATAAATAAAAAATAAAAAATAAAAATAAATTTGTTAAAGGACAAATGTAAGACTATACTTAGAATCATTGTCACTCTCTTGCATTTAGATACTCATCAGTAGGAGAAAAAAGGTATCCAGTTACAAATAAATAGTTTGGAAATGACACTTAACCCTTAGGTTATCTCATACAGACTAAGACCTGCAGTGACTTACTTGTGCAGGTGTATTCCTACAAGCTGTGAGGCTTACAAGGACTGTGATGCCTTAGCTTCATTACCAGCACCACATTTAGATAAACCCAGGAGGGATGCGATTACTTGTGTTGGTGGAAAACAGAAAACAAAAGAAAACAAAAAACTCAAGGATGTCCAGCCTGTTGGGTACATTCCAAAGTCCCACTTCTCTGAGCTGGAACCTCCTATCCTCCCTCCCACCAGCAGGTGACCTGTGCCCAACCATGAGACACCAGCCACCCTGGCCATCCTTCCTATTCCTGTCTAGTTTGTTCTCTCTGCTCAGAATGCCTTTCCACCCTTCTCACTTAGAAAACCCCTAATCTGGCCAGGTGCGGTGGCTCATGCCTATAATCCCAGGACTTTGGGAGGCTGAGGCAGATGGCTCACCTGAGGTCAGGAGTTCAAGACCAGCCTGGCCAACACAGTGAAACTCTGTCTCTACTAAAAATACAAAAATTAGTCAGGTATGGTGGCTCGAGCCTGTAATCCCAGCTACTCCCGAGGCTGAGAAGCGCTTGAACCTGGGAGGCAGAGGTTGCAGTGAGCTGAGATTGTGCCACTGCACTCCAGCCTAGACAACAGAGTGAGACTCTGCCTCAAAAACAGAAAGAAAGAGAGAGAGTGAGAAAGAAAGAAAGAAAGAAAGAAAGAAAGAAAGAAAGAAAGAAAGAAAGACCGACCCCTAATCATACTTCAAGCCTTAGTTGAGAATATTTCCCCTACAAATCTCTCCTAGACATGGTCTCTGATTCCCAATCTCTAGGCTGTTAGCAGAGACTCCATGACATTTTCATATTACCAGGACCTAGCAACATGTGCCACTCAGTAAATTTAATAAATGTTTGTGATGTGGACTGAAAATATCAAAATAGTCTGCAGTTAGATCTCTTCTCTCTCTCTTTTTTTTGGAGACAGAGTCTCACTCTGTCGCCCAGGCTGGAGTGCAATGACATGATCTCAGCTCACTGCAGCCTCCACCTGCTGGGTTCAAGCCATTCTCCTGCCTCAGCCTCCCAAGTAGCTGGGACCTCAGGCACATACCACCATGCCTGAATAATGTTTTCGTATTTTTAGTAGAGACTGGGTTTCACCATGTTGGCCAGGCTGGTCTTGAACTCCTGACCTCAAATGATCCGCCCACCTCAGCCTCTCAAAATGCTGGGATTACAGGCGTGAGCCACTGCACCCGGCCGCTCTCTTCTCATTTTAATGCAGCTACAACATTCTCCCTTTTGTCAGGGTGGATTAATCAATTTGCAATATCCCTCCAGAGCTGGAGAAACAGTCACAAGTTGGATCCTCAGCTCACAGGCAGAAAAGAAAACATGCATCACCAGCTCAAATGTTTCTGTGTAGTGGCCTCACTGTCCATTTCTCACTCCTATTTCTGGACTCAAGATGATGTCAGAGCATTGGCCAGGACTGTCAGTGCAGGAAAGTAAGACAACAACACTCTCTGTCTCCTTGCTTCTGCCTTCTGAAAAGTTCTGCTTTCCACAGGGCAATGAACTTGATCAATCACTGGAGGTATTTTTTAAGCAGCTCATTTCCAGGAGATGAAAAGGCTAGGCAACCAGGACCTGTATTTTGCCCTATTTTCTGCCACGATGGAACCAGACTTGGAATCATTTCCTTTTCCCAAAAAGCTTAGGATTTTGACCTCTATGGGAGAAGACAGAGACATGCTGTAGTCTACTGATATGTACACCGATACACCTGTATGAATCGAGCTTGTGGCCTTCTGTACCATGGGCAAGTCATTTTGTTTGTGCATAAATTTCTTTTTAAAGACAAAAAGGGGATATTATTTTCAGTTAATATTTTTCAACCAACAACCCCCCACCCCTGCCGGAAATCTGAATCAATCAATAATTCAATCAATTGAGTCTGTCTTTCTGTCTGTCTGGTCTCGCTTTTTCTCAAAGCTTTTGGAGAACTTTACTGGCTTTAGCTGAAAATCTTTGAGCTCCAAGGTCATCTGTAAGTCACTGGCTTGAACCACTGATGAGCCAGCCAACTTTTCTCTCCCGGGCTGTAGCTTCAGAGCAATGGGTGTGTAGCAGAGCTCAACACAAAGAGAACTGCTGGCCTCGTGGTCAAAATGAGATGTGAACTTGCCAGGGGTGAGCCTGGACCGTGGTTTATGAGTCCTGGCTCCAGAGACCCAGCCTCTCACACGGCTGGAGCAACATCGCGTTCCTGGACACCAGGCTCAGAGTCTTGAGAGTAATCAGAGATGTACAAAGTGTGACATGCTCCGTTTGGGCCACTAGATATCTAAAAATATGGGATTTCTGTCTGCTGTCAAGCAGCAGCTCACTGCACGAACAGAACCATGGAGGCTGCTGCTCAAATGGGGACATGAGCTGACGGTGATGTGACCAGTGGAGTGAGGACCTGGGAGGCTCTTCCCTTCCCTGCTGTTGTTGACATCACAAAGCTCAGCACCACATGTGGTTTGTTTGGCTGATTCCAAATACCAAGAGGGAATGGATCATTCTTATTCCTGAAAGAAAAACTCCAGGAGACTGTGCTCCTCAGGGAGCATCATCTATACCTTAGAGACACACAGGAGCGAGGAGCCTTCTCTGAGCATGTTCTCCCAGCCCCAAGGACCGAGAAACCCCACATCCCCTGGGCCAAGCACTCTGTAGCCCAGTGAAGGTTCCATTCTCATCTTCCTCCAGAAACAGAGCTCTACGTAATGGCTATGCACTCGGCCAACCCACAGAAGCCCGATAAGCTTGTAATAGAGTGGAACCACAGTCCCAATAATTCTATAAAACGGAACCACTTGAACCCAGGAGGCGGAGCTTGCAGTGAGCCGAGATCATGCCACTGCACTCCAGCCTGGGCGGCAGAGCAAGATTCCACCTGAAAGAAAGAAAGAAAGAAAGAGGGAAAGAAAGAAACCAGAAACACTATGTGTTGTATCTTACAATGTATCTTTGGCTCCAACTGTGGATCCTGGGCCATGTCTCCTTGACAGCACGAGTGGGAACTTCCTACCCTAAGGTTTAGCCAGTGACTTCTGTATTGAGGGCAGGGGCTACAAGACTGAGGAGGAGGGTCCCATCTGAAAACTGGGGCGTGGGAGGATGGGGTCTGACAGGAGTCAGCCTGTGGGGACAGAATGGTGGGAGGTGGGAGGCTGAGATCAGGAAGACTGATTTCTGGGGTAGGTGGAGGACACTAAAAAAAAAAACCTGAAAAATTCAAGAAAAGAAAATAACAGAATGATGCAGAAATCAACTGAATAAATTTAGCTTTATATTTAATACAACATTCACTTCATTTTCTTAGGTTTCTCATCGCACTGCCCTCAGGTAAGGGCTTGGTTTTAGTCTGGGGACTGAAAATCGCTGGTCTGGATTAAGATTCCTACAGTGCCATCAAATTCTAAAAACTTGAAATTCTACAATTCTGAGGCATAGCACCATCTCACCTTCTCCAAAGAAAAGCCTCAACAATGAGGGGGAAAAAAAGAAGGAAGGGGCCAGGTGTGGTGGGTCATGCCTGTAAGTCCAGCATTTTGGGAGGCCGAGGCGAGAGGATCACTTGAGGTCAGGAGTTCAAGACCAGCCTGGCCAACATGGTGAAACCATGTCTCTACTAAAAATACAAAAATTAGTCAGGTGTGGTGGCGGGCTCTTGTAGTCCAAACTACTCGGGAGGCTGAGGCAGGAGGGTTGCTTGAACCCGGGAGGTGGAGTTTGCAGTGAGCCGGGATTGTGCCACTGAACTCCAGCCTGGGCGATAGAGTGAAACTCCGTCTCAAAAAATAAATAAATAAGGAAGGAATAAAGCGCTCCAAGCGAGATAAAATATGTTAAAGCAAAGCATTCTGAAATAAAAAATTATTAGACAGTAGGAGAGCAAGCAAAGATAAAATCCTTTGATCATGCCTCAACTTCCCTCCCATAGAGACTCAGGCCAAAGCAGATCAGATAACCCTTTGAAGACCCTGAAGTTATTATCTGTTGGACTACTAAAGTGGATTATTCATTAGCAAGTACAAGTAATTCCCTCCCAAGGATTTATCGAAAGATGGCTGGTAATCTCGTTAGTGGGATAGTGGGTGCAAGTTGCATCAAAGGGAAGAGAGAAAATAAATAAGCAAATACGTTTTCAAACAACTATAGTTATTCAGGAGTTCTTCCAGGTACTCCTAACTCCTTGCTACAGCTCCCTTCAGCTTACGCTTGTACCCCTAGTGACATGGGCCCCCTAAAATGTGACTTGTGTGAGGACAGAGACTTTTGTCTGGTTTGTGAACTGCTGTTCATCTTCAGTGCCTAGGATATATTAAGTGCTCGATAAATATTTCTTGAACGAATAAGGCAAATAATGCGTATGCTCCAGGGAAAATGACAAGGCAATGAGTTCTTTTCCAAAGGCAACTTTATCCCTCACAGACACCCCCCTGCCCTGCAATCTGTGATCGTAATTTCTGCTGGCTTTGTGCAGGCTGTTCCACATGCCTGAATTGGTTTACCTCCTTCTCAAATACCTCTTTGGGAAAGATTTTCCTCATTAAGCAGTGTCTGATTTCAATATAGGACTCCCTTGCAAAATCTTCCGTGCATTCTGATCTCCTGGGCTTGGCATCACTTTCACAAATCCGCTGCCCAGGGACCATGTGTTCACAAAGACACGGCTTACTGGCCCGTATGGTAAGCTAATTGATGTGGTAAGCCCTGAAGGCAGGATTATTTTTCAGCCAGGCCCTGCCTAATGTTTTCTGATGATGGCCAAGTGGGCAAGTTCAGTCCTTTCTCCCCAGAAACATGATCCTGCTTTCTATACCAACAAGTATTAATTCAAATCCCTCGTGGGCAGTCCAGGATATGAAAATTACAGTAATCTAATCTTGTAGAGGAAGAAGTATGAATCATCATGACACTGCCTGACAAAGAGCAAAGTGATTAATGCCAGGCTGCAGTAGGGTCCCCAGTGACAGCTCCCCGTGGGTCACAAACCTAACATGGGAACCCACGAGGCAAACATCAGAGAAGCAACATCCTGGTCTCCATCCAGGGAGAGGAGAAGCAGGGAGTAGCAATGCCGTATTCTCAGGACCATGTCTGAAAACTGGCCATACTGAGGCAAATTCAGTGACTGAGGGAGAAGAGCAAGATTGCGTCTTAAAAACTCATCCGTTCCACCTTCTGACTGGTGGAAACTGCTTAAACTCTGAAGCTTACTTTTAGGTAGGAACTATAAGGTTTGCAGAATCACGGCATCACAGAGAATGACCTAGAAACCCCAATCCTCTGCAGGGGAAAACAAGAGGACATGCTTAGGACAAGCAAGATGATAGATAACCATGCCAAAAAGAATGCGCTCTTAACCATATCCCAGGAACATACAGTTCTGAAGAAGTCTTGGCCTTTTTCTGAAACCTTCAAGAAGTACACCAAAGCTCCCGATCTCCCATCTCCAGGAAACCACAGCCCAAGTGCACTGGGAAAGTTGGTCAGGGTGCCTGCAAGCCTAAACCATCACTTGGCTTTTTTTTCTTTTCTTGCTTTCTTTTTCTTTTTTTTCTTTTTTGCACAGCTGTATTCAATTTTCTGTCCTTGGGGTTTTAAAAGGAACATTTATTCTAGGGCCAGGATTCTCAAGTTTTATGGTTATACAACTCCCTCCCAGGGCCAAAGAATGTTTTAAAAGTCTTAAAGCTAGCAAAGAAAATTAGTAAACGTATCCGAATGAAAGTGAAATAAAAAATTAAGACTTGTTCCAGTTTATATTCAACCTCTTACTTGATTGTATTGTACCTTCTGTTTGCCCTTCACTGCTTTTACTACCCATTTTTAATGCAAATATAGGTGTGTGTGTGTTTGTGTGTGTGTGTGTGTAGAGACAGTGAGAGAGCAGGTGAAGAACAGAGAAGTACAAAGGTGTATTTCGAGTCTTCCACAGCTTCTATTTCCTGTTCTGTGGTAAATTTTATTTTAAATAAGGTCTACAGCTTAAACCGAGTTTAACAAAAGGTCACGAAGAAAGAGATTCCTTCAGTGTTTTTATAACATTGCTTGCTTTCCCAATTTAGAAAGCTAGATACTTTCTGATTTTTTGGTAGTAGGAAAGTAGTTTTAAAACCCCCTACATTTTTTACTTAAAAAGTCAAATTAGTGGCATTTTTAATTGAAATGATTAAACTTTTGTCAATATCAAAAAAAAAAAAAACAAAAAAAATCATTACCAGAAAAAAAAAAAAAAGAGAGAATGATAAGATGACGCTCCCACCAGCCCATGAAATGTTAACTAGTTTTCTCAATGCAGCCACATGGAGTTAAGAAAACCCACAAGTCCCTTACCTGTCTTCTGTTCTTCTCCCTTCATGTCACCTGGATCCCCACATCTCACAGGCATCTACCCAAAGCCTTTGTCTGCACAGGTTCACAAACGTTACTTGTACGTTTGCCCCTGAATTCTCCCGAAGGGTGGCTTCCTGCTCATGCACACTCATCAGATCTGACAAAGCCAAGCTCAGGCTTTTGGGGCCGAGGTTTGTGACACAGCACACACCACCACATTAGAGGCCTGGCTGCATCCCAAGACAAACCAGAAATTTTTGAGAAACAAAAGTTATTTGCACAGATCCACTCTGAGCAGAAAAGACGGAATCAGTACTCTTCCATAAAATGATGGGAAATGTTGTCAGTGGCACCTGCTTTGTACCGTCCAATTCTCTGAAAACAATTAGAAGACAGTGGAAACTGACCTTGCCCGACCCTCATCATGATGAGCAGCCAATGCAGGCTTCTCTGGAGAGGCAGTTAGTTCTAAGAAAAGCCAACCAAACCTCTCCTCTTGGCAATCACTTTCTCTTGCTCTTTTAAAATCAAGAAATCAAAGTGCCCTTTAGCACGGCCCTGTGGCCAAGAAAGCCCTGCAGCCAAGATAACAGGTTGAAGTTCAAACAATTCATCCCAGATAACCACTCTAATTCTCCCATGATTGGAAGTTGCTAGAAGTTAGTCAAAGTTATAAACCTAGGACACAGGACAGCTGGGAAAAAAAAAAAAAGATTCTAAAAGCAGGGTTTGTTTCTTGGGCTGGGCATAGAGGCTCATGCCTATATTCCAAGCACTTTAGGAGGCCAAGTGGGGAGGATTGCTTCAGCCCAGGAGTTTGAGACCAGCCTGGACAACACACTAAGGCACCCGTCTACACACAAAAAAAACAAAAAACAAAAAACACATTAAAAATTAGCCAGGCATTGTGACTCACACCCATGGTCCCAGCTACTTGGGTGGCTGAGGTAGGAGGATCCTTTAAGCCCAAGAGGTCAAGGCTGCAGTGAGCTGTGATTACACCACTGCACTCCAGGCTGGGTGACAGAGCGAGGCCCTGTCTAAATAAATAAATAAAAGCAGGGTTTCTTTTAAGCCAGAAATTTTTTCATGGGTGATATTCTACCTTCTAATCACATAGGACACACTACTAATATCATCTTCTCAGAATAATAAATTTAAAAATCCTGTGAATCTGCACTCTAGAACAAATGAAGATGCTTCTTTCAATGTTTTATGAAAGTAATACTGAACAATTCTTTCTTCTGAACCCCCACGGCATGCCTCTTTCATATACAATAAAACACAACCAAGCAATTACAACCACAAAGTTTTGTTTTTTAAACCACACACATAAGAAAATTGCTACAAGAAGACTTTACCTAAGGTTAGAGAAATAAGGGCATTCTCTAATTTCATGCCAAGCCAGCTAGAAAACACTACATTTTAAAAATATTGTGTTATGGTAGGCCATCTGTATTCCATATAAGAAAAAAATTTTAGCTTCAAAAAAATTGAAGCTCAAATATAACTTCAAACAATTGACTTACCAAAATATGCAAGTGCATGGGCGTACACACACACACACACATCTGGTAAAAGAAAAACAAACACAGCTTGGATTCATCCAAGATGAGCAGTCCCTAGTCATGTGCTCAAAATATGATTGCTATGGTTTGAATGCGTCCCCCAGAGTTCATGTGCTGGGAACTTAATCCCAAATGCTACACTGTTGAGAGGTAGGACCCTTGAGAGGTGATTAAGTCATGAGTGCTCTGTCCTTGTGAATGGATTAATATCATTATCACAGAAGTGGGTTCTTTATCACGAGAGTGGATTTGCTATAAAAGTGCGTACATTTCTCTGTTGCTTGCTCTCACCATGTGATGCCTTCTGCCAGGGGATGACACAGCATGAAGGCCCTCACCAGATGCAGCCCCTGGATCATGGACTTCTCAGCCATCAGAACCATGAGCCAAATAAACTTTTATTGTTTCTAAACTACCCAGTCTGTGGTATTCTGTTATGGCAGCACGAAGTGGACTTAGACAATGATGTTTGCTCAAAACATTTCAAATGGACTTTCTAGCCTAAGTAACAGTCCATTTCCAACTAATATTTTCTCAAGAGAAGAGAAAGAGTGGGTTGTTACTTGAAGGAACATCTGTCTTAAAAAGTTGTTTTCACATAATCTAAATTAGTAAAGAAGCGTGGGGAAAGAATGTACTGATGCAAATGGTAAGAGCCGTGGGCAATGCACTTTTGAGGTTTCTGAAAAGCATCTGTGTGTGTGCATTTTGAGAAAGTTACCACTTTGCCTTTCAGTTCACTCCAGGAACTGCTACAGTCTCAGGGTCCAAACCCCAACCAACTGATGTATTAATAAATGCAAGGCTGATGTATTAATAAATGCATATATAATATGTATTTATTACCACATTTATTACCATAAATATGGTTGTATTTAATACAACCAAGTGATGTATTAATAAATGCATATATAATAAATTATATATGAACAGTTAGGACTGTGTTTCATAAAGACTTTCACTACAAAAAAAAGCCTGGAATGAAGTTTGTGCACAGGCTCATACCAGTAATGTCAACACATTGGGAGGCCCAAGCTGGGAGGATCATTGAGGTCAGGAGTTGGAGAACAACTGGGCAACATAGCAAGACTTTGTCTCTACAAAAATAAAAATCATAAGTTGGCCATGGTGGCACACGCCTGTAATCCCAGCCACATGGGAGGCTGAGGCATGATGATCACTTGAGGCCAGTAGTTTGTGCTACTTCACTCTAGTCTGGGCAGCAACAGGAGACCCTGTCTCCAAAACAAGAGCATGGAATGTCTTTTCTCTTTATTCTGATTTCAAACAGAGATTTCTTTTTATCAATTTGACCTAGACTTTGAAAAAGCACATTAGTAAACCCCTTCTTTACATTTTCTCCCAATCAAAATAACTAAACAAAATCAAAACCATCAGAGAACAAGGCAAAGAATGGCACTCTTCTCCGAACCCCAGCCTCACACCACCCTCGCGCCCCAACCCTGCCTACAAGTTAGCAACTCCCTACACAGATGCAACATTCATACCCAGAAGGGCTGGCTCCCAGGAAGACACGACCTCCAAACCCAACCAGCACCTTTTTGGGCATTTCAGCAGAGCAGGTAAAGATCCAAGAGCAATTTTTCATCAGAATCTGGTGACAGCAACACTTCTGAAAACAGGTGCCAAATTGTCTCCACTGTAGCACTTCACATTCCCTCTTCAAACCATTCGGATCTGGAGTTTCCAATCTGAACTTCTCTTATCATGGTCATGGGCAACATCCATCTTGGCAATTCCAATAGATCCTTCTGTCCTCCTATGACTACCTCTCGGTAGGACTTACTTTGTGCCTGAGTTCAGTGACCTTGTGCTCACTCTCTTACTTCTCCTTCCTCCCTGGCTGGCCATTCCTTCTCAGTTTGCTTTGTAACTCCCCTCTCCTATTCTACCTCATCCTGTGCCACATGCATTCTCTCTCTCTCTCTCTCTCTCTCTCTCTCTGTTTTCATCCTTTCCTGCAGATTCACCTATCATCTAAATGTTATCTCCAGTCTAGATTACTCCTCGGAGTTCTAGACACACGTTCAACTGTCTGCCTAAGATTTGTTTGGATATTTAATAGACACCTCAAACTTAATATGTCCACAATAGAACTCTTGATTCTCAAAGCTGGCCCTCTCCATAAAACAAAAACAAAACAAAGCAAAAAGAAACCCTCCTAATCTCAGTCTTTCATCTCCTTCTGAGAAATTGCTCAAGACCAAAATTTAGAGGTCATTCTTAATTCCTCACTTGTCCTCACTCCCTAAGTCTCATCTATCATGAAGTGCTGACAGTTAACCGTCCAATATATGTAAGACACACACACAAACACACACACACACACACACCAGGCTTACTGATATAAAATTCACATACCATACAATTCACTAATGTAAAATGTATCATTCAATGGTTTTTAATATATTCACGGAATTGTACGACCATTAGAAACTCAATTCTAGTCACTTTCATCATTCCCGGAAGAAACCACAGACCCATAGCAGTCACTCGTAATTTGCCACCATACACCCCCTGTCGTAGGCAACCATTAATCTACTTTGTGTCTATGGATTTGCCTGTTCTAGAAATTTCACATAAAAGGAATTATACAGTTTGTGTTCTTTGGTGTCTGGCTTCTTTCACTTAGCATGTTTTCAGGGTTCATCCATGTTTTAGCATATGTCAGCACTACAATCCTTTTTAAAGCTGAATAGTGTTTTACTGTATGGATATACCACATTTTATTTGTCTCTTCTTCAGTTGACAAACATTTGGGTTGTTTCCATTCTTTAGGTATTATGAATAATGCTGCTAGAAATATTATTATTTTTGTACAGCTGGGACTACAGGTATAGGTATATGTATAGGTATGTATCCTATTTCTCTTGGGGATATGCCTAGGAGTGGATATATTGGGTTATAAAAGGTAAATCTGTGTTTAATTGTTTGAAGAACTGCTGGACTGTTTTCCAAAACAGTTGCTTTGGAAACACGGGCATTCCAATTTCTTCACATCCTCACAAACAACTGTCATTATCCGTCTTTGTGGGTATGAAGTGTTTTTTATTGTGGTTATAATTTGCATTTCCCTAATGGCTAATGATAGTAAAAACCTTCTCATGTGCTTAATAGTTATTAGCATATCTTCTTTGGAGGACTATCCATTCCAATCCTTTGCCCTTTTTTAATCAAATTATCTTTTTATTATTGAGTCTTAACAGTTCTTTATGTATTCTAGATACTGTCCTTTATGACATATATAATTTGCAACTATTTTCTCCCATTCTGTGAATCGCCTTTTTCCTTTTCCTTTTTTTTTTTTTTCTGAGTCGTTCTCGCTATGTTGACCAAGCTGGTCTCAAACTCCTGGACTCAAACAATCCTCTGCTTTGGCCTCCCAAAGTGCCAGGATTACAGGCATGAGTCCCTGTGCCCAGCCTGATATGGTTTGGATTTGTGTTCTTGCCCCAATCTCATGTTGAATTATAACCCCCAATGTTGGAGGACAGGCCTGGTGGGAAGTGATTGGATCGTGGGGGCAAACTTCCCCCTTGCTGTTCTTGTGATGGTGAGTTCTCATGAGATCTGGTTGTTTAAAAGTGTGTAGCACCTCCCCCTTCTCTCTCTTCCTCCTGCTTCAGCCATGCAGGCTGTGTCTGCTTCCCATTCACCTTCTGCCATGATTGTAAGTTTCCTGAGGCCTCTGCAACCATGCTTCCTATATGACCTGAAGATCCATCAGCCAATTAAGCCTATTTTCTTTATGAATTACCCAGTCTCAGGTAGTTCTTTATAGCAATGCGAGAATGGACTAATGCATAGCCCTTTTCACTTTCTTGATATTGTCCTTTGCTGCACAAAGTTTTCTAATTTTGATACATTTATCTATTTTTATTTTGTCACTTGTCCTTTTGGTATCATATCTTAAAAAAATCCAATCCAAGGCCATTAAATTTGTATCTATGCTTTTTCTGAGAGTTTTAAGGCTTACCTTTAAGCCTCTTATTAATTTTGAGTTAATTTTTGTTTATGATATGAGGTAGGAGTCCAGCTTTTCTTTGGCAGATGGATATACAGTTTCCCCAGTACAATTTGTTGAAGAGATTATTTTTCCCCATTGAATTGTTTTGGCATTGTTTTGTATTGTTTCCACTGATTTACTGAAAATTAATTGACCACAAATAATGTATGAGTTTATTTCTAGACTCAATTCTATTCTATAGAATAGAATAGAATACCAGTACCACACTATCTTAATTACTGTAGTTTTGTAATACGTTTTGAAGCTGAGTCTCCTATTTTGTGCTTCTGTTTCAGGATTGTCATGGCTATTCTGGGTCCCTTGAATTTCCATATTAGTTTTAGTATCTACTTGTCAATTAAAAAAATTCATTTGAGATTTTTGACAGAGATTGCATTAAATCTGTAGATCAATTTGAAGAGTACTGTCATTTTTAAAATATTGTTTTCTGATCCATGCACATGGAATGTTTTTCCAGTTATTTAGGTCTTCTTTAGTTTCTTTCAATGATGTTTTATAGTTTTAAGGTATATGTTTTACACTTCTTTTGTTAAACTTATTCCTAAGTTTTTTATCTTTTTCATGCTATTAGAAAACAAATTATTGTTTCTATTTTATTTCATATTATTCATTACAAGTATATATAACAAAATTGATTTTGTATATTAATCTTATGTCCTGCAATCTTGCTGAACTTATTAGTTTTAATAGTATGGTGAGTTCCTAAAAATTTTCTATAAACAAGATCACGCCATCTGCAAGTAAAGATAGTTTTACCTTTTCTTTTCCAATCTGGAAGCCTCTTATTTCATTTTCTTGTATAACTGCTCTGGCTAGAACCTCCAGCACAATACTGTATTAGTCAGGGTTCTCCAGAGAGACAGAATGAATAGGATAGATATATAGAAGTAGGCAGGAAATGTATTAGAGGAATTGGCTCACAGGATAATGGGGGCTGAGAAGTCCCACAACCGGTTGTCCTCAAGTTGGACAACCAGGAAGACTGGCAGCCTGTCTCCATCTAAGTCCAAAGGCCTCAGAATCAGGGTAGCCAATGGCATCACTCTATCAATCTAAGGCCCAAGATCTGAGAATCCTGGGGCCACTGGTGCACATGCCAGAGTCCAAAGGACAGAGGACCTGGAGCTCTGATGTCCAAGGGCAGTAGAAGAAGTGTTGCAGCTCCAGCAAAGACCTTTCCCCTGTCTTTTTTTCTATCCAGGCCCGGAGTCAATTGGACAGTGATCACCCACATGGAGGGTGGATCTTCCTCACTTAGTCTACCACTCATACACCAATCTCGTCCAGAAACACCCTCACAGACACACGCAGAAATAATGTGTTATTAGCTATCTAGGTGTTTTTTAATCCAGCCAGGTTGACAAATGTATTAGGGTTCTCCAGAGGGGCAGAACCAACAGGATACATATACATGTGAAAGGGAATTTATTAGGGAGAACTGCCTCACACAATTACAAGGTAAGTCCCATGATAGGCTGTCTGCAAGCTGGGGAAGAGAGAAGCTGGTAGTGGTCAGTCCAAGTCCTAAAGCCTCAAAACTGGGGAAGTCAATAGTGCAGCCTTCAGTCTGTGGCCAAAGGCCCTAGACCCCCCGGCAAGCCACTGGTGCAAGTCCCAGAGTCTAAAGGCCGAAGAACCTGGAATTTGATGTCCAAGGGCAGGAGGAGTAGAAGGAAGCATCCAGCACAGGAAGAGGAAACAGAGCCAGAAGACCCAGCAAGCTGCTTATCCCACCTTCTTCTACTGCTTCGCTCTTGCCATGCTGGGCAGCTGACTGGATGGTGCCCACCCACAGCAAGGGTGGGTCTTCCTCTCCCACTCCACCAACTCAAATGTCAATCTCCTCTGGCAAGCCCCTCAGAGACACACCCAGAAAAAATACTTTACCAGGCATCTAAGCCTCCCTTAGTCCAATCAAGTTGACACCTAATATTAACCATCACAGCACCTAAAATTTACTGTTCACAAATACTGAACAGAAGTGGTGAGAATGGATATCCTTGTCTTGTCTCTGAGCTTAGGAGAAAAGCTTTCAGCCCTTCACCATTCAGTGTCATGTTAGCTGTGGGTTCTTCATAGATGTCTTTTTCAGGTTGAAGAAGTTCCCTTCTATTCCTAGTCTGTTGAGTGTGTATGTGTGGGTTTTTTTTTTTTTTTTCTGTTTCTTTTGGAGTTTTGCTCTGTCACTGGAGTGCAGTGGCATGATCTTGGCTCACTGCAACCTTAGACTTCTGTTCAGGTGCTTCTCCTGCCTCAGCCTCCCGAGTAGCTGGGACTACAGGTATGTGGCACCACGCCCAGCTAATTTTTGTATTTTTAGTAGAGATGGGGTTTCACCATGTTGGCCAGGATGATCTCGATCTCCTGACCTCATGATCTGCCTGCCTCGGCCTCCCAAAGTGCTGGTATTACAGGTGTGAGCCACCGTGCCTGGCCGAGTGTGAGTGTTTTTTTTTTTTTTAAAAACATGAAGAGGCATTCGATTTTGTCAAATGCTTTCTCTGCACAAGACATCCTCTTTGCCTTTGCTTTTCAATCTGGAAGCTTTTTCTATGCCACCCGCATAACTTGCTATTTCTCATTCTTACAAGTCTCTACTTCAGGGCATTCCTGGATCATCCTATTTTAAAGTCCCCACCCATCACTCTATCTTCTCCATTCATGCAACCACAGAACCTTCAAAGTACTCAGCCATTATGAAACCAACCCAACAGTCCCATATAGCTTTTTTTTTTAAAAAAAAGAATAAATAAACATAGAAATTGAACTTTCTGGTCTTAACATTTGAAACTTATATTTGTTTTATCTGAGATCCTTCCTCAGGAAATGACCTTCAGGCCTCTCAAAAAAAGTATCAAAGAAATGAAACTCACCAGATCACATCCAGACAATAAAATGTGGACGCTGATTCAACATGATTGCTTCCAAGCCCCTTCTGAGTTCCTGTTTTCCCACACATGATTACATTTCTTCCCTGCTATATAGCCAGTTTTGGTCAGTCAGAGAGATGGATTTGAGACTGAGCTCCCATCTCCTCGGCTGCAGCACCCAATTAAAGCCTTCTTCCTTGGCAACACTTGTTGTCTCAGGCATTGGCTTTCTGTGCAGTGAGCAGCAGGACCCAGATTGAACCCCTGGTGTTTTGGTAACAATTACTATTAATATATGTACATATTCTGATGACACTTGTATTAATATAAAGTTTGGTATTTGCCAGCACATATTCATAATTTTAGTCCTTGCAATAATAGTATCTACAAAGTGAATACTATTATAAGCATCTTACACATAAGGAAATTGAAAGAGAGGTTACATGTCTTTTCCAAGATCATGCAGTTTATTAAGTGTCAAACCCAGGATTAAAACCCAAGCCACTGAGCTGCAGATACCAGGCTCTTAAACATTTGCTATTGTGTCTCTCAATGATTACCTTTCCTTAATTGTTAATGTATTTATTATCTAAACATGAGCACTGTCAACCTCAGTTTTTGCTGCATCCCTAGCATCTAACACCATCCATGGCTGGTGCGCAATCAATATTTAATGAACAAATGGAACACTGGTCTTAAGATGCCTCACAAGAAAATAGTTCCATGGAACTCTGGTGAGCACTGCCCACTACTCACACCCATCAAGATTCACAAAGCTCATTAGTTTTGAAGAAGGTCATTTAACTTTAATCCAATGCTTTCCAAACGCACTTAGGCATAGACCCATCCTCTGACCCAGGTCCCCACTGTATTAGTGGTGTAGGGAGCTGTGTTCCAGGGAACACACTTTGAGAACTCCTGCTCCAGAGAGGCAGGTCAAATAGCACAGTTTCCAGAAGGGTGCTCCTGTTCTCACTCCTTTGGCTGGCTCTGCTCCTATGTAAAGGTCCTATCTAATTCACACTCCCCGAAAGCTCCCTAATAGCCACGGCTCAGCTCAGAAAGAAAACCACAGCTGTAAGCTTTCCTGTTCTTTCCTGAAGTTCATAAAGGGCACACTGGGACACATGACCATCGAGGAAAAATGAAGACATTTCCAACCATCACAGTGGCTCAGCTCTCCTGTATGTCTATGGTTCCACACCGCATCACAGAGGCCGCTTTAATCTTCTTCGAGCTCTGGTTTGTTGAACATGATTCAAACAAAATCACCCTTCACAATGTGCTTTAATCTCTTCTAACAGTGCAAGCAAAGCCAATAATGTGTTAACCACAAAAGTGTCATATTTCTTTCCTCAATACTTACCTTAACGCCGATATTTAAATCATGGCTTCGATGTGAAATGACTTCAAAATCATCATATCTCAGCTTTTCAAGTCCTCAAGGCCATCCACTTGAACTCTCTCTGAAAAAGGACAAAGTCTCTACTGAAAAATCTGAGAAAGAAAATAGCAAACAATACAAGACAACCACACGTACGAATGAAACTGGATACTCTGCTGTGATTAATCTGCTGCCTCCAAAGAGCTTTTTCCCTTTCAAATACTCATCAACATCAGCAACTACAGATTACAGGCAGTGGTTAAAGTATCTTTTTAAACCTCTTATAAAAAGTGCTCAATAAAAGAATGCATTTTTCCCATTCATCGTAAACTCAGTGAATAAAGTCATTTCTATGCAATGGTTCTCCAAAGCTCTTATTTTTCTGGGAGGACTAAAATTGTATTATTTGGTCTATAAGCAAGAATCATTTTTGGTAAATATGAGTACTTTCTAAATTCAAATTTAAAATCAGATCCAAATATAGGGATGGCCAGGCATGGTGGCTCCCACCTGTAATCCTGGCACTTTGGAAGGTTGAAGTGGGAGGACTGCTTGAGGCCAGGAGTTCAAGACCAGTCTGCAACAAAGTGAAACCCTGTCTATACAAAAAATTGAACAAATTAGCTGAGCGTGGAGGTGTGCTCCTGTGCTCCCAGCTACATGGGAGGCCAAGGCAGGAGGATCACTTGAGTCCAGGAGGTTAAGGCTGCAGTGAGCCATGTTTGGATCACTGTACTTCAGCCTGGGCAACAAGGAAGACCCTGTCTTTAAAAAAATTAAAAACAAAAGAACAAATATGGAGGCTTGGGAACAGCAGCCTTGCCACAAAGGGACAACTGAGAAAATAAGAAATGGGTTGAAATTCATCACGAAGTTGGATGGAACTAACAAAGACCCAATTCCACAGAAAAAGACATGCTGGGTGGAGAGTTAGGAGACTGGAATAACTCACCGAAGGCATCAGGGTGAGTGATTTGGCTATGACTTGGTCTATGTCAAGCATTCCAGGCAGAGACAATCTCTGCATTTATTTTCCTCAAAGAGTGAGGGGAAACCCCACCTATGCTAGAATGTACCAGAGTAGAATTAAGGCAAACATGCATTTCCCCTTGTGGTTTGCCTGACGAGGTGCAATTTGTATGAAAGATGACTCACAAGGTTACAGAGTCATTCTTTAGACTCGAGGGTTGACACTCTGTGTGGTTCTTAATGACTCAGCCTGGGAGAGGTCCCCAACACAGAAGGCTCCAGCCCTGCAATCCCAGACTACAGAGGAAAGCCCCTCGTTTATCAGCTGGTTAGTGGTTAACAAGCGTGGCTTTGGGAAGTCTTTTGTCTTAGGCTATTGAGTTCCATCTTCTCATCTCCTCTCTGTTGTCTACTCAGCACTTCCTTGTATTCTTACCGCCGGAAAAAGTCAGAAAAGAATTCACTCAAGCACAGAGGGCTCTGAACTGGGCAACAGCTGGCACCACACCAGGCATTGCAAGAAACCACAGCTGAATTCCTTGGCGCTCATTTTTATAAATATTCCACAGGAAGGATGTCAGAAGCCTGGTTTATCCAGCATAGAGAGAATGGGGTTCATCTCCAGAAGCCCAGCCCCAGAGGCAACTTCTAGGAAAAAATCATCTTGTGATGGGTGCGGGGTCAAAGGGGAGTCAGCCCATGTGAAGTTCCCACAAGGTTAAAAAATAAATTATTGTCACCACTGCCTGGTGGAATTCAGACAGTCATGAACTCATTCTTGTAAGCCACAGAGATGGTTGCGGTAAACACAGACAAATTATTGGGTTTAAGCAGACCGTTTTTTGTTCCAACAATAAAAAAAATCATTTTCCCTTTCCTCCACAAATCTCTTTATTACTAAAAAGCTTTGATGCCTTGAGAACTGGGCTAGATCAATGTAAGCCTCTCTTTTTCCCCTGGGACTCCTCCTTAGGGCTCCAAACTGGTTTAAAAAATCCTTTGCCTGCTTAGGAAAAGGAGACCCTCTTATTGAACCAGCCACAAAAGAAAGAAAAAGAAAACTACTCAAAAAGAAAACAGGGGCTGGGCACAGTGGCTCATGTCTGTAATCCCAGCACTTTGGGAGGCTGAGGCAGGAGGATGGCTTGAGGCCAGGAGTTCAAGACTAAGCTGGGCAATACAGTGAGACCTTGTCTCTACAAAAAAATTAAAAATTAGCTGGGCCTGCCTATGGTCCCAGCTACCCAACAGGCTGAGGAAGAAAGATTGTTTGGGCCCAGGAGTTGCAGGTTACAGTGAGCTACGATTGTACCACTGCGCTCCAGCTCGGGCAACAAAGCAACACCTTGCTTGACTCAAAAAAAAAATTAAAAAGGCAGGGTGGGGTGGCTCATACCTATTGTTCCAGCACTTTAGGAGGCCAAAGTGAGAGGATCAATTGAGCCCAGGAATTTGAGACCAGCCTGGGCAACATAGCAAGACCCTGTGTTTACAAAAAATATAAAAAATTAGCCAGGCATGGTGTTGCACACCTCCCAGCTACTAGGGAGGCTGAGGTGGGAGGATCGCTTGAGCCTGGGAGGTGGAGGCTGCAGTGAGCCATGGTCTCACCACTGCACTCCAGCCTAGGCCACAGAGCAAAATTCTGGTGGGGGGAACGGGCCAAGAGAATCACAAGAAGCCAAGAAGAAAGGGCAGAATAGAAACATTCTCATCCCTCCCTCTTCTTAAAGAGAGTGCTAATCTCTGCCCAGACGCTCACGTCTTCCCCTGGCTCATTCCCCTCCTGACCTCTGGAGCATGGGCTCTCAAACTCATAGTGTGCACAGCAATCGCCTTGGGGCTCTACAACTGTGAGTCCAGATAGAAGAAAATCTGCAGTGAAATCATGAGCTCAGGGACAAAGAAGGAGTTTAAAAAGCCTGTGCCTGGGCCGGGTGTGGTGCCTCACGCCTGTAATCCCAGCACTCTGCGAGGCTGAGATGGGAGGATCATGAGGTCAAGAGATCAAGACCATCCTGGCCAACATGGTGAAACCCCGTCTCTACTAAAAATACAAAAATTAGCCAGGTGTGGTGGCACATGCCTGTAGTCCCAGCTATTCGGAAGGCTGAGGCAGGAGAATCGCTTGAACCAGGGAGTCGGAGGTTGCAGTGAGCCGAGATTGCGCCACTGCACTCTAGCTTGGCGACAGAGCAAGACACCGTCTCACAAGAAAAAAAAAAAAAAGCCTGTGCCTGAAACACTTGAGTCCTAGAAATCTGGTTTGCTTAAAGACAAAGGGAAAACCTCAGTCACTAGAGAGTAAAACTTCAGAATATATTGACAGGAAAACCCCACCATCAACCAGCTTTCATGCAGTCAGGATCATTTAGGAAAAATAAAAAAGCAAGAATACAAACAGGAAAAGGTCCAAATTTAGGGACAGGTTGAAGTTCGAGAAACGAGTCAAACCGGAATAAAAGCAGAAAAGAATTCCAGAGGAAAACAGGGCACCGGAGAAAGGAGAATGAGCATGATTAATGCAGCAGGAGGAGATGCTAGCTAAGCTGGAGCCAGACCAGGAGGGCTTGTCTCTTCTCTCCGGGGCTCTCTTGACCTTTCCAAGGCATTTCTTTCCGGACAAAACAAACTGTTACTGACTTTCACCAGGTTACCAACCCCCTGTGCAAAAACTCTGACTAGACTCTGGGACTAAATCTAGACCAATTGCATCTGGAAGAGAGATATGCCAGACAAAGGCATCCTTTTAGGTTAATGTTTCAAGCCTGTGCTTTGACAGATGGTGCCCATGGAGGTGCTCACAGTGAATGGATGTTTCTGGTGAGTTTTTATTTTCATTTTCCAAATTCTAGAACTGAAAATCAAATAAACTTTCTTTCTTTTTTTTTGAGATGGAGTCTCATTATGTTGCTCAGGCTGGTCTTAAACTCCTGGCTTAAAGTGATCCTTCCGTCTTTGGCCTCCCAAAGGGCTGAGGTTACAGGAGTGAGCCACCATGCCCGGCCCCAGTGAGTTTTATTCACATACTACCAAACTACTAGAGTAGCAAGTGCCTCTAGTTCTGGGGCATTGAGCAGCAACTTATCCCTCTTCACCAAGCAGCCAACAACCCCCACTGCAGACCTCAGGGATGATGCTGCCATGAGACCCAACTTTTATTCTGGCTTCTTTCTCCAACCTTTTTCCCTAGATGCCTTTAGCAAGGAAACCTGGTTCTTCCAGACATTTTCACAGAGCCTTAGGCACTTCCTCCCCGGTCTCATACAAATCTTTCAGGATTCAGCCTGGATGCCCCCAGTTTCCAGGAGAGCTTCTCTGACTGCCTTCATCCATCCTCAGAGACCTCCCTGTCTCCTGAATTCATGCCAAACACCTGATGCTGATTATAAATAACAATATGGCTAATTCTCAACCATCAAGGGTTGGATTAGCCACAGGAATAATAATACCAATAAGCATAATAATCATTATTGTTATTTGAACATTTGTAAAAAGTAAATAAATAAAATGCCAAATCAACAAGACCATCTCCCCATTAGAGAAGGTCCCCATTGATTGGAACTGCACAGTGACCTGCAGACATCACTGTGTCTGGAGTAGTTCCAGGCATCCATCACCCCTCAGATAGCTGCCTACCACATTAGTGCCCAAGGCTTGCCATTCTGACAGCAATAATTCCAGAAGCAAACACATGGATGGGAAAGCCACTAGTAAGTGACTGGACTGTCACATGTGTGAGGCAAGTTAGAAGCAATGAGCAACAATTAAAGTGGGAAGCTGGCATTAGAAGACAGGGCAGCAGGGATGTATGTGCGCGCGTACACACACACACACACACACACGGAACACTTGGACGAAGGACAAATAATAGGCCAGGTGCAGTGGCTCATGCCTGTAATCCCAGCACTCTGGGAGCCCAAGGCGGGAGGATCACTTGAGGCCAGAAGTTTGAGACCCACCTGGGCAGCAAAGCAAGACCCCATCTCTACAAAAAAGTAAAGAAAATTAACTGGGTGTGGTGGCATGCACCTGTAGCCCTAGCTACTTGGAAGGCTGAGGCTGGAGGATTGCTTGAGGCCAGGGATTTGAGGCTGCAGTGAGCTATGATCACACCACTGCACTCCAGCCTGGGCAACAGAATAAGACTCTGTCTCTTAAATAATAGTAATAATAAAAGAATAGACCATTTTAAGAGCACTAACCAATGGCCCATTTTATTTGTCAAGAAAACTATAGAAGACTTTGTGATCCTAGACTTGTAATATTTTTACACAGTAAGACAGTATCTATAGAATGGTGAATATTGTTCCAAATACTGGATTTTTCAGTAAGTAAACATCGGTAGTTTCCACTATGAAGAACATATTAGATTTGATGGTGACAACTTTTCTGTACTTTACCTCTCAATCAACAGATACTTATATTTCTTTTTTTTGTTTTTTTCTTTTGAGACACAGTCTCCCTCTGTTGCCCAGGCTGGAGTGCAGTGGCACAATCTCAGCTCACTGCAACCTCCGCCTCCCAGGTCCATGGAATTACAGGTGTGCACCACAATGCCCAGCTAATTTTTGTATTTTAGTAGAGACGGGGTTTCACCATGTTGGCCAGGCTGGTCTTGAACTCCTGACCTCAAGTGATCTGCCCTGCTTGGCCTCCCAAAGTGCTGGGATTACAGGCGTGAGCCACCATGCCCTGGTTGAGAGACGCCTATATTCCATATGGACTTTTCCCTCTAAAATCAGACTCATTTTTTATCAGCGGGACTCTTCTCCTGCACTGTATGTTTTCAGTGTTTCATGGGCATGAGCCCCATGCTCAACAAAGAGATGCGGAAAGACTGACAGGGAGGCAGTGGGCAGAGCAGCCGCTGGTTCTCCCGGTGAGTGCTGCTGGCAATCAGCACATCGGCAACTGCAAGAAGATGCTCACAGTCAAAATAGCAACTGACGCCAAGGGCACATCAAGGAGAGGGAGCTAAAATAAGAACCACAATCCTCCCTGGTGAGATCCAGAAACTCCACTACCCCTCTGTCCTTGGGGATATCTTCCTACGGGACACGTTCCCCATTTGATGGTCTTTATGCTGCCATTGGATGACCTTCCCGTGTATCCCATGACAGCACAGGTTCTTAAAAGGACACATCAGGTCCTCATACATTTTTTAGTACACTCCTGCAAAACCCTGGGAGATGTTCTGATTCAAGGATATGGTATTAACCAAAATCACAAGTGGAAAAATTGAGTTAATGGGCAGAATTCTCAACTTTAAGAATCTCTCATACACTTTTTCAAAATGTATATTCATAATTTTTTTTAAATGTATGTTTTTTTTGATGGCTCCTACCACTTGCTTAATAGCAAACACAAAATGAATAAATAAGTAGCAAACATTGAAGAAAAACTCAGGTTGGTGTGTGACAGATACATGCATGTGTGAATATGATGTAATATTGTCTATAGCAGGAGACCTCTGGCTGCCTGGATTCAAGCTCAGCGACCTCTCCCTGTCTCCTTAATTCATGCCAAATGCCTGATCTTGATTATAAATAACAATTACAGCTAATTAATTCTCAGCCATCCAGGGTTGGTTTAGCCACAGGAATAACAATAATAATAACTGTTGTTATTTGAACATTTGTAAAAAGTAAATAAATAAAATGTCAAATCAACAAAACCATCTACCCATTAGAGAAGAGTCAATTTTATATTTCGTAATTTTATATATATATATATACACACACACACACACATGCACACATACATATATGGATGCATACATTTGTATATATGATGATAAAGCATATAATGAGCTAAGTCGTAAAACAGAAAAACAGAATGCAACATTTCAACATTTCAGTGTGCCTCAAAGAACACCATGATTTCCTCCAACTGTCCTCAAACCTGAAGAAGTTTGCAAATCATACAATCATATAAGTGTATTTTTACAGAAAGGTCCAGGAGACACTATTCATGTAGGCACCTCAATAAAAAGAGAACTAAGAAAGAGGCAAGGGCTTATGCCTGTAATCCCAGCACTTTAGAAGGTTGAGGTGGGAGAATTGCTTGAGGCCAGGAGTTCAAGACCAGCTGGAGCAACATAGTGAGACCCTATGTATATCTCTACAAAATTTTTTTAAGTAAGCCTGTAGTGCCAGCTACTCAGGAGGCTGAGATGGGAGGATCACTTGAGCTCAGGAGTTCGAGGCTGCAGTGAGCTGTGATTGCCACCACTGCACTCCAGCCTGGGTGACAGAGCAAGATCTTGTCTCAAAAAAAAAAAAAAAAAAAAAAAAGGAGGCAAACGATGGTCTTCCCAGGAGCTTGCAGTAGAGTCAAAGCAATCGTGGTGTCTCAAGATATGTTGATCCCTCTCTGGACTCCTGAATCCCATACAGTTGCAATCCATGCAATTCAGCACCTGGCGAAGGCAAATATTTTCTGTTGCTCTCTACTGACTTCATAGGTGCACATTTTCATGAAAATAAATTATTATGCTAGGCCTTGCTCTTTTTTGTCTAGGTGGACAACTAATACCAGACTTAAAAACCTACTGCTGGCCAGGCACAGTGGCTCACGTCTGTAATCCCAGCACTTTGGGAGGCCGAGGCTGGTGGATCACGAGGTCAGGAGATCGAGACCATCCTGGCTAACAAAATGAAACCCCATCTCTACTAAAAATACAAAAATTAGCCAGGCATGGTGGCGGACGCCTGTAGTCCCAGCTACTCAGGAGGCTGAGGCAGGACAATGGTGTGAACCCAGGGGGCGGAGCTTGCAGTGAGCCAAGATTGCGCCACTGCACTCCAGCCTGGACAACAGAGTGAGACTCCATCTCAAAAACAAACAAACAAACAAACAAACAAACAAAAAACCCTACTGCTATGCAAACTATGTTTGGTAAGACAAACATACACTAAGGGCTCCAGTTCACTCTTCATACTCTCTGCCTATCAACCCCCATAACGGGGGAAAAAAGGGGATGGGTCCTGATTGATCCTGGATGACTTTCACCTCCTTTCTCAAGGTTTAAGTGATGCCTTCTGGATGCATGTTACCAAGGGATCCTCCCTCCTTAGCGTCTCAACAGTAGCTAGCCCTGTAGGCACATGCCATCATGCCTGGCTAATTTTTTTATTTTTTATAAAGACAGGGTTTCACTATGTGGCCCAGGCTGGTCTCAAACTCCTGGCCTCAAGTGATCCTCCTGCCTCAGCCTTTCAAAGTGCTAGGATTACAAGCGTGAGCCACCGTGTACCTGGCCTACTCCTAACCATTATGCTCTGATGTTCCACTCTTTAAAAAAATAATACAACAGCTTTGAGAGAGGTAAAAAGGTTTTCACAAGATTTCACGACATCCTAAGTAGTATCTCCAAGATAAATCTATATGCCTTTTAATAACCATAGAGATTTGCATCTGACTTCTCTGCCTGGGGCAAAAAGGATCTTTGTCACTGCAAAAGTCCCAACATAGTTTTATATCCCACACCTAAGGATACCTTTTTGCCTGGAAAGACGTGATAGGGATCTCTCCCTAGATCTTGGGATAGGAGTCCACTGCCTCGTACAGACGACCCGTGAGCCTGGTACACTTACGCCAAGGTCTCACTAAGGGTGGGTATTACCCTTGAGCTCAGTTTTACTTAGTTTACTACACCCAAGAGAAACAGATGTGCACTTAGCATCTCCTGAGTACAACACACTGTGTTATGTGCAGAGAAGGAAAAAAGAAACTCCGGCAATAGTGAAGCTAGAAGGACTTCTAAATAAAAGTAATTTAAAGTTCTAAGTAGAAGGGATTGGAACACAAAATTGAGGGGAAGAAAAGGGAAAGTCATATTCCGAGGTTTCTCTTCAAGGAGGAAAATCACACTGGGCATAATATGGTTTGGCTGTGTCTCCACCCAAACCTCATCTTGAATTGTAGCTCCCATAGAGTCCATTAAACTTCTTTCCTTTATAAATTACCCAGTTTTGGGTATGTCTTTATTAGCAGCATGAGAAAAGACTAATACAGGGTGTTAGTGCTTGAAGGCTCTGAAGGAGGTAGGAGCGCTCACATTTTGCTGGTTGGAATGCAAAAAAGTGGCACAGGTACTTTGGGAAACAGCCTAGCAGGTGTTTCTTCTTTTTTTCATCAAGTTAAACTTACCTTATGAACCAGCAACTCCACACCCTATGTATTTACTCAAGAAAAAGTGAAAACTTATGTTTCCATAAAAATCTGCTCATAAATGGAACTGGTGTTTTATTCATAATCACTAAAATATGGAAACAATCTCAAAGTCCTTTGGTGAGTGAATAAGCAAACTCTACAACAATACAATAGAACACAACTCAGCAACAAAAAGGAACTGCTATTGACACACAACAATGTGGATCAGCTTAAGAGAAGCCAGACTCAAAAGACATCCTGTGTGACTCCATTTGCATAACATTCTGGAAAAGGCAAAACTGTAGGGATAGAAAACAGCAGTCGTTGCCAGAATTTGGGGGCTGAGTGTGGGAACTGATGACACGGGGCAACAAGGAACTTTTTCAGGATGATGGATATTTACATCTTGATTATGTCGGTGGCTACACAATGGTATGGTCTTCTCAAAACACACCTGGGCCAGGTGTAGTGGCTCACACCTGTAATCTCAACACTTTGGGAGGTTGAGAGGGAAGGATCATTTGAGATCAGGAGTTCAAGACAAGCCTGGGAAACATAGCAAGACCATGTCTCTACAAAGAATAAAAATAAGCCAGGTGTGGTGGTGCAGTGTGCGCCTACTGTCCTAGCTACTCAGGAGGCTGAGGCAGGAGGACTGCTTGAGCCCAGGACTTTAAAGATGCAGGGAACCATGCCTGTGCCACTGTACTGTAGCTTGGGTGACACAGCAAGACCCTGTCTCTCAAAAAAAAAAAAAATAAGCTGTACACTAAAAAGAGGCAACGTTATTATATATGAGTTATATACCAATAAATCTGACTTTCTAAAAGCAGCTCAGAGAAATGATGCCAATAAAATTATCTCATGGAATAGGGCTATTGTCATCTTCTACAAGGTTCTACAAACCATGTGTCTAACTTCCTTTACTAACTCCCAGGTCCAATTTATTCTCACCCTATATTTACAGGACGACTATTAATAGCTTATTTTTAGAGAATAAAGCTCCCTTAGCCATATAAAATTTCTTAAAGCTACCTCTGAGTGTTTAGATAATAATGGGAACTCTCTTGTATTAAAAATAGAGGAGCACTGTACTGTAGCCTGGGCACCAGAGTGAGACCCTGTCTCAAAAAAAGAAAAAACAGAGGAATATGGGGCTTTTTCTCCTCATGCTAAGTATGCACCTGCTCATCACCAAGGAAAGAAGGCAGAAAGGATCCAGTAGCTGTCTGTCTACACAGATGAGGCCTACAAAACCACTAACTCACTGAAATACTCAGCTACTGCAATCCAAATGTTTAATTATGTTGAAAGTAAGCCAAGGTTACTGCTAAAATCTTCAGGCAAGAAGTAAAATCTAAGATAATTTTTTTTTCTTTGAGATGAAGTCTCACTCTGTTGCCCAGGCTGGAGTGCAATGGCGCCATCTCAGCTCACTGCAACCACTGTCTTCTGGGTTCAAGCAATTCTCCTGTCTCAGCCTCCCAAGTAGCTGGGACTACAGGCACGTGCTACCACACCCGGCTAATTTTTGTATTTTTAGTAGAGACGGAGTTTCACCATGTTGGCCAGGCTGGTCTTGAACTCCTGACCTCAGGTGATCCACCCACCTTGGCCTCCCTGAGGGTTGGGATTACAGGTGTGAGTCACTGCGCCCAGCCAAATCTAAGATAAATCTTGACCGTCAAATGGCAAACCTTTAGTGGAGCAGAAAGATTTTTTCAAATTACTGTACTATTGAAAAAACATAACTGCACTATGATTCAGCCTACACACCCAGACCAAAAACAATGTGAAGGATTCCAGTTTTTTTCTAGAGTCAATACTCCTGGTTGCCCATGTGTGCTGAGTACTGTTCTAGGCACTATAGGTACAATGATAAACCAATGTCCCTGTCTCTATGGAGCTCACATTCTTTTGGGAGTAACTGACAAATAAATAAATGAATGGACAAATACATGTATTGATCCCTAAGAGACTGAATGTCAGCTGATAAGAGCAGGGAAGGGGAAGTAGATTAAGAGGATGGGGGATTCTGTTTTAGATAAAGTGGTCTGTGTCTCTGAGGAGCTACCATTTGAGCAGAGCCCCAGAAGAATTGGGGAAGAAGGCTGGGGCACATCTGCAGGGAGAGTTTTGCTGGAGGAAAGAACAAGCATCAACTCCCATCTCTTGAGATGGGAGTATGACTGGTCTGTGCACGAAACTTGCAAAGTGGCCAGTTTGGCTGGCGTGCAGTGAGTGAAAGGAAGAGAGCCCGGATAACCAGCAGGAAGTGCTGTTCAGTGATGGCTGAGTGCTGGCCACACAGGCTCTGGGCCAGGACTTTGGAGTTTATTCTGAGAGTTTCTAGAAGCCCCAGTTGGATAAAAACAAGAGAGTGACATGATCTCAATTTAGTTTTAAAGACTCACTGTAGTTGCTCTGAGGAAAACAGACTTTGGGGAATGGGTAGACAGGGAGGTGGATGAGAAGAAGCATGGAGCTCTATAGGAGGCCCCCACAGCCATCCTGACAGAGATGATGGCCCTGGGCTGGGAGGTCACAGTGGAGGCACTGAGAAGTGGCCAGACTGGGCCGCTGAGTGAACGAAGGTGCCGTTGATGGAGATGGAGATCGAGATGTTGGGACGAAGCAGGTTAGCAGCCACCTGAATTGCTGGAAAATGTATTGATATTGCTGTCTGGGAGTTAGTGACATGATTTAAGATAAAGGAAAGTTGCCGGCTGTGGTGGCAACGCCTATAATCTCAGCAGTTTGGGAGGCTGAGATGAGAGGATCACTTTAGTCCAAGAGTTCAAGACCAGCCTAGGCAACTCAGGGAGACCTTATCTCTACAAAAAAATTTAAAAATTAGCTGGGCATGGTGGTGTGCACCTGTAGTCCCAGCCACCTGGGAGGCTGAGCAGGGAGGATCACTTGAGCCCAAAAGGTCAAGGTTGCAGTGAGCCATGATTGCACCACTGCACTCCAGCCTGGGAGACAGGGTGAGACTCCATCTCAAAAAAAAAAAAGATAAAGAAAAGGTTAATTTGACCCCAATAGTTTTAAACCTTAAGACTTTAAACATTTTAGAATGGAAATAGTTGACTCAGGACCAGTTTAGATATTAATTTAATCTTGTAATAGCATCTCCACCAACTAGGCCACTGACTATATACACCTAAGAAATGGATTTCTGTGAGAAGCGATATATTCCATTAGAGAACTTTCCAGGAAACAAAGATTTCCAGCAAAGCTAATAAAAGCTTCAAAGCTTTATAAAATAGATCAACAATGCTTTGAAGAGCCCCTTTATTTAACCCTTGCTAAAACAAAAGTATGTCAGCCAGGTTGCAGAGTGTGGGTATTTTCTGTCACATTTCTGTGATACAAAGGCTTAGTCTGATGGGAAAGAGAAGTCAAATTACAAGAATCTTTAATTGGTCTACATGTTAAAGTCTTTTGTGTAAACATCGTTTGTTTGACATAATCCATATCAAAGCATTTATCGGCTTTATAGATTATTTTCTTCAGCTGCTCTAAGATTTATAGGTTCAGGAAACTCTGAGTTTTTATGAAGCTGCATTTCATCTAGAAAGAGGCCAGAAACAACAAGAGAATGTAAAACGGTATGGAATTGATCCCTGCAAGTTAGAGTGAAGTGCAGTGGCAGGAAAGCCAGCAAGGCTCAGCCTCCATATTATAAGATTTTGTACATGTCCCAAAATCACATCTGTTTCAGCCAAGACAGGAATCGTGCCCAGGATTCAAAATGGAAGGGAAAGTTTAAATTGTTTTGATTGGAGTAACTGTGGCTGGCTAACATGTGCTTCTTCCAGGAGTCCAACAACTCCTCTATTTTCCATCTTTTCCTCCTCTTTCCTCCCATCCAACCCTAAGAGCAACAACAGAGTCTGATGAGGGACCAGATCAAAATCCTCCTTGGAACACCAGGCGCAGAGACCCCAGAGACTGCAGGCACCGACTTCACTTTTCATCTATTTCCTCTGTTGGAGAGAAAATGTTTCAATCCAGCTGGAACCGTCCAAACCTTGAACCCACCTTTAAAACTTCATCTGCTTTTCATTTTTGAGAAGTTTTACTCAAAAGAAATTAGCTCCCCAAAGTAACCTTACTTATCCACCCTTCCATTATCAGCCAAGAGAAAAATCTCCTCTTAGTCACGTAGCCCCGGGATAGATGCCTTCAACAGCTTCCCAATGTTTCCTTTCAATAACATTTTGGAAGTCCTTTATTGGTTTTCCCAGGTGTTTTCCCACCACACTACATCTCTTAGGATATGCTTTGGAAAGATCCGTTCTTAAAAGAAAATTCGCTGTGTTGCTCTAAAGTATTCCTTACTCGAATCTCTGAACTTAGTGACTTTTCCCACAGTATCAACTATTCAAGACAGATTTTTCTGGCTTATTGTTTTAAGATGTCAAGGATGCATTCTGCTTTTCCAAACTGAAGCTGGGACTTCCGATCACATATCCCCTTCCTTGCTACACTAACCAGCTGTTTCTGCGTCTTTCCAGAAGACAGCAGGATTGAGGCTGTATACTCTAGGCTTCTCCTAGGTCATCCATTCAGATATTTACCTTATTTCTTTCCAATGGCTCCAGACATATCATCTCTATTCCTATTTTTTTAAATCTCCAAGTTAAAATATACACATGGCCACACAATGTCAAATCCTCTGCCAACACTGAACTAGTGTGGTTTTCTCTTTGGACTCCTCTCTAATGACCTAAAGATGTATTATATCTGGATTCTCAGAGGTCTGTAAAATATTAATCCTTATGATGTAAAATGCTAGAAAATTGGGTCAGTCTGAATCTCTATTATTAATCCAGCCTGCTATCATTTCTCTGTGAGGTTCTATAATACATTCTGAAACTGTCACTGACCAGAAATCCCAGTAGTCGCTGACCCACTTAAGAAGCTAATGAAACCTATAGGCTCCCTCTCCAGAAATATCTCCAAACAAAATGGTACCTGTAATTGCTCTTCTAGACCAGGGGTCAGCAAACTGTAACCTGTGGGCCACATCACTGCCAATTTTTGCCAATAAAATTTTATTCGAACACAGCCATGCTTATTCATTTCTGTATTATCTATGGCTGTTTTCATGTTCCAGTGGCAATGTTGAATAATTAGAGCAAAGACTGTATGGTCCACAAAACCTGAAACATTTATAATATGGCCCTTTACAGAAAAGTCTGCCAGTCTCTCCTCTAGAGTGTTAAAACCAATGATTTCTAAGACAATAACCAGAAATGCCATCCTGGATCACCTAAGCATAGGAGGTTGAGGCTGCAGTGAGCCGTGATCACACCGCTGTGCTTCAGCCTGGGCGACAGAGCAAGATCCTGTCTCTAAAAAAAGAAAAAAGAAAAAAATAGAAATGCCACTCTGGGTGGCTTTGCAAAGTTACTTAACTAAATCCAATTTTCCTTAGGGTAAAAATTAAATAATAAAATTACGCACATAAGTGCCCAGCATGGTGCCTGGTATTCAGTAGGCAATTAATAATGTTTATTTCTTTCATTTGCTATGCTCCTCCTTGTGCTTCAGTACTAGGTTCAAATATCTCCTCCTCTCTGCTGCACTCTTCCTGCAGAGTGGGAAGTTCCTTCCTCTTGGCACCCTAAATTATTTTAGCACTGCTATTCCATGTTCTCTTGAGCTACTCACTTATCTTTCTTTGCATCTAGAATGTGGCTTCCTCTGGAAAAAATTCCATATCTTGTTTATTTATCTTTGTTTCTCCAGTGCCTGGCACACAGCAGGATCTTAGCAAAGTTTTTGTTTTGTTTTGTTGTTGTTGTTGTTTTGAGACAGAGTCTCACTCTGTTGCCCAGGCTGGAGTGCAGTGGTGTGATATTGGCTCATTGCAACTGCAGCCTCCCAGGTTAAAGCAATTCTCCTGCCTCAGCCTCCCGAGTAGCTGGGATTACAGGCACCCACCGCCACACCCAGCTAATTTTTGTATTTTCAGTAGAGATGGGGTTTCACCATGTTGGCCAGGCTTGTCTTGAATTCCTGACCTCAGGTGATTCACCCACCTTGGCCTCTCAAAGTGCGGGGATTACAGGCGTGAGCTACTGTGACCTGCCTTAGCAAAGATTTCTTTAGAGAATGAGTAAAGAAATAAATCTACACTAGAAATATTCTTATTCTAAAAGATGCCATGCAATGATTATTAATTATATGTTAGTAAATAATATCAGATATTCCAAGCTGAGTTTCACAAATAATGAATACTTTTTTTTTTTAATCACTGACTTAAGGTCCTAACTTGCTATGTATTTGTATTAGTCCATTTTTACATTGCTATAAAGAACTACCTGAGACTGAGTAATTTATACAGAAAAGAGGGTTAATTGACTCACAGTTCTGCATAGTGTGGGAGGCCCCAGGAAACTTAAAATCATGGCGGAAGGCAAAGGGGAAGCAAGGCACGTCTTACATGGCATTAGGGGGGAGAGAGAGAGAGAGAGAGAGAGAGCTAGGGGGGAACTGCCAAACACTTTTAAACCATCAGATCTTGCGAGAACTCACTATCGCGAGAACTCACTATCACGAGAACAGCATGGGGGAAACCGCCTCCATGATCCAATCATCTCCCATCAGGTCCCTCCCTCGATGTGTGGGGATTACAATTTCGAGATGAGATTTGGGTGGGGGCACAGAGCCAAACCATATCAGCATTACAGCAGTCTTGCTAAGCAGCAAAGTACAGGGTTAACATTTCAACCATGTGTAGGTACCAAGAAGTTCTTAGACCCCAAGGAAGTTAAGAATGGCTCTTGTTAAAACCCAACTGTAGAAAATTCTCTAATTAAGCCTCTCATCTTTGAATGATAATGCGAAGTATGATATGCCTTGTCTATAACAAGAGCCTCAATTTAACATTTACAATTTAGCATAAATTTTTTTTTGAAAAGGTGGGGCCAAGCACAGTGGATCACACCTGTAATGAGAGCATTTTGGAAGGCCAAGGCGGGAGGTTCACTTGAGCCCAGGAGTTTGAGACCAGTCTAGGCAACATAGCAAGACCTGATTTCTACAAAAAAAAAATTAAAAAATTAGCCAGACGTGGTGGTGTGCACCTGTGGTCCCAGCTACTTGGGAAGCCAAGTGGGGAGGATCACTTGAACTTGGGAGGTTGAGGCTGCAGTGAGCTGTGATCCACTGCACTCCAGCCTGGGTGACAAAATGAGATTCTGTCTCAAAAAAAGTGGGGGGTGTTTCTTAGGGTTTTTCATGAGTTTGGTTAGAAAAGATTCATTCATTCAAAAAGGAATGAATTAGGCACTGATCGAGGCAGTGAGGAGACAACAGCAAAGCAATAAAGTTCCTGGCCTTACTGTAGTAAAATAAATTAGCTTAGAAAAATCTCAGAATTAATGTTGACAAGAATCTTCTTGGAGTTACTTATATTCCATAAATTTTCCATTATATTATATTCCACAAATAAATAAGAATGTCTCGCATTTCCAAACCAGAGACAGGTCTCCATTTGGATTGTTTGCTATAGCTTGCTGTAACAAATGACTATGTACGTGGTGACTTAAAACAACACAAATTCTTATTTATAGTTTTAGATGTTAGATGTTTGGGTCTCACTGGGCTACAAGTCAAGGTGTTGGCAGGGCCTCATTTCTGCTGGAGGCTCTCAAGGAGAATCCATTTTCTTGCCTTTTCCAGCTTCTAGAGGCCACCTGCATTCCTTGGCTCACGGCCCCTTCCTGCATCTTCAAGGCAGCAACAGCCCTGAAGACTGTGTCCCACGGCATCACTCTGACACTGACTCTCCTGACTTCCTTCTTCACTTCCGAGGACCTTTGCGATTACAAAAGTCCCACCTGGATAGTCCAGGATAATCTCCCCATCTCAAGGACAGCTGACTCGCAACCTTAATTCCCAACTGCCATATAACTGAACATATTCACAGCTTCCAGGGATTGGGATGTGGACATTTTTCGAAGAGGAGGAGAGAGGGGGCATGATTCTTCCTACCCCACATATTGCTAGAGCAATCAGGCCAATGAGCCCAGTCCACATGCATGACCCCAGTATGAAGCCTGGCATACCACCATTTCTAGAAACCAGCCCTCAGCTGGGCACAATGGCTCATGTTTGTAATCCCAGAATTTTGCAGGGCCAAGGTGGGAGGATCACTTGAGGTTAGGAGTTTGAGATCAGCTTAGGCAACACAGTAAGACCCCATTTCTGCAAAGAAAAAGTTAACCAATTAGCTGGACATGGTGGTGCATGCCTGTGGTCCTAGCTTCTCAGGAGACTGAGGCTGGAGGATCATTTGAGCCCAGGAATTAAAGGTTACAGTGAGCTACAATTGTGCCACTGCACTGCAATTGTCTCTAAAACAAAACAAAACAAAAAGAACAAGAAGAAACCAGCCCTCTCCAGGCTAGGATGTTACTCCCACCCACACAGACCCCCAGAACCTCACAAAGCACACCTCTGCTCTTCCACCAGTCCCACTGTAGCAAGTTTCCATTTCCTGTCCATCAAACCGTGTTACATCTTCACCCTCATCTGTTCTAAGAATAAAACTAATGATTTTTTCCCCCTTATCCACCCTCCCAATAGAAAAACCATACCGTTTCCTCCAGTCTTCGCCCAAGTGTTACACAAAGACTTGTTCATGATAGTAAAGATGTATTCATGGGTATCTTATTGCTACATGACTGATCAGTCCAATTGCCCATAGAACTGATGTTTATGGTTTCTTTTGAATAAACATAGAAATTGACCCTTCCCAGTCTTGAAACATAAGAAAGTTACATTTGTCTTATCTGAGCTCCTTTCTCAGGAAACCAACCATCAGTCCTCTGAGATAGTATCACAGAGCTGAAACTTACCAGATTACTGCATCTGGGCAATAAAACACCAGACCCCTCACCCATCATGATAACTACTGACCCCCTGCTTCCTGTTGACCAATTCCTCATCCTTACCTCTCTCTAATTCCTGTTTCCCATGCATGGTTACATTTCTTCCCTGCTATATAAACCCCTAATTTTAGTCAGTCAGAGAGATGGATTTGAGACTGATCTCCCATCTCCTCACCTGCAGCACCTGAATAAAGCCTTCTTCCCTGGCAGTACTGATTATCTCAGTGATTGGCTTTCTGTGTGGTGAACAGCAGCAGGATCAAGACCGAACCACTGGTGTTTTGGTAACATTACCTCTCAGTGTCACCTAAACACATACACACTCATTCATTCTTCTGTTTTTAAGTGGAAAAAAAAGAGTGTGTGTGTGTGTGTGCGCACACGCACAATATAAACTCTTTGAGAGCAAAGACTAACTTAATAAACACAAATACTAGGTAAATGCTAACCAGCTTACCCCCAATGCAGAGAGCTTACAAAGCAGTCTTTGAGCATGATGATAAAGTAAAACATGTTTCTGGAACTGCACACAGAGGTTTGCAGAGATTTCCTCTTGTCAAAGGTAAGTACAAAAAAATCCACAAGGGTTTGGCTGGCTCCAATGGAGCAAGAGAGGTCACTCTGGGCCCTGAGTTATCACCTTAAGGGGCCGGAGCAGCTGGCAGTTGGAACACTGAGCTGGACATTGGTTTGGAGAAATTAGAGCTAGCTTTTTCTGCTTTTGACAACAGCCTTGACCACACAAAGGGCTACATTTAGGTTGGCATTTGCCTAGGATGTAACGCCCATTTGGCCGTTTGGAGTCGATTTTCCACCCCTCTTTTCCTACTGGCACACAGCTGTGACCCTTGGGTCTTGGAAACACCTGTGGAGATTTAGCCTTGGTAACAACAGAGTTCTTCCCAGGTCATCAGAACCCATCTGCCTCCTAGACTAGAGATCACTTACTTACGGACATTTCTAAATAAAGGATGACAAAGTAACTGGATCAACTACATGTTTAATCATTGCTATTTAAATGTGATCATTTCTCAATTTCAAATTTAAAAAGTGTAAACTTAAGGAAAGAGAAATAATGCCAGGGACTAAATAGTATTAAATCTCCCTCCATGTGAGTGCCCCAGATGTCCTATTCTATAAAATTCTCCCCCTTCCCTTTTTGCCTTCAGCTCAGCAGACACCCTTTGCTGGGAACTCAGATGCCACAAAGATGCATTCACTTTCCACCCCCAAGTAGTGTTTCCAAGCATGCAATGTGAACGATGCTGGAAGGCTTCCATTCCTCCTGCCCCTTTGTCTTGTCATGTACAGGCGATATCCCCAAACCAAAGAAAAAATTCTGCCAAGAGAACCAAGCATGACCTAGCCCTGAATGCTGTCAGTGCTGCTCGGAATAACACCTGGGTCAGAATGACAGGGTCTCACTCTTGCCCAGGCTGGAGTGCAGTGGCACAATCATAGCTCTCTGCAGCTTCAAACTCCTGGACTCCATGCAATGGAGCCCACGTAATCCTCCTGCCTCAGCCTCCTAAGTAGCTGGGACTATAGCTGTGCAGCACTATGCTCAGCTAATTTTTATTTTTTTATAGAAACAGGTCTCACTATATTGCCTAGGCTTCTCTCAACCCCTGGGTTCAAGCGATCCTCCATCCTCAGCCTCCCAAAGTGCTAGGATTACAGGCACGAGCCACTGTGACCAGCGAGGATACATTTTCATTGGCCACTTACTGTCGGATTCCCAATTCCATAAGGAAAGAGGGAAAGGGATGGCCCTTTCCACCCAAGTGCTGTGTAAACTACATCAGGAGCTCATTTGTGCTTGATGCTCCTCCTTCAGTGATCACATCTTAATGTTCTACCTTCAACTCAAAGAAACTACAATGTTCAAGCAGGAAGCCACCCCAGCAATGATCCTGCCTACCTGCCCTCAGTCTAAGGTGCAGAAACATTTGTCTAAAATGGGCAAATATCACTAGAAAGTCATTTATCTTCCTTTTAGAAGTGAAGCCAGGGTCTACCTTATCTGAAAGACAAAGGCTCTAGAACAGCAATCCCCAGCCTTTTTGGCACTGGGGACCAGTTTTGTGGAAGACAATTTTTCCATGAACCAGGGGTTGAGGGGGATGGTTTCAGGATGATTCAAGTGCATTACATTTATTGTGCAATTTATTATTATTACATTGTAATATATAAGAAATAATTATACAACTCACCATAATGTAGAATCAGTGGAAGCCCTGAGCTTGTTTTCCTGCAACTAGATAGTCCCATCTAAGGGTGATGAGAGATAGTGACAGATCATCAGGCATTAGATTCTCATAAGGAGCATGCAACCTAGCTCCCTCAAATGCGCAGTTCACAATAGGGTTCATGCTCCTATGGAATCTAATGCTACTGCTGATCCGACAGGAGGCGGAACTCAGGGGGAAATGCAAGCAATGGGGAGCAACTGCAAATACAGATGAAGTTTCACTCGTTCACCTGCCGCTCACCTCCTGCTGTGCAGGTTCCAAACAGGCCACAAACCAGTACTGATCCATGGCCCAGGGGTTGGGGACCCTGCTCTAGAATCTTGCTAGAAACCCTGCATCTGTGAATGGCAGGTGTATGTTGATTTAGCCAAGAGGCTGTTCCCTGGAGGAATTCTGTTCAGTATAATGCAGGTAACTAGCCTGAGTAAGAAGAATCAACAAGCTTTTGTCCAAAATGAAATTAGTGAGCAGAGTAGAAGCTGGAAGATGTGTGGGGGATATTAAAACCCCTGCTCCCTTCTCGTCCATTGCTTCTGCAGCTCTCCTCTCACATTTTAGGTTGAGGGTACCCTGAGTTGACCTGAGCTGCATGACCATCTCCCAGCATTGGTTTGCTTGTAGCAGCCTGTGTATAAAATTAAAAACACCTGGGTGGCCAGGCACAGTGGCTCATGCCTGTAATCCCAGTACTTTGGGAAGCTGAGGTAGGTGGATCAACAGAGGTCAGGAGTTCGAGACCAGCCTGGCCAATATGGTGAAACCCCATCTCTACTAAAAATGCAAAATTAGCCTGGCATGGTGGCGCACGCCTGTAATCCCAGCTACTTGGGTGGCTGAGGCAGGAGAATCACTTGAACCTGAAAGGCAGAGGCTGCAGTGAGCAGAGATTGTGCCACTGCAATCCAGCCTGGGCAACAGAGAGAGACTCCGTCACAAACAAACAAACAAACAAAACAAAAAAACACCTGGGTTTAGAGCTGCTTGTAGGCAACTAAGGGGACTAACTTGCTCCACTAACTTTTACTAAATTCTCAAATGTCATGGTAAATAAAAATGACATATATTTGTGAGAAGAGAAGGTGCAGGTAATGAAGCCAGTGAAGCCACAATTTAAGAAATAGTGACAACTCCTTTCCACATGCAAGTCTCCTCTGCATCAGATGGGACTTCTTCATCAAATATGTTATTAGAAAAACAAAAACCTAAAACCAAAAGCATTGAGTACAGATTGGAAAGTCTGAAGATGAATGATTAGAAAGCCAGCCACTTTTTTTTCTTTTTTCTTTTCCTTTTTTTTTTTTGAGATGGGGGTCCCACTCTGTTGCCCTGGCTGGAGTGCAGTGGCGCTGATCACGGCTCACTGCAGCCTCGTCTGCCCAAGCTCTAGAGATTCTCCTACCTCAGCCTCCTGAGCAGCTGGGACCGCAGGCACACACCACCATGCCCCGCCAAGCCAGCCACTTTCTAAATACCTTTCTGTTGGGTGGCACTGCTAGAGGTCAGGGATCCAGTTCCACCTTTACAGAAGTTCGTTTACAGAAGCCCGAGCTACACCATTGCACAGAATATCCATGTCACAAACCTGTACATGTACCCCCTGAATCTAAAATTAGAAAAAAAAAAAAGTCCAGGTCAGGCTCAGTGGCTCACACCTGTAATCCCAGCACTTTGGGAGGCTGAGGCAGGAGGATTGCTTGAGCCCAGGAGTTCGAGACCCTCGGCAATATAGCGAGATCCTATCTCTCCTAAAAATAAAAAATTAAAAATTACCCGGCATAGTTGCATGTGCCTGTCATCCCAGCCACTTGGGGGGCTTAGGTGGGAGGATCTCTTAAGTCCAAGGGGTTGAGGCTGCAGTGAGCCGTGACTGTGCTACTGCATTCCAGCCTGGGTGACAGAATAAGATCCTATCTCAGTAATAATAAAAGTCTGTTTAGTCAAGGAGATCAGCACCAGAAACATACAGACTGGCACATGTTCTCATAGGCGTTCTGTCCACTCTCCCCGTCCCACCAGTGGAGGTGCATATGACCCAGCTAGCTTCTTGGAGGAGGCACCTGAATGGCATCTTTAGTGATCAGTCAGATGCAGCCAGTTGAGAAGGAAGAGGGAAGGTGTTCCAGGTAGTATGCAACACGAGGCCTGGAGCCTGCTATTTTCAGAAAGTTGATAGGAATTACACATGCTACAGCATGGCGCATGGGCAGGGGGCCGTGGGATGGGAGCCTGCACCAAATGGGCCCCGATGCGTGCTGTGATCTTGCACTTTAGCCTCAGGGCTATCACCAAATATTTATGCTGTAAAAAGTGTACCATGCATTTAAGAAGGGTGATGGAGTTTAGGGCAAATCAAAAATAGCAAGAGAGGCTGGGCACAGTGGCTCACGCCTGTAATCCCAGCACTTTGGGAGGCCGAGGCGGGTGGATCACTTGAGGTCAGGAGTTCAAGATCAGCCTGGCCAACATAGTAAAACCCTGTCTCTACTAAAAATACAAAAATTAGCTGGGCGTAGTGGTGTGTGCCTATAATCCCAGCTACTCAGGAGGCTGAGGCAGGAGAATATCTTGAACCCAGGAAGCAGAGACTGCAGTGAGCTGAGATCATACCACTGCACTCCAGCCTGGGCGACAGAGTGAGACTCCATCTCAAAAAAAAAAATAGCAAAGAAAGTGGGAGGGAAGGAGAAGGCAACCAGCAGGCATGGACACTACCTGCTGGGCTTGCCTCACAAACAACTGGCTCAGGGGCAGGAGACGGAAAGTCCATGGGAGAAGCTCAGAGCACTGCAGGGCGGAAGAGAGGTGAGTTCCCTGTGGAGGTGGGGCAGGAAGCTGTCATAAAGGGGTTGCATTTGTAATTGGCATGGTAGGGAATGGGGCTGTGACTGGTACAACTGGGAAGGAGGATGGCACTGGGAGAAGGGAATTGTGTGGGAAGAGAAGAGGATGAGCCAAAGAGGATGGGCAGAAAAGTGAGATTTAGGGCACGTGCAGGCAAGGAAGGATGAGAAGTCAGCAGAAAGGATTTTACACAGAATGACAGCCCAGGGAATAGCTGGTGATGGAAAGAGAGTCTCCAGCCACCACAGCACAAAGCATGACATGCAAAGGCATGATGACCTCTAAAGATGGAATGGTGTGTGTGTGTGTGTGTGTGTGTGTGTGTGTGTGTACGTGTGTTGAGAGAGAGAGAAGAATGAGGAGGAGGAGGAGGAGATAAGAAGCATAAGTTCATGATTTCATTAAATTAACATCCTCTTGACTGTCTCAAAAGTATCAGCTCACAAGAAGGAAATTTTAAGTCCTTGCAACTAAAATTTCCTTTCCAGACAAAGAAGCTTAGCATAGAAGTTGTGCAAAAGTGTGCCTATCTCTTTCCTAATGATCACGTCAGAAAAGCAGCCAAAAAGTAAAACATTCCCTCTGGGCACCAGTTACTCAAAGATGGTTTCAGATCATCAGAGCTGGGCTGGATGCTCCCACCAGCAGGACTTCCTCCTTGCTACAAACCACACTAGGCACATTGCAATAAGGCTTGCTGCTTCTGCGCTTCCTTGTCGCATTTGTTTATTTCAACAGATGCAGGGCTTCTTACACAGGCTAGGAAGGGAGACCAAAGGGGCACCTTAACCCTGATCAGGAACAGACCTTCTGCCTCCATGTGACTTACCACACACTTCCGCTCAGACCTGTCTTGAAGGGAAGGCTCTGTTGTGACACCCAGCACACGCCCTTCCTGTCCCCACTCCCTCAGCCCATCAGAGAGTTTCCTGGGAGGGGCTGGTGATCCTAGCTAGTAAAAGGTCCTAGCATGGACACCCATGCTGGCTCTGGGCTTTGCATCTCTTCCAAATCTCATTTGTATGCATCTTGGAAAGAATCTTCTACGCCTTAAGCAGCAGGTTGGCAGATCTTAACCTCTAGTCACCAACACAGCTCCAATACCACGCCCCCTCCTCAGCCCTTTTGAGAGAGTAGCCCACGTGTAGGTATCTCAGCCCACAGTCCCATAGCCAGAGGAGAAGGCAGCTGCTGCGTCAGCCCAATGATGAAGTCACAGACGAAGAGACTCTTCTTGTCCCCAAGAAGCTTTCAGTTTAGCCAGAGAGACACATTTGTTATCTCATTAAGTAAATGTTTATGAAGCACCTACTAAGTTCCAGACACTGCTCTAGGTTCCTGGCATAAAGTAGCAACCAAAACAGAAAGAAATCCTTTTCCTCCTGGAGCTTATCGTCTAGTGATCAGTGAGGAGATACCCTTTACACACAATTAATAAAAGGAACCAAACCATAATTATTACATAATTAATAAAAGGAACCAAACCAATGAAACATGCAAAGGACAAAATGATGTTGCATTTAGAAGGAAGAAGGAGAAACATTTCTGCCTGGAATTAGACAGGCTTGGTGAAGAAAGAGGAGTATACAAATTCTGTTACAATTCAGATATGCTTTTCTAGGTTCAAGTGTATGTTAGCTACAGGAATGGTCACAGGACATTCAGATGTTCTCAAAAAACACTGTGCTTCACCTCATGTTTAATGACTATTCACCTGTCCTCATAGAATGGTTAATGGGGAGAGTTGGCCAAGGGAGGCAGAAACTAAGGGCTCAAAGGTAGCAGAGCAGGTGGGTCCAAAGATGGTGCTGAGATTCTAAGTCAGGTGTTGATAAAAAGAGTCAGACTCTGTAACATTTGAAGAGATTTATTCTGAGCCAAATATGAGTGGCCAAGGGCCCATGACAAAGGCTCAGGGGATCCTGAGAACATGTGCTTAAGGTGACTGGGCTACAACTTGGCTTTATAGATTTGAGAAAGACATAAGACTTCAATCAGTACTTGTAAGATGTACAATGGTTTGGTCCAGAAAAGTGGGACAACTGGAAGCTGGGAGTGGGGGTGAGGGCTTCCAGGTCATAGATGGAGTCAAAGATTTTCTTATTGGAAATTGGCTGAAAGAGTTAAATTACTGTCTGAAGACTTAGAATCAATAAGAAGGGATGTCTGGTTAAGATAAGGGATTGTGGAGACCAGGGTGTTAGTATGCAAATGAAGCCTCCAGGTAGCAGGCTTCAGGCTTCAGAAAACTGATTGTAAAGGTTTCTTATTAGACTTAAAGAGTCTGTTCTATCAGTCTTAAGGTCTGTGTTCATCTTAATGCTGGTCAGCTGGGTCTGAATTCCAAAAGGGAGGAGGGTATCATGAGGCATGTCTGATTCGCCCTTCCCATCAGGGCCTGAACTAGTTATTCAGGTTAATTTTGGAATGGCCTTGGCCAAGAGGAGGGGTTCATTCAGATGGCTGAGGGGCTTAGAATTTTATTTTTGGTTTACACAGGCTTATTATAATCAACTTACAGCAATCTTCTCCCTCCCAACCTAGCAAAACACACACACTTGCTTTGCACATACTTTGATCACATCTTCTCCCTCGGGCAGATTTTCATTGTCATTTACCCTGATTCACCTGCACTAAGAGGTTCCTTAGGATCCAAACACAGCCTGTGCCAGGCCCTCACTCTCCATGCACTCTGGGCTCCCCCAACTTGCCCCAGAGAACCCCTCTGTGCTGCACTTCACCATGGAAGCACAAAATCATCCTCACTCTGAATAGCCTCTCTAACCTCATGGCACACTGGTCAGGAAATATGCTTGAGAATAAGCATTTCATGAAAGTCACCCCAAATCATGACAGAAGCACCAGAAATTACAAGTGCCATAATTGAGTTGAACATCTTTGCGTAATTTTTTTAATGTGTGAAAACAAAAAGCCAACCACCCCCACCGAAAAAAACTCCAAAAAACTCTGCTTCCTTTGGGCCATCAATAGAGAAACTGTAGAATTCCTTTTGGTTAAAATAGACCTAGGAAGATTCAGTTTGACCAACTCCAGTTCAGGGAGGCTCTTCTGCAGCAACATCCTTGTCAGACAAACACAGAGTTTCTATAGTGTGAACCAAAAAGTATCTGAGACAGGTCTCAGTCAATTTAGAAGTTTATTTTGCCAAGGTTATGGATCATGACCTGTGACACAGACTCAAGAGCTCCTGAGAACATGTACCCAAGGCGGTTGGGTTACAGCTTGGTTTTATGTGCTTTACAGAGACAGAAGACATTAATCAATACATGGAAGGTATACACTGGTTCGATCCAGAAAGGCGGGACAACTTGGGGGGTGGGGGCTTACAGGTCATAGGTGGAGTCAAAGATTTTCTGTCTGGAAATTGGTTGAAAGAGTTAAGTTATTGTCTAAAGACCTGGAATAAACAGAAAGGAGAGGAGTGTTTGGGTTAATATGGGGGTTGTGGAGGCAAAAGTTCTTATGTAGATGAAGTCTCATAGTCTCATAGGTGGCTGCCCCCAAACGCAATAGATGGTCAATGCTTCCTATGCAGACCGTTAAAAGGTGCTAGACTCTCAGCCAATCTCTTCAGTATTAGGAAAAGACCTGGAAAGGGAAAGGATTCTCTATGGAATGTAAATTTCTCCCAAAAGAAACAGCTTTACAAAGCTATTTCAAAATATGTCAAAGGGATAAAATACTGTGATTTGTTTTCAGTGCCTGCTATGGACCATATGATGCTACAGTAGAGTCAGGTTGGAATTTGGTATCTTACTGTTCTGTCAGTCTTAGGACCTTTATTTTTTTTTAACTTTTATTTTAGGTTCAGGGGTATTACACGTGCAGGTTTATTACGTAGGTAAAACTGTGTGTCACAGGGGTTTGGTGTACAGATCATCACCCAGGTAGGAAGCGTAGTACCCAATGAGTATTTTTTCTGATCTTTTCTCTCCCCCAAGCCTCCACTCTCAAGTAGGCCCCAGTATCTGTTGTTCCCCTCCTAGTATCCAGGTGTTCCCATTGTTTAGCTTCCACTTATGCATGAGTACATACGGTATTTGGTTTTCTGTTCCTGCATTAGTTTGCTAAGGATAATGGCCTCCAGCTCTATCCATGTTGCTGCAAAGGACATGATCTCGTTCTTTCTCATGTCTGTGTAGTATTCCATAGTGTATATGCACCACATGTTCTTTATCTAGTCTACTACCATTGATGGGCATTTAGGTTGATTCCATGTCTTGCTATTGAGAATGGTGTTGTGATGAACATATGTGTACATGTGCCCTTATGGCAGAACAATGTATACACGTTTGGGTCTATAGCCAGTAATGGGATTGCTGGGTCAAATGTTAATTCTGCTTTAAGTTCTTCAAGGAATTGTCACACTGCTTTCCACGATGAACTAATTTACACTCTCACCAACAATGTATAAGCATTTCCTTTTCTCCACAACCTCGCCGGCATCTGTTATTTTCTGACTTTTTAACAGTAGCCATTCTGACTGGTGTGAAATGGTATCTCACTGTGGTTTTGACTTGCATTTCTCTAATGATTAGTGATGCTGAGCATTTTTTTACATGCTTGTTGGCCACGTGTATGTCTTCTTTTGAAAAGTTAATGCTGGTCAGTTGTTTGCCTGAACTCCAAAGGGAGGAGAGTGTAATGAGGCATGCCTGACCCTCCCTTTCCATCATGATCTGAACTAATTTTTCAGGTTTTGTTGGGTCCCTTGGCTGAGAGGATGTTCCATTCAGTCACTTGGCTTAGAATTTAATCTTTGGTTTACAATAGAAATATCTCCATCAATGGAGAGCTTCGTCCAGGCCAGGCAACCCATTCATTAGTCAGTCAGATGTTCAAAAAATCCTCCTTATACTGAATTCAAATCTGTTTCTTTATATCTTCCACCCATTGGCCCTAGGACCAATTTGCCTAACAAAGTAGATCAATATGAATTTAAATATGGTTTATTTTTAACTATAAATCCAATCATTAGGCAGAGCAACTTGAAGTAGAGAGAAAAAATAAACTGATACTTTCAGAATGGACAAGCAAGGAACCTGTGATTAAAATGAGTTCCTACACTTTAGTGGTCTTCCTGTAACCTCTATCTTGGAAATTCTTTCATAATCCCTATAAATGTGAGGCTGTCACACAGAACAAGCTGGGAATCAGGCCCAGGAACATGGTCTAAGGAAAGGAGTCAACTGCTTTGATGGTAACACCTTAATCCTCAGGTAGACCTACCTGGAAAAGCTTATTTAAGAAGAACATTTTAAGTTTTGTTTTTAAAAAGTCCATCTCACACAATGAAATTAGAGTGGTACCAGTTGTTATTATAACAGAAAATGTCTAAAACTCTCAGTTTTGTCTTTGCTGCTACTGCAGCTGAACTCCACATGATACTGCAAACATATTCCGAAATCATCAATAATTACCTTTTCTTCCGCTAGTCAAAACTCAGTGAGAATCCACCATCTCTTCATGGGCTTCTCCTTCAGTTTTAGAAAGCAACCAATCTCCAATGTAGCCAGAATCTGGGGGAGAAAAGTTTTAAAAAAATCATAGGATGTAATTTCCAAAGCCTAGAAATATATACTTAAATGAAATGGAATGAATCGGTTTGCATTTAACCTCTGGAAATACCGCACTGCTTCTTACTTTATCAATATTCCTCACTTCCATATGACCAGCACAGTAGGATTTGAAACTGACACACAATTTCTAGAATCCTCTAGATTTTTCCTACTTGGTAATTTAAATCATGACTAAAATTGTTTTGATTGAATCCACTTTAACCAGGCTTTGCCATTACTTCTTGCAAACAACCACGTGCAAGGGAATATTTAAAAAAATCTCAAGACCCCCAAACTCCTTACGCAAAATAAAAGATTAAGCCTGGAGGCTGAGTCATGCAACACCCTCTTTCAAATGAAGAGCTGTTACTAGCATTATCCAGAGGAGAAGGCCTCAGGACTGCCTCCATAGGTAAGTAAACTTTTTGCTGCCCTCCCATAAACAAGGACATGCCAATTGTAATTTTATGTTTACAATCTAAGTCTAGCTCTTAAAACTAAAGTCTATTCGATTCCGCACTGATAATGTCAATTACAAGCTTATCTTCCCTGGTATAGAACAAAGACAAGACCAGATCAATCATTCCTCCACCTACCCAAAAACTCTGCATAATTGATTCTTCCTTTATTCCCTTTTTTCTCTTCAAACATTCACCTTACCGTATGCAAAATGTAGATTTACTGGGCACTAAATAAAATCTCCCAAAAATGTCAAGTTTGGCCAGGTGAGGTGGTTCATGCCTGTAATCCCAACACTTTGGGAGGCTGAGGCAGGTGAATCACCTGAGGTCAGCAGTTTCAAACCAGCCTTGCCAACATGGCAAAACCCCCGTCTCTACCAAAAATACAAAAATTAGGCAGCCGTGGTAGTGCACACTTGTGCTGAGGCAGGAGGATTGCTTCAATCTGGGAAGGGAGGTTGCAGTTAGCCAAGATCGCGCCACCGCACTCCAGCCTGGGTGACAGAGTTGAGACTCTTTCTCAATAAACAAACAAACAAAAACCCCGTAAATTTGCTTTACCACCTACCTGCCCCTTTTTCTACAATGCCTTCCCCCTTTAAGAAAAGGTATAAATACTAAACCTCCTGAAAACTTCTTTGGAATAACAGCCACAGGTCTGTCTATGGCATTTGTTTTTCCCCTGGATTATGCCCTTAAGATGGCTTAATAAACTCATCGACTGAGACTTTTGCCTCAGTCACTAATTTGGTTATCACAAGTTACTCCCAGTTTCAGCAATGGATAGTTCCCTTTCTTGCCCAATAACCGCCCTAGTTCTGGGGTAAGCCATGAGAAACAAGCATTGCAAATAGTTCACACACATATGCAGAAGCAGCAATGACACTTTCCCCGGTAGAAGGGGAAAGTGTCAATTACGCTTCATTTATCTAGATAAGGGGTAGAAAATCTAATTATAATGGTTGAACAAACTATTTTCCCCCAAAGACACATTGAAAATTTCCAAGCTTCTGAATATAAATGAAAAGTGCAGAAATGTCTAATAATGTAGCATTAGCTAATTCAGTTTGTGGATGCTTCGAGGCGGTGAGGCAGTGAGCCTGACTGTCTCCCCTCAGGGGATGATTGATGGCTTAGCTCTCTGGAGACGGTTGGTCTGACCAGTGCAACGTCAGAAGCCAAAGGTCACCATACCTCCCAGGTGATCAGATGCTCCCTAGAGTGTGGCAGGGGCAGCCAAGCATCTGAAGATGCCGTTCAGATCCCACTGGGATTTCTGCCTCGTTCCCTGCTTTCTTTGTTATTTAACACCAGGCTCCCTGGGATCGCTATTTGCCCAGCTTGGCAGCAGCAAAAGCCAAGTTCTAATTTTCTTTTGTTCCTCTCTGTTTCACTTAGCTGGGCTCTTTGCCTTAGTTTGTTTCTTCCTGTTTACAGCAGTGGCAAAAGTCATTTGAGCACTGAAATGCACACAGAACTGAGCTACAAGTGTGAGGAGCTCTTTTTAAAAAATTATCTATCTACAAAAATGTCTAGGGTAACACGGCCCAAAAAAACATAAAAAAATCTCTGAAGTATGGAGATGCTCAGTTGCCCAGTGATCAGGATGTGTATCAGTATGTTTTAATATATTTAAATATGTTTTAAGTATATGTTTTAATACACTTATTATGTGCTATCAGCTATTAGGAAAGGTAAATGTGAAAACAGAGAAAAATGTTAAGTTTACAATATATATGCAAACATTTATGAGATAAGACTAGTGAAAAGAGCAGAATTTAAAATTTTACCAAAGTGCTGTTTACAACTTTACCCAGAGCATAATTACATATGGATGAAGATACTGAAATCATAAAAGGCACATATATATACAGTGCAAATAAACTAAAAGAAGGAGTTGTTGATATTTGCTAAGCTCTAGGAATTATGCAAACAGTGATATAGCTCTTCCCCAACTCAAAATATCCAATTTAGAATCACAGAATGAGTAGAAGGGACCTTAGCTCAACTTTTTCTTTTCACAGATAAGTAAATTTATGCCAAAAGGAAGTGATTCATCCATGCGTATACAGCTACCCACTGGCAGAACTGAGGCTAGAACTGGTATCTCCCCGACTCATGAGTCTCTTTTCTTTGTTTTCTTTTTTTTTTGAGACAGAGTCTCGCACTATCACCCAGGCTGGAGTGCCCTGGCGCGATCTCAGCTCTCTGCAACCTCCGCCTCCCGGGTTCATGTGATTCTCCTGCCTCAGCTTCCCGAGTAGTGGGGATTACAGGCACACACCAACACATCCGGCTAACTTTTTGTATTTTTAGTAGAGATGGGGTTTCACTATATTGGCCAGGCTGGTCTCGAACTCCTGACCTCGTGATCTGCCCATCTCGGCCTCCCAAAGTGCTGGGATTACAGGCGCGAGCCACCGCGCCCAGCCGAGTCTCTTTTTCATACTGCATACTGCAATGCATTCATACACACAGGTCAGGGAGCCCTTGTTATTGGAGTATTCATGACCCAAATCCCTACAAATGATGGGCTTGTTCAGGGAAGCACACCTTCAAAATACTAAAATATTTCCAAATAGCCATTTTTTTGACTTGAGTCCCTCTTAAAAATCCATCATTGTTCAAAGTCAGCCTCTATCCCTAATTCTGTTAGTGACTGTCTCGTACCTCCCACAGATGTATGTCCACTGCAGAGCAACACTGCAAAACTTTCCCCCAAATACAGAATTTCATGAGGCTAATCAAAATGGCATTAGAGAATTTCCCCAATAACAGGTAAAACAATGGCCAGTGGGAGCTGAGCAGTTTGATTAGGAAACAATCACTTCAGAGAAAAATCTAACGTTGGTGACAAGATAGAACTTTCTACAGTGATTTTAGTATTTAAAAATCTAAACGGCTCCAGAGGAAAATGACCAAGACCTTGAATATCTTTGTAACACTGGTCATCTTTATGCTGTGATGTAAATGTCAATTGTGATATAAAAAGTACCAAAATGTAGAATCGCCTCATTTTATACAAAAAATTTACTCCTTTCAAAATAATCAACACTTGACTTTCACACTGCTCATTCTAAGAGCTAGCCATAGTCACAATGATCACCTAAATTTTGATAAATGTATGCTAAAATAACTTATTTTCATAGTTTTCAGTTAATTTTTTTCATGATAAAGTCCCAAAGCTTTTTTTCATTATATGAAATGTTGGTCCCCATTTAAGTGGATTGACCTTAAATGGCCTTTTTTCTGGTTCTCATTATCCTTGGATAACAAGGATCTGCTGTTGAATCTTCAGAAAGAAGTTTTAGAAGTATAAGTCAGTAATATGGAGGCTATTTATATCATTTAGAACCAAGCATACATTTCAGAAGCAGAACTTCAGATCAGAATATGCAATACTAGAAGGCCCTATGTTTTTATTTCACCTGTCTGTCATAAAAAATAATGAATTTTATATTTTAATTTATATAAAATAAAAACAAAGATTACAAAATCACAAATGACTACATTTGTCTCAATTCTTTTAAAAAAGGTGAAAGCATAATAATGTATTTATCATCCTGAATTACATAATTAAGTTTCCAGTTTTAATATCCTATTTCATTCGAACACAACCCATGAGAACACCTGCATATGGTTGTTAATCATTGCTGATTTGCATATTGTGATTAGTTCCATCATCTGCAATTATCTGGGGTTCTGTATAATTCATGGTCTGAACTTTACCTGAGAACAATCAAGTTGGCTGATTTTTCTTACGTTCAAATGTTTTTTATATGAAGATAGTTAATATTCAGGGCTAACATTCATTCGTTCAGATAATGAAAGCTATTCTAGTATCATAAAACGCAAAGCTTCATTTTAGAAGCATCAATTATTCAGTGGAACATTTTCTTCTGGAAGAGTAAAAAGACTAAAAGAATATTTTTCCCATTAAATAAAACTGCAATGTTCTATAGTAGAAAGATTTTTTTTTCTCTTACTTTTCAATCTGTAACAGTATTTGGAGCCTAAATGACCAATAATGAACAATGTAAAGTATGTTGGATAATGAATAATTTTTTTTTTTTTTTTTGAGACGGAGTCTCACTCTGTCGCCCAGGCTGGAGTGCAGTGGTGCGATCTCGGCTCACTGCAAGCTCCACCTCCCAGGTTCACGCCATTCTCCAGCCTCAGCCTCCCGAGTAGCTGGGACTACAGGCGCCCACCACCACGCCCGGCTAATTTTTTGTATTTTTAGTAGAGACGGTGTTTCACCGTGTTAGGCAGGATGGTCTCGATCTCCTGACCTCGTGATCCACCCACCTGGGCCTCCCAAAGTGCTGGGATTACAGGCGTGAGCCACCGCGCCCAGCCCCAATAATGAATAATTTTTAAAGATTCTTTTCTTGGCGACGCTCCAGCTTCTGTGACCAAAATAATAAATAATTTATGATTTAGTTTGTCCACTAATCCTGTCTCAGAGATCAAGACAAAGATTTTTGACTCAGTCTTTCTGCCAAATTTGCTTATCTCTCAAATGAGTGTAAATTTATGGCTCAGGATTAAGACATGACTAATAGTTCCTTCCAGGTTTCCAAGGACAACAAACCCCCCATCTACCCCGGCCAACAGATGCTGGAGAGCAAAGATTACGGAATCCCTGTAACACTCTGTTATAGGTAGACACTCGAATTATCTCACCACTGTTGTCTACAAACAAGAAGAAAAATAAGCTCAAATCACCCTTTCAAATAACTGAGCAGCACGCTAAGGAAAACAGATGAGCTGCTCAGCTCTGGTCCCCTTCCTGGAATGAAATTAGCACCCATCTGGAAGTTGGATCAGCCAATAAGCAACTGGAAACACAGGAAACAGGGGAATCCCTGCCGCAGCTCACTCAGCTAAGACACTGTCAACCTCAGTGAAGAACCTCAGTTGCTTTACAGCTACAAAAAGAAGGTTCTCATGCCAGAAACCTTCGTCAAATCATAGAAAACAAAGAATCGTGAACTTGGTTTCTTGTTTTTGGCATTCTGGCTTACAAGTAGAAGCAAGTAGAGGTTCGTCAACATGAAAACTGCCTTTTAAAGGAAATGCATTACTAGACTCACTAACAACCATATGAGACGATGTGATTTTCATGACAAAGCCGATGAACTCTCCCTGGTTCTGCTCAGCAGAAGGATGGAGACAGAACATTCCACCCCGTATGAGCAGGTGAGCTCAGGAATCCCATTGCATTCAGCCACTTCCTAACTTGGGCAAGTTTAATCTCTCAAAACCTCTTTCCTCTTCTGGAAAATAAGCACAGGAACAAACTCATAAGAGCCTGCAATGAGATCATCAGTGTCAAGCACTCATTATAGTGCTTGGCATACACCAAATGTTCAGGAGAGATCTGTGATGATTATTTTTCCTGCTACACACGGAATACAATAACATTCTACTTTCTCTGAACCTTATATATATATAACAATACATATAAATGCTTATTTATATGTATATATGATATATATATAAAAATATATTTTTTTAATATAAGGGCAAGGTCTCCCTATGTTGCCCAGATTGGTTTCAAACTCCTGGGCTCAAGGAATCCTCCTGCCTCAGCCTCCCAAGGTGTTGGAATTACAGGCGTGAGCTGCTGTGCCCAGGCGGGACTTTTTTCCTATTACTGTAAAAATATAGAAACACTAGTATTTCAGAATGCTCCATTCTAAAATTCTTTTTCCTAACAACTACTCCCAAATAGCTATGACCCATATGGTTTTTGTCTCATGGTCACTGACGCTGACATAGTCCTTAACCATATATGCCTAGTGTTCCATTATTGGAACGCTAAGCTTGTGGGAGTTATTTATATCCCACCCCTCAAGGTCATCGCCAAGGTCCGATTTTTCACACAAAAAGACTGCAACCTCAGGCATAAATGGGTTAATGGCAGGCACTCCGAGTGTTTTCCATATGTTAACTCACCTAACCCTCATCATAATCCTGTGAGGTAAGAACTGTCTTCATCCTCATTTTACAGATCAGGAAACTGAGACTCAGAACAGCTAACCAACTTGCCCAGGTGTTAGAGACAAGTCAGGATTCAAACCAGGCAGGGTGGCCCGAATCCATAATTCTCAAGCATGACACTATAGGACCTCTGTTTTGTGTATTTATTTGGGGATGGGGGGTGGGGGAGAGGAGCAAAGGCAAGGAGAGAAGAGGAAGGAAAAAAGAAAACAATCTAGAAGGTTTCTCCCTCCTACCCCTTCACAGGCACGCATACATAGAAAAGGTTGCAGCTATGAAGACATCACCAAATACATTCTCATTGGCTGGTTCTTCAAATAAAAAATTTAAACTTTGCGTTGAAAGGGCAGTAAGTTCCTAGAGATGCCTGGAAAAATGGGAGAGAATAGATGCCTGAGCACCCAGCAGGACTAAGCTGCCCCTGGAGAGCCAGGTGGGCGCCAGACCTCACTGCACTCCAGAGCCAAGCCGCTGTGTGCATCACAACTGCACACACACAAGACACCTGCAAGTGCCAGCCCTTTCCTTCTCCCGAAAAAACGTCTTTCAAAGCACCTTCTTAAATAGGAATGCCTTACTCAAATGTGAGAAAAGCCAGGATACTAATAGCTACTACCAAAACAGTGGAAAAATAATACGTGTTTGGCCTATAAAAGTTCCTTACCCACATTAATCAAATCTTCTTTCTTCATTAGATCATTATCCTCATTTTAGAGGCAAGCCTAAAAAATGGAGTGTTTTGGCCTAAGACATAGTTATTGAGATAGATAGATAGATACATATATACATACATACATACATACATAGATACATAGATAGATACATAGATAAAATTGCAATTCCATCTTCTAGATCCTATGATGGGCTAAGGAGCCCAGTGTCCTCTCCCATCCCATAGACAGCCCCCCTACCCAGAATTGTAATGAACGAACAAAGTCAGAAGATGTAAACAAAGAAAGGAATAACAAAAATTGATATTGGCAGGGTAGTGCTTTGGGAAGCCGAGGCCGGAGGATTGCTTGAGGTTAGGAGTTTGAAGCAGCCTGGGCAACAGAGCAAGACACTGTGTCTACCAAAAAAAAAAAAAAAAAAAATCTTTTCTTAAATTAGCCAGGCATGGTAGCACATGCCTATAGTCCAAGCTGAAGCAGGAGGATCACTTGAGCCCAGGAGTTGGAGGCTGCAGTGAGCTATGATCACACCACTGCACTCCAACCTGGATGACAGAGTACAACCTGTCTCTTAAAAAAATAAATTGATACAGTTATTGTGAGCATGGTTACATTACAAGCATTTCCCAAAATACAATTTTTTTTTTCTGAGATCGAGTTTTACTCTGTCACCTGGGCTGGAGTTCAGTGGCATGATCTCGGCTCACTGCAACCTCCACCTCCCGGGTTCAAGTGATTCTCCTGCCTCAGCCTCCCCAGTAGCTGGGATTACAGGTGTGTGCCATCATATCCAGCTAATTTTTGTATTTTCAGTAGAGAAAAGGTTTTGCTATGTTGGCCGGGTTGGTCCCAAACTCCTAACCTCAAGTAATCCTTCCACCTCGGCCTCCCAAAGTGCGTGAGCCACTGGGCCTGGCCCCAAAATACAATTTAACGTTCTCTTAATATAACCAAAGGGGAAAAGGAAAACTAAGGAAGAACTTGGAATTTATAGGAAAGCTCAAGGTGAGAGATTCATACGCTATAAGCCGTTGGACCTAAACAGCCCGAGGGACAGAATTATAAGGAAACTGTGAATTCCTAAGGAAAGGCAGCTAGAGGAAGGGAGGGGCCTGAGTTATCTCTCTCTGCAGGGTTGAGCGCTCCTCCATTCTGCATGCCTCGCACAATGCACGGTACTTCTGAGGGCAGAAATTCGGCAATTCTAGTGAATTGGGGTTCCAGAGCCTTGGAGAACAATTTCTGCTTGAGGTCAAGAGAGACCTCCGGGTCCCAAAGCAATGAAGACAAACTAGGAATGAAGATGTGGCACCACCAACACTAGGGCTTCTGCAGCCGGAAGCAGCAGCCACTCCAGAAAGTATGGAATGTACGAGCTGCTTATTTAAAATACTAATTGATTCCCAATTAGTAATTTTGAAGGTTGACTCACCTTGACGTCTCCTATGAGAAGGGGTAGTGGGAGTGAGGGATGAAAAAGTACTTATTGGGTACAATGTACACTATTCAGGGGGCAGGTACACTAAATGAGGGGTACACTAAGTGCCCTGACTTCACCACTACACAATTCATCCATGTAACCAAAAACCATTTGTATCCCTAAAGCTGTTGAAATTTTAAAAAATTTAAAAAATAGCCCAGGCGTGGTGGCTCACGCCTGTAATCCCAGCACTTTGGGAGGTCAAGGTGGGTGGATCACCTGAGGTCAGGAGTTTCAGACCAGCCTGACCAACATGGTGAAACCCGTCTCTACTAAAATACAAAAATTAGCCAGGTGTGGTGGCATGAGCCTGCAATCCCAGCTACTCAGGATGCTGAGGTGGGAGAATTGCTTGAACCCAGAAGGCAGAGGTTGCAATGAACCGAGATTGCACCACTGCACTCCAGCCTGGGCGACAGAGCAAGACTCCCTCTCAAAAAAATAAATAAAATAAAAAATAAGATGTACAAACAGCTCCCGTCTCCCTCTCCCTCTCCCGTCTCCCTCTCCCGTCTCCCTCTCCCTCTCCCGTCTCCCTCTCCCTCTCCCTCTCCCGTCTCCCTCTCCCTCTCCCGTCTCCCTCTCCCTCTCCCGTCTCCCTCTCCCTCTCCCGTCTCCCTCTCCCTCTCCCTCTCCCTCTCCCTCTCCCGTCTCCCTCTCCCTCTCCTTTCCACGGTTTCCCTCTCATGCCGGGCCAAAGCTGGACTGTACTGCTGCCATCTCGGCTCTCTGCAGCCTCCCTGCCTGATTCTCCTGCCTCAGCCTGCCGAGTGCCTGCGATTGCAGGCGCGCGCCGCCACGCCTGACTGGTTTTCGTGTTTTTTTGGTGGGGACGGGGTTTCGCTGTGTTGGCCAGACTGGTCTCCAGCTCCTAGCCGCGAGTGTTCCGCCAGCCTCGGCCTCCCGAGGTGCCAGGATTGCAGACGGAGTCTCATTCACTTAGTGCTCAATGGTGCCCAGGCTGGAGTGCAGTGGCATGATCTCGGCTCGCTATGGCCTCCACCTCCCAGCCGCCTGCCTTGGCCCCCCAAAGTGCGGAGATTGCAGCCCCTGCCCGGCCGCCACCCCGTCTGGGAAGTGAGGAGCGTCTCTGCCTGGCTGCCCATCGTCTGGGATGTGAGGAGCCCCTCTGCCTGGCTGCCCAGTCTGGAAAGTGAGGAGCGTCTCTGCCCGGCTGCCATCCCACCTGGGAAGTGAGGAGCGCCTCGTCCCGGCCACCATCCCATCTAGGAAGTGAGGAGCATCTCTGCCCGGCAGCCCATCGTCTGAGATGTGGGGAGCGCCTCTGCCCCGCCGCCCCGTCTGGGATGTGAGGAGCGCCTCGGCCCGGCCGCGACCCCGTTTGGGAGGTGAGGAGTGTCTCTGCCCGGCCGCCCCGTCTGAGAAGTGAGGAGACCCTCCTCCTGGCAACCGCCCCGTCTGAGAAGTGAGGAGCCCCTCCGCCTGGCTGCCACCCCGTCTGGGAAGTGAGGAGCATCTCCGCCTGGCAGCCACCCCGTCCGGGAGGGAGGTGGGGCTCAGCCCCCCGCCCGGCCAACCGCCCTGTCCGGGAGGTGAGGGGCGCCTCTGCCCGGCCGCCCCTACTGGGAAGTGAGGAGTCCCTCTGCCCAGCCAGGAGCCCCTCTGCCCAGCCAGACGCCCCGTCCGGGAGGGAGGTGGGGGGGTCAGCCCCTCGCCCAGCCAGCCGCCCCGTCCGGGAGGGAGGTGGGGGGCTCAGCCCCCCGCCCGGCCAGCCGCCCCGTCCGGGAGGTGAGGGGCGCCTCTGCCCGGCCACCCCTACTGGGAAGTGAGGAGCCCCTCTGCCCGGCCAGCCGCTCCGTCCGGGAGGGAGGTGGGGGGGGTCAGCGCCCCCTCCCGGCCAGCCGCCCCGTCCGGGAGGGAGATGGGGGGGTCAGCGCCCCGCCTGGCCAGCCACCCGGTCCGGGAGCTGAGGGGCGCCTCTGCCCGGCCGCCCCTACTGGGAAGTGAGGAGCCCCTCTGCCCGGCCACCACCCCGTCTGGGAGGTGTACCCAACAGCTCATTGAGAATGGGCCATGATGACGATGGCGGTTTTCTGGAATAGAAAAGGGGGCAAGGTGGGGAAAAGATTGAGAAATCAGATGGTTGCCGTGTCTGTGTAGAAAGAAGTAGACATGGGAGACTTTTCATTTTGTTCTGTACTAAGAAAAATTCTTCTGCCTTGGGATCTTGTTGATCTATGACCTTACCCCCAACCCTGTGCTCTCTGAAATATGTGCTGTGTCCACTCAGGGTTAAATGGATTAAGGGCGGTGCAAGATGTGCTTTGTTAAACAGATGCTTGAAGGCAGCAGGCTCCTTAAGAGTCATCACCACTCCCTAATCTCAAGTACCCAGGGACACAAACACTCTGCCTAGGAAAACCAGAGACCTTTGTTCACTTGTTTGTCTGCTGACCTTCCCTCCACTAGTGTCCTATGACCCTGCCAAATCCCCCTCTGTGAGAAACACCCAAGAATGATCAATTAAAAAAAAAATAAAATTAAAAAGAAAACAACAACAACAACAAAAAAAAGTCCTCCCATAAGGAAAGATGATCAATTCTTATGTATCGTTCTAGGGATATAAATATTCAGGAGGCTTTTCAGAATAAAAGTTAAATCATTTATGTCGCACAAACAAATTTACTATTCGGACAAATACGATGACAAGGAGTTTGAGTATCGACATGTCATGCTGCCCAAGGACATAGCCAAGCTGGTCCCTAAAACCCATCTGATGTCTGAATCTGAATGGAGGAATCTTGGCGTTCAGCAGAGTCAGGGATGGGTCCATTATATGATCCATGAACCAGAACCTCACATCTTGCTGTTCCGGCGCCCACTACCCAAGAAACCAAAGAAATGAAGCTGGCAAGCTACTTTTCAGCCTCAAGCTTTACACAGCTGTCCTTACTTTCTAACATCTTTCTGATAACATTATTATGTTGCCTTCTTGTTTCTCACTTTGATATTTAAAAGATGTTCAATACACTGTTTGAATGTGCTGGTAACTGCTTTGCTTCTTGAGTAGAGCCACCACCACCATAGCCCAGCCAGATGAGTGCTCTGTGGACCCACAGCCTAAGCTGAGTGTGACCCCAGAAGCCACGATGTGCTCTGTATCCAGAACACACTTGGCAGATGGAGGAAGCATCTGAGTTTGAGACCATGGCTGTTACAGGGATCATGTAAACTTGCTGTTTTTGTTTTTTCCTGCCGGGTGTTGTATGTATGGTGACTTGTGGATTTATGTTTCAGTGTACTGGAAACTTTCCATTTTATTCAAGAAATCTGTTCATGTTAAAAGCCTTGATTAAAGAGGAAGTTTTTATAATCTAAAAAAAATAAAAATAAAAATAAAATAAAATAAAACCCTGCTGCATGAGTCATATTACTCCAGGAAAAAAAAAAAAAAGAAGCAAATTTTGAAGGAAAATAAATCACACATTTTGTATCTAAAAAGAAGTCTAGGCGCTAGGTATAGACCTTAGGAAGCAGATGCATACAAACAAAGTAACAATTGCTTAAAGTTGTCTTTAAGCTCTTTTCAGAATCAAGATGAATGGAAAAACTACACAACTGGTGACTCTGCAGTGAATCTCCCTCCGGCTGTGACTACACCTGTTTCCAGCAAAAAGGAGCCGGCGGGCTGCATAAAGCACCCTCATCGAATGACACTATAAAACTGTATTTCAGTGTGCTCAGAGACAAATTGGAACAACTGGTCCACAGGCTGGATCTAACTCGGTCCTTGTCTTTGTCTAATAGCTGAATACATGAACAGATTTTAATAACTGAACTGCTGTTTGGTTGCTGTATGTTATTTTTTATTTTTTTTAGAGACAGGGTCTTGCTCTGTTGCCCAGGCTAGAATGCAGTGTGTGATCATAGCTCACTGAAGCCTCCAACTCCTGGGTTCAAGCAATCCTCTTGCCTCAGCCTCTCAAGTAGCTGGAACTACTGGCATGCATCACCATGACCACCTCTTTTTGTTTGCTTGTGTTTTGTTTTTTTGAGATGGAGTCTCGCTCTGTCACCCAGGCTGAAATGCAGTGCAATCTTGGCTCACTGCAACCTCTGCCTCCCTGGGTTCAAGCAATTCTCTCACCTCAGCCTCCTGAGTAGCTGGGATTACAGGCGTGCACCACCACACCAGGCTAATTTTTGTATTTTTTAGTAGAGATGGGGTTTCGCCATGTTGGCCAGGCTGGTCTTCAACTCCTGACCTCAGATGATCCACCCTCCTTGGCCTCCAAAAGTGCTGGGATTACAGGTGTGAGCCGCCATGCCCAGCCCAAGTTGCTCTATTTTTAAAGATAGCTCAGGACACGCTGAAGCCATAAAAACTCACAAAGACGTTTTGCTTTTTCAGTAAGTTCTGCTCAATTCTTTACTGAGTGTTACTGACGAGTTAGGAGGCACTGAAGGTGAAGCCAGATGGAGCCACATCTCCAGCCAAGAGTGTGGAAGGCCAGTTCAGGCCCAGGCCTCCGGGCACCTGAAGGCACCAGCGGGAGAATGTCTGCTATGCAGTGTCCTCAGGGCATTGATGGGCTGGTAACACAGTTGGCTACTGAACAGTGATTTGTATTCTAAACTCTCCCTTTCAACAAATGTGGAAGGAACTGTAAAGTGATTTGAAAAGCTTACTCTACACAAATGGGCCCTGGCTTACCAAGGAAAGGTTTCCAAACTCAGGACAGAATTGGTTTTTTTCTTCAAGAAGTGAAAAAGTAAGATATGACACACTAGAGAGTAAAAACATAGACGAAATAAATGATTTCACCTAAAATAAGGATGGGTTCAAAGTGTAGGCTTCTACAGCAAACGCTTTGCTGAGACAGAAGCTTGGGAGTTGGCTGAAGGTGCTAGTGGGAATGTTGAGACCCTAACTTTGTTTACATATGATGGAATGCACGTAAAATAAAGATCATCCTAAGTCACATTCTTCACAGAGCAAGCCCTTTGATGAACATTTCCCTGCAAACACTCCAACCTACCAGCAGATTCAGAGGACACCCTCTCACCAAGAAGATACATTTACAAAATCTTTCCACCCACTACAGCCTGAAAATGTCACACAGGAAAAATTTTGGGCACACTGCTCAGTGACTCCCCTCCCATAGCTTATAACACAGAGAAGAAATTCTTACTATTTCCTTTTTTTTTTTTTTTTTTTGGAGATGGAGATATGCTCTGTCGCCCAGCCTGGAGTGCAGTAGTGCGATCTCAGCTCACTGCAAGCTCCGCCTCCCGGGTTCACACCATTCTCCTGCCTCAGCCTCCTGAGTAGCTGGGACTACAGGCGCCCGCCACCACACCCGACTAGTTTTTTGTATTTTTAGTAGAGACGGGGTTTCACCACTGTGTTAGCCAGGATGGTCTCAATCTCCTGACCTCATGATCCGCCTGCCTCGGCCTCCCAAAGTGCTGGGATTACAGGCGTGAGTCACTGCGCCTGGCCACTATTTCCATTCTTTATGTGAGCCAGGAGTTACCTGTGGCACCCCTACCCCCACCTGCAATCACGATTTCAGTCCTCTTGGTTATTTGAGTATTAACAAAAACAAGCTTGAGAAGCACTGCACCTTAGCCCATCGCTTCAAGGCTCACCTGACTGTTCTCAGAAGGAAGGAGACAAGCTGTAGACCCAGCTGGTAGGGCCACCTTCCTCTCCACGCTCCAGCCCTGCCGCCTGTGTTTGAGCTGATGCAGGGCTGAAGTGTGCACACAGGTATGGATCATATTTGCATGTTACAGTGGACATGTATGGCTTTTGCCTGCATTATACCCCTCTATTCATCTGGAAATTCTTCCTCTCTCCTTATAACCATACCCCACCCACCCCTCACTGCAAAAATAGACCATGCACAGACCCACTCCTCTGTCCACAGCCAAAGAGATTCCTTCCACAAGACCTGATTTAGTAGCACTAGAAGAAAGATGGTCTCTCTTTTTTCTTTTTGGGTTGAAGCTGGAAAAGCTTCCAGGGGCCACCTCTCAGGCCCCTGTACTCCAAGAGAGAATAAGGCCAATACCCAAAAAACTCTTGAGTTCCATCTGCAGCCAGCTTCATCATTGGATTTTCCTATTATTCATGTCAACAAATTCCATGTTTTGCTTAAGCTAGTTTGAGTTTGGGAGAAGAGAGAGATGTATAACGCCCAAGTTTCCTCAAGAGACTTAGAGTTGCCTATGATTTCATTCATTGAAATAGGGAAATAAAATAAGGAAGTAACAGGGAAAATTTTAATTTTCCCTATTGAAACTGAAAATAGGGAAATAAAAAAAATTGTATCTAGTAATATATCCAGTTACCATTTTCTATTAAAATAGATTCTTCATTTGTGTAGGAAATCATTCATCACAAATACATATTCATAAAATAGTTACTTATGTTTTGCAGAAAATTATTGCAACTTGACACTTGAAATCTTATAAGTAAATGGTTCAATTATAAGGCCCCAAGCTATCTTTTGTGGCTGACATTCTAATGTATTTGGAAGACCAAATAAAATGTTTCTAAATGAATAATCTCATGTCAGACAAGATATGGTGGCATGTTAAAAAGTAAAGAGCTATAGGCTGGGCGCGGTGGCTCACGCCTGTAATCCCAGCACTTTGGGAGGCCGAGGCAGATGGATCACCTGAGGTCAGGAGTTCGAGACCAGCCTGGCCAAAACGGTGAAACCCCATTTCTACTAAAATAAACAAAAATTAGCCGGGCGTGGTGGCAGGTGCCTGTAATCCCAGGTACTCGGGAGGCTGAGGCAGGAGAATCACTTGAACCCGGGAGGTGGAGATTGCAGTGAGCTGAGGTCACACCACTGCACTCCAGCCTGGGTAATAGAGCGAGACTCCATCTCCAAAAAAAAAAAAAAAAAAAAAAGTAAAGAGCTTTAAAAGTGTGTCACAATGAACTGTCCCATACTATAACTTCATAAAGGACAGAGGAGGTGCTACATTTTGAATAAATGTTCCATCAAAATAAGAAAAAAATATTCAAAGAAAAAAAATCCACATTCAACAGTGCAACCAGAGTCTTACAGCATTTATATGTCTCACTGGATCTAAGACAAAAACCATCCACACTGACCTCCCCGCTGGGTTCTGCGTGAGATTAACAACTGCATGGACCCACAGAGCAGCCACGGGCTCTGTGTTTCTGAGCTCACTCAGCTACTCCCTGGATACTGAGCAAAGCTGCAGCCAGTATCAGGAAGTTAGCTCAGATCACACGTTCACGAGGTTTATCAGATGTAGAAATTATCAATAAAATTATTCCATTTCATAAAGAAGGCAAGGTTCTGTCCTTTGGAAACCCTAACAGCCATCAGTTCAAAACTTATTACAGAGACACTGAAAATGAATCCCTAAACAAGCACAGCTCACAGACCTTTGACCTTTGATGACTTTGAATTATCTGTGGACAATCTGCTCACCCAGATAGTTCCTGTCCCCACGCAGCTGTTCTCTGAGCTGTCCCTGGTGCAAACTCTCAACACTCAGCCCATCATAGATACCTTCATTTATTTTGAAGTTGCCTCCTTTGACTTCAGACTTTAGGAGAAAAAGGGTAGAATCGTACTGATCTCACTACCTGGCCCAGATTCTAAGGCAACTTCACAGGCTGCCTCACAAATATTCGTTAAATGAATGAGTCTTATTTCCTTTCACTTTGCTGTAAAAAAAAAGAATGCATCTTGGATCTTAGGCTCTCGTCCAAGACAGTTCAAAAATGTGAAGGGGCCCCATGTAAGCGAGGGTGCAATGTGAAAGGATCTAGGCATTTATTTTTAATAGAGAAAAAAGAGAGAGCTTAGTTTCTGTAAAAGCAAAAACAAAATTCTAACCTTGAAACAGATGCAGGATTATTCCTCCATTTTCATAATTTTTCTCTGCTGTTTTTAAAGTTTCTCTGGGTTCATTATTTAACGTTCCCTCTTAACACTGGATTTGAGGGTAACCTGGATCACCGTGAGGGTGAAACGCCAGATGCTGAGCATTTCTGCGCTTCCCCTTCCCCAGACCAGCCCCCCACTGCTCCAGAGATGTCAGGCCTTTCTCCTTCTCCACCACCTGGTGCCAGAAACCCTGCTCTTGACAATCGCATCTTCCACCCCAAATGCATCACTCTTTTCCACTCATGTTCTGCTCATTCATGGCAAGTGAAGCAGAGAAGGGGAGGGGAATAGAACACAGGCCTTCTGTCAGCTGGTTCTCCAGATGCACGCCAGCAGCCCCTGTGGCGGGGGCTCCGACAAAGGGCCTGGCCTGGGGCCAGCAGACTCGTGGAACCAGCAGGCAGGCATCAGAAGGATCCAGACACCAACGTCCAGGGGGATTCTCAGGATTGCCTTCAGGTAGCCGTGCCCTGCAATGTGGGGTGTTTCTCATCCCAAATGGGATTCCTCAGTGGCCCTGACAAACAGTTGGGGAAAGTTAACAGTAAAGGCCAAGTCTCTCCTCCAAAGTCCCTGTCAGGTGGGCTCTTGTTTTTTTGGGGGAAGGAGCCCAGGGTCTAGATCAGTCGCCCAGGCTGGGGTGCACTGGTGTGATCACAGCTCACTTCAGCCTCAAACTCCTGGGCTCAAGTGATCCTCCAACCCCAGCCTCCTGAGTAGCTAGGACCACAGCCACATGACACCACCCCAGCTAATTTTTTAATTTTTTGTAGAGATGGGGTCTCTCCCTATGTTGGCCAGGCTGATCTCGAATTCCGGGCATCAAATAATTCTCCCGCCTCGGCCTCTCAAAGTGCTAGGATTACAGGCATGAGCCACTGTGCCTAGCCTCAGGTGGGTTCTTGAACTGTTCATTAATATCCTAGTTCACTGGTACTTCCTGCTCCAGTGGGCTGGGCGCCTCAGCCTACCATGCTCAAAATCGTAACCACTCCTCCCTCAGCCACGTCTGTGCTTTCTCATAAGTTTTCCAAGTTGTAGAGCTCACGCCACTCCCTAAACTTGCAGTGTCGTGTGTGTGTGTATGTGTGTTCACCGAGGAACTGAGCATGCACCAAACTGTGCCACAAAATATGTTGTCTTACAAATAATTTTGAAATGTTTATACCATGTCTCTCTCACTAGCAGAAATGACTTTCTCATGCTTTCTCTCTCTCTCTCTTTTTTTCTGTAGAGATAGGCTCTCACTACATTGCCCAGGCTGGTCTGGAACTCCTGGCCTCAAGTGATTCTCCCACTTCAGCCTCCCAAAGTGCTGGCCTCTTCTTTTTTAATCCTCCAAAGCATCTAACATGGGTTCTCATGTAGAGTAGGTCTCAATAATTTCTTCACCAAATTCTGCTTAAAATTTAATTTCTCAGTTTATTGATCATTTGATCATTTCCCCCCGCAAATTGTTCCCTTCATTCACAACCACGATCATCATTTATTGGTGAAACTGAATTCTACACTTGACCCCTCCTTGGCCATTCAGGTACCTGTTCAACGTCACTGCCCCCTCCATCCTAGCGGACAACTCAGAGTGACTCAAGCCCTACCTAATCTCCCAAACCAAAAGACATGCAGACACCTCTCAGGAGTCCTGGGGATTTTCAGGGGGTTGGGGAAGGGAACAGGGAACTCCTTTAACTCCTACTACATTTAAAGAAGCAATTTAAAAAATTACTTCTCGCTTATGTAACAGATTGAGATGTACGCAATGGATCTGTCTAAACCATGTACATTTGGTGCTGATTTTTAAAGCAGGGTATTAATGCCTTTGAAATGTAATGAGACTAGGAATGAGAGCCTCACAATTTTTAAAAATATAGTAATATAAACCTTGAAGTAGCATTGGAAGTTCTTTATCCCTGGATATTGGAAATTAAAGGAAAAATGCAAGGGGTCATTTTCTCCTCCAATTTGCAACTTTCCCAAAGAGATTTTGGGTATGGCCAAAGTTAATGTAAATATTAACTTTATTCACGGACAAAAGGATAAAGGTGTGTGTGGTTGGCTGAATAATGGATCCCCAAAAGATATCCACATTCTAATTCCTGGAAACTGTGAATATTACCTGACACGGCAAAGATTCTGTAGATGTGATAAATTGAAGGATCTTGAGATGAGGAAATGATCCTAGATATTCTGGAGGGCCCCATGTAACCATCAGGGTCCATACAGAAAGGAGGCGGAGGGAGAATATAGACTGTTCTTCCCACTTCAAATCTTTTTTTTTTTTAAGTTCGGGATACAAGTGCAGAATGTGCAGGTTTATTAGATAGGTAAACGTGTGCCATGGTGGTTTGCTGTGCCTATCAACCCATCATCTAGGTTTTAAGCCCTGTATGCATTAGCTATTTGTCCTAATGCTTTCCCTCCCCTTGACCCGCAACCCCCGAAAGGCCCCAGTGTGTCATGTTCCCCTCCCTATGTCCATGTGTTCTCCTTGTTCAACTCCTACTTATGAGTGAGAACATGTGGTGTTTGGTTTTCTGTTCCTGCATAAGTTTGCTGAGGACGATGGCTTCTGGCTTCATCCATGTCCCTGCAAAGGACATGATCTCATTCCTTTTTATGCCTGCATAGTATTCCATGGTGTATATGTGCCACATTTTCTTTGTCCAGGCTATCACTGATGGGCATTTAGGCTGATTCCATGACTTTGCTATTGTAAATAGTGCTGCAATGAACATATGTGTGCATGTTTCTTTATAATAGAATAATTGATTTATATTCCTTTGGGTATATACTGAGCTACTTTTAATAAATCGACTTGGCTGGGCATAGCAGCTCATGCCTGTAGATTGACGGGCATTTGGGTTGGTTCCATGTCTTTGCTATTGTAAATAGTGCTGCAATAAACATGTGTGTGCATGTGTCTTTATAGTAGAATGATTTATATTCCTTGGGGTATATATTCAGTAATGGGATTGCTGGGTCAAATGGTATTTCTGGTTCTAGATCCTTGAGGAATCACCATACTGTCTTCCACAGTGGTTGAAGTAATTTACATTCCCACCAACAGTGTAAAAGCATTCCTATTTCTCCACATCCTCTCCAGCATCTGTTGTTTCTTGACTTTTTAATAATCACCATGCTGACTGGTGTGAGATGGTATCTCATTGTGGTTTTAATTTGCATGTCAGATCAGTAATGTCAAGCTTTTTTTCATATGTTTGTTGGCTGCATACATGTCTTCTTTTGAGAAGTGTCTGTTCATATCCTTTGCCCACATTTTGATGGGTATTTTTTTTTCCTTGTAAATTTGTTTAAGTTCCTTGCAGATTTTGGATATTAGACCTCTGTCAGATGGGTAGATTGCAAAAAGTTTCTCCCATTCTGTGGGTTGCCTGTTCACTCTGATGATAGTTTCTTTTGCTGTGCAGAAGCTCTTTAGTTTAATTAGATTGGTTTCTGTTGCAATTGCTTTTGGTGTTTTTGTCATGAAGTTCTTTGCCCATGTCTATGTCCTGAATGGTATTTCCTAGGTTTTCTTCTGGGGTTTTTATAGTTTTGGGTTTTATATTTAAGTCTTCAATCCATCATGAATTAATCTTTGTATAAGGTGTAAGGAAGGGGTCTAGCTTCTGTTTTCTGCATATGGCTAGCCAGTTTTCCCAGCACTGTTTAACAAATAGGGAATCCTTCCCCACTGCTTTTTTGTTGTTTGGTTTGTCGAAGATCAGATGGTTGTAGATGTGTGGTATTATTTCTGAGGTCTCTGTTCTGTTCCATTGGTTTATATGTCTGCTTTGGTACCAGTACCATGCTGTTTTGGTTACTGTTGCATTGTAATATAGCTTGAAGTCAGGTAGGTGATGACTCCAGCTTTGTTCTTTTTGCTTAGGATTATCTTGCCTATACGGGCTCTTTTTTGGTTCCATGTAAAAATTAAAGTAGTTTCTATCTAATTCTGTGAAGAATGTCAGTGGTAGTTTGATGGGAATAGCATTGAATCTACAAATTACTTTGGGCAGTATGGCCATTTTCACGATATTGATTCTTCTTATCCATGAGGATGGAAAGTTTTTCCATTTGTTTGTGTACTCTCTTATTTCCTTGAGCAGTGGTTTGTAGTTCTCCTTGAAGAGGTCCTTCACATTCCTTGTTAGCTGTATTCCTAGGTATTTTATTGTCTTTGTAGCAATTGTGATTGGGAGTTCATTCATGATTTGGCTCTCTGCTTGTCTATTGTTGGTTTATTCGAATGCTTGTGATTTTTGCATATTGATTTTGTATCCTAAGTAAATGTCTCCAAATTGTATGCCATTAATTTGCCCTTAAACCAAATTTCTATTAATTCCTACATCTGCTTGCTTGAAGATATCTGTGGTAGCAGTGGTAATAGTGACAGCAGTAGCAGTGGTAATTAATAAGACCAAAGAAATTATATTTTACAGACTAGAAGTGCTTTTAAAATAATGATTAAATGGATTATAATCAGTTTAAAATAATGTGGTATGTTTACAAATAATAATAGCTGAAGCTATCTTTAAAACAGTGAGTATATGCCAGGCACTGTGCTAAGGACTTTTCGTGTATTATTTCATTTATACTCTTATGATTTATAACCTAGGTCACTATTATCATCCCCATTTCATAAATGAGAAAATGAAGGCTTAGAACAGTCACATGGCTAGTAAATATCAGGGCTGTGATTTAAACTCATGTAGTCTGGCCTGCTAAAATGATGGTAAAAATAACTTTAAAAAAAATGTACAGGCCATGCGCGGTGGCTCACGCCTGTAATCCCAGCACTTTGGGAGGCCGAGGCAGGTGGATCACGAGGTCAGGAGATGGAGACCATCCTGGCTAACACGGTGAAACCCCGTCTCCACTAAAAAATAGAAAAAATTAGCCAGGCATGGTGGAGGGCGCCTGTAGTCCCAGCTACTCGGGAGGCTGAGGCAGGAGAATGGCGTGAACCTGGGAGGCGGAGCTTGCAGTGAGCCGATATTGTGCCACTGCACTCCAGCCTGGGAGACAGAGTGAGACTCCATCTCAAAAAAAAAAAAAAAAAAAAAAATGTACAAATTTACATCAGCGAAGAGAAAATAATCAGTCATCAGAAAACAAAAGATTTTGGCCACGTGCGTTAGCTCACGCCTGTAATCCCAGCACTTTGGGAGGCCGAGGTGGGCGGATCACCTGAGGTCAGGAGTTCAAGACCAGCCTGGCCAACATGGTGAAACCCTGTCTTTACTAAAAATACAAAAATTAGCCAGGCGTGGTGGCGGGCGCCTGTAATCCCAGCTACTTGGGTGGCTAAGGCAGGAAAATTGCTTGAACCTGGGAGGCAGAGGTTGCAGTGAGCCGAGATTGCGCCACTACACTCCAGCCTGGGCAACTCCGTCTCAAAAAATTTAAGAAAAGAAAAAGAAAACAAAAGATTTTGACATTTCTGGAAGATGAATATAACCATAAAACATGCAAATATAAAAGAAAAACAATGCAGAATGCTATAAAAAGTATACAGTGTGCATGCCTTGCTGGGAAGCCTGCTGGGTGTGGGTGGAGCTCACTGGAGCTCACTGGAGATCTGTTCACAGGTTTGCTCTACTGAGAAAAACACAAGAAAAAGCAAAGAAAACAAAACAGCCAATAGAACAAAAACAAACTCAACAACAACAAAAAAATCAAACAAAAAACCTGCCGAAAGAATTTTAAAAGATGATTACACAATGAAAAGTTCAATAGAACAGTACAAAGATAATGTTAGGGAAGTCTCCCAGAACACAAAGCAAAAGAATAAAAACACAAAAAATTGAAGAAAAGATTAAAAAGCCAGAGAAGGAACCGAAGAAGCCTAACATTTGACCAATCAGAGTTCTAAAAACCACAGAAAAATATGGGGCAGGGGGAAAAGGAAGAAATTATCAAAGAAATAATACAGCTTGAGTACCCCTTATCCAAAATGCTTGAGACCAGAAGTGTTTCAGATTTCAGACGTTTTTGGATTCTGGAATACTTACATTGTACTTACCAGCTGAGCATCTCTAATCCAAAACTCTGACACCCTAAGTGCTCCAATGAGCATAACCTTTGAGTGTCGTGTCATGTTGGCACTCAAAAAGTTTCGGATTTCAGAGCATTTCAAATGTTTGAATTAGGGATGCTTAACCTGTACAAGAAAACTCCCCAGAGCTAAGGTGACAAGCTTAGACTTCAAGATGTTTGCTGTTTATCCATGTGTTACCTCTCAGCTGCAGATACCCTTCTTTGCCTTCCTTTGAATTACGGGAGCTGGACGTGGTCAATGTCTCTCCTTTGCCAGCTGACATCAGGTTAAGCTTTGCTGGTTGAGAGTGCTGGAGAAGTCGTGCAGGAGGAAGCGACTTTTCTCCTATGGGGTATGCTCTCACCAGCTTGTGCCTGCAGCAGCTAGCAGCCTGTGGAATACCCAGGGGCGTCACCCCAGTGAGTTTCGGCAGCACCCTGCAGGTGGTTCCCGGTAAGTCTGGCAGACACCCCAGCAGGCAGCATCCTCACAAGGTTCAGTAGAGCAAACCTGTGAGCAGGTATCCAGTGAGTACCCCCAGCACCCAGCCGGCTCCCAGCAAGGCTTGCAGGCACCCAGTGGGTGGGTGGTTTCTAGCAGTTTTTTAAACACCAGAGCAGGCGGTATCCCACATGGGCTAGCATGCAGCTCCTCCCCAGACTGTGCTGCCTCAATGGGCCACGGAACCATGCCCTGAGATCTGAATTTCAGATTTGGGGGTGCGCGAGAGGCAGCCACTTCTGAACTCGATCTTGCCTCAGCCCTAGAGGGAGGGGCTGCTCAATGTATGTGTCACTCACATTCTTTCTTAATTTTTTTTTTTTTTTGAGGCAGGGTCTCACTCTGTTGCCTAGGCTGGAGTGTGATCATGGCACACTGCAGCCTCAAACTCCTGAGCTCAAGCAATCCTCCCACCTCAGCTTCCTGAGTACGTGGGACTACAGGTGCGCGCCACCATGCCCGGCTACCTTTTTAATTTTTCGTAGAGACAGGGTTTCACTATATTGCCCAGGCTAGTCTCAAACACCTGGGCTCAATTGATCTGCCCACCTTGGCCTCCTCCCAAAGTGTCGGGATTATAGGCGTGAGCCACCACGCCCAGCCAACCATTCCTGTATTCTTTACAGCTCTCTTTTCCTTTTAGTAGTTAATCCCCTGCTACAAATCAATGATTGTTTAAAGTTTCCCTGTTCAAATCTGTGTGATTTTTGTGTGAAGAGAACCTGACTGATACACCCACTGACTACCAAACTCAATAAATGAGCAAAGACTCACATTTAGACATCTCACTGTCAAATTACTATATAATTGTATTAATAATTATTGCAGAATATTGAGGAATAAAGAGAAAGAAACTCTAGTAGCTTTCAAAAAGGAAAAAAGAGTCAGTTAATAACAAACACAGACCAGCATGTGCCTTTTCAAATCTGCAACAATATAGCAAGATTTTTGAAGGTTAAAGAAAAATTTATTTCAAGCCTAGAAACCCATACCAATCATAGTAAAGACATTTTCAAACACGTAAGACTCAGAAAGTGAGCCTCAATCAGAATAAATCACTTAAGACTATTAAATATATTTCAAAAAAAATCAATGTAAAACACAGGCAAAGAGATGTGGCATCCAACACATGGTAGAACAAAGCCTTGAATTTAAGGAAAATTAACAACTGCAAGTCTAGGAAGCCATGAGGACATCAGTGAGTGGAATCCGCAAAGAATGTCTTCAAAAAGAATGCATTTATTTCAGGCAATAGACAAATGCGTTAAAAACTAGAGGATTTGAGGGAAATAGTCAAGGAGGCACAATTCTTCCCTCAACAAGGCACACACACCAAAAAAACAAACCAATAAAAAAATTCAAGGGGGCCAGAATGGCGACTCATGCCTGTAATCCCAGCACTTTGGGAGGCTGAGGAGGGCAGATCACCTGAAGTCAGGAGTTCGAGACAAGCCTGGACAACATGGTGAAACCCTGTCTCTACTAAAAATACAAAAATTAGCTGGGCATGGTGACGCACGCCGGTGGTCCCAGCTACTGTGGAGACTGAGGCAGGAGAACCACTTGAACCTGGGAGGTGGAAATTGTACTGTGGTGAGATCGTGCCACTGCACTCCAGCCTGGGTGACAGAGCAAGACTACGTCTCAATAAATAAATAAACCTCAAGGGAAAACAAATGCCACCAACAAAAAGCAGGAGAGACATGGTTCAAATGCGCCATGACTGGACAGGTGACACTACTCACGCCTGTAATCCCAGCACTTTGGGAGGCCAAGGTGGGCAGATCACCTGAGGTCAGGGGTTCCAGACCAGCCTGGCCAACATGGTGAAACTCCGTTTATACTAAAAATGCAAAAATTAGCCAAGTGTGGTGGTGCACCCTGTAATCCCAACTACTCAGGAGGCTGAGGCACAAAAATCACTTGAACTCGGGAGGTAGAGGTTGCAGTGAGCCGAGATCACGCCATTACACTCCAGCCTGGGTGACACAAAGTGAGACTCTGTCTCAAGGAAAAAAAAAAAAAGTGCCATGATTTAGAGCAACTGGTAAAAATTAGCAGAATGAACTCAATTGGAAAAGATATTAGAGCAGCTGGGCACGGTGGCACATGCCTGTAATTCCAGCACTTTGGGAGGTCAAGGCAGGTGGATTACAGTACATGTACTAAAATTGGAATGATATACTAAAATTGGAAGATCAGCATGGCCCCTGCGCAAGGATGACATGCAAATTCATGACGTGTTCAATATTTTTTATATATTTTAATAAAAATATAAAAATTTAAAAAATTTTAAAGAAAAAGATATTAAGAACTATCTATTTTGAGTGATGCTGCAGTTGTGATATTAGAATTATAGAGAGGGAAGTATAATCACAGCAAGCACTGCTTGGCTCTTCTACAGACAGTATTTACATTAACACTGCTCATTGGCTTGTGCTGCGGTTTGGATATTCGACCCTTTGGAACATTGTTGAAATCTGATCCTCTATGTTGGAGGCGGTGCCTAATGGCAGGTGTTTAGGTCATGGGCGTGGATTCCTCATGAATAGATTAATGCTCTTTCTGGGGGGCGGGGAGGCAGTGAGTGAATTTTTGCTCTATTAGTTCCCAGGAGAGCTGGTTGTTAGAAAGAGCCTGCGACCTTAGCTGGTTGTTAGAAAGAGCCTGGGACCTTCTTCCTCTCTCTCTTGCCTTCTCTCTCGCTATCTGATCTCTGCACATGCCAGCTCCTCTCTGCCTTTCAGTATATGTGGAAGCAGCCTGAGGCTTTCCCCAGATGCCCAATCTTCCAGCAGCAGAATCGTGAGCCAAATAAAACTCTTCTTTATAAATTACCCAACCTCAGGTATTCCTTTATAGCAACACTAAAGGGACTAAGACAGCTTGCAACCTTTAGACTCAATCAATGGGCAATGCAAGGAAAATATTTCCAGATAGAGAAGGCAAATGTTATCAGACTCAACACTGTAAAAATAAAGACATAGCTGAGAAAAGCTGAAAGATGGACAACAGGAAAAGAGAGGAATGCGGAAGGTTAGTGGTACTAGTCCCCTCATCTTATAAAATTTGGCACCTAATAGGTAGGAAATAAATGCAACAAGATATAGAGGTTTATGAACATTAAAACTGCAATGGTAGGGCTGGGCACGGTGGCTCAGGCCTGTAATCCCAGCACTTTGGGAGGCTGAGGCAGGTGGATCACTTGAGATCAGGAGTTCGAGACCAGCCTGGCCAACATGGTGAAACCCCGTCTCTACTAAAAATACAAAAGAATTAGCTGGGTGTGGTGGCGGGCACCTATAATCCCAGCTACTCAGGAAGCTGAGGTAGGAGAATTGCTTGAATCTGGGAGGCAGTTGCAGTGAGCCAAGGTGGCACCACTGCACTCCAGCCTAAGCGACAGAGTGACAGTCCATCTCAAAAAAGAAAAAAGAAAAAAAAAAACTGCAGTGGTAATCAAGAGAGGAATTCATGTACTGATAAAACTAAGAAGTTGTACATGCCTCTGTGTGTGTGTGTGTGTGTGTGTGTGTGCATGTGAACGTGGTCTATCAAACAGAGGCAACCCAAAGCACATACATCAGAAACGGCTGAGTGAGGAGTTATACAACTATTAGTAATAACCACTAAAATAATTTTAACAGGAACCATTAAAAATGTGTTGCTTCTGGAACAAAGCTATTGCTTTTCATTTACAGCATTCCTCCACGATCTGATTTTTTCAGCCATGTTCATGAATCACTTTGAAAATAATCCTGTGTGTAGGAGTCAGCAAATTTTTTTTTTCTGTAAATAACCAGATGGTAAATATATTTTTGGCAGTATGGGCCATACAGGTCTCTGTCACAACTCTGCAACTTGGCTATTCTGGGGCAAATAGACAATTCATAAATGAATGAGTGTAGCTGTGTTCCAATAAAACTTTATTTACACAACAGGTGGCAAGAGGGATTTGGCCTGCAGGCTGCTATTTGCCGACCACTGATCTATTCCAGCATTTCCCAAACTATGTACTACAGGATACTCCAATATACTTGAAGCTTTTCCTCCAAAAGAGGGAGAGTTTCCAGTTCAAAGAGTTTAGAAAATGCTAGGTTTAAAAATGTTAAGCAGATTTCTTTACTTCAAGGCTTCTTGCAGTCTCTAATGTGCTTATGAGCTTTTGGAAGCCAAATATGGAATAGAATTCAGCACACAGCATTTCTCCAATTTCCATGGATATACTGGAGAAGCACCCAATCAATGATATCTCAAGGGCCACTAGTGTTGGGTGGGAAGGCTTGGGAAGCAATGTCATCATCTAATTCCTACCTTGTATAGACAGAAAAATGAGGTTTAGAGAGTGGGAAGTTACTTGGCTGAGGCTACTCACCTAGACGGTGTCAGAACTGGGACTGGAACCCAGGCAGCTTAGGGTTGTTGCTGCCATTTCAGAGGGCCATTCCTTCATTTAGATGGCCCCATAACAAACCAGTGCAAAGCTATCCTGAGTCATCTCCATCCCGAGGGATTTTCCGGAAGGCACTTTGAAATTACATAACGACATAGATGAACCAATACTTAAACCTCAAAAAAGGCGAAGACTATGGGTTCAGATTTTATTATTTTATTTAGAAACAACATGAGGTGAGGTGAACTGATTGGACACATTCACCACGAGTCTTTCCTAATTTCTAATACAAGGTGGAGCAATAGAAAAAAATAGAAAATAAGGAGAACAAAGTCTTTTTCTCAACTTTTTTAGGATTCTAGACTATACTATTCAGTGTTACTAAAGCACACTTTGTATTTTATGAATCATCAGTGATGAGTAAGTACAGATTAAGCTCTATCTGAACATGCAGCAGTGTACAAAGCACAGAGCAAGAGTTTTGGAGATAAAAGAAAGTTTAGGAGGATCAGAGACAAAAGAAAAAGGCTTGGCCGGGCGTGGTGACTCATGCCTGTAATCCCAGCTCTTTGGGATGCTGAGGTGGGAGGATCGCTTGAGCTCAGGAGTTCAAGACCAGCCTTGGGAACATGGTGAGAGCCCATCTCTACAAAATAATTAAAAATTAGCTGGGCATGGTGGCACACAGCTGTGGTCCCAGCTACTCAGGAGGCTGAGGTGGGAGGGTCACTTGAGCCTAGGAGGTTGAGACTGCACCACTGCACTCCTGCCTGGGTAACAAAGAAAGACCTTGTCTGAAATTAAAAAAAAAAAAAAAAAAAGAAGAAAAAGAAAAGAAAAAAGAGAAGGAAGGAAGGAAGAAAAAGACTTGAGAAACCTAAGATCTAAGTAAACACCCCTAATATTTTGTGAAGGCAGTACAAAAATATGAACCAAAGCAATATAACTCTAAACAAAGAAAACGGTCAGAATATAAATTGAACTTTAAACAAAAAAAGAGGAGGAGTTTAATCAGGGTCCAGGCAAGGTGAGTATATCCACTCTGAAAATAACATCTTGGTTCATAAGTTGGTTTCTGAATTCTAGAATGCTTTATATCATTATTTTGTATTCAACACACAAACCACCCATTCCATTTTCTTCATATTTTTCAGGTGTCATTTCATAGCCTATGATGATTAATTGAGATGGATTTTTGAAAACCTTCCTAGCCAACTTAGCTAAGGGACAGCTTTCCCCTAACACTCTCGTGATTGGTGTGAAAATGAAACCTGCTCCTTCCAGAACAATGAGAATGCTACCTCTGCCGACAACATTCCCATCCAACTAAGATCAAGCCAGATTGCTCTTGAGTCATTGGTTAGTAACCCATGGGAAGAGGAAGAGTAGCTGCAGTTGACCTATAAACTCTGCCTTGGCCTTGTCCCAAGCTAATCCCTATTACATCCCACAGACTGTCCCTGGAGTCAGAAGTTGTCCCCAGACTTGTCCTAATGGCCTAGCACAGTGGGAAGTTGTCCAAGAGTCATGGTCATCAAGAGACCTTCAGAGACCACTTAATTGTACAAGACTTTATTTGCCAAACTCCTAAAATTCCTGAGTGCCATGGGACAAGGCAAGGAAGATGTAGTTGCTGGGCAAGAAAAGTGAGCAACCATCTAGTTATTGATACAAGGTTCCTAGGTTCAAATGCAAGTAGCCCCTGGCCTGTGCTGTCCAATACAAGAACCAATGGGCACACATGGCTACTTAAGTTGGTGAGTGCAACTGAGGAACTGAATGTCAACTTTTAATTAATTTCACATGATTTTATTTAAATGTAAAAACTGAAGCAATGTAAAACATGTTCCATTAAACATTAATGCATTGCTTTGGTAGAACTACATTTTACTTTAAATACTATATTGCTTAAAATATTATTTGGTGCATTGTAGCAGATGAGTCTACAAAGGAAAGCATCACTGATCTACTTGGTGTCAATAAAGTGTTTCCATTTAAATGTTTTTTTCTAAACACTGATGTAACACTGTAATGTGTTCATATGAATATTTTACACAGACAGCACAAGTTATGGTGATAACTATGTAAATCATAATTGGTAATTATATCAAAATACTTGTTTTAATTAAGATATAATTACATTGTTTCTCTAGTTTATAAAATAAATATGGCCAATTTTTCTAATTTATCACTTTGAAAATTTTGTAGCAGTCCTAACACAGAGACACTTTCCAAAGCCTTAGGACTGATACAAAATCCAGTGGAGACACAGAAATTAATAATACAATCAGAACAGTCAAGAAAAAAAGAGACAGGAGAGGAAGGTAAGCAAAAAGCAACATAATCAATGGCAATTATAACTTGCTGTGGCAGAGCAAAAGGAGAAAGCTGTGTGTTACATAAAAAGTCAAAGATAATAAAGCAGAAAATATTAACAGACAATTTCAGCAAAAACATAATGAATTTGATGCCATCTCCCCTCGACAGTCAAAAACAGATCAATGAAATTAGTCACTCAAAATAAGAATGGCCAAAAAAATTGTTTTAATGATTTTTTACATCTCAGCTCATAACTCTGGCCAGTTATAAAACATCTTGGATTCTTGAAGCAGTTTATGGAACTGCTGAAAGAAATAGAAAACCAGAAATGATTGATCATGTGTTCTTTGCCAATGATCTCTGGTTGAATCATAGAAGAATTTTTACAAACATTCACTGTACAGTTAACTACAATGCAGGATTTTCTTTACAAAAAAAGAATGCTTGCTGAAGCAAGAAATGAAGACAAAAATAGGCACTGTGGGCTGGGAGCCGTGGCTCACGCCTGTAATCCCAGCACTTTGGGAGGCCAAGGCGGGTGGATCACAAGGTCAGAGATCGAGACCATCCTGGCTAACATGGTGAAACTCTGTCTACTAAAAATGCAAAAAACAAAAATTAGCCGGGCGTGGTGGGGGGCCCCTGTGGTCCCAGCTACTCGGGAGGCTGAGGCAGGAGAATGGCGTGAACCCGGGAGGCGGAGCTTGCAGTGAGCCGAGATCACGCCACTGCACTCAAGCCTGGGCGACAGAGCAAGACTCTCTCTCAAAAAAAAAAAAAAAAAAAAAAAAAAAAAAAAATAGGCAGTGTGATTTATGTTTTTTTTCACAGATATCACACACTATATATGAAAGAGCTAAATTTAAAGTTTCAAGGAAAGGAAAAACTTACTTATGACCTAGCTAGAGAGGCAGGAGAATTTATGTCAAAATTGACATTTTTCATAAGAGAAGTAAAAAATAATGGTTTCATACATTTTTGTAACTTGAATCAATATGTGGATGACTTCACTGAAATCAAAAGCATTATATAAATTGCCTTCAAAATCCATAAGAAAATGTTGGGGAATACTTTGTTGATATTGATAAATTTAGAGTTAGTTTTTCCATTTTTGCAATATTCCTTTGAATTTAATGTCAACAATTCTGAGCTGGCATAAGAGTTAGTGAATTTGCCTAAGTTGAACAGATGTAGCTTTGAAACTGATATTTTTTGTTTCAAAAAGTCAAATTAATTATTCTAAAAAAGATGAACCAGTTTTGTCAAGTTGAATGCGAATATCGTGGAGAATGATTTTTTGATGCTGAGTTCAGTTGCTGGAGAACTTGTATATTTGGGGTTTGGTTAACAAATATACTTTTTCAACTATAAATTTTATAAAAGCTAAATATAGACCAAGTATTTCAGATAAAAATGTAGTATCTGATAGCTATAACATACATATCAAATTTTAAGACTTACTATAAAATTTAAGAAAAAATGTCTCATTAATATTTTTACATTGATTACATGTTGAAATAACATTTTGGGTAGACTGAGTTAAAGAAAATATATAATTAAATTAATTTCACCTGTTTCGTGGCCAGGCGCAGTGGCTCACACCTGTAATCCCAGCACTTTGGGAGGCCGAGGCGGGTGGATCATGAGGTCAGGAGATGGAGACCATCCTGGCTAACATGGTGAAATCCCGTTTCTACTAAAAATACAAAAATTAGCCAGGCGTGGTGGCACATCGCTGTAGATCCAGCTGCTCGGGAGGCTGAGGCAGGAGAATCGCTTGAACCCAGGAGGTGGAGGTTGCAGTGAGCCGAGATCGCGCCACTGCACTCCAGCCTGGGCAACAGAGCAAGACTCCGTCTCAAAAAAAAAAAAAATTCGCCTGTTTCTTTTTAATTTTCTTAATGCGATTACTAGGAAATGTAAAATTACATATGTGGTTTACATTACATATCTGTTGAATATCTAGGGACCCTGGCTACTCGAAGTAGTCTTTCCAGAGCATTGACAGCATCTAAAAGTTTCTTAGAAATGTAGAGTCTCAGACCCTAGCAAAAACCTACTGAACAGAATCTGAATTTTCAGATTCTAGGCAATATGACCGCCCTAGGTTATCACCCAGCAGACTCCCAGAGCCGAGAATCTGGGGTAGACCCAGGCCATTAGAATTTGCAGGACCAAGTACCAAATAGGAGAGAACTACACAGAGAAGTCCAGAGATTTATCTTTGAGTAGTCAGTGCATGTTTCTGAGCAAACTACATGTGCCTGAGGGGGTGGGGGAACACTAGAAAAGATTGGAGATAACAGTGTCTGGTACTGATGCAAAACAGTGTCTGTTTCCACCTGATAGAATGGAAAAACTCAGCCAGCCATGGTGGCTCATGCTTGTAATCCCAGCACTTTGGGAGGCCGAGGTGGGCAGTTTACCTGAGGTCGAGAGTTTAAGACCAGCCTGGCCAACATGGTGAAACCCTGTCTCTACTAAAAATACAAAAATTAGCCAGGCATGGTAGAAAGTGCCTGTCATCCCAGCTACTTGGGAGGCTGGCAGGAGAATTGCTTAAACCCAGGAGGTGGAGGTTGCGGTGAGCTGAGATCGTGCCACTGCACTCCAGCCTGGATGACAGAGTGTGACTCTGTCTCAAAACAAACAAACAAAAAGAATGGAAAAACTCATAATTCACAAGCACTGGGTACTCAGAAAGATGTTGCTTAACCCATTTATGCTGGAGGTTGCAAATTTTTTGTGTGTGAGAAATCAGACCTTGGTGATGACCTTAAGCAATAGGATATAAATAACTCCCACAAGCTTAGTGTTCCAATTATGGAACACTCGGTATAAACGGGTTAAGAAATAATTATCCCTGTCTAATTAGCACTGCTCCTACCTAATAAATCTTGAAAGTAAGACAAAAGAATCAACTGTCTCCAAGTAATTTATCTACATCCCAAAACAAAGCTCAACAATATTTCCATCCCCCCAGAAGATAACATTGCAATGTCTGGCATCCTGTCAAAAATTACCAGGCATGCAAAAAGGCAGGAAAATACAACCCACAACGAGGAGCAATGTCAATCAACTGAAACTGACCAAGAGTTAAGAAAGGTATTAGAATTAGCAGACAAGGACAAATATTCAAGATTTTAGGCAGAGATATGAATATATAAAAACACAAATCAAATTTCTAGAAATAATATCTACAATGTGCGAGATGAACAGTAGACTGGATAGGATTAATAGCAGGTAGACATTTCAGAAGAAAAGACTATTGAACTTGAAGACATAGCAATAGAAATATCCAAAATGAAAAACAGAAAAGAAAGTTTAAAAAAAATGAACAAAGCATGAGTGAGCTGTGGAGACAACTTTAAGCAGCCTAAACACATGTAATTGGATTCCACATGGGGGGCACAGAGGGATAGAAAATGATATTTAAAGAAATAATGGCTGAAAAATTATGCCAAACCTAATAAAAATATAAACCCAAAGATCCAAGGAGCTCATTTAATTCCAAGCACAAGAAATATAAACTAACGTATATCAAAGCACATTGCAAATTGCTTAAAACCAGGAACAAACAAAACATCTTAAAAGCAGCTGGGCGTGGTGGCATGTGCCTGTAGTCCCAGTTGCTCGGGAGGCTGAGGCAGGAAGACTGAGCCCAAGAGTTTGAGGCTACAGTGGGCTATGACTGCACCACTGCACTCTGCCCTGGATGACACAGTGAGACTTCACTTTTTAAAAAATAAAAATACTAAATGCAATTAGAAAAAAAGGACATATCACATAAACAAAAGAAGGTAAGAATGATAGCAGATTTTATGTCAAAAGCAAGGCAAGTGTAAAATAGTGAAGCAAAATCTTTCATAAACTAAGAAGAAAAAATTGTCAATCTATAATTCTATACCCAGCAAAAATAGCTTCCAAAAATAAAACTGTAGCTCCAATTATACAACTAGTTAGCACATGGTACTTATAAAAATAAAGGCAAAATAAGGATTTATCAGACATATAAAAATGGAATGAATTCATCACCAGAAGTCCTACATAACAAAAAATGCTAAAGTAAATTATTTTAAGTAGAAAAAATAATCAGGTAGAAATATGGATATACACAAAGGAATAAAGAACAGTGGAAATAGTTACTACCTGGGTAAATACATAAGAGCTTTCTCCTTATTATTTAAGCTTTTAAAAGAGAAGTGACTTCTCAAACAATAATAACTTATATGGAGTTAATCACATATGTAAAAGTAAACTGTACAACAATACAAAGGCCAAGATGGAAGTATCCTATTGTAATGTTCTTATATGATATGTGAAGTGATATAATATCACTTAAAGGTAGACTATGATAACTTAAAGATGTATACTCTAAATAGTTTGTTGGTTTGTTTTTTGAGACACAGTCTTGCTCTGTGCCCAGGCTGGAGTGTAGTGGTGTGATCTCGTCTCACTGCAACCTCTGCCTCCTGGATTCAGGTGATTCTCATGCCTCGGCCTCCTGAGTAGCTGGGACTACAGGCATGTGCCACCACAACCCACTAATTTTTGTATTTTTAGAAGAGATGGGGTTTTTGCCATGTTGGCCAGGTTGGTCTCAAACTCCTGGCCTCAAGCAATCCACCCGCCTCAGCCTCCCAAAGTGCTAAGATTACAAGTGTGAGCCCCTATGCCCAGATTATACTGTAAATCTTAAAGCAACCACAAAATAACAAAACAAAGACATATAGCTAATTAGCCAACAAAGGAGACAAATGGAATCATTACAAAAACAAACAAACAAACAAACAAAAAAACACCTCAATCCAAAAGAAGGCAGAGAAACCAGGGAAAAGGGAATAAAGAATAGACAAGATACATAGAACACATACAGTAAGATGACAGATTTAAAATTACTATATTGATAGTTACATTAAACGTAAGTAATCTAAATATACCAATTAAAAGACTAATTTTCATATTGGGGAAAAAAGATACAACTGTATACTGCCTACAAAAAAAAAGCACTTTAAATAAAGCCACAAAAGGGTTAAAAGGATGGAAAAAGTTATACTATGCTAACACCAATCCAAAAAAAAAAAAGCTGAAGTGGCTTTATAAATAACAAGTAGAATTTACAGCAAAGAATATCAGCTGGTCTAAAGAAGGTCATTTCATAATGATAAAGTCACCAGTTCTTCAAGGGGACATAAGGATCCTAAGGGTTTATTCACCTTAATAATAGCTATGCATCCAAATACATGAAGCAAAAACTGACAGAACTGCACAAGGAAACAGACAAATTTACAAAGCCACATATTTCAATACTGCTGGGGATCCCTGCTTTATACTAATAAGCAGTCCATATCCATGTTGACTTGTGGCAAAGTTTTATTTTGACATCTTACTGGTATCATCGTAACTAGTGCTATTTTGTCTGGCTTGCAGGCTAACCAGGAGTTAGAGAAGAAGGCATTTTCAGGAAAGCTAACCTTAAAAATAAATCAGGCCGGGTGCTGGTGGCTCACGCTTATAATCTCAGCACTTTGGGAGGCCGAGGCAGGCGGATGACCTTTGGTCAGGAGTTCGAGACCAGCTTGGCCAACATAGCAGAACCCTGTCTCTGCTAAAAATACAAAAATTAGCCAGACGTGGTGGTGCGCATCTGTAATTCCAGCTACTGGGGAGGCTGAGGCCAGAGAATCGTTTGAACCCAGGAGGTGGAGGTTGCAGTGACTGCACTCCAGCCTGGGTGACAGAGTGAGACTCTGTCTTAAAAAAAAAAAAAAAAAGAAAGAAAGAAAAGAAAGAAAAAAAACTGCATCAGCAAGTACGAGTTTTTAAAATGCAAAAATTTCCCAAATTTCTACTGAAAAGATTTATCTGGGAGTAATAAAAAAGTGAGAGTTTGAGAAACTTATGCAAGACCATATCAAAAAGCCCTAGAAGTTAAGAAATTTTGGCTTAACATTGACCCAAACTTTCTTCCAAAAAGCTAGGTTAAGAAAACATGGCAATATTATACCTCAATACAACTGTTTAAAGAAAAAGAACGAAAGAAAGAAAACAAGAGTAATGGTCATTTTCCAGGTTTTGCGAACTAGAATCCTTTCCAATTCAGCACCAAACCGGCCTTTGGAAGTTGTGCACATTTAAAAATAAAAACCTGGTGTTTTCAGGAGTTGGGTACAGATTTATTTGTACAATAAACATTTTTAGCAAAAAGCAGGCAGATGCTTGAATTCTAGCCTCTAAATCCAATGTAGGGGCACTAAAAACTCCAACCCTAATTGGACAGTTTTGTTCTTAAAATTCTACTGCATGAGCTTTCAAGCTGAGTTCCAGAATCCACTGTTACACACACATAGGACCTCCATGGTGACATCACTGCCGTTTACTTATTGGCTGGGAAGTGAATGTGACCCTGGAATCAGAAGATCTTGATTTAAATCTCAATCCTGTCACTCCTAGATACATGACTCTGGCCAATCATTTTTCCTCTCAAGCCTTGATGTTGCTCATCTGTGAAATGGGAGTAATACTACCTACTTCACGTGGTACTTGTGATTAAATGACATTAGATAAGTGAAAATCCCGGCAGACTGCCCTGTACATAAAAGTCCTCCATAAATATTTATAAATGTAGGCGTGGTGGCTCATGCCTATAATCTCAACACTTTGAAAGGCTGAGGCAGAAGGATTGGCTGAGCCCAGGAATTTGAGACCAGCCTGAGCAATATAGTGAGACCTTGTCTCTTCAAAAAATTAGCCAGCCACTGGCCAAAAAGTTAAAAAACAAAAAATTAAAAATGTATCTCAGTTACTGGGAGGCTAAGATGAAAGGATTACTTGAGCCCAGGAGGCAGAGGTTGCAGTGAGCTGGGATCGTGCTATTGCACTCTAGCCTGGGTTACGGAGTGAGATCCTGTCTCAAAAACATAAAAAATAAATGTATAACTAAGCATCACTTAAATTTAAACTGTGATTATTCATGACAAGTCACTTTCTAGTACTTGAACTGAAACTTTCGGTATTCACTGTTAAGAAGGCATTACTCTTAGCAACAACTGTTTGTCCCACCAGACTATGAACAATGCTTCAGGGAATAATAATAATTATTATTATATAATAGGAGGAGGAAAATGAGGAAGAAGAAGGAATATCTTGAGAGAGGAAACTTCTCTCTTACTATGAAATCTATTCTTTTCATCTTTTAAATAGTCATTCTCCTATTTACCTATACTTGGTGATGGTAACTAATTCAGTAAGCCTACAATTAATGGAGGCAACTTTCCTTGTTTCTGCAACTCATGAACTCTCCCTAGTTGTCCCTAGAATCAAAAATTGTGGGAAAACCATTGAGAACATATGAAAAAATGAAACAAAAGCCATTGTTGGGTAACTACAAGCAATGCGTGTGAATTTGGCAACCAAACAAGATAAAAAGTTTGGAGGAGAAAAAGGGTTGGGTGAAGATTATGCAAACACAGCACTTAACTTTTCAAAACCAACTTCTAGCTGAAATGGAAAATAATGGAGAAGACATTGTGTTTAGAGAGACTTGGGTATGGGGCAAGGGAAGTATGAACGGGTTTATAAATTGTAGAACTACCAAGTTCTGCAAACAGATAAAGGATGCTACTATTTGAACCTAGAACCAGTATCTGTGCTCAAAATGAAAGTGAGTTTTCCACAATAAGCTTGCAGTTTCTTCTGAGTTTTTTGTTTTCTCTCTTTTTTTTTTTTTCAAGAAGCCTAAATACAAGACATGGAACCAATTTGTTCATGGAAAAACATAAACTGCTTTCACTGCCTGCTATAACTAACTTGTGACTTCTTCCAACACTGTGAGAAGCAAGTGTATAGAAAAAAAAAAGAGCCATGCAATGAAAGCTTTTCATTCTTTTTTTATGAGGATTTAAAACACACACACACACACACACACACACATACACACAGATGTTGGGTTTATACAAATAATCAACCAAAACATCTTCCAACCATGTAATTTTCTTCTCAAGCATATAATATGATTTTTCTTTTTCCTGGAAACTCAGTGTCAGGATATATGATGGTGACTATTTTTTAAAAAATAATTGGATAATTCTGGGGTCAGAATGAAAAAAAATATATAAATCCTATTTCAAAGTCTAATACCGAATTCATTTTTAGGAAGTGGATGGACATCATCTAACACTGGTTGAAGTAAGCTGTCTCTTCATTTGAGTTCATGTTCTATCAATTTTTCCAGGAAGTTCTTAGCCTTATTTTTGGACTTAAAAACTGATGAGCAGCTGGGCAAGGTGGCTCACGCCTGTAATCCCGGCACTTTGGGAGGCTGAGGTGGGTGGATCGCTTGAAGTCAGGAGTTCGAGACCAGCCTGGTCAACATGGTGAAACCCCGTCTCCACCAAAAATACAAAAATTAGCTGGGTGTGGTGGCACATGCCTGTAATCCCAGCTACTCAGGAGGCTGAGGCATGAGAATCACTTGAAGGTTCTCTGCAGGAGGCAGAGGTTGCGGTGAGCCAAGATCATGTCACTGCACTCCAGCCTGGGCTACAGAGTGAGACCCGGTCTCAAAAAAAAAAAAAAAAAAAAAAAAAGCATGCATGCTCACCTCTAAATTTCTAAATTTTCAGGGTGGAATTTCCTCATTATGGCACACAGTTCAGGGTCAGAGGTCCGTCTTTCTACTTGCCTGCTATCAAGAGCAGGAAACAGGACAGGCACAGCCCTAAGGCAGAGCATGCTTATCAAAGTTTCTCCTAGAGCCTCAGGGTGATTCATCCTGCAGAGGACCGCTCTTGTGTCCTCAAGGGTTCCTTTTGGAAAAGGGCAGGATCTCGTGTCCCCTTTGAGCCTCTCCTTCCCTTCAAGAGTGATAGGTTTCCTCCAATCTGTCCAGCCAGTATTCTTCAGGTCATAACTGGGTCTTATCAGAACCACAGAGCCTTGCAATCCTTAAAAGGCAGGAAAGGGGAGATAAGAGCAGTGTAACCAGCAGGCTGCTGAAGTGAGGATGAGATTTCCGAGAGCCTGTATTCATGCACACAGATGTGTCCTAGCAGGCAGGCTTCCCCTCCACGAGGGGTTCATTTAAAGAACAGATCCTAAAGAGGAAGTGACTCTCCCCTTCTGCAGGCCTGAAATAGAGCTGCTTGCCTCACCAAGCACCATTGAGGGGATCAAGGCAGAAACCAGAGGCTGCTGGTTGCGATGCACAGCACTGAGAAAGGAGGCAGAGGGCTCTGGGGCTCAGTCAGGCTGATGGCCAGTTTCCGCAACGCTCAGCAGAGGGAAAAGAAAGCCTCTTTAGAAACAGAGTTGGCAAAACATTGAATATGAAGAATACTCAGAGAAAATGCATAATTACAGACACTGAGGAACCGTCTAGACTAGATCCCCATGGTACATCCTTTATAGGAGAGAGTGGGGCTAGGGCTAACTCCTCACCTACATCCTTTTTTAAAAAATAAAAAAATTATTTTAGAAACAAGGTCTTGCTCTGTGGCCCAGGCTGGAGTGCAGTGGTGCAATCATAGCTCACTACAGCCTCGACATCATGGGCTTATGTGATCCTCCCACTTCAGCCACCCAAGTATCTAGGACTACAGGTGTGTGCCACCATGCATGACTAATTTTTAAATTTTTTGTAGAGATGGGGTCTTACTAAGTTGCCCAGGCTGGTCTCAAACTCCTGAGCTCAAGTGATCCTCCTGCCTCAGCCTCCCAACATGCTGGGATTACAGGCATGCACCACTGCACCTGGCCCCCACATATATCTTTTATATCAAATGGCTCTCCAGGCTTCCTATTCCTTCTTTATGTGCAGAGATAGGGATGGTTAGAGGAGGAAAAGTAAACCTAGGAAGCTACTGATACATCCTGTCATTTATGGCAAAAGCTTTAGGACCTTGGATCTGAATCCAAACCCAGACTCTACTACTTATTGTCATACCTCATTTGAGGTACTTAACCTATCAAGGCTTCCACTTAAAAAGCTGTGCTAACTGTGGCCGGGCACGGTGGCTCATGCCTGCAATCCCAGCACTTTGGGAGGCCGAGGCGGGCGGATCACTTGAGGTCAGGAGTTCGAGACCAGACTGGCCAACATGATGAAACCCCGCCTCTACTAAAAATACAAAAATTAGCCAGCTGTGGTGGCAGGTGCCTGTAATCCCAGCTACTCGGGAGGCTGAGGCAGGAGAATGGCTTGAACTCGGGAGGTGGAGGTTGCGGTGAGCCAAGATCACGCTGCTGCACTCTGGCCTGGGAGATAAAGAAAGACTCTAACTCAAAAAAAAAAGTGCTAATTAAAATAAGAACAGCATGTCAAGCCCTCAAAGCCCTCAGCACAGGGCCTGGCAAACAGTGGACAGTCAACAGATGATGCTACCAGTGGCAGCACCGCCATCATGGCATCCCCTCATGTCTCCATGACATCTAGAATGTGCTTCCATCACAACACCTATGCTTGTTTATTTACAAATGTATCCGCCACTGTAAGCTCCGTGAAGGCAGGATTCACTCTATATTCTCAATAACAAGCATTAAATGGGTACACACATCCACGTGCACAAGCATACACACACACACCACGTGGTTATCAAATGTTAGCTGAACAAAGGAAAGACAAAATCAGCAGTTTGATTACTTTTACTTCTTGTTTCTATACAATTCTAATTTCAAGGACCTTTCTTCAGATGCTAATAATAACATAATAATATAGGTGGATAACTTGACTAGGTTAACTGAAGTTGATGGTTACATCAAGATTCTATGTCCAGTAACACCAATTAAAGAAGATTGCTGAAACAAAGATTCCTTGGTCTGTGTGCTCCAGTCTGTACTAACATTAGCTGGAGTATAGTGGTGTGATCATAGCTCACTGTGGCCTCGAACTCCTGGGCTCAAGGAATTCTGCCTCCTCAGCCTCCCAAGTAGCTGGGACTATAAGTGGGGACCTCCACACCAGCTAATTAAAAAAAAAAAATTATAGAGAAATGTTGTCCGGGCTGGACTCAAACTCCCTGGGTGCCATGAGTCCAACCATTATTCATCTTTACAGATTCCTCAGGCCGGTCAAACTGTAAACACGCAACAGAAGCTTTGCAGAATTACATGCAATAGCCAAACCACCTGGGATAAGTAACACTGCTACTGGGGCAAGAAAATTGTGCTCCCTTTTAATTGGGAAATTAAAGTACCAGACTATTTCGGCATGGGTAAACATCTTTTCACTTATTGCAGAACTTAGAGAAAGGAGAAATGTGAATTAAGTCGTGAACACAAAAAAAAAAAAAAAAGAAAAAGTCACAAAAAGAGCAATATTTTTATATTTTTGCAGGGAACAAGTGCCAGGTGGGAGGGCTCTGGGTGCACTGCAAACAGTGCTAGACCCCCTGGCTGCTCAGGACCAACGGTAGCCTGCAGCTCTACCTCAAGGCAGGGCGAGAACCTCCAACTACCATCCTACTCTATTACCAACCCTGAGTAAACCTTTATGTTCACAGCTTTGGGGGAAAAGTAAAGATTCCTTAATCAAGTCAATCTGTCAAGGATTTCCTAATACCTACTCTCTGGTATATTCTCATGGACAGAGGATCATAAGTAGAAAGCATCCCTAGCGAGGCTTTTGATCAAAAGGGTCTAGCACAGTCTTAATATGACCAATCATTCATGACTTACACCCACCCTGGACTGGCCACAAAGCACAAACTCCCTTCCAAGATTTTCCAGAAATATGATTTGAAAAAGAAAAAAAAAGCCAACGTGAATTCTGCTGTGTGTATGTACAATTTCCATTTGCAAGGGAAAGGTTATCCAAAACAAGCTTATGTTTCAGTTACTTTCAAGGTACTGCCACGGGCAAGGAAAGCCAAAATAAATTTCAAACAATTTTCCCCAAAGTTCAGACCTTTTCAAAACCAGTTTCAAAACTGGTATTTCCAAGTTGCAGTTCCAAAGAACCCTTTTTAAAAGCAGAAATTTCCTGTACATAAAAACTTTGATAGGGTATTCAATATCATTATTATACTAAACAAAGGTGACAGCCAAATGAGATTGACTCAGAACAAAGGGAGAAGGGTTTGCAAATTGTTAAGAAGAAAAAAATGAAAGGGAAAGGAATGCAAGCATCAAGAAGCACTGTCAAAAAGGGGGAGGAAGGAAAGGAAGGAAGGGAAAAAGAGTAGAGCAGCCTTGGATAGAAACAAAGCCATGTATTGGAAACCCTGGGAAACTGCAGACACAAAAGGTGAGCTAGCAGCATGGAGGAGCTGAACGGGCAGCTGAATTGGCCAGAGGAAAGCTGAAAGAAGTAATCAGAAAGGATCGCAAGGGGGAAACTTACCCCAAGTCAAAGAGCAGGCTGGGGAGTGGAGGGAAAGCAATTAAACACCAATGACAGATGGAGATAAGGACGTCCAAGGCAAATGTGTCCCTAAGACACTTGAAACCCAGGCCTGCCGGGAGGTGGCTGGGCGACAGCAACAGACCAGGAACAGGAGGGGCAGAATGTCAAAGAGGGAAACAAACAAAGGGTCCTAGAAGGAGGAGAAAGCTGCCAAAGTCTGGGGGTGAGGGGCGGTGTTAGGATGTTTGTGGGGAGTGGTACTATGGCTGCATAAGGAATACTAGAGAAGTCCTGAGCAAAGGAGGTCCCCCTCCCCAACTAAGCTCATCACCTTCTTCCTCCTAAGGGAAATGGCTCTTATTTCTAACCCCAAGGACCATGATGTTGGGGGGACAACATAGTCACCACTATCAAGGGGAACTGGATCATTTTCCAACAGTACCCCTGTGGAAAAAGAGGAAACAGGCTAACTTTGACCGCCCACCTATATCTGACATCCATCAAGAATTTTGTAGCATCCCAAGACATTAAGCAGGAGGAAAAAGTTTGATGGTATAAAGGTGAAGTCATCTTCTGAAAGGAGCTGGGCTGGGTGAAAAAGGATAGTGGGTACAGTAGCCATGCTGGGCCTCTGTGTTTATGGAGGTGTGTGTGTGTGTGTGTGTGTGTGTGTGTGTGTGTGTGTGTGTGTATGTATGTGGTGTGTGTAGCAAGACAGAGGGATGTATGTGTTTAAAAGTTGGCAATTGGCCGGGTGCGGTGGCTCACACCTGTAATCCCAGCACTTTGGGAGGCCGAGGTGGGCAGATCATGAGGTCAGGAGTTCAAGACCAGCCTGGCCAACATAGTGAAACCCCATCTCTACTAAAAACACAAAAAGTAGCTGGGTGTGGTGGCACGCACCTGTAGTTCCAGCTACTTGGGAGGCTGAGGCGGGAGAACCGCTTGAACCCAGGAGGCAGAGGTTGCAGTGAGCCGAGATTGCACCGTTGCACTCCAGCCTGGGTGGCAGAGTGAGACTCCATCTCAAAAAAAAAAAAAAAAAAAAAAAAAAAGGTGGCAATTGCTCTTGAGAGACAAGACTTAGAAACGTAACATGATGGCTGGGCACTGTTTCTCTCACCTATAATCCCAGCATTTAGAGAGGCTGAGGCAGAAGGATCACTTGAGCCCAGGGAGCTCGAGACCAGCCTGGGCAACATTTCTCTATAATTTTTTTTAAATTAGCTGGGCGTGGTGGTGCACACCTGTAGTCCCAGCTACTTGGGAGGCTGAGGAGGGAGGATTCCTTGAGCCCAGGAGTTCAAGGCTGTAGTAAGCTATGATCACACCGCTGTACTCCAGCCTGGGCAACAGAGCAAGACCCTGTCTCTAAAAAAGAAAAAAGTAAAAGAAGAATAAGATGCTAAGAGAACTGTAATGTGCAAAGAAATGTACTAAGGAAGGGAGATTTATCCCAGTGAAAGTCCTGGGTGAAAAACCCAGTGAGGATCACTGAAGTCAGGGCATGTACAATGAAGCTGTAGAAGAAGATGAGACTCAACCTCCAGCTTCGTATAAGTTGACCCTTCCAGTCAGAGGGGAGTGTTGAATTTTCAATCAGGAGATCTTAGTTCTAATCTTAGCGCAGGCAAGGTTCTCAACCGTGGAGCCTCAGTTTCCTCATCTCCAAGATGGAAACCCTGGGTCACCAGCCCTAAGAACCCAACGGGGTTCTTGAGCATCTCAAGTGAAAACGTCAGTAAACCAAGTGAAAACTGAAAGACTGTAAACATCTGTTATTACTGCACAAAAGGGATGAAGTAAGAGATACATGAATGTGTAAATGGAGGCCAGAAGTGGATTAAGGGCTTAGAATTGTGGGTGCAACTCAGCAACCGTGAATCATCAGGGGATCTGAAGCAACAGCAGTTTCCAGTACAAGGAACCCCTAAGATTTCGAGGAGATTTGGAGTCAGAGGGTTTTATACATGCCCAAGCAATTATGGCTTATTTTACAACCTTTTATAGAACAAAGGCGATTGAAACTCACTGAATATCCCAAAAAGGATTGTGATTGATGCTGGAGCTACTAGAGGGCCATTTATTCACAATTCACAATAATTAGGAAGGCAAGATGTTTTGGGGTGCTGGCCAGGAACTGGGAGACAAGCAGGCCTAGGTAGAGGCACAATACGAAATCTTTTTTAAGGACATGTACGTAAAATTTGATAAACCATATAACGCCTCTTCTATCTTCCTGTACCCAAGATTCTGCTCCTCGATTCTTACTGGCACATCAACTTGCTACTCTGGCTTTATTTGAGCTGACATGATTACAACACTGTTCTGAAAACAAAAAGGTGCTGCCTCTGCTCTAGCCCTCATACTTGAAGTATTTGTTTACGTCTGTTGTTTCTGAACTGCGAGTCCATCCAGGGCTGGGCCCAACCCTTATTCATCTTTATAGGTTTCCCAGGCCTGTCACACTATAAACACTCAACAGAAGATTTGCTGAATTAAATCCACTAGCCATACCACCTTGGATAAGCAACAACTTCTTATAAACTGAAGTTTTCTCATTGATTAAACAAAGGATGTGGGCAAGGTACCCTCCAGCTCCAACAAATGCAAAAACAACAGAATGTTCTGAAAACACAAAAGCACTGTCTGGAGACACATTGTAACTTTTATGCATTTCATGCAATAGAAAAATGTATAGAATTAAATCTGATTCATATGTCAATTTTTAAATAAACACTTATTTTTAGGTATTAGATCCATTCCTTTGTTAGGCAATGAAATATAAAAGCAGCCTAAGGTTTTACATATGGAAAAACTATACATGCCGGTTACCCTAAAATAACATTTATTTGGATTAAAAAAAAATGTTAATTCTGACATTTCCTTTTAAACCGCCTCCCCTGACAGACTATATCTGGAATAACATTGACATAACAGAAACAAGTAAGTCTCTTTACAATGACTACAGTTTAACAAAGGCGCCTGTCTTTTTACCTTCCTTGTTTACTGAACAAAGGCAGCAAATGTAAGTACAGTTGCCCCAGCAGCTGGCAAGTTCTCTCCCATATGCGAAGAAGTTGTGGAACAGCTGGGGAATGCAAGATGCTTTTGAACAAGCTGCTATGTGATCCAAAATAACGCCGCCTGTTCATCTTCCGTACAATGGAAGCGACGGCCCAGCGCAGGTCTGGCGCATGCCCTGCAGCGGCTTCTTTCTTTCCAGATGGAGTGCAACAAGTGGCTACAAATGGAGTGAAATGCACAAAAGCAGGGATCTTGCTCCTAACTCTTTACACGCCTCCAATTGGTTATGCACGCAGCTCATTTTCCAGTGTGGGAGAAGCTGCATATCATATCCAGATGTAAAACCTACATAATGACAATCCCTCTCTGTCCTCCTGTCCATGCACTTTCTTGAAGATAATGTTCATGGTAACTACACATCGGGTGGTGTATAATGACATTATAACGTTTCTTTATGTTGCTTTAGTCCATATCAATTGTTTAAAAGAGCAAAACCCAAATCAAGAGGTATAAAATAGCAAAAAATGATCAGATGTATTATAAGAAATTATATCCATTATATATACTATATACATATAGATACAATATACGATTTTATATTTCTTGCATGTATATACAATATAGAGTATATTTGCTCATTTGAAAAACTTTCAAGTTTTTTTAACATATGAAATAGCTATACTGGTTGCTCATTAATTGTTCAGTTTAACTGACCTATGCTTCATGCTGTCATCTAAAAGTTAGTTTAGCAATTTTCAGATCATACATAGTTGACCATGTTTAAGGAAATATTTTTGAAATGTTATGTCTCAAACTCTCCTTCCTCTTCTATCAACTTGGTGGTTCACCTTTAAACAGACTATCAGAAAATACTACATTTTCCAAGGAAATGGTCCCTCTTCCCAGGATTAGGCCAGCACCATTTTCACAGAAGCAGATACATTTCTTTAGTGCCATTGATGGCTAGTGAATGAGAAAGGAGAATACATATTTCCTTTTCACCAGTTCATTTGGTTTGGGTTTTTGTTTTTTTTTTTTTAATTCCTACCATCTTGGCCATTAGAATACTGGGCTTTAAATTTAAGAGAAAGGGAAATGGCTGAAAGGCCCACCACAAAATTACACAGTGGCAAAACCAGGAGAAAAGCTCTACAGTTCTGGAGCTCCTTGTAAACTCCTTGGGCGACTGGACCAAGTTTTCCATCACTACCAACCTTTCCCTAGCCCCAACTTGCTGAGAGAAGGAGGAATCACTAACTGTACTATATTGCCATATTCACTAAGAACAGTCAGTTCAGGGCAACTAAGAACTACTTTACCTCTCTGGATGAGGGGAGGAAGGGAAGGATTCTGTTCTTAAACATCATCATTATTAGTTAACATTTGTTGAATAGCAACTATGTGCTAGGCACTGTGCCGAGTATCTCATGAATTATCTAATTTAGTCCTCATGGTTTGAAACCAGGAGGCACTATTATTATTCCTAGCTTGTTTTGTTTAGTTTTTTTACAGACAGCTGTCTAGCTCTGTTGCCCAGGCTGGAGTGCAGTGATGCGATCATAGCTCACTGCAGGCTCGAACTCTTGGGCTCAAGCGATCCTCCCACCTCAGCATCCCAAGTAGCTAAGACCACAGGTAATTTTTAAATATTTTGTAGAAACAGGGTCTCACTATGTTGTCCAGGCTGGTCTCAAACTCCTGGCCCCAAGCCATCCTCCCACCTCGGCCTCCCAAAGCCTTGGTACTACATGTGTGAGGCACGGCACCTGGCCTTTGATTTATGTTTTAAGAGAAGAAAGTGAAGCTCAGAGGCTAGGCAAATTGTCCAAGGCTGCAGACCTCTAAATGGTGAAGGCAGCAACCGAACCCAGCCATTCTTCCCAGACTTTCCAGGCTTGCCCTCATCAGCGTGCCTGGCTGCCTCTACCTAGGACGTTCCAAGTCCCTGACTGTCACGCCAGAGTTGCAAACATCTTTCTTGAAGGCAATACATTTTAAGTACATTCAGGACAATGCCAAAGTCCTATTTTGTAAACTTGAGCTCAAATGTTGTATAAAAGTTGTGGATACAACCATATCCTTGGATCCCTCAAAGAAATTCTGAGGTTTTAACTTATCAGTCAGTAAGGTGGGCCATTATTTCCAAAGCATACTTCACTCAATTTTAAACGCACATTCAGCACAGTGGCAAAGTCACACACAGCTTAAACAAGGTGGGAACTGCAGCTCCTTGCAAAAGAAAAGGCAAACAGAGCTCCGTGCTGTGTAGAATTCCTGACTCCAGGCCCACCTGCCTGATGAAACACTGCAAAAAGCAAAGGACAGCTATTTCCACCTCTCTTTGGAACTGTCATAATTCTAAAGGTTTGGGGAGGAAACCTTAGTTCTCTTCATATACATTAAGTTTTAAATATGAGTTGGTTTAGCTATGGCACTGGCATTAACACAAGCCAGAGATAGGTGGAAAGTCCATCAAGCCCTATAGCCTAGCATAATCAAACCTGAACCCCGGGGTACAGCACACACCCAGCAGTCCATAAAGCGCTCTTCAGTAACCGACTTTGTCAAAAATAAAAAAATAACCTGGAAGAATAAACAGTCCTCTTTGGAACAGGGCAGACTCTTGGATCTGTTAACCTCTTTAAGCCTCAGTTTCCTCATCTGTGAAACAGAAATAACCTCCTGGGAAGAGGTTGTAAGGTTTAAAGAGAAAATGAAGAGCCTTCCACATTGTGTAGGGGAGAGTCCCTGGTCCATTAGCCCTTCATAAAAACCAGTGCCTGCCCTTTCCTTCCAACAGAAGAAGGGGGTGGAGGCAGATAAGACAAGACACGAAAACGTGAATTCCATCGATTGACTGCGAGGGGCTAGGGTTCACAGCAAGCAGAACGTCCTGGGTTTCTCTTCAATACCACCTCCTCCTCTCCTGTTCAGATGCTGAGAAACATCTGGCGCAGTAGAGATGCTGCCTCTGACATTTCTATGACAAAACGCGTGCCTGTGCTAGGGTTTGCACAGGCACAAGTTATCACAACCTCGGGATGGGGCTGGGGATGGCGGACAGGAGCTCCTTTAATTTCCCCAGCTGGCCTCTCCCCTTGTGAGGAACTTCTCATTGCAATAAACTGTCAGACTTCACAAGATCTCTCATGCCAACGCCTGAAGCTCTTAATCCCGCACCTGACCCAGATTGCGGCCTGGACTGGAGCCTCCCCGCCGCTCACTCACTGTAATGCAATTACCGCCTTCTGGAGCTCCACTCGGGGTGCCAGGGACTGCTGGCTGTCACCCGGGGACTAAACCACTCCCTTCGGGGAGCCCGCACGCGCGCAGAAACGTGGGCAGCTGGGGTGGCCTGGCGCACCACGCATCGGGTTCAAACCCGCGCGGGCCCTGCGGAGGCGCCGGTCTGGGACCCCGGGCTGGGGCGCGGGAGCCACCGCAGCTCCGGCCACTTGCGGCTGGTGTCGGGAAAGGAACCGGGCGATGTCGTAGTTCTGATCACTGGCGCGCCACTCCCCGGGCCACCCGCCTCCCCGCCATGCTCTCAGCGTAACGGGCAGCCGCGCTAACTTCCCGAAACTCCGCGGAGAGAAACCCTGCCCCGGCCCGCTCCTCCCCGAGGCGCGCTCCGGGGACGGAAGTGGGTGGGAGCCGCGGCCGCGCCGCGCCTTTGTTACGGCTCGGGGACCCCGCGGGCCGAGCGCAGCGCCCCGTCGCAGCGGCCCGGGCACCCGCCGGCCTCCACCCCCGGGAGGCGCCCCCGTTCCCGCTTCGGTCCCCGGCAGGGCCTCCCGCAGCCAGAGCGAGACTGACCCGCGCCTCCCGCCCCGGAGCAGAGCGCAGCGGCGCGTCCTGGCGTCTGCCGGCCCCGGCTCCGCGCGCCCCTCGGCCACCGCGCGGAGGGACTTTGCTCACCTACCCGGCTCTTCCACACCTCCCGGTGGCAGGATCGCCGCTTCCCGCCGACAGCGGCTCGGCGGCCCCGACTTCTCAGCAGCGCCGCGGCCACGCCCCGCCTCGTTCCCACCGCGCGGGGAGCGGGTCCCCGCTCGGGATGATTCACTTCGCTCCTTACCTGGAGGCTCGCGCGTCCCCACCCCTTGCGACCCGCGCGGCGGCCGGGAGCTGGCGCCCTCTGCTGGGCCACCAGGCGGGAGCACCCTCGGACTGGGCAAGGATCGGGCGGAGAGGGTGGGGACACAGAGGGGGGCCAAGCACAAGCACCCCTGCCTCTCTCAACGCGGGCACCCCTTCCCAAAACAGGGGCCAGTGCGCGGGGACCACGCTGGGACGACTCTCGGGGGAAGCACCAGAGCTGTCCCCACGCCCCAGGACACGAACTCGCGCCCGGAGCCGACCCCCTCCACGGCCAGCGGGTCCAGCCGCGTCCTCGGAGGTGGCCCAAGGAAACCGCGATGAATCGGCATAAGCACGTCCTATCTTAAAACACCGGAAAGGCAGATTTTACTTTGTTTGGAAACTAAGTTTGTGTCCTGTGTCTCAGTAGCTCTCAGGGTGGTGGCAGTCACGCCCCCCCGGTCCCAGGGCTGGGAAGATGCTTGGGCTAGCCCCCGCTGCAGCCCCGGAGATGCGGGGCTTTAGGATCCCAGGGGCTGGAGGCCAGGGCCGCCCTATCGCTCTCCCGGCCGGGGGTGTGGCTGTCCAACTCGCTCTGTCGCCCGAGTGAACTCTTCCAGCAGGTTGGCCTCTCAGGCTGTCCCCTGAGGACCTGAGCGAAACTCTGGAGGGGACCAGGAAGAAGGGAGAGAGGACATCTCCGAGACCTTCCCGGGGGTGCGCCCACACTCACGCGCCCACACTCGCGTCCCCACCTTCCCCCCCGTCTCACCTCCGCGCGCTCCTGCAGAGCCCGACTGCGCCCGCCCTCCTCGCCCACCTGCCGGGCCCGGGCCGGGGGTGCACACTAGCGCGGGGCCTTGGTGGTGCGGCACCGTCCCCTGCCCAAGCTGGCTCTCGAGGAGGTGTGGGCCCCGGGAAAGTCGGCCAGGGCCACTGTCGCCGTCGCCGCCGGAGCAGAGCCAGTGGCGAGCTCGTCAGGGCGGACCGGGCGCCTCCGTCCCCGAGAGCCGGCGCGCGAGTCCCGGCCAGCGGGCAGGCGCCCGGTATTAATTGTAGGGCCCCCGGGTGTCGGCCGCCAGGCGCTCTGAGTGGCTCGGACCGCGCGCCAGGCCGGCGGGGCCGGCGCCACCCACCCCCTCGGCGCGCGCCCGGCCCAGGGACGCGCCCACGCGCACGCGCCCAGCGGCTCAGGGCTCCCTGGCTCTCACCGGCTCTGCTGCCCGGAGGCAGCCGCTTACCCTGGAGCCCTGAGAGGCCCCTTTGAGTCTCCAGACCTTCCAGGGATAAATAAAATCTGGCGACCTGTGCCAACGCTGTGGGCCAGTTGCAAAGGAGACCGTCCTTGCTGGCCACGCGCACCTGTGAAAAAGTCGCGGGACCCCCCAATCCCCTCCACCTGGACCGAACCCTGCCTCGGTGGTTCTCGCACTTTAGCTACACCAGAGTCCTCCAACGTTTGTGAAAACACCATGACTGCCCCTCTTCGTGCCCCCTCCAGTGTCTGATTCTGTAAGACTTCTGTGGGGCCCGAGAATTTGCACTTCGAACAGATTCCCAGGTGATGCTGAGGCAGCCGCGAAGATTGAGAGTTAGGGCTTGTAAAAGTGCTTGGTAAACGGCAGAACAGTAGATAAGTAGATAAATTTCAACCTGTTAAGTATGTTACTTGTCTGTTTCAGTAGGTAGAGGTAGTTGTGCTCCTCTGAGTGTTAGACTACTTTATGTTTCCTCCTGAATATGCACCATCAGACAAAAAAGAAAAGCGAGTGTTTTTGTTTGCTCTAAAAGACCACAGATTGGGTGGCCTAAGCAACAGAAATTGATTTTCTCACAGTCTTGGAGTCTGGAAGACTGTTCTGGAGATCAAGATGTGGTCAGGGTTGGTTTCTTCTGAGGCCAGTCTCCTAGGCTTGTAAATGGCTTTTTGTGGCGTCTTCACAAGGCCTTCCCTCTGTGTCTGTGTCTTAATCTTTTCTCCTAAAGACACTATATGACTTCATTTTAACTTAATCACCCCTTTAAAGACCCTGTCTCCAATTGCATGCCTTTTTTTTTTCTGAGACAGAGTCTTGCTCTGTCACCAAGATGTGTGTCACCTACATCACATTTTTAAGTAGTGAGGGTTAGGACCTCAACATATGAATTGGGATTGGGGGAGCGGGGAGGGTGCACAATTCAGTCCATAACTGTGAGCTCCATTGCTCCTAAGATGCTAGAATAAAAATTGGACTTCAGGGCCGGGCGCGGTGGCTCACGTCTGTAATCCCAGCACTTTGGGAGGCTGAGGCGGGTGGATCACGAGGTCAGGAGATCGAGACCATCCTGGCTAACATGGTGAAACCCTGTCTCTACTAAAAATACAAAAAATTAGCCGGTCGAGGTGGCGGGCGCCTGAAGTCCCAGCTACTCGGGAGGCTGAGGCAAGAGAATGGCGTGAACCCGGAAGGTGGAGCTTGCAGTGAGCAGAGATCGCGCCACTGCACTCGAGCCTGGGCGACAGAGTGAGACTCCTTCTCAAAAAAAAAAAAAAAAAGAAAAGAAAAGAAAAGTTGGACTTCAGCCTCCCCTATCCCCTACTCCATCTCATGCCCTCCACGACAAGCTGACCTGTGGACTCACACATTGTCAAGTGCTGTGAAGGGAAGCTGGGAGGATTGAAAATGCAGTAAGGAAACAGCCCTCTCAACTCGATTTGTGGTCACAGCAGTAGCAGCGACACTCCAGTGTGGAAAAGAATATAGGGGATCTATCAGGAATTTGAGACCCTTTACCAGCAAACATTTCAGAACCGGCCTCTTAGCCTTTGTTAGCGATTCAATCCAGAGTCACCCTTGCCCAGTCTGCCCTCTGCCTACTCCCCATGTCATTGTCATCCCCCATGGGCTCCATAATTAGAGACTGTGGTGAATAAATATGCCTAAGACGCCTCATTCCGCCTGCCATCTATGGGAGCTCTGACACATTTACAGCTGGGGTAGACAGGAAGGATGTGAGGATGAGGACTTCGATGCTGACCCCACACTACCTAGAGACATCTGAAAAAAGTCATCTTCCACAAATTGGTCATTGCCCCAAATTAAGCGCACTTACTGATCCTACTTTGTAACTTTTCTTTGTGGCTTCATCCAACCCTTGATTTATTCTTTTTTTTTTTTTTTTTTTTTTCGAGACAGGATTTCACCATGTTAGCCAGGCTGGTCTCGAACTCCTGGCCTCAAGTAATCCGCCCGCCTTGGCCTCCCCAAGTGCTGGGATTATAGGCATGAGCCACTGTGCCCAGCTGAACCCTTGACTTCTTAACACCAAGCCAGGCCCTCCCCAAGCTCCAGATCCAGTGGCTGCTGGATCACCACAGACACTCCAAGCACAGTAATGTGTGGCCATAATTGAACTCTTCCCCACACTTTGTTTTCCCTGTATTACCCATCTGAGTGGATGGCACCAGCTCCACCATAGTCGTGCCTGCTAGAAACCCGGGCATCATCTGAGAGAAGACCCTCTGCCACACCCTTTACACCTCACCAGCTTCAATTGGTTTCATACAGCGTCCCTGATGCCTCCCAGAGGCCTCCTTCTTTCCCACTCCCACCACTATTGCCTCAGTCCAGGCCCTTCTACTATTTCCCCTCTGGCTTTTGACGCCAGCCTCCTGATCCCTGCTCCAGCCTGGCTTCTGAGCCAGCATCCCCCACACCATATCTTCAGTGATCTTTCAAAAACAGAAACCTGATGACCCTGCAGGCCTTCTTAAACTCTCTCAATGGATTCCCTGGATGTTCCAGGAGAAATACGCAAGCTCCGTGGCCCATCTCTGGCTATGGCCTCATCTGCACCCTTCACTCCAACCATAGGGACCACTTGTGCCCAATGCCCTGCATATTCAAGAGGTTCCATGCTCTCTGAACACACTTGCTTGGTCTAGAGAGAAGGTGTCACCTCCTTTCCAGCCTCCTCCAGGAGTCACCAACTTCAAGAAGCCTGCCTGCTTCTTTCTGAACTAAGGACCCCCTTCTGCTCCCACAGCACCCAATTAAGTTGCAGTCATAGCCATCAAATGTTGGACTGTAATCACCAGGTCACTTCTCTGTGTCCTTCATTAACCTGTGAGTTGGGGGAGGGCAAAGGTCTTACCCATTTTTGCAAGTTTGAAGTCTAGATTAAACTTGATGCTCCAAAAAAATTATGTGTGTGTGTGTGTTTGCTTTAATGAATGAATGAATTCTTAGAAAGTCAGAGGATTTGTTCAAACATAGCTTTTGTTGCAAATACCTTATTTGGGGCAATCCTCACTTCCTTGATAATACTTGTGAACATTCTCCCTTAAGTCACCTCCTAGTGAAAATATAGTTTCATCTTTTAGAATCCCTAATTAGCTTCTATGCCTTCTAAATATTCTGGGTTCCTTACACAGAGCTTTTCAAACTGTGGGTCCTGGAATCAATTTTGTGGATAAAGACCAGCTTTATTATTATTACTTTTTGATAAAACAGAAGTAGAAGTAAAAACACGAAAGTACATCCTACATAGTAAGAAAAAGCATTGAACCCAGGTATGGTGGCTCACGCCTGTAGCCTTAGCTACTGAGGCCAAGGCGAGAGACCGGGAGTTAGAAACCAGCCTGGGCAACATAGCGAGACCCTGGCTCCAAAAAAAAGGAAGTATTGTTTTCATGAAATCTTTTGTTTCAGTTCACTGTATTTATGAGTTGTATGTATTTATTGTATTTATGTGTGTGCAGGGTTGTTGTGTTGTCAAATGTATTCCTCCCTGTGGGTCACAGTTAAAAAGCTGAAGTGACAACTGCCTGAGGCAGTGCTGGAGCTGTGCTCACCAGAGAGCCCAGATTTATGGAGCTCTTGGAGAGGGGTACAGTTAAGCAAAGCTTGGAGAGTGAAACACAGTGCTCCCTCTGCAAACAGTAGGTGCTCTGTAAAGGCTTGTATGGCCTGGAGGTGGGTAAAAATGTACAAGTTGGGTGTGGGAAGTCCCCTTGGCTGGAGTCTATTGGGGAGTAGGCAGAAATGATGCTAGTGACACAGAGAAGGGAAGAGAGACTGGTTTGCTGCTAGATGCAGCCGTTGTTCTCCAAGGTTCCCAAACAAAGGCAAGAGGTACAGGGACGTGGGATTTCCTAATCCAGTTTTCAGCACGAATCTTCCAAGATTAAAAGTCTGTTATGAAGCTAACCTTCACTGAAATAAAAGTACTGCTTTCTCTGTGTTAAGAGTCGGAGATCTAAGAAGCCCAGGGCGGCCTGCAGCACTCAAAACAATGTGTTCTGTTAACCAGCAGAGCTTTCTAATCTCTGATAGTCCGCTAGTCTGGAAGGCCTATTGAGAGGGGCAGAGATGAGATAGGGTTATATAACAAAGAAAAATAACAAGCAGTCCTTAGAAAACTATAACCTTGATAGTTATGCCAAGTATTTCCATCCATATTAAAAGCCTTTAACCAAGGAACCTAGATCCAGCCCACAAATATTTAGAAGGGAAGGTTCTCACTCCCTAGTCTAAAGTTTAGAATCTGTAAAAGAAGGTTGCCATGTAAATAAAGAATACATATTATTGCTCCTCATTTGTTGTTGTTGCTTTAGTTATTCTGGTCTGGGCAGATTAGAAAAATTGAAACTTGGGCCAGGGGAATGTGGACTTAAAAAAAAATTTTTTTTTTTAAAGGGAGACAAATAGCGTGGGCCAGAGACAGCCAAAATTATAATAAAAAAAAATTCTGGAAGACAGCTTCTCTATTCTCCTACTTTTAAAAAGAAATACACTTAGCCATGAATATTATTATGGAATTATATTTTGAATTTGGAAGATGGACAAAATCTGAAAGAAATCAGACTGTGACAAGCATGAATTTTAACAAAACTTTAAAATGGGTTCCAGATTATTCAACTTCTTTAGTTTTCGGGATGGGAAATAAACAGGATGCTTTGGCAAAAAAAAAAAAGTGGTTTTGAAAAATTTCTGGAGGCTGAAATATTCTTATTCTTTGATATTATTTCTAATATCAGCCATGTTTCAGCCATTGAAACTAAACTAGATGGGTGTCAGTTGAATTTCTTTTTCTAAATACAGAGAAGACTTTTTAACTATTACTATACTTTAAATATAGTTTGACCACACCAAAACTCCTGCTGAAATTTGATCTCCAATGTGGCAGTGTTGAGAGGGAGATCCTAGTGGGAGATGTCTGGATGATGGGGGCAGATCCCTCATGAATAATAGACTCCCATAAGTTTGAGTTCTCACTCTCACTGGAATGCATTCATTCCCAAGAGAGCTGGTTGTTAAAAAAGAGTCCAGCTTCCTTGGTTTCTCTCTGTTGCTTCTTCTCTCACCATGTCATCTTTTTGCACACATCCACTCCTCTTCTACTTTCTGCCAGGTGTGGAAGCAGCCCAAAACCCTCACCAGATGCAGCTGCATAATCTTGGACTTGACAGCCATCAAAATCATGGGCCAAGTAAACCTCTTTTCTTTATAAATTAGCCAGTCTAAGGTATTCTGTTAAACTAACACAAAATGGACTAAAACAGCTATATTTCTTTTTTTGTTCTTTTTTTTTTCTTTTTCTTTTTTTTTTTTTTGAGACAGAGTTTTGCTCTTGCTGCCCAGGCTGGAGTGCAATGGCATGATCTTGGCTCACCGCAACCTCTGCCTCCCAGGTTCAAGTGATTCTCCTGCCTCAGCCTCCCAAGTAGCTGGAAGTACAGGTTCCTGCCACCATGCTCAGCTAATTTTTGTGTTTTTAGTAGAGATGGGATATCACCATGTTGGCCAGGCTGGTCTTCAACTCCTGACCTCAGGTGATCCACCCACTTTGGCTTCCTAAAGTGCTGGGATTACAGGCGTGAGTCACTGCACCCAGCCTGATTTCTAATTGTATAATTAATAAACGCTTCTTTAATATCTTAAAAATTCACAAGAGTTTGGGTAGTAAGAGGAATACATAAACAAAGGTTTTAATTAAAATTAACAGTATAGGTGGGGCAGAACTAATTTAGCAGGAGTTGCTCCTCCTTTTCAAAGCAGCTGTCATAGCTAGAGGTCATGTAGTTATTTCTTTATGCTGCTGCCTCTTCGGGCACTATCAACTATCTTTTGGCTATTAAAATTAATGGCAAACCTTTGTCCTCTGAGGGAAATGACTGAATGTGGATCAGAGTCAGCTACATTGGGGAACAATGCCATCTTTGGCCAAAGGGGTTGTAAAAAGCATACCACAAGTCACAGAAGGCTCTTTTAGGCCCTCATGGTAAGAGATGGCCAAAAATCCATGAAAAGGGATTTATCAGCTTAACCCAACAATACGTAGCATTCATTAGGATGCGACATCTCCCTGCACCAGTACATTGCTTTTCTTTCAGAGTTAGAGTCTTGCTCTGTCACCCAGGCTGGAGTGCAGTGATGCAATCATAGCTCACTGCAGCCTCGAACTCCTGGGCTTAAGCAACCCTCCCACCTCAGCCTCCCAAGTAGCTGGGACTGCAGGCGTACACCACCATGCTCAGCTAATTTTTGTAGCGACAGTCTCACTATATTTCCCAAGCTGGTCTTGAATTCCTGGCCTCAAGCAATTCTTCCACCTTGGCCTCCCAAAGTGCTGGGATTACAGGCTTGAGCCATCATGCCCAGCCCACTTGGCTTTTGCCTGCTCTCTACCTCACCTGCCACTCCCTCCTTCCAGCCTCCTGTTGGCTGTCATTTCTTTTCTAGTTGAGCACCGTAGTTTATCTGCTTCTCCATCCTCCAAGGGTTACAGAGCCAGCCAGCTTGGGTTCAAAGCTGTGTCACTTTGGGCCAGTTATTTAATCTATAATATCTATTGATCAGTTACAAACTGGGGATTATAATAGTACCCCGTTCTAAGGACAGCTGTGAAGAACTTCCGATAATATCTTAAACATAGCAAGTGGTTAATAAATACTGACTTTTCTTAGTTATTGTAAATTAAAATTCCAGCCACTGTTCCTTCATGGAGTCACCTATTTGAATGAAAGTCACTTGAGGCTTTTTCAGTGTTGTCAGCAGTGTGAGGATGCTGGGACAAGACTTTCATGCATTGTCACATGCATTTCACTTGTTTGTTGTGGAAAATTCTTACTGAGAACTTTAGGCCTATACAAGATGCTAAATAGAAAGTTATAGATCAGCCTCTTTGGATTTGAGATAAGAAAGGAAATAGACATCATTTGTAGTCACTACCAGATGAAGTCTGAGGACGTCCACATTATATTTATATATTGCCTTTCCCAATAGACTGTCAGTTCCTCAACAGCCAACCACCAGTGCTTTGACTGAGAAGAAATTATTCACCCTTTGCCCTTGGTTTCCTTTCTCTTTTTCTTTCTTTCTTTCTTTTTTTTTTTTTTTTTTTGAGATGGAGTCTTGCTTTGTCACCCAGGCTGGATTGCAATGGTGCGATCTCAGCTCACTGCAAACTCCACCTCCCGGGTTCAAGCAATTCTCCTGCCTCAGCCTCCCAAGTAGCTGGGATTACAGATGCCCGTCACCATGCCCAGCTAATATTTGTATTTTCAGTAGAGATGGGGTTTCACCATGTTGGTCAGGCTGCTCTAGAACTCCTGACCTCAGGTGAACCGCCTGCCTCAGCCTCCCAAAGTGCTGGGATTATAGGCATGACCCACTGTGCCTGGCCCCTGGATTTCCTTTCTAAGCAGTGTCCAAAATCCCCAGAGTTTCTTAGCTAATATTCTGCCACACACCATCAGCAGAATGCCTCAGGAGTGCTCCTCAAAGGTGACCTTCAGGATCTTGTGCCAAGAGTTCAAACAGAGACATGTCTGGGGACCCCTGCAAAGAGCTCAGTTGTGACAGCTGAGTAGAAGTGAGCTGGTGAAGAAGGGTGGAAAGGTAGAAAGAAAACTCCTGGCCGGGTGCAGTGGCTCACACCTGTAATCCTAACACTTTGGGAGGCCCAGGCAGGCAGGTCACCTGAGGACAGGAGCTCAAGCCCAGCCTGGCCAATAAGGCAAAACCCTATCTCTACTAAAAATACAAAAATTAGCCAGGCGTGGTGGCGTGCACCTGTAGTCCAAGCTACTTGGGAGGCTGAGGCAGGAGAATCGCTTGAACCCGCAAGGCGGAGCTTGCAGTGAGCCAAGATCGCGCCACTGCATTCCAGCCTGGGTCACAGAGTGAGACTCTGTCTCAAAAAAAAAAAAAAAAAAAAAAAAAGAAAGAAAAATAAAAAACTCCAGGAAGAGTTTCTCCCAGCATGTCAAGGGTCTTGTTCTATTCATTATTTGCTTCACATAGCAGACATTCATTTTTATGCCAGCACTCAGCCACCTGAGTGACCTTGAAAGTACCACCCCTACCTGCTGCAGCGTTGGTCCAGTAAGTTTATCCCTGTTTTCATAGGACAGAGGAGAGCCAGCTTTATCCCCTTCTAGTGACCCCTCGAACAGTATACTCCCCTTCCTTGGCGCTCATTACAGACAGTGGTGAACATATTACTACCAGACAACAATCCATGCTGTTTTGAAAGTTTCCTGACATTCTTTAAAGACTCATGTAAGTTAAAGCCATATGCAACAATTGAAGCCCGTTTCCTCCTCTGTTCCTGGGTGAGACAGCAAACCGCTGCTTGTTGATCACACCAAGGCTAATAATCCTTCATGGAGCTGAGGATGCTCCTGCTTTTCTTGTGTCCCTCAGCTACTGCAGAGAGAAGACTTTTCTTATCAGTTCACCCCTGTTTATTAAAAACAGCCCTTTTATCTTCCTTACAAAAACTTGCGGCCGGGCGCGGTGGCTCACGCCTGTAATCCCAGCACTTTGGGAGGCCGAGGCGGGCGGATCACGAGGTCAGGAGATCGAGACCATCCCGGCTAAAACGGTGAAACCCCGTCTCTACTAAAAATACAAAAAATTAGCCGGGCGTGGTAGCGGGCGCCTGTAGTCCCAGCTACTTGGGAGGCTGAGGCAGGAGAATGGCGTGAATCCGGGAGGCGGAGCTTGCAGTGAGCCGAGATCGCGCCACTGCACTCCAGCCTGGGCGACAGAGCGAGACTCCGTCTCAAAAAAAAAAAAAAAAAAAAAAAACAAAAAAACTTGCCTAACTATAAACCAGGATTTTATTTAATGTGGCAGGATAAAAAATAAGTCATTCTGCCTTTCAGTAGAAACTAGAATAACACAGGAAATAAAAGGCCAGCAAAAAGTCAGAGGCTGGCTGAGTTTTTTCCTGCTGTGGATACTGATCCAAGACGTGCCTTCTGACTCTAACCTGATATGCTTTGGAGCGGATGACATAAGAAAAGGCTTAAAGAAAACTAACTCCAGAAAATTAAAGCCAAAGGACTTGCTTAGCCATGACATAAAGCTCATCAGAATCCATCCAAGGGAATCCTATAAAAATCAACAGGGCTGACACGTCATGCTTGGAGGAAGTCTATCTGCAATAGCTCAGTTGATACAACCAGGAGATTTGCAGACAAGTTACAGGAATAGCTCATGACCTTGACCTAAAAGTTGCACTTAAACCCTACAGGCACATCCTTCAAGAGGGCTCAAAGAGAATCAGCAGGAAATCTGTGCCGAAGATCAAAATCTGGGGGTAATCATAGGTCTTAAGAATAGTGCTTTCCTCCAGACAGTGTAATAGATCTTTCCTAAGAGATTAAGACTACAGCTGCTGAGCTGGCCAGCAAAATGCCCATGTTGCCAGGGCTGCAGGCTCAGTTTTCCAGGGTGGTGGGCAGGTTTGGCAGTGAATCTTAGACATCATGTGCACTTTCTGATCATTGCTGCTGCTGTGTTCTTGCCACTCCCTTGTCGTCCCCAACTCAGCCCCTCCTCCACTCCAGTCTGCTCTTCTTCCCAAAGTTAATAGCAAGACAGTAGGATTAGTTAGGTTCCTTTCAGCTAATGGGAAGTCCAGGGCCTTTTAGGATAGTCTTAGTCCGGTGATACTAGGTCTGTTTCCCTGTAGGTTGTTTTTGTGAGCTTCACCCCCAGGCTGGTGGCTGCTGGTCCTAGGCCTCTGTCTGTGCTTGAGAATGTCCATAAGAAGAAAGAAAAAGTCACTTCTGGAAGTCTTTTTTTTTTTTTTTTTTTTTTGAGACAGAGTTTCACTCTGTTGCCCAGCCTGGAGTGCAGTGGTGCAATCTCAGCTCACTGCGACCTCCGCCTCCCAGGTTCAAGCAATTCTCCTACCTTGACCTCCCAAGTAGCTAGGATTACAGGCTCCTGCCACCACACCCAGCTAAATTTTTTTTTTTTTTGTATTTTTAGTAGAGATGGGGGTTTCACCATGTTGGCCAGGCTGGTCTTGAACTCCTGACTTCAGGTGATCCGCCTGCCTCTGCCTCCCAAAGTGCTGGGATTACAGGTGTGAGCCACCGCGCCCAGCCTGGAAGTTTTGTTTAAAGGAGACAGAAAAATAACTTTCCCCGAAGCCCTCAGAAACTTAGAGCTTTTGTGTGTGTGTGTGTGTGTGTGTGTGTGTGTGTGTGTGTGTGCCATTAGCTTTAGTTACATGTGTTGCTCCCTAAATGAATCACTAGAAAGGGAGGGGGCAGTACCTCTTGACCAGTCAGCCCCACCCTGGAGTTGAGGACTTTGACTGTGTTCTATTGAGGCCCATGAGGGTGGTGGTGGTGGGGAGTTGGGGGGAGGGGTCGAGGCGGGGGAGTGGAGAAAGGGAAAACATGAGCAAAATTGGGGTTCTGTTACCAAAGAAAAAAGAAAGAAAAGAAGATAGAAAGTCGACGAAGGAGGCAGTTGTGATGTCCTCTTGATATGTCCACAGGACATATCACTATTTTATATATATATGTATATATATATATATATATTTTTTTTTTTTTTTGAGAGAGAGAGAGAGTCTTACTCCATCACCGAGGCTGGAGTGCAATGACATGATCATGACTCACTGCAGGCTCGACCTGTGGGGCTCAAGCCAGCCTCCCACCTTAGCCTTCCGAGTATCTGGAACTAAAGACACATGCAAGCATGCCCAGCAAATGTTTGTGTTTTTTGTAGAGATGGAGTTTCACCATTTTGCCCTGGCTGGTCTTAAACTCCTGAACTCAAGCAATCCTCTTGCCTCAGCCTCCCAAAATGCTGGGATTACAGGTGCGAGCCTCTATGATTATTCTTAATGATAATCACAAGAGCTATGGCTGTCTTTATGCTGTTCCCCACATTTTCTGTCTCTCTGGGCACGTGGTGGCATTGTACTTCTTGGCTCCCTTGTGGAGCCCTATCATTGGGTCTGGCCAATGGGCTGTGAACAGAAGCGATGTATGTGACTTCTGAGCCAGAGCATTTGATAACCTGTGCTGGTTTCTTCAGAGAGAGTTTCTTTCCCCTATCACAGGGGCCAGCAATTCTCCCTGTCACCCTGGGCCCTGGAGGGGAGACAATGAAGAGTAATGAGCAAGTAGCATGGTAAAGAAACAATACACTTTGATGTTTTGATAATTTGTTACGGTAGTGAAAGCCTAGTATCTTTTGACTGATACAATAGCTAACATCTGTTGAGTGTTTGCTGTGCTCCAGGCATGTGGTCACACATTATCACCATTCCCTATAGATATGAGAAACCAAAAGCTGTAGAGGCTCCTCTCATCTACCCACAGCCACAGAATGACTTTATCCCTGGTAATTTGTACAAATTAGTTTGCCTAAGTATGTATCTAAGTGCAGATTGCCCAATGACACAATAGATAAATGTCCTAAGGATTTTGGAGCAGCAACCAAGTGAGTTTTGGGGTGTGCGTCTGTGTGGGTGTGTATGTAGGGGGTATCAGAAATAATACAGGAACATTCAAGTGTACACATGCAGTGTGACTTCAGTAAGAGGAGAAAGGGAAAAGCATGCTTTGGGAATGAAATTCCCCGTGGTTCTCCTATGTTTCTGCACATCTTGTGATCACCACACCAACTGTCTTTTGTGCCAAACTACCTTTTCCAAGATGTTTATATAGCAGGTAGCCTTGGAGGATAGAGATAGTTTGTCTTCCAGAACAAACAGCAGGTATGCCCACCACTTTAGAAGGTGTACATAGTACCTGTCTCTGAAGCAAAGGCAGGCATACTAACTGTCCAGTATAGTAAAGACAGTGTCTCTCTCCAGAGCAAAGCAGACATGCTCAGTGCCCATTATAAAATATTTGGGTCCCTTATTAAACCAGGGTAGCTCTCCTGTAATGCAATCCACTGTGTGTGTGGCTGTCATTGCCCTGTAGGAATTGATGCTTGTAGTGCAAAAGTTCTGATATTCTCACTACTGCCATTGCTGTGAGTAATAAATTGTTCTTTGACTCTGACCCAGGAGTTTTGTGTCTCCTGCCAGCTACATGAAACTGTGGCAGGCTACCTTGTTAGCTTGCAAGAAGGGTAAAAATCTCAGACCCTTCATAATTTGTAACACATGTGGTTGTTTACGGAGAGGTCACGTTCCAAATACAGTTGAGAGAGAGGAGGTTGAGAAATTGTGCTTATGTCAGGACTTTTCCCAGAGAAAACTATCTTTTTCCAAGTCATCTATTTCTTATAGTTCTTTCTTAACTCTGGCACACTCAGATGATTGAAAACCTGAAGATCAGGCATGGCCTTTGTCCTGGGTTGCAGACAGGCTGGGCCGCTCTCACCCAGAAGAAGAAGTTTTCTTTGGAATCTTCACATCCACCTGAGAATCCTAGTGACCAGTTTGAGAGCATAAATCAGAATGCTACCCAGGGGGCATGATTTTCAAACTGCCTCAATGAAGGTCTGCTGTCCTTGTGGTCCCGCCTTCCTGTCTTCAAATATCAGAAAATCTTGGCACTCAAAGTTTCCAAATTGAAAATGAAATCTGCTCAGTAAGAATCCTATTCTAACAGAGCGTGGAATTGATCCTAGGAGTTTAGGATAAGCTTTAACTTCTAACTTCTAAATATTTCACCTGCCAGGTTCTGAATGAAGAAAACACTGCAGACAATCAGCAATTGGAGAACAAGGGTGTTTGCAGAGCTCTTTGCGAGGAGTTACACATTTTCCCACATAGTTCAGTATCAGATGTTTAAATCATTTTGTATAAAACACTGTGGAGTTATAAGAAGTCATTCATGAGATATGGGTGCAATTTTTTTTCCCCTTGCAAGAAACAAAGGCAAATTAAAACAACCTGCATGGAATTGAGACCATCCAGGAAATAATCATTAGACCAGTCCAGGTCACTGAATGAGATATCAGTGAATTTTTAAAAATGAGTCTTCACCATATTCAACTGCCTGTCAACCATATATTATCTGAATTTAAGAGATGCGTGGGGGAAAACCTTCTCTTGGAGAAAAAATGAATTGTCAGTATGACAGGATTCTGCAAAGATCTCAGCCCATCCACTTTTAAGTGTTGTTTATCTATTCATTAATTCAATTTGAAAAATTTATTGGATTCTTATTAATGTGCTAATCTAAAACAGATGTAATCCCTACCCTTAAAAGTGAAGTGTTTTATTTCAAAATATCTTAAGTGGTATGAAGAAAAAGTAAATAATGCTGTGAAAGCTTATAATAGAGTCCCTAACCACTTCTAGGAGGCTCAGGGAAGGATTCCCTGAAAATTCGGCACTGGAGCTGAAATCTCAAAACTGTGAAGGGATTCACTGCACAAAGAAGTTGGGGGTAGAATGAGGGTGATGGGGGAAGTTAGTTACTTCAGGCTACAAGAACAGCATGTTCAAAGGCCATGTGGCAAATTGCTTTTAGGATAATAAAAAGGGACAAGTCCAAAATTTGGGAAGGATTGAGGAACAAAATATGTAATGATAGGAGTAGATTATAAATCATAGACTAAAATAAATATCCATGAGTCCACAGTGATATTAGACACTTGAATAAATCAATTAATGGAGAAGGAAGGCTATTCATTACAGTAGAATTCTAGTGAATAAATGTAGAAGAAATGATAAAAATAGAAAATCACCATTTGGCAAGCACCAGTAATACTTATTTCATGAGAAAATCATCAGTTGATGCTAAAATTAGTAGGCAAAAGTATAATGAGAAACAGAATAATTACATAGACTCAAAATATCTGTCTCACCCTCCAACCCCAACACACACACAAGAGTAACTGTTACAGTGGAGAAATTTGCAGACACCATCCTAACCAAGGGCTCAAAGTTAATTTAACATCACCAGTAATGAGACACATTAATATCCTACACTTCCTGATATGATGCATGAGAAGAACACAACGTTACTTTGGTGATATTCTTGCCCTAGATTGTGTAGCCTGAACTTAAATGTGAAAAAACATCAGACCAACCCAGATCAGACCAACTAGATAAACAGTGATGGTCAAGGAGACAGGAACTGCTTCAGGTTGGAGAAGATTTTAAGGAGACATGACACCCACATGCAATGAGAAGTCATAGACTGGATCCTGAGCCAACTGGAGCAATTCAAATAAGTCTGTAGATTAGTTAACAGTATTGCATATTACTACTAATTTCCTGGTTTTGGTCATAGTACTATGGTTATGTAAGATGTTCACATTTAGCGAAGCTGGACAAAGGGTATATGAGAGATCTTTGTGCTATTTTTGCAACTGTTTTGTATGTCTAAAGCTATTTCAAAATAAGTTAAAGAAAGAAGGAAGAAAAAGAAAAGGGACAATTACAGAGTACAGAGAGGAAAAGAGGCAGGTCAGGTGGGCAGCTGGTGACCATGCGGGGATTTGTAAGGGATGTTGGAGCCTTGGGTCCTTATCCCAAGAGTAAAGGAAGACATTGAAAGGTTATAGATGGGGCAGCAACAGATCAGATTTGCATTTTCCAGAGATAATGCTGGCTGCAGTGGGGGAATGCATTGGAGGTAGGCTGGAATACATGTGGGGAGATCAGTGAGAGGATATTGCAAGAGTACAGGAGAGAGGAAGTTGCAAGCATGGTGTAGGGTGATGAGAGGGAGAATGGATGGGCATGGAGAGATTCTAGACATTCTGTATTTAGGAAGTACAGTTATTGAGTGACGTGGGCATGGAGAATAGTGGGGCATGGGTGCTGAGGATGACTATACATTTCTGGCTTACCCGACTAGAGAAACAGAAGCTATTCACCGAGAGAGAACCAACACTGGAAAAGGGAGAGATGTTTCAAGTTCACCCTTGGATACTTTGAGTTCGAAGTCCCTTTGATGGATTCAAATAGCAGTGGCAGAAAAGGCAGGTGGATTTTAGGAGAACGAAGCTCAGAGGCAAAGCTCAAAGTAGAAATGAAAATCGATTATTGTAGCAAATTGTCTCCAGAGCGAGGGGGAAAGAAAGACACGTAAACTAAATAGTTATGATTTATCCTGGAAAATACAAAACTTGAGTTACAAATAAAGTTCTGTGTAAGCAGAGAGGAGGAGTAGCTATGAATGTAGGTAGCTGAGACTGGATTTCACAAAGGAAGTGCTGTTTGAGATGAGCTTAGAAGGACGGGTAGAAGTTTGTTGGTGTCCATCTGAAGAAGGAAACTAAAGCAAAATTAATACAGAGAGTTTATTTGGGCCAATATTGAGGACTGCAGCCCTGAAAATACTGGGAAGTGCTCCAGAAAACAAAAAAGAGGCTTAATTTTTTAAAATCTTGCAAATGCAAATGCCTGTTAACAATCAAAAATCAATCAATGTAATACATATTAATAGAATAAGGACAAAACGATGATTATTTCAATTGACATGCAAAAGCATTTGACAAAATTGAACATTCATTCATGATAAATCTTCCAGAAATCTAGAAATAGAAACAACTTCCTCAATGTCCTAAAGGGCATCTGTGAAAATTTCAAACATCTGCTGAAGTATAATAATAGAGAACAGATTGATATTTTCAACTTTATGGTATTAAAAATTAGCAATAACAGGACAACTGATAAGGATAATATATTCACCTAGAAAACATTAAACACTTTTCTAAAAATGAAGAGGCTTAATTTTTTTTTTAAAAGGACAAATCAGGGGACAAGGTGATTACAAAAGTTGTGAAGAATTCTCATTGGTTTAAGAAATAATATTGATAAGTGATAGGCTATACATTGTTTATAAGGTAAGAGCTATGGTGTCCAGCATGTGGCGTTGTTAGGGTAATTTATGGCTACTTGGTGGCAAAACTTAGTCTAGAGTCCATACAGCAGGTGGTTTTGAACTTAGCTCAAGGTGGGGAGTAAGATGTTACTGCTATCTCAAACAAAACAAAACAAAACAAAACAAAAAACAAAGAAACAAAAAAAACTTTTTGTAGAGACAGGATTTTGCTATGTTGCTCATGTTGGTTTCAAACTCCTGGCCTCAAGCAGTCTTTCCACCTGGGCCTTCCAAGTGCCGGGATTACAGGCATGAGCCACCATGCTGTAGCCAGCTATCTTGTTTTAACGCCTCTCAGGTCCTGATTATTAAAGGGGGCTCTCGTTCCTCAAATAAAAAAGTTTCTTTTCTTTCTCGTTAGGCTAATGTGGAGGAATCTTCAGAGAGTCTGCATGAATATTCCTTTATCTCATTAGTTGGTAGGCAGGTCCAGCCAACAGGTGGGAGCTCTTAGCCAACTATGTAAGCTCTGGGGTCATACAAGGTCGGCGTCAATGCCACCATGCGTGGGAAGGAGGCAGTGTGTTTTCAATTTTCCAACTGGTCTTTCTGTGCTTTGTTCCCTATTGGGAATATTCTTAGCCATATCAGGGTTGCATGAATACTGTAGAGTTTACCTTCATCTCCCTCTTCTTTAGTTCCCCTCCTATCGAAAGTCCCCAAACCATATTCACAAGGGCACTGTAAGCTGTGTCTAAGGTGATGGCTCTTTCAAAAATTACTTGTTGTTTCATGAGTTAACTATTTCATAATGACTTACTTAGAGCACCACCTCTGGGAGCATTTCCATTTAAATGAGGAAATGAAGTATTCCCACCAGAACCAGTTGCAAATTGTAGAATGATGGCTTTGGGGCAGGAATTACAGGTTCAGACTGACTTTTCTTCAGGGCTCCATACTAAGTACTCATCTTCCAAATGAGCTCGCGTCATTCAGAACTGTTTTCCACCCTCACACGCTGAGAAATACACTGTTCTCCCATCAATAAGTTGGCTCTAGATCACAGTGGTCATCAGAGCAGAATAAGGAGGGAGGATAAATGCCTGAGGATTGAGTATCAGAATCTCTGGAGAGTCAAGAAATCACACAGCGGGTTCTGAGAAGCTTAGAGATCAGGGTCAGACTTCTTTCTTTTTTTCTTTCTTTTTTTTTTCTTTCTTCTTTCTTTCTTTCCTCACTTCCCAGCTTTGGGAACCACTATTCCAAGACTCTTAATACCTCTTCCAAAGAGGTAGACTAACTGACTTTGGGGTCTCTTAACTCAACTAAATTACCAGGTAGGGTCTTCTCTGATTTTAGCCAAGATCTCTTTGAGGGCTCCCTCTTAGAGGAAGCCATTTCTTAGGTAGAATTTCCATTGGCGCCTACTTTTCTTGAATTTTTCCACGTAGTTTCAAGAGAACTTCTGGATAGCATATGCCCTTTGCCCAGCACTTTTGCTAATGACTAAAAAATGAGACAGTCATATTAAAACATTTAATGAATTCCCAAGAAGCAGTTGTCATTGAAATTACAATAAACAGCACCATTTACAGTAGCATTAAAATCCATGAAGTACTCTGGGCCAAATTAAACAAGATAAAAATTTATGCAACACTCAAACAATGAAAACTACAAGATGTTGCTGAGAGAAACAATTTTGAAATGAAAGAGCAAAGTTGGAGGATTTATACTACCTAATTATATAAGACTTACTATAAAGCTATAGGGATTAAGATATCTGGTATTGATGTATAACTAGATATGCAGATTAAAGAAACAGATTAGAGAGCCCAGAAATAGACCCACACATATGAAGATAATTGAGTTTTTACAAAGATGCCAAGGTAATTGGGGAAATGATAGTCTTTTCATGGTGCTGCTCATGTGGATGTATTTGTAATAGGTATGACAAAAGTATTTGTATCTAGAATATTTAAGAACTTGTGGAATTTAATAATAGCAAACAATCCAATAAAAATGAGCAAAAGAGGCCTGGTGCAGTGGCTCACGCCTGTAATCCCAGCACTTTGGGAGGCCGAGGCGGGTGGATCACGAGGTCAGGAGTTCAAGACCAGCCTGGCCAAGATGGTGAAACCCCATTTCTACTAAAAATACAAAAAATTAGCTGGGCGTGGTGGCGAGTACCTGTAATCCCAGCTACTCAGGAGGCTGAGGCAGGTGAATCGCTTGAACCTGGGAGGCAGAGATTGCAGTGAGCCGAGATTGCACCACTGCACTCTAGCCTGGGTGACAGCAAGACGTCTCAAAAAAAAAAAAAAAAAAAGCAAAAGATTTGAACAGATACTCCATATAAGATGCATGTGAATGACGAATTAGCACATGAGAAGACGCTCAATATTATCTTCAGGAAAACGCAAATTAAAAGTACAAGAGAAACTGGTACACATTACATCTGACGACTAAGCTCTGATGTTTTTATCTTGCCCAAATTCCTATCTAAGGGGTCTGGAGAGTCATCCCCCACAAGCCATAATTCTCATCAGATGGGTTTTATTTGACCCTATACATAGTGACTTACTTTCCAATCTGACTCTGGCATAACGTTATAAGACAAGGAAAAAAATCAAAATATTTAATCCCAAACCATGTTTTTCTGCCATGTCTTGAAATGGCCCTGCAAAGCCGTCCTTTGTAGGGGAAAATCTGCATCTGTAAAGAATCTCTATTAACATAGCTAGATCTTTTTCTTCCAGGCCCTCCCAATCCTGAGATGTTAACTAAATGTCTAGCACCTTTTAAAGATCTGAATAGGAAACATTTGTTATCTATTGTCTTTAAGGGCAGCCACTATGAGACTTTGAAGGAACCTCAGGTCTCCACAATCTTTTTTCTTAATCTGAACATTTCCTTTCTATTGATCCCAGGTCTTTAGACAAACTCAACCAATTGTCAATCAGAAAATGTTTAAATTTACCTATAGCCTGGAAGCCACCCCCTGCTTTGAGTTGTCCCACCTTTCTGAACCAAACCAACATTATTTCTGAGTTATTTGATTGATGTCTCATGCCTCCCCAAAATATATAAAACCAAGCTGTACCCTGGCCACCTTGAGCACATGTTCTCAGGACCTCCTGAGGGCTATGTCAGGGGCCATGGTCACTCATATTTGGCTCAGAATAAATCTCTTTGAATATTTTACAGAGTTTGACTCTTTTCATCGATACATCCCGTTAAAATGTTTAAAATTAAAAGGACATATCAAGTTCAAAGCCAGTGTTGGCAAGAATGCAGAGTAATGGACCTCGTGGACGTTGGTGGTGGGAAACTCACATTGTGAAATACTGTGGAAAAGTTAATGATGCACTTTAAGAAATACATCCAGCAATTCTACTCCTGATGTTCACCAAAGAGATGAAAACATGTCCACAGAGAGACGTGTAGACAAATGTTCATAGAAGCTTAATTCATAATAGCCAAAAAGTGGAAACAACCCTAATTTCATCAGCAGGTGAATAAACAGACTGAGCTATATTCATACAATGAAATGTTAGCCTTCAAAAACAGAACAAACTACTGATGTACACAGTGACATGGGTGGATCTCGAAAACATTATGCTGAGTGAAAGAAGCCAAGCTGACAAAAGACTATGTAATGTATGATTTCATTTACATGAAATTCTCTAAAAGACAAATCTAATCTACATGGACAGAAAGCAGATCAGGGGTTGCCTGAAGCTGAGAGTGGGAGGGGAATTGGCTGGGAAGCAACACAAGGGAATTTTCTGGGGTGAAGGAACTGTTCTGCATCTTGACTGTAGCGGTTGCTTACTTGAGTATATACACTTGTCAGAACTCATCAGATGTACATTTTTTTTTTTGAGACAGAGTCTTACTTTGTCACGCGTGGCTTACTGCAACCTTGAACTTTTTGGCTCAAGGGAGCCTCCTGTCTCAGCCTCCTGAGTAGCTAAGACTACAGGGGTGCACAACCATGCAGGGATAATTTAAAACAATTTTTGTTTTTTTTTTGTAGAGATGGTGTCTCGCTATGTTGCCCAAGTTGGTCTTGAACTCCTGGCTGCAAGCAATCCTCCTACCTCAGTCTCCCAAAGTGCCGGGATTACAAGCATACATTTTAAATGGTGGTATTTTATTGCACTAAAATTTTACTTTGATAAAGTTGATGAGACAAATTGTGAGTAAAATACATATAAGGAGTAACAATTTATGGGAAATCTCAATCTGCAAAACAGGCTTTCCTCTGCCGATGCCCTGTGGACTTGGTGGGAGACCTGGCCGGCATCCACTCTCTCACCCATCTTGAGACCTCATTGTTAGTGCTAAGTCATGAGACAAGCTAGGAATTCTGTTTCAGCTCTTAGTTGAGAGACTTTCCCTCCTCTTCTCAGCCCTGGTATGATTTCTCAGGCTGTCATCTCTTTTTCCCCCACCTTTCCAGAACTCCTAGGGATTTGAGCAGCTCATTCTTGCCCAGCCCACTTCTCACTGGAGGGCCAGGTCTTTTCCAAGTTCACGGAGAGAGAAGTGAACTTTTACCTTCATTTGCCCTCTTTTTCTCTTCTGCTCACTACTTTTTCTGTCTAGGCCCCCTAGTCATGTCCTATTTCTGCTGGGCTCTTCCAGACCTTCCTGCCCACTCAGTTCTTCACTTCCACCCCCAATTCCTGTCCTAATGTCACCGTGGCACAGCTCATGAGAAGTTTCAGGAGCTACCCTTTGATTTCAGAGTGACTCAAGGACTCAGGAAAGAGGGGATGACCCCAAATGAACCAGCAGCCAACCAGACAATGCCTGGTGTGTTAAGGCTTTTCAGTAAGCACTTCCTTCAAGGAATGACAGTTGGCCTTGCCCCAAAAGAATCTATTTAAATGTGATTACACTTGTGGTTTCTTCTTATTTCTGCAGGACAGAGTTGAAACTCCTCAGTGGTGCCCACTGGGCCATCACACTCTGGTCTTTGCACATGCCTGGAACCCCGGCGATCTCTTGTTTCTCCACCAAGGGAACTCTGCTTGTAACACTTTAAGCCTCAGCTGAAAAGTGGTCTCCTGGGTGAAGTCTCACCTGTGCACCCACCTGAGGGTGAGTCAGCTCTGCTCCCCTGGCTCTCACCGCGGCTGTTATAGCATTTACCGGAGTCCCACAGTGACTCATTTGTCCATCACCCTCCCGACAAACCTTCCAGCTTCTGAAGGGCAGAGACAGCATCATAATCATCTTTTATAACTCCCGTGCCTAGTGCTACTCCCAATCCCTAGTAAGCATTCAAATATTTCTTACTGCAGTGCTTGGGACTGTCATAAACACAGAAACTGAATAAGGCTTCGTGTTTCCATCGCCTGGAACTTGCAGGCCAGAAGGAGAGCTAAAACACTCATATAAGTGTAATGCAAGGTAAAATGGGATGTAGGAGGCACTAGTTTGAATATTGGGTAGAACTAGAACTGCAAGGGAGAAAGATTCAAGTTAGAATAACTGGCACAGAAGTTTGCATTTACCTAACAAAATTGCTAATTATTAGTGAGTGTCTTCTCTGTGCCAAGGACCAGGTTAAACATTTTTTTTTTCTTTTAGGACCAGGTTAAATATTTACCTCCTGTACTAGTTCCCTGTGACTGCTGTAAGAAAGTGTCACAAATTAGGTGGCTTTAAACAGAGAAATTTGTTCTCTTATAGTTCTGGAGGCTAGAATATAAAGTCAAGGTGTCAGGCCGGGCACAGTGGCTCACACCTGTAATCCCAGCACTTTGGGAGGCCAATGTGGGACAATTGCTTGAGGCTGGGAGTTCAAGACCAGCCTGGTCAACAGAGAGAGAACCTGTCTCACGCCTGTAATCCCAGCACTTTGGGAGGCTGAGGCAGGCAGATCACGAGATCAAGAGATCGAGATCATCCTGGCTAACATGGTGAAAACCCATCTCTACTAAAAATACAAAAATTAGCTGGGCGTGGTGGCACACGCCTGTAATCCCAGCTACTGGGGAGGCTGAGGCAGGAGAATCGCTTGAACCCGGGAGGCGGAGGTTGCAGTGAGCCGAGATCGTGCCACTGCACTCCAGCCTGGCAACAGAGCGAGACTCCATCACAAAATAAATAAATAAATAAATAAATAAATAAATAAATAAATAAAAATAAAAAATAAAAAATGAGCCAGGCATGATGGTATGCACCTGTAGTCCCAGCTACTCAGGAGGCTGAGATGGGAGGATTACCTGAGCCCAAGTTAAAAGCTACTGTGAGCTGTGATCATGTCACTGCACTCCAGCTTGGGTGACAGAGCAAGACCCTGTATCAATCAATTAATCACTAAATAAAAATGAGTGAAAACCAAATTAAGTCCAGGTGTCAGCAGGGCCATGGCCCTTCTGAGGGCTCTAGAGAAGAATCCTTCCTCATCTCTTCCAGCTTCTGGTGGTGGCCACCCTGCTTGGTATTCTTTAGCTTGTGGCTGGTTCACTCCAGTCTGCTGCCTCCTTCATCACATGACCTTCTTCTTTGTGTATGTGGACATCTCTGTGTGTGTCCTCCCCTCTTCTTATGAGGACACCAGTCATTAAGTTTAGGGCCAACCCTAATCTGATAGGATCACATCTTAAGAAAGTAAGTCTATCAAGACCTTATTTCCACATAAGGTAATAGTTTGAGTTTCTGGAAGGACATGAATTTGGGGTGAACACTAACCCACTCCGCATGCATAATCTGATTTAATATACATCACAACTAGATGCAATAATCATCCCCATTTTATACATAAATAAACGGAAATGCAGAGAGCTTAATGTTTGCTCAGGGTAACATGTCAGGAAGTGCCAGAAATTCTGATGTTAGATGGTTTTATAAGGTTATCCACTGTGATCTACCACTCTTAAGAACTTTTACAAATGGCCAGGCTCGGTGGCTCACACCTGTAATCCTAGCACTTTGGAGGCAAAGGCAGGCGGATTGCCTGAGCTCAGGAGTTTGAGACCACCCTGGGCAACATGGTGAAACCCTGTCTCTACTAAAATACAAAAAAAAAAAAAAAAAAAAAAAAAATTAGCCAGGTGTGGTGGTAGGTGCCTGTAGTCCCAGCTATTGGGGAGCTGAGGCACAAGAATTGCTTAAACCTGGAGGCAGAGGTTGCCGTGAGCTGAGATCAGGCCACTGCACTCCAGACTGGTGACAGAGCATAACTTTGAGTCAAAAAAAAAAAAAAAAACTTTTACAAAGCTTTTACAAATTGTGAACTATATCATTTATTTAAAATAGTATGTGTAAAATAAGTGTACAAATTAAAGAATATTAACAACATAAGCATCCATGTTAGTTTATCAGTTCATTCATGAATTTGTTGTCGTTTAAGCAACTCCTTTGTGCTGAGGTCAGCATTTTCCTGAGTGTGCTGCTGAATACCCTGACCTGCTTATTTTAAATGTGGACTTCTGAACCCTTCACAATGTCAATGGAGTCAGCATCTCTGAGAAAAATGCTCAGGGATTTACATTTTTCATAGTAATACCTGGGGGGTTTCATGCAAAGTAAAATTGGAATATCATAAGTGCATATACAGCTTTGCAAATGGAAGGGGAAAGGGTCACCTGGTTTCTCTTCCAGCTCTATGAATTTAGAGACATCGTCTGGTCTGTCTGTGTCCGGGGAAAGGAATAGTCTTTGAGATATTTATGAGGAAGAAAAGGAAGCAGAGTGCCAAGCCCCACAGGGAGTGGTTTTGTCAGTTGCTTTCACCGCAGGCTCTGAGGAGGGGAAGGAATCCCAGGATGAGGCCCTCAGGAGCTTTTATTTATTTATTTATTTATTGAGATGGAGTTTCCCTCTTGTGGCCCAGGCTGGAATGCAGTGGTGGGATCTCAGCTCACTGCAGCCTCCACCTCCCAGGTTCAAGTGATTCTTCTGCCTCAGCCTCTCAAGTGGCCAGGATTACAGGTGCCCACCACCACGCCGGGCTAATATTTTTTGAGACCTAGTCTTGCTCTGTCACCCAGGCTGGAGTACAGTGGCACGATCTCAGCTCACTGCAACCTCTGCCTCCCGGGTTCAGCGATTCTCCTGCCTCAGCCTCCTGAATAGCTGGGATCACAGGTGCCTGCCACAATGCCAGGCTAATTTTTGTATTTTTGGTAGAGATAGGGTTTCACCATGTTGGCCAGGCTGGTCTCGAACTCCTGACCTCAAGTGATCCACCTTCCTCGGCCTCCCAAATTGCTGGGATTATAGGCCTGAGCTGCCACACCTGGCCTAGAGCTTTTAAAACTCACCTCCCCAACCTCACCTCAATTCTGATTCTCCCACATCTACCGACCATGGGTGGATGGGTGAGGGCTGGACAGGAGGAAGTAGGCAGGAAGGGTGTTGGACCTGGTTAAGGAGCTTTTCCCAGTGACAGAGGGTCCCCCTTCCCTGTCCGAAGATCTCTGGTCTCATTACCTTGTTTTCTCCAACTGGTCCTTTTCCTGAGTTGGAAAGTCACCTAGGTGACTTATCACTTATATAAATACTATTATTGGCCAGGCATAGTGCCTCATACCTGTAATCGCAGCACTTTGAGAGGCCGAGGTGGGTGGATCATTTGAATTCATGAGTTCGAGACCAGCCGGGACAACATGGTGAAACCCCATCTCAAATAAAAATACAAAAAATCAGCAGTGCATGGTGGCGTGCACCTGTAATCCCCGTTACTCGGGAGGCTGAGGCATGAGAATCACTTGAACCTGGGAGGCAGAGGTCGCAGTGAACCAAGATCCTGACACTGCACTCTTGCCTGGGTTACAGGGCAAGACTCTGTCTCAAAAACAATAAATACATATATATATACATACATACATAAATGCTATTATTGCTGGGCAATCAATAGGTTCTCTGCCCAATGTGCATAGAGACCAATACCAGGGCACTGGCTTTTGAGAAAAGAAAGTTGACTGGCAAGGAGACAGGAGGAAACTCCCAAATCTGTCTCTCCAGCTGGTGGCTGGGTCAGGTTTTATAAACATAGGGTGGGGAGGTGCAATCTGATTGGATCTTGCAATGTGTTGATGCCAGGAGGCACAATCTGACTGGATCTGGCAGGCGGTGACACTAGAGCTCTATCTGATTGGACTGTGGATCCTGCCATGTGGTGTGCGCTTCTTAATTCAGTCTCCGCTCCTCTGAGCACTTAGGTTCCTCCTGTGGTTGCACAGTCGGTTCATCTGGGCATGCTCAGGTTATGTGACCTTCGACCTGGGGGCCATGACAACTGAAAAACAACTTTGTTACATAAAAATTGAACCAGATTGGTCTGATGTGATTACACTGTCTAGTACTTATAACTATTATGTTAAATCCTATGAAAAGGCAAACATTAAACCCTCTCTTAGAAATGTAATAGTTTCAGGCCTGGTGCGGTGGCTCATGCCTGTAATCCCAGCACTTTGGGAGGCTGAGGCAGGTGGATCATGAGGTCAGGCGTTCGAGACCAGCCTGGCCAATATGGTGAAACCCCGTCTCTACTAATAATACAAAAATTAGCTGGGCATGGTGGCAAGCACCTGTAGTCTCAGCTACTTGGGAAACTGAAGCAGGCAGAAGAATTGCTTGAACCCAAGAGGTGGATGTTACAGTAAGCCGAGATCGTGCCCAGCCTGGGCAATAGAGCAAGATGCCGTCTCAAAAAAAAAAAAAAAAAAGAAGAAGATATGTAATTGTTTCAGTGGTCACTAGAGAATATATCTGAAATGCAAAATTTAATGCAAAAGTGATTTCTCCTGCTAGAGGTTTTTTTTTTTTTTTCAAGACATAGTTTCGCTCTTGTTGCCCAGGCTGGAGTGCAGTGGTGTGATCTTGGGTCACTGCAGCCTTCTGGGTTCAAGCGATTCTCTTGCCTAAGCCTCCCAAGTAGCTGGGATTACAGGCGCCCGCCACCATGCCCAGCTAATTTTTGTATTTTTAGTAGAGATGGGGTTTCCCCACGTTGGCCAGGCTGGTCTTGAACTCCTGACCTCAGGTGATCCTCCTGCCTCGACCTCCCCAAGTGCTGGGATTACAGGTGTGAGCTACTGTGCCTGGCCTAGAGTTTTTTTGAAGAGAGGTTGAGAACACATCACTCGCACCCCATGATACGTTCTGCTCTGAGCCATGCACTGAGCCGTGCGCATCCAGGCTACATAATCAGGCAATTACCCGCTCACAGAGAGGAAACCAGGAGATGTTTCGGGCCACTGCACCACGCTCTGCTGTCTCTCAGACACATTCAGTTGTAAACTTGCTTTTCCTTTGAACCAATATGAACAGGCCTCCAGGAAGCACAATTTGGGGACTAGTGGGGCTTCTTTTCTGAGTGTCAGAGTTCTTCAACCCTTCGAAAGGGGAGGTCCAGGGAGGCCCAGCAGCCCCAACCTCCACTACCCATTATTGATGGTGCTTGGAGCTGAGCCAGGGCCATGGCGGAATGGAACTCCCAATTAGATTCACTTGACACGTGAGAAATTCCGTGGAAACCGGCAATTATAAATGCATGATAAAACTTTCTGCAACAAATGAAAAAGACTAGAAGGACTTTTGAGGACAGTAGGAAAACAAGCCCTAGTGGATAACATGACTTAAGTTCTTTCCTCTTCTGTGCAACTATTTGTCTTCAGCCTTGGGAACCATCTGTGGTTTGTTCTCCAGAAAAGAGATGTGTGGAAATTCTGAGTATGACCCAGGAATTGTCACTGTTCCTCTTTCTAAAAAATTGAAGTCAGCTTTAAAAAATTATAAATGAAGTACATGCCCATGTAAACACTTCAAATAGAAGGATGCAAAAGATAAAAAATAAAAGTTTTTTCTCTTATACCTCCCGTGACCTAAATAACCACTGTTAATAGTTTCTTGCATGTCCTTCCAGAGTTTTCCACGTACACAAATGTTGAAAATACATATTTCAACATAGCCTTATATATGTATTCACTATTATATGTTCCTTTAAATAATCATTTAGTATTTAGTAACATATCTTGGCATATTTTATTTCAACACATATAGATTAGCTTTATTCTTTTTTTTATTATTATTTTTTGAGATGGAGTCTCGCTCTGTCATCCAGGCTGTAGTGCAGTGGCATGATCTTGGCTCACTGCAACCTCTGCCTTCCTGAGTTCAAGTGATTTCCTGCCTTAGCCTCCCGAGTAGCTTGGAATACAGGCACCCACCACCACCCCCCTCTAATTTTTGTATTTTTAGTAGAGATGGGGTTTCACCATGTTGGCCATGCTGATCTCAAACTCCTGACCTAAGTGATCCACCCTCCTCCAGGCCTCCCAAAGTGCTGGGATTACAGCCGTGAGCCATGGCACCCAGCCAGCTTGATTCTTTTTAATAGCTGCATAGTATTGTCTTTATAGATGTACTTTATATATAAGTTTCTATTGATAGATATTTAAGTTATATCCAGATTTTTAAAAATTGCCAGTGTTGCAGTAAAAATTCTTGATGCATATATTTTTGCACACTTATGCAAATAATAGATATTTCCTAATGCTTTTCATAGAGGTTTTCTGAGGCAGGGTCTCACTCTGTCCCCAGACTGGAGTGCAGTGGCATGATCATGGCTCACTGCAGCCTTGACCTCCCCAGGATCAAGTGATCCTCTCAAGTCAGCCTCCCAAGTAGTTGGGACTACAGGCACATGCCACCACGCCTGGCTAATTTTTGTATTGTTTGTACAGGTGGGGTTTCACCGTGTTGCCCAGGCTGATCTTGAACTCCTGGATTCAAGCAATCCACCCACCTTTGCCTCCCAAAGAGCTGGGATTACAGGTGCCAGTCACCAGGCTCAGCCTCACAGAGGTGTTTATATTTTATCAGCAATCTGTGCAAAAGGACTATTTCTCTACATCCTCATGTACCCGAGGTTTTATTAAATTTTTAAGTCTTTGACAATTGTTGTGTTTAGAAAAGTCTTTTTTGTTTCTTTTCTTTTCTTTCTTTTTTTTTTGAGACAGAATTTTGCTCTTTTTGCCCAGGCTGGAGTGTAGTGACACAATCTTGGCTCACTGCAACCTCTGCCTCCCAGATTCAAGCAACTGTCATGCCTCAGCCTCCCAGGTAGCTGGGATTACAGGCACGCGCCACCATGCCCAGCTAATTTTTGTATTTTTAGTAGAGACGAGGTTTCACCATGTTGGTCAGGATGCTCTCGAACTCCTGACCTCAAGTGATCGGCTCCCCTTGGCTTCCCAAAGTGCTGGGATTATAGACATGAGCCACCTCGCCCCGCCCTTTTTTGTTTCAATATGCATTTCTTTCATAAGCGTTCCCATCTCAGTCTTTTTGCAAAAATAATGCAAATCACATTGTGTAAAGATACCTGCAACTACAAAAAGAGGACTGGAATTCAGCAACGTTTTGTGGATTGAAGTGTCCCTCAATCTCACCATTTCCACCATCCAGGTAGTTTCACGAACCAAGTGGCTTTGGAGAAAAAAATCCAACAGGGTAGACCAGAAGATGGCTTATTTATAAACCAGTGTGCTGATGAAAAAGCATTGATGTTGGCATCCAGACACAGCTCAGACTCTCACTGCTCTTGCTGGCTCTGTCCACAGGACACTGATTACATAGACGTGGTGACAGCAGGGACACTCTGCCATCCCTATGCTAACCTGGCATTGCAACCTGAGCAAAGCCAGGCTCATGTGAGGAGCAACTTCCTAAAGCAATCTTTTGTTTTTACTTTTTTGGGGTTGGCAGGGCTAACAGCTGTTTAGAGGTTTATAGTTAAGGCATGGATTAAGAGTCAGCTCATTCTCTTTATCTCAGCTCATCTGCCCCTTAAATGATCCTATTGGGTATCACAGCAGGTATAGACTTAGCAGCAGATCTAGGGCACGGGACGAAGAGGGAAGAGCAGTGGATCTGTCAATCCGTGCACAGATTTCCAGCTGCTCACCATATGCCTTAGTCATCTTTAGAGGCCTCATTTGCTTCCTTTCACATGGCGGAAATTCCCAGGCAAATGACTTCTCAACCCCATGCCTCCAGCTCTACCTGGAGTTTAAAGGTGGCCATCAGGGATCCCAGAGAGCATCAGATAAGGCCACTAGAAAACAGGCAGGTTGGGAGTCTTGCACCTGCACGGGGCTGGGCCCAGAGCAGCTCAGTGGCAGCCTCTTCCTTCCCAGATATTTTTCCTTGGGCCACACGGAAAAGGCACCATGTAACATATTGGTTAATCCTCAGGCTTATAACCTGATATGCTGGGGTTCAAATCTCAGCTGATCCCATTAATTGCTGTGTGGCCTAGAGAAAGCTACATAACCTCTCAGCTCCTCAGTTTTAGGGATGATCATCATACCTAACTCACAGGCTATGAGGGTTCATGTGGGACCATAATGTACCAGACCACTGCTTGGCCTATAGCATGTGTTCAATCAATATTGGGCTGGTGTTATTGCAACTGGCATGTGACACACCAGCTATACTAGTGTGAAAAATCTATATTTCACTTCCACATCTGAGTGACAGTGAATTACTAACTCCAGGATTCATCTGAAATCAGCTCTTTTTGTCACCAGCTTGACCTACTTAATCTGATTTACTACCTTACTTGTTTTTCATGGGAAGACTCACTCTTTCAGCATCAGGACTTGAAGCAAGGTGCCCAGGCTTGGTTTAGCAGTGTTGTAGAGCTACACACAGTACGTGCAGCTGCAGTTCCTTCTACATTGCCCACCAAAAGTGGCTGTGGACTCAGGACAACCACGCCCATGAAGGAGCTTGGACTTGATTGTGTTAGATGTGGGACCTAAGTGTGGGGAAAGTTCTCTACTCACTGGGCAGGATCAGATCAAAAGACAAAGGACCAGAGAAGCACTTCTCTAGGATCTCATCTTCCCCTTTGCTTCCAAGTCCCACATGTTAATTTGTGTTAGTGGAATGTGTGAGAGGAGGCAAAGATCGATGATGTTTCCCAGTAATTCCTAAAGTGTTCCTGACTTGCAGCACAGTGTATGCAGTTAATCCACTCACAGAGACAGGGAATGACAAAGAGAGAGCTAAAATGTGTGCTGTTTAGATAACAAATCATAAATTCAAAAGAGTTGTGTAATTTGGGAATGCAACGGTGGGAGACTGTTCTACAGAGAGAGCAGATTCAATGCCATTGAAGGGTAAGCAGAGTCTATGCCTGAGACCTCATTTACAGTTTACGGGAAACATAGGGAACAGAGAAGTTAAATTACACCAAGTTATATCACTAGATACTTCCTGGAGACGAAGCGTTCTGCAGGAAAACTGGCCTGGATTCTTCAAAAAGTCAACATTTATAGGAAAAAATGGGAGGCTGTCTTAAATAAAAAGAGACCAAGAAGACACAAAACCCAGAAGCAAGGTGCTAACTTCCATCAGATCCTTGTTCAAAAATGGAAAACAGACACAGCCATAAAAGACATTTGGGGATTATTGGAATATTGAAGTATGGAGTGATTCTTAGGTAGCATAATATAATTAGTGTTAATTCTTCTGGGCATGATAATGCCATTGTAGTTATCAAGAGAATGTTCTTTTTCTTAGGGGATGTTTGCTGAAGTAACTAGAAGTCCAATATTATGATGCATGCAGCTAATTTTCCAATAATGTGTGAGAGAGACGGAGAGAGGGATAACAAGCCTGAGAGAGAAAGTAAATGTGGCGAACCTGTTAGCAATCGTTGAATCTAGGTGGAGATTTATTATAGGTGCGGGTGATGGCTCTAAGTTGAATCTAGGTAGAGGGTTTATGAGTATTAATTGTAGTACGTTTTTCAACTTTTAAGTTTGAAAATTTGCAAAGTAAGAAGTAGGGAGAAAGGAGAGTTGATGAACCTGGGAACTCGTGTGAGTCTTTGGTGCCTTTTGGAAGTCTCTTGATATCCTGTCCCTCCTTGATTTGAGGACTGTCCTGCTGTGGGTGACCTATCGCCTGAGGCTGGACCAAGAGGACACCTTCCTGAGTCCCCAGCATCTCCAGGCCCAGGTGGTCTGAAGTCCACCATGCTGCAGAAGTCCAAGAGTCTGTCCAGGATTGCTTCCCTTGATAGCACTCTTTCTTCCTTCCAGCCTCGCCGGCTGCTGTGAAAGTTGTCAGAATCAAAATGGAGTGATGTGTGCTAAAAACCCTGACAGATAGAGCCTGGGAAGGCCATAAAGGGAGGGTACTCATGCATGAATGCCTGATAACAAGAACTCTCAGAAAAGATAGCAAAAACCACAACTTTGCACAAAGGCCAACCTCACACAAAAAAATACTTCTGCAAGGACATCTGCCCAGCAACTGCCTGTCCGACCTCAGACTGGCGCCACCCTTGCTATAAACCCTGGTGGCCAAGGATAATTATCTCAAAACAATTATGTAATCATTCTTATTTTTTCTTTAAAAAACTTTGTCTTCTCCTGTAATCCCAGCACTTTGGGAGGCTGAGGCAGGCGGATCATGAGGTCAGGAGTTTGAGACCAGCCTGGCCAGCATGGTGAAACCCCATCTTTACTAAATATGCAAAAAATTAGCCAGGCATGGTGGTGCCCACCTGTAATCCCAGCTACTCAGGAGGCTGAGTCAGGAGAATCACTTGAAACCAGGAGGCAGACGTTGCAGTGAGCCGAGATCGTGCCACTGCACTCCAGCCTGGATGATAGAGTGAGACTCTGTCTCAAACAAAACAAAAAACAAAACAAAAAATAAAAAAAAACCAGAAAACAACTTTGTCTTCTTTCACTTCCCTGAATACACACAAAATTTACTGTGGCACGTATATCCCTGTTGCAATGCCCATTCCCAAATAAATATAATTTTCTTTTAGAGAGCCTCTCTCTGTCTGTTATTTAGGTTGACAGTACAAAATACAAGACTAGTGTCTATTCTTCTTTCTCCACTGCCATGTGGAAAATATGATTGTGCAAGAATTAAATGTCAAATTTTGTTTACTTACAATGTAAAACCTTTTTGTAATTGCTCAGTTGTCATATGCTTTGCTCATGTTATGGCCATCATTCAAAGTTCAAGTTCATCCCAAATTTTTAAGAGGTAGATTGAATACTGTATTGCTGTTGTATCTAATAGTTGGACTCCATAAACCAGTATAATTTAATTGTAAGGGAGAATTCTCTAATAGCATGTCTTTTAGGCATAGCAGCAATATTTAAAAAAAATTTTTTTTATTATACTTTAAGTTCTGGGGTACATGTGCACAATGTGCAGGTTCGTTACATATGTATACATGTGCCATGTTGGTGTACTGCACCCAGTAACTTGTCATTTACATTAGGTATATCTCCTAATGCTATCCCTCCCCCCTCCCCCCACCCCGCAACAGGCCCCAGTGTGTGATGTTCCCCTTCCTCTGTCCAAGTGTTCTCATTGTTCAATTCCCACCTGTGAGTGAGAACATGCAGTGTTTGGTTTTTTGTCCTTGCGATAGTTTGCTGAGAATGATGGTTTCCAGCTTCATCCATGTCCCTACAAAGGACATGAACTCATCATTTTTTATGGCTGCATAGTATTCCATGGTGTATATGGGCCACATTTTCTTAATCCAGTCTATCATTGGTGGACATTTGGGTTGGTTCCAAGTCTTGCTATTGTGAATAATGCCGCAATAAACATACGTGTGCATGTGTCTTTATAGCAGCATGATGTATATTCCTTTGGGTATATACCCAGTAATGGGATGGCTGGGTCAAATGGTATTTCTAGTTCTAGATCCTTGAGCAATCACCGCACTGTCTTCCACAATGGTTGAACTAGTTTACAGTCCCACCAACAGCGTAAAAGTGTTCCTATTTCTCCACATCCTCTCCAGCACCTGTTGTTTCCTGACTTTTTAATGATCGCCATTCTAACTGGTGTGAGATGGTATCTCATTGTGGTTTTGATTTGCATTTCTCTGATGGCCAGTGATGATGAGCATTTGTTCATGTGTCTGTTGGCTGCACAAATGTCTTCTTTTGAGAAGTGTCTGTTCATGTCCTTTGCCCACTTTTTGATGGAGTTGTTTGTTTTTTTCTTGTAAATTTGTTTGAGTTCTTTGTAGATTCTGGATATCAGCCCTTTGTCAGATGGGTGGATTCACAGCAGCAATACTTCTGCAACCTTTTTGGTGAGAAGATCTTTTAGCAGAATAATTCAGTTTTCAAACTCACGTACACCTTCCTTGATGAGAGACAGAAAACCATTCTGAGCGACAGGGATTCACACTGTGCCCCTCAACAAAAGATAAATTTTGAACCAGCTGTAGGAAGCCTGCATGTCACAAAGTTAACAACCTTCAGTGGGTACAAGCAGCCCAGCATGTTCATAGCAGTGGAAACCTATGCCTGAGACATCGTTTGAAGAAGAAAGTGGGAAGTGCAATTGTCAGACTTTAATGTCTCATAAAATGTTCATTTAAAAAAGGAAGGCAAGCTGGGCACAGTGGCTCACGCCTGTAACCCCAGCACTTTGGGAGGCTGAGGCGGGCAGATCACTTGAGATCAGGAGCTCGAGACCAGCCTGGACAACATGGCAAAACCCCACCTCTACTAAAAATACAAAAAAATTTAGCTGGGCATGGTGGCATGTGCTTGTAATCTCAGCTACTCAGGAAGCTGAGGCAGGAGAATCGCTTGAACTCAGGAGGCAGAGGTTGCAGTGAGCCAAGATCATGCCACTACACTCCATCCTGCACAACAAAGTGAGGCTCCATCTCAAAAGAAGAAGAAGAAGAAGAAGAAGAAGAAGAAGAAGAAGAAGAAGAAGAAGAAGAAGAAGAAGAAGACGACAGAGTAGGGTTGGTAACTTTTATTTTTTTTTTCTTTTGAGACACAGTCTTGCTCTCTCACCCAGGCTGCAGTGCAGTGGCACAATCATAGCTCACCACAGCCTCAAACTCCTGGGCTGAAGTGATCCTTCAGCCTCAGCCTCCCAAGTAGCTAGGGCTACAAACACATGCCACCATGCCTGGCTAATTTTTTAAGAAACATTTTTATAGACATGGGGTCTCAATGTGGTTGCCCAGGCTGGTTTTAGACTCCTGGCTTCAAGCAATCCTCCCACTTCATCCTCCCAAAGTGTTGGAGTTATAGGTCTGAGGCACCTTGCCTAGACTAACTTAATTTTTATTAAAGAAAGAAAGGAACAAAACCTATTATCTGCTATTCTTATCATTTTATGAAATAAGGTACACTTTAATTCCAAGCAAGTAGTAAGGGCATGATTGGAAGGTAAAAATTGCTGGGCCATGGGACAGAGAGGGCTTGGGGCTGCAGAATGATCACAAAGGGCAGGGAGGTGCAAGTGTTAGCCTCCCAGTGAGAACTGGATCAGCAGGGCAGAGCAGAGGAAAACAGCATCTAAAGGATGCAGGAGGAGATGATTAGCTATTATCAAGGTAATGATACCAACGTTTCTGAATCTTAGGTTGCTGAGATTTAATAATAAAGTGTAAAGATTTACTCTGCGTTAGAAAAAAATTATGCCGTCCATTTCATGATGCCAATAACACCCCAGGTGTGGAGGGAGGCGTGAGTCATTTTATGTTTTTGAAATTGCTGTTTGGTAACTCACTTTATTTAAACTTCACCACATGAGGTTGCCGCAATACATTTGATCATCCCCTTTCTCACTTTACATCTGAAACTGAAGCTGCTACTGGATTCCTGCTGACTCAGCAAAAATCCAAACCATTGTCAATAGAGTCCATTAGGAAATCAGTCCCAATCCGAACCTCCTAGGCAACACTTGAGCAAGGGAAGTCAGATTTAAAAATCAGAATCATGGCCAGGTGCAGTGGCTCATGCCTGTAATCCCACCACTTTGGGAGGCTAAGGCAGGAGGATCTCAAGGTCAAGAGATCGAGACCATCCTGGCCAACATGATGAAACCCCGTCTCTTCTAAAAATACAAAAATTAGCTGGATGTGGTGGCACATGCCTGTAGTCCCAGCTACTTGGGAGGCTGAGGCAGGAGAGTCACTTTAACCTGGGACGTGGAGGTTGCAGGGAGCCGAGATGGTGCCACTGCACTCCAGGCCGGATGACAGAGTGAGGCTCCGTCTCAAAAAAAAAAAAAAAAAAAAAATCGGAATTACTACTAACCTTCTTAAAGTGTCTAAAGGACCTTCCAACCATACATCAAACCAAGTAAACATGTGTTCCCAAGGAAATATTCCAGAAGAAAAAGTGGGCCTGCTGCAAGTTAATTCTGGAGACAATACATGCCTAAAACAGACATGAAACAGCCATGCAAAAGGATTGGACCATCCTCAGAGCCTGTCTGAAACCTCTAGAACAGCAGTTCCCAATCTTTTTGGCATCATGGACTGGGGTGAGGGGCCAGTTTTGGGATGCAACTGTTCCACCTCAGATCTTCAGGCATTAGATTCTCCTAAGGAACACTCAACCTAGATCCCTCACATGTGCAGTTCACAGTAGGGTCCGTGCTCCTGTGAGAATCTAACTAATGCTGCCACTGATATGACAGGAGGCAGAGCTCAGGAGGCAATGCTCATTTGCCTCCTGCTGTGCAGCCTGGTTCCTAACAGGCTGTGGACTGCTAGTGGTACTGGGAGGTTGGAGACCCTTGCTGTGGAAAGCAGAGCCTGAGGGTTAATAAAGTGTTGACACTTTTTTGGAGGTGCAAACGGAAATGTTTCAAGGGGGGATGAAAGGGAAGTGAGACAGGAAACGTACATTACAAAGAGATGTGATGCATGGTGGAGCTGGCTTCACAACACCTCCAGGACACAGAGGTGGCTCAGGAGCCATTTCGTGGGGCACAGGGGACTCCTGGGGAAGTGTTCTGCAGACAAGCCACATCTCCAAGGGGTCCGTGGAAGAGAGGCAGAGGAGGGCTGGCTCGCTTCTATCCCCTCCCTCCTATTGGACAATTTCACCCTACAGGGAGCTTACTTCCCCACTTTTCCCATGTGTTGGTGGCTACTCAAGAAGTCAGATTCCAGGCCCTGTGTTGTGGTATTTTGTCTAAGTCTAAAAGTAAGTAGAGGTGCTTGGGAGAAAGAGAGAGAGAGAGGGAGTGAGAGAGAGAGAGAGAGAGAGAGAGAGAGAGAGAGAGAGAGAAGTGAGCAAATCTCAAGAAGTTTGTGTCCCAAACAATCATTAACTCTCATTTCCTGGTTATTACTAAACCACTTTCTGAACTGCAAGATTTTGTCCTATTGGTTTGTGCAGTACCAGTTAAAACATCAGGTAGCATGATGATAATATCCAGCGCCCAGAGATACTTAGTGAAGGAATCGGTCAGCAAGACAACATGGAAATGTTTATACTTCCATTACAGATACAGTTAAATTTTAGTAAGAGCCACAAGTGACTGTTTTAAGTCAAGAATTTTGCCAAGGATTGAGGATACTGAAAATTACTTAGGTTTACAGATCTGCAGGAATTAAGCTTTTTTGGATTCAAGCTTAAATATGAATCATCAGTGACATTTACATTGTCTTAGTTTTTGGATCTCTCCAGAAGCTGACCGTAATACAAGGATTTGAGCGCAAGTAGTTTATTTACAAGGTGAATAAGAGACCAGTGGAGAATAAGGAATGAGAGAAGGCAGGAAAGGGTATGTTACTGGGCAAATTATCACTGTGGATACCTGGACATAACACTGCTGGGGCTCTGGGAGCAACGTTAGACACACTCCTCAGATTAATTGCACCCAAGGGGCAAGGGAGCTGGGGTATTTATACCCCCATTCCTAACAGTGGTTGGGTGAGAGCTGGTACCAGGGAGTGTTAAGTCTCCAGAACTTCCAGGTGCTTTGTAGATTGATAGCGAGGGCTCCAGCTGTCAGAGAAGCCCTCAGGCAAAGTGATGCAGATGCTTCCAACTGGAAGTCAAGCATGTGCACTAGAAGGGAGGTATGGGCAGAACAGAGAAAGTGGACTACATGTATGTCTTTTGCTACCCTGTCTCCTCTCAGAATGAGGTGACTCAGCAGAATCCTTCAAATATTGTGATATTATGATAGTGTGAAATTTTAAAAAAATGTTTGATATTGCTAACTCAGTATTTCTTTCTTCTTGTAGTAAGTGGATGCTTTATTTTATATGGCTTTGGATGCATTCTAATACAACCTATCATGTAGAATGCTTTCTTCTTTGCAAAATGAAACTTAAAAAATAGATTACTGGCCAGGCATGGTGGCTCGCCCTTGTAATCCCAGCACTTTGGAAACCCAAGGCAGCCGGATCACTTGAGGTCAGGAGTTCAAGACCAGTCTAGCCAACACAGTGAAACCCCATCTCTACTAAAAATATAAAAATTAACCGAGCATGGTGGCAGGCACCTATAATCCCAGCTACTCAGGAGGCTGAGGCAGGAGAATCGCTTGAACCAGAGGGGCAGAGGTTGCAGTGAGCCGAGATGGTGTCACTGCACTCCAGCCTGGGTAACAGAGTGAGATTTTGTCTCAAAAAAAAAAAAAAAAAAAAAAAGAAAAGAAAAAGTAGATTAGCATAGGTAGCTAAAATCAGGAAGCTTCGCTCTGGGGAAATTTGTGCATTTTCTTTTTCTTTCTTTTCTTTTCTTTTTTTTTATTCTGCCACAGAAACACTCCTACAAAAAAACTTAAATACTTTCAGGAGTTAAGAAAATCTTGCCAGGTATCTGAATTGTGGAGGTTGGAGATTATTTAATCAAGCTGACTGCATTTAACTAGGAAGGGAAACAGACTTAACAGAACATCAAAAATAGACACAGCAACAGAGGATTCCCAGCTTCAGTGTCAGCAGACGTCACCCCAAATGTTCAAGCCATCCCGGTCAAAGGCAAATGGAAACTCTTAGCCACTCTACATTAGCATAGGATGGTGGAGCAGGTATTAATAAAGTATTAATGCCATCTGGGCACCATGGCTTATGCCTGTAATCCCAGAGCTTTGGGAGGCTGAAGTGGGAGGATTGCTTGAGGTTAGGAGTTTCAGACCAGCCCCTGGGCAGCATAGTGAGACCCCATCTCTATAAAAAAATTTTTTTTAATGGCTGGGTGTGATGGTGCATGTCTGTAGTTCCAGCTACTTAGGAGGCTAAGGTGGGAGGATCCCTTGAGCCCAGGAGTTAGAGGCTGCAGTGGGCCATGATTGCACTACTGCGCTCCAGCCTGGGCAAGAGAGCAAGACCGTGTCTCAAAAAAAAGGTATTAGTGCTCCTTATTTATGTTCATGTTTTAATTGCAAGCACAGTAAGCAGTTATGTTTTTCTCAAATAAAACACTGAAATACTACAGGGACCAAAAGTGGTGTCTTTGGTGCAGAAGCCAGTGCTCAGTGGACTCTCCCACAGAATGCTGCAGTTTTGTTGCTTACACAGCTCTCGTGGGAGTTGTCACACTGGGATTGGGCTCAACCTTTCCATCATGACACTCTAATGAGTGTCTGAAACAGAGTTGACTCCTGTTCTTTTTTAAAACGTGTATTTATTTATTTACTTACTTATGTATTTATTCAGAGATAGGCTCTTGCTCTGTAGCCCAGGCTGGAGTGCGGTAGCACAATCATGGCTCACTGCAGCCTCAAACTCCTGGGTGCAAGCAATCCTCCCAGGTGGCTCTCAGGTGGCTAGGACTACAGGTGCACACCACCATGCCCACCTAATTTTCTAATTTTTTTTGCAGATATGGGATCTCACTGTGTTGCCCAGGCTGGTCTAGAACTCCTAGCCTCAAGAAATACTCCTGCCCCATTCTCCTAAAGTGCTGGGATCATAGGCAGGAGTCACTCCACCTGGCCAGATTTGACTTCTGTTTTTTTTTTTTTTTTGAGACAGTCTCGCTCTGTCACCCAGGCTGGAGTGCAGTGGCGCAATCTCGGCTCACTTCAAGCTCTGCCTCCCGGGTTCACGCCATTCTCCTGCCTCAGCCTCCCGAGTAACTGGGACTACAGGCGCCCGCCACCATGCCCGGCTAATTTTTTGTATTTTTAGTAGAGATGGGGTTTCACCATGTTAGCCAGGATGGTCTTGATCTCCTGACCTTAATGTATCACGCTGCGGTCTCACATGTAGATTCCATATTCCCTGAGTATGAGCTTTTCCTGCCTGCTTCTTCCTTACTGGCTGGAACTTGTCTGTGATAAGTGTCACCTCGTTCTGTTCTTCTTCCTTCATTTCTGGTTTTTCTTTTCATTCTTCAGTGTCCTCTGTTGGTTTGGGTCTCTATTTTTTGCTTCGCTATTATTTCATAAGCATTTCCTCTACGGTTCTTCAAAGTCTTACACTTCATTTAGTCATGTTAATGTTTTTTAAAAACTTTTAAACGTTTAAGCCAACAACTACTGGAAAAATGTGTAAAAGTCATCAATGTAGTAATTAAGTGCTCAGAAACAAGTAAAAGTCTTATAAACACTTTCATGAGCCTCATTATGTTGAAAATAGGTGTTGTAGAAATTTTAAACTTAATTTTAAGAAGATGAAATAAACAAATGCCTTGCGATATATGCAATTCCTCTAAAGAATTATTACCCACGTGTCAGCAGTTTGTAAATTAGCAGCCATGGTGGTCCCTGGATACTTGCATATTCATTGGTAAGGGTGATCACATGACCTCTTGTCTGAGCCTCAGTATATTTTTACATCTATAAAATAGAAATATTAATAGTACCTCCCTCAGAAGTGTGTTGTGGGGATTAAATAAGATAATGTGTATAAAAACTCTTAGCACTGTGATCAGTCAGTGTGCTCAATCAGCTAACTATTATTGTGTACGATATTTTACTCTTGTTTGGAATAAAAGTTTTCTTCCTTTCTTCCTTTCTTTTCTTTCTCTCTTTCTCTCTCCTTCTTTCTTTCTCTCTCTCCCTTCCTTCCTTCCTTCCTTCCTTCCTTTCTTTCTTTCTTTCTTTCTTTCTTTCTTTCTTTCTTTCTTTCTTTCTTTCTTTCTTGCTTTCTTTCTTTCTTTCTTTCTTTCTTCTCACTCTTGCTCTGTTACCAGGCTGGAGTGCAGTGGCACAATCATGGCTCACTATAGCTTTGAACTCCTGGACTCAAGTGATCCTCCTCCCTTGGCCTCCTGAGTAGCTGGAACTTCAGGCATGCACCACCATATTTGGCTAAGTTTTAAAAAAATTTATGTAGAGACGAGGTCTCAGCATGTTTCCCAGGCTGGTCTCAAACTCCTGGGCTCAAGTGATCCTCTTACCTCACCTCCCAAAGTGTTGGGGTTACAGGTGTGAGCCAAGAAAAATTGAAGAGATGTTTTAAAAAATGAGCTTCAAGTCACCATAAACCCTCTGCTCCAACTGCTCTGGAAAGTGCTGATGTCGTGACAGATGTGCTCCTTCTGGTGATATTGAAGGAAGCCGGAGAACTCAGGGCCTTTCTGGGGCCGTGTAATGATGATGTCCCGCCAGCCACTCTTGCTGTTGAGCTGATTCTCTCTTCTCCCTTTGACCTCTAGAAATAAGAAGAAAAGATCAAACATAGAGGCAGGAATGAGTTTCACTTCACAATCTCTATGCTTTATTTAGTTTTAAAGTTAAGATTTGCTTTATAGGCCAGGTGCAGTGGCTCATGCCTATAATCTCAGCACTTTGGGCTGCCGAGGTAGGCGCATCCCCTGAGGTCAGGAGTTCGAGATCACCCTGGCCAACATGGCAAAACCCCATCTCTAGCAAAAATACAAAAATTAGCCGGGTGTGGTGGCGGGCACCTATAATCCCAGCTACTCCGGAGGCTGAGGTGGGAGAATCGCTTGAACCCAGGAGGCGGAGGTTGCAATGAGCCAAGGTCACACCACGCACTCCAGCTTGGACAACAGAGCCAGACTCTGTCTCAAAAAAAAAGGATTTGCTTTACATAGGTAAGAGCAAGCCACTTTCCATTTGCTGCTTAGTCTTGGGGATTGGATAGTGTTCTCCCAAATTCACATTCACCTGGAACCTCAGGATGTGATCTTAGTAGGACATAAGGTGATTGCAGATGTACTTAGTTAAGGATTCTGAGATGCAATCATCCTGTATTTTAGAATCATCCCTAAATCCAATGACTGGGATCCTTATAAGACAAGGAGAAAACACAGAGGGACACAGAGAGAAGGAGCTGTGAAGATGGAAGCAGAGATTGGAGTTACACTGACACACATCAAGGGGCACCCAAGGCCATCAGAAGCTGGAAGCGGCAAGAAAATAACCTACTCTAGAGCCTTCAGAGGGAGCAGGGTCCACCGACACTTTGATTTTGTACTCTGGCCTCTAGAACCGTGAGAGAATAAATCTCTTTTGTTATAAGCCACCCAGTTTGTAGTACTCTGTGATGGCAGCCCTGGGAAACTGATAGAGACAGGAAAATACAACCTGTCTGCCCTTTATGGAAAGGGGAGAAGTAAGGAACACTCCTGCCCTCCTTCACTCTGTGTAGGTCTCCTCTGCTTTAACTTCCTGCATAGAACTCATCACAATCATAATCAAACACGAATTATTTTTCCTTTTGCTTGTTTTCTGTCTCTCCTCCTGCTAGAGTGTAAGCTCTTTGAGGGCAGGGACTTTCTGTCCTGCTCACTGCTGCATTCTGCTGCCTAGAATGATGCCTGGCATATATACAGTAGATGCTCCGTAAATATTTTCTGAATTTATGAATAAATGAAAGAATGAAATAGGCAGGAGTTCTGGGGATTGTCTCATATAACTTTTCTTAGAAGGGACAAAACTGAGAGGAAAGATGAGGGCGTTCCAAGGCGAGGAACCAATAAAGGTGTGCAAAGGCCGAGAGTCACAAAGAGGAAAGCTGTTGGGACAATGGCAGATGGCGGCATTTGCTGCCTGGGGTGGGAAGGAAGAATGTGAATCTGGAATGATGCATTCGGGCCTGAGTGTGAGAGGCCTTGCGTATTGGTAAAGAAGTCGGTTGCGGCTGGGCCCGGTGGCTCATGCCTGCAATCCCAGCACTTTAGGAGGTGGAGGCGGCAGATGACGAGGTCAAGAGATTGAGACCATCCAGGCCAACATGGTGAAACCCCACCTCTACAAAAAATACAAAAATTAGCTGGGCGTGGTGGCGTGTGTCTGTAGTCCTAGCTACTCCTACTCGGGAGGCTGAGGCAGGAGAATTGCTTGAACCTGGGAGGCAGAGGTTGCAGTGAGCCGAGATGGCGCCACTGCACTCCAGCCTGGTGATAGAGAAAGACTCCGTCTAAAAAAAAAAAAAAAAGAATTTGGTTGGATTCTGAGGCAGTGGAAAGCCAATGGGTTTATTTAAAGCAAAAGAATTTTACAAAATGTTAAAGGAATTGCTTTGGAAACAGTGGCAGTGCTTGACTCAAGAAGTGAGAGGTGCCTCTGAAGCAAGTGAGAGAAGGACCTGAGGGAAAGCTGCTTCCCTCTGAAACACTGGACAGCACTGGTGAAGAACTGGGTAGGGGTAGAGAGATTAGAAAGCCACAGGCACAGCTCAGCGTGGCTCTCTGGTCTCTTACATGGGGCTGAGCCCCTGGTGCTGGAAAATATAAGAAATGGAGCAAGTTGGAGGTGGAAAACCTTAAGTTTGGGGATCCCACAGAACATTCCAATGGAGATGCCCAGTATTGGTTGGACAGAAAGGTCTGCCGCTCGGGAGAGGGGTAAAAGCCAAGGACACGTCACTGGGAGACATCAATGAACATGAAGGCAGGAGGGTGGATGAGGCCACCCCCGTTGAACATAGAAAGAAAGAGGTCCACGGACAGACCTCTTGGGAAGAGGAGTGAAAGTGAAGCCATTAGCTGTGAGCACGTTGCATTCTGCTGCATGATAAAAAGCACGTTTAAAATGCTTACGATTCTTTAGAGAAGTGCCGTCTTTTGGTATTAAGTGTTAATACTTGTAATGACACTGTTCTATTTGTCTCTTAAAAAGCTTATGCAGGCCGGGTGCAGTGGCTCACGCCTGTCATCCCAGCCCTTTGGGAGGCCGAGGCGGGTGGATCACCTGAGGTCAGGAGTTCGAGACCAGCATGGCCAACATGGCGAAACCTCATCTGTACTAAAAATACAAAAAAATTAGCCAGATGTGGTGGCGGTCACCTGTAATCCCAGCTGTTTGTGAGGCTGAGGGAGGAGAATTGCTTGAACCTGGGAGGCGGAGGTTGCACTAAGCCAAGATTGCGCCACTGCACTCCAGCCTAGGAGACAAGAGCAAAACTCGTCTCAAAAAAAAAAAAAAAAAAAAGCTTATGCAAAATGCAAAATAAACTAATATGACTAATTGTGGACAATATAGACTCCACAATGAAAAATAGATCATTAGAATGAGGAGAAACATTAGCCTTAATCATCCAAACTCAACACAGGAATCATGAGGAGCAGGCACTGAATTTGACCTAGAAAACAAACAGGGTTTCCTGTTAATGGAAGACAGTAACAAAAAGAACTTCTCAATGTTTGAAAAATATCCTTTCTCCTGGATGACAGCCAGGGTATGGTCCCAGGGCTGTTTGGTTCTTTCCTGATCAGCATAGGAAAAAAAGTATTCTTTCCTCTTTCTGCAAATCTACCCGGGTCCCTTTGTGGTTCCACAATCATTTGTCACTTGTTAATAAGCTCTTATTAAGTGTTTCATCTGGAGGAAGCAAGTGAGTTAGTCCTCTTGCTCTCTGATGTAGGGATTCACGATTCTATCATAGAATTCTTCCAAGAGAAGGATTTCACAAACAGAGGAGGAGGAAGGGCGTGTGTCTTTCCATCCACTCCCTCACCTCTCTGTGCTGTGGCACAGACTTGCAATTCCTTTTTTCATGCCACCTACTCATCTTTTAATGCTGAGTTCAGGAGTTCAGGTCACTCTGTGACTGCGACACAGCCTTCACTCCATCCACCATTTAAATACCCAGAGGCAGGGTGGGGCATCTCCTCTGAGGTCCTAATTTCTTTCCTCCTTTCCTTTTTCCTTTTTCTTTTCCTTTCCTTTCTTTCCTTTCCCTCTTTCCTTCTCTCTCTCTTTTCTCTCTTTCTCTTTTCTTTCTCCCTTCCCTTCGCTTCCATTACCTTCCCTTCCCCCCCCTCCTCCCTCTCTCTCTTCCTCCCTCCCTCTCTCTCTCTTTCTCAATTTCTCTCTTTCTTTCTTTCTTTCTTACAGGGTCTCACTCTGTCACCCAGGCTGGAGTGCAGTGGAGCGATCTCTGCCTGCAACCTCCACTGAGTTCAAGCGATTCTCCTGCCTCAGCCTCCTGAGTAGCTGGAATTACAGCTACAAACCATCACATCTGGCTAATTTTTGTACTTGTAGTGGAGATGGAGTTTCACCATGTTGACCTCAAGCGATACGCCTGCCTCAGTTTCCCAAATTGCTGGGATTACAGGGGTGGGCCACTGCACTGGCTGAGATTGTATTCATTTTCTCTACATGTGTCTATCCCCGGAACTTAATTCATTTCACAACTCTTTGTTTATCTGCATTTCTCTACTATCAGACACAAATGAGTTCCTTGGGACAGCAATCAGTGTTTGTCATATTTGCAGAACCAGTACCTAACATCCACTGCTCCCAGAGCTCAAAAACAGTAATGCTGGGCTAGCCAGGCACAGTGGCTCACATCAGTCATCCCAGCACTTTAGGAGGCCTAGGAAGGAGGATGGCTTAAGCCCAGGAGTTTGAAACCAGCCTGGGCAACATGGCCAGACTCCGTACAAAAACTGAAAAATGAGCTGGGCATGGCGGCAGGCGCTTGTAGTATCAGCTACTTGGGAGGCTGAGGCTGGAGCGTCACTTGAGCCCAGGAGTTTGAGGCTGCAGTGAACTATTATTAACGGTGGAGGGTGTCCAGGTTCTTGGCGTCTTAAACAAAGAATTGGACAAAATGCACAAACAAAGCAAGGAAGGAATGAAGGGTTTTATTGAAAATGAAAGCATATTCCAGTGTGGGAGCAGGCTTGAGCATAGGGGCTCAGAGGCCCCTTTACAGAATTTTTGGGAGTTTAAATATCCCCTAGAGGACTCCATTGCTTACTTCAGGTATGTCCTATGTAAAACGGAGACGATGAAGTAAAATTACAAAGTCATTCACCTCGTACGCCCTATGGAGAGGTTATTTCCTGTTATAGCTGAAGTGTGAATCGGCCTTATGTTCCCTGCCTTCAGACCCTATTTTCCTGTGTCACTGTGATCGCAGCACTATGCTCCAGCCTGGGTGACAGAGTGAGACACTGTCTTTAAAAACAGAAATTAAGGCCGGGTGCGGTGGCTCACATCTGTAATCCCAGCACTTTGGGAGGCCGAGGCGGGCGGATCATGAGGTCAGGAGATTGAGACCATCCTGGCTAACGCGGTGAAACCCCATCTCTACTAAAAACACAAAAAATTAGCTGGGCGTAGTGGCGGGCGCCTGTAGTCCCAGCTACTCGGGAGGCTGAGGCAGGAGAATGGCGTGAACCCGGGAGGCGGAGCTTGCAGTGAGCAGAGATCGTGCCACAGCACTCCAGCCTGGGCGACAGAGCGAGACTCCGTCTCAAAAAAAAAAAAAAAAAAAAAAAGAAAAGAAAAGAAAAAGAAAACAGTAATGATAACCAACTGCAGCCCCAGGGACTCTGCCCTGCGCATGGTTAGCCCTGGCCCGGGGCCTGACTCAGCTTTTTGTATCCGGGTCCCTTTGCCATCCACCTGCACTGCCTCTCTTGAATCTGATGGTCTGAGGACAAAAGCAAGGAGAATCCAGGAGTGGAGGAAACTGGACATGTCTTCCAGACAGAGGAGGCAGGAGAACAGAGAGGAAGTGGCAGGCAGTCATGAACCTGTGGCAAAGAAGCATCGCCCTGAAAAAGAGGGAGAGGCAATTCAAACCTGTTTGGGGCGGTCAAGCAACTCTGCCTTCTGCCCCACAAGAGGCTCTGGATCTTCCCTGTATTTGGAGAGCTGGGGATGAGGGCAGAGAGAATGGGCTTCTCCATGTATTTGCCAGTCGGATGCATTACAGCGATTACAGACAAATTCAGTCAATGAGAGAGGCGCATCCTTGCAGTTATTTAGTTAGAGAACCAGTGTGTGATAATCTTTTCTACAGCAAGACACTGTTTTTCTGTAGGGTATTCATATTTATAAAGGGTATTTCTATCCATTATTTTATTGATCCTATTGGGATACAAAATGGTTAATTTAAAAAAAAATTTTATTGTGGAAAATTTCAAACAGACACAAAAATAGACCGCATACTAGACTAGACCCCCCAAACCTAGCATCCTCCTTTAATAGTTATCAATATTTTGCCAAGCCTGTTTCATTTATCCTGTCTCTTCCTCCTTTTTATTTTTTGCTAGGATATTCTAAAGCAAGCCCTAGATAACATATGGTTTCCACAATGCTATTATCATCTCCAGCAATGTCATAATTCATTTCATCATATCATTTAATAAATAGTCGATTGTAGAAAAGGTATCCTTACCCTATTTTCATTAACCCAGAAGAAAACAGAGGGTCAAAGACAAAAGCGATTTGCTCAAGGTCACATGGCTTCAGGAAACACACTGCCCTGGAGCTGGGCTCTTCTGACCACAAAGCCCAAGGTACTTTCCACTGTCACTCTGATGCTGGAGAAGCAGAAGAAATGGAGAGTAAAGTCAATGAGCCTTAGAGGCAAGATCCAGTTGGGGTGCTTCTCAGCAGGTAACTGAGCTGCAATCCTTTGTTCTTTGTGAGACTTGCTTAGATCTTTTTCCAGAACCAACCCAAACAGCATATTATAGACAGAACATACAAACCGGGCTGCCCATCCTCTCTGAAGCCATCTCATCCTGCATGCTAGGGCAACTTGAAACCTGTGGAGAGAAACAACAAGGGTGACAAGGCTACTCAGGAAGGAAATGAATCCATGACTTCAGGGACTCTCATCTGTTCAGTAATAGTGTGAAGTCCATTTCCTATGTCCCCTCACTTCCCAGAAGCCTGGTGAGGGCTGCCAGGGGGAAGGGAAACTGTCCAGAAGAGGTGAAGTAAGATCCATGTGCTAGCAAGCATCCCCTGGAGAGAAAGGAGATGAGGCAGCCAATCTGAAGACCTCCCAGGTAACATTTCAGTTGATGATCAGATCCCATCTCCTGGCCAGCATCCCCAGCCCTGCCTGGTGTGGTCCGTCCCTGTCTACATGCTGGCTCTTTTTTGAACAAGACAGATGTTGGGGGCCGGGCATGGAGGCTCATGGCTGCAATCCCAGCACTTTGGGAGGCCGAGGTGGGTGGATCACTCGAGGTCAGGAGTTCAAGACCAGCCTGGTCAACATGGTGAAACCCCGTCTCTATTAAAAATACAAAAATTAGCTGGGTGTGGTGGTGGGTGCCTGTAATCCCAGCTACTCAGGAGGCTGAAGCAGGAGAATCACTTGAACCCAGGAGGCAGAGGTTGCAGGGCGCAGCACTGCACTCCAGCCTGGACCCAGTCTCAAAAAAAAAAAAAAAAAAAAAAAAAGACAGATGTTGGGAGTCTTCTCCCAGACAGCTGATGTTCATTAAAATCGCAGAGAATGGGGATGGCCACCACATCCTGCAGCAAAAGAGATGCAGAAAGCATCCAGGAGAAGGACAAAAGGAAAGAAGGCACAGGATGGGGCAGAAAATAGGGCAAAGTAGCCAGAGACTGTGGGACTCCTCAGCAATGAGAGTGTTTATTTTCGTTATCCTGAGTCACCGGCTTCACAGTCTTGCCAGCTGTAAGGCTGCGTCATTCCTGATGTTGACATGTAGCCCGGAGGCAGGAAACTTCAGAATAGAGGAAAGGTGGCTTTTAAATAACAACAACCACCAACAGTGGTATGCTAACCCAGTCATGGGATCAAGACTCATTCATTGGCAGGTTCTCGAGGCAAAGGATGTTTATTTCAGAGTCCTAGAAGGCCAAACTTACATTGATACCTCAAGTGGTTTAGTGTGGGATTGAGTAGTGTAGTTTTCATTTTTCATTAGGAAAAAGTCTATTATATATTTGCCATTTTAAAAGGTTTAGTGTTAGTGCTATTACTTTATAATACACATATATACTTACATACATTCTTTGGTATGTATCAAATATATCAAAAAATTATGTGCTGCTGGGAAGCTAAAGTAGCCATACTTTTCCCTATTCTTCCAAGTCCAGTTAAAAATCCTGGATACTACATATAAAACAAACGTAAGAAAAACCTAAAAGGTGGTAGAAAGTAGACAGGTTAGGGATTTCGGGATCCAAGGAATAACACAGTGATGAGCTCTCTGGGTTTTCTGTCAATCTCATATGTCCCAGACTTGGAGCTAAAGAACCTGGCAACCTGAAAATGCCAAAGGGCACAGATAAAAATAAGAAAATTAAAATAAATAGGTGGGTGCAATGGCTTATGCCTGTAATCCCAGCACTTTAGGAGGCTGAGGTGGGAGGATCGCTTGAGGCCAGGAGTTCAAGACTAGCCTGGGTAACATAGCAAGACTCCTGTCTCTATTTAAAAGAATAAAAATAAATAAATATTAATAAATAAACCAACAAAAGTTTACTCTCACTAGCCAAAGGACCAAGAAAGAGGCAGAAGCCCTTTAGACAATAATTACTTTTTGCTCCAGTCAAACACTTCAGGAAAGACTATGTTCCTACTGCCAGCCATGTCCATGCTAGCAAAGATCAAATGGGAGGCCTGAATTTCCACCCCAACCCCCACCTGGAAGCAATGAGGTGCCCCTTCCACACACCACTGAGGAGACATCAAAGGAGGCCTAACGGAAAATCAGGACTGTCGCTTCAGCCCAGAGGTCACAAAGCCACCACCCTGTGGTATCAGTGGAGGTCACATGGAGAGGAATAATGAGGGGCTCTTACACCCTCCAGCCAGGGAGGAATCAGTGGAGGGCCAGTGAGGATCCCGGACTCTCCCACCCACCAGGTAATAATGAGGACTTCCCCCACCTTGGGTGTCAATGGGAGCTGAATGGGAAGTGTGGACTTCTTCTACCTGTCAATAATGAGGTGGCATCCTCCCCTTTCTCTGCCACAAGATGTCAGAGGAAGTCGTCTAACACAGAGGGTTAAGTAAGATTCAGAGACTCATCACATGGTACTCCTGAAAATCCAAGTTTCAACAGAAAGTCACTTGTCATATCAAGAACCAGGAAGATAGCAAGCTGAATGAAAAAAAATTGGCAATCAACAATCTATAGATGCAACATCAAGAAGAGAGAAATGTTAGGATGATCCAACAAAGACTGTAAAGCAGCCATCATAAAAGTGCTTCAATGGGCAGTTACAAACACACTCAAAGCAAGTGAACAAATAGAAAGTCTAGCAAAGAAATACAAAATCTCAGCAAAGAAATAGAAGATATAAAGAAAAACCAAATGAAAAATGTTGCATGAAAAAATACAATAACCAAAATTAAAAAAAAATTCAATGGATGAGTTCAATGGCAGAATGGAGGAGAAAAAGAATTGGTGAATTTGTAGACAGAGCAATAGAAACTATACAAGCTGAGCAAAAGAGAAAAAATTCACTGAAAAATATGAACAGAGTCATAGAGACCTGTGGGACTACAGCAAAAGATCTAGCATCTGTATCATATCATGAGGGAAGGGCTGAAAATATACTTGAAGAAATAATGACTGAAAATGTCCTGAATTTGGCAAGAGACATAAAGTGACAGATAGAAGATGCTGAATGACTCCAAACAGGAAACATTCAAAGAAATGAACAAGTCACATCATAATTAAACTTCTGAAAATTGAAGACAATGGAAAACTCTTGAAAGCAATGAGAAAGAAATAACAGCTTACCTATAGGGGAAGACAATTGAATGATAGATTTCTCATAAGAAACCATCAAAGCCAGAAGAAAATGGCACATTTTTCAAATGTCGAAAGAGAATACTGGTCAACACAGGATCCTACATCCAGCAAAAATATTCGGGAATAAAAGGGAAATCAAGACAAATCAGATGAAGGAAATTCAAGAGAATTTGTTACAAGCAGAGGTACTTGAAAAGAATGGCTGAAGGAAATGCTCTAAACAGAAAGGCAATAATACAAGAAAGAATTTTAGAGCGGGGGAAGGAACAAAGAACATGGTAAGCAAAAATATGAGTTATTATATAGGTTTTCCTTCTCCTCTTGAGTTTTCTAAATTATTTTTGATGGTTGAAGCAAAAATTATAGTCGGCTGATTTGTTAGGTAGAGGAAATATTTAAGACAATTATACTTGCCAGGTGCAGTGGCTCATGCCTATAATCCCATTGCATTGGGAAGCCAAGGCAGGAAAATCACTTGAGGCCAAGAGTTAAAGACCAGCCTGGGCAACATAGGAAGGCTCCTGTCTCTAGAAAAAAAAAAAAAAAAAAAAAAAAGCTAAGGGTGGTGATGCACACATTTATAGTCCTAGCTCCTTAGGAGACTGAGGCGAGAGATTACTTGAGCCCAGGAGTTCGAGGCTACAGTGAGTTATGATTGTGCCACTGCATTCCAGCCTGAGTGACAGAGCAAAACTCTGTCTCTAGAGAAAAACAAAACAAAATAAAACCAGACAACTGCAAAAAGAGAAGGTAAAAGGGGCGTCAAGGGAAGTTAGGATTCTACAGTTCATTCAATCAGGTAAAATGATGACACTAGTAGACTGGCAATTTATTTTATATAGATATAAATATATATAGAACATAATACCTAGAGCAACCACTTAAAACTATCAAAAGAGATATACCCAAAACACCATACATAAATCAAAATCAAAATGGAATTCTAAAAAGTGTTGAAGGAACCCGTAAGAAGAAAGAAAAAAGAAAATAGATAAAGGAAAAACAGAGAACAAACAAAAACCAAAAAATAAACTGGTAGTCTTAATTTTAATATACCAATAATTATATTAAATGCCCATGGTCTAAATACAGCAATTAAAATACAGAAATTGGCAGAGTGAATCAAAAAGCATGAACTAACTATATGTTGTTGATAAGAAACTTACTTCAATCATAAAGATATAGGCAGGTTTTAAAAGATATAAAAAGATATATCATGCAAATATTATTCAAGAGAAAGCAGGAGTGACTATATCAACTTCAGATAAAAAAGACTTCACAGCGAAGAAAATTATAATAAAAGGGTCAATCCACAAAGAAGACAGAGCAATCCTTCATGTATACACACAAAACAACAGTGCTGCAAAACATTTGATATAATGGATAGAAGTGAAATGAAGGTAGATAAATCCATAAGAATAGTTGGAGTCTTCAATACTCCTTCCTCAACAAGAAGCTCTTAACATAAGAGCTTAGATTAGTGACTTGAGACATTTCCTCTTTTAAAGGTAAAATTTAGATCTAAACATTTCCCTCTCAGGAGTGCTTTAATTGTGTCCCACAAATTTTGAAACGTTATACTCACTTTGGATATTGCTCTGTTTTTCCACAGGCAAATGGTGAAAGAAACTGTGGTACATCCATACTATGGAATATTATTCAGCAACAAAAAGTACTGAACTCTTGACACTTGCAAAAACCTGGATGAATTTCCAGGGAATTATGTTGAGTGAAAAAGCCAATCTTGAAAGGTTTCATGCTTTATAATTCCATTTATATAATGTTCCTGAAAAGGACAAAATTATAGAGATGAAGAACAAATTAGTTGTTACCAGAGGCTAATGAGGGGGTGGCAGTGGAAGAGAAGTGGGCATGGCTATCAAAGTACAACATGAAATTTTCATGTGGTGGTAAAAATGCTCTCTATCTCGATGGTATCAATGTCAATATGCCAGCTATGACATTGTACTGTATCATAAGATATTCTACTATAGTTTTGCAAGATGTTTTTATCAGGGGAATCTGGCTAGAGAGTATAGGGAATCTCTCTATCATTTTTTACAATCACATGTGAATCTAAAATTATCTCCAAATAACAAGTTTGATTTTTAAAAATATGCCATGCTCCTATAGTCCCAGGTACTGGGAGGCTGAGGCAGGAGGATCACTGGAGTCCAGGAGTTCCAAACTGTAGTGTGATATGATCATGCCTGTGAATATCCACTGCACTCCAGCCTGGGCAACAAAGCAAGATCCTGTCTCTAAACATATATAATTATATATTAATATATAAACATATATATATATGTTTATGTTACATTTTCCAAAACAGATATATGTATCCATCTAATATACCCTATCTATTTACATTTATATTGGATGGATATATATGTATCCATATATGTTACTTTTTCCAAAACAGATATATTTATCCATCCAATATAAACGTATGTGTATATATATATATTTATATTTATGTTGGGTGGATATATATATCCATATATGTTATATTTTCCAAACATATATATATATCCATCATATATATATATATCCATCATATATATATCCATCATATATATATATCCATCATATATATATATCCATCATATATATATATATCCATCATATATATATCCATCATATATATATATCCATCATATATATATTTATATTGGATGGGTATAAGCATATTGGAAGATGTATCTGTTTTGGAAAATATAATATATATGAACATATATCCAGCTAATATAAATGTAAATAGATAGATTTACACAGATAGATAGATAGATAGATAGATAGATAGATAGATAGATAGATAGATAAAGGGGAAAATAAACCTCATGGGGTGCTGATATCTGAGATCCAGAGATCCGTCCCTTTCTTCAGGCAGTCTTTTTAAGTGCCCAAGATAAACTATATGGATGCCAGCTTTATCACGGATGAATTATTCTGGTAGAATCAAAGGTATCCTGTAATAATCTAGTTGTTCTCAATCCTAGCTGCAATATTAGAATCACCAGAATTGGGGGAAAGGTTAAAGAATACTGACACCAAGGGCTTTATTCTCTCTTCCTCAATCAGAATATTAATTTATTTAGTCTGCTGTAAAGCCAAGTGTTAGTATCTTTAAAGTAATTTTAAAAATCAAATTTCAAAAATACACAGAGGTAAAGAGAAACATGTGATGAGCCCCCACGTAGCCACCCATCATTCAGCCTCAATCACTGTCAACATTTCTCCAATCCATTATGTTGCTTACTGCCCTCAGCTTTTTTGGTGGTGGTTGTTAGAGTTTTAGGATTTTAAAGCAAGTCTCAAACATGATTATAATTTTGACTCTAATACTTCAGTATGCGTCTCTAACAGATAAGGACTACGCCTGTGTGTGCATGTGTGTATATGCACGCATATAATGCTGTTATCACACCTAAAGAAATGAACAATAATTTCCTTTTTTTTTTTTTTGAGACAGAGTCTCGCTCTGTTGCCCAGGCTGGAGAATAATTTCTTAATAATATCTGATAACCCAACTGCAAGTTCAGATGTCCCTGACTGGCTCAAAAATGCCTTTTTACAATTGGATTGTTTGACTGATTGAGTTAGAACCATGATTCAAACAAGATCCACACATTTTATTTGGATGAGAGCCCTCTAAAGCTCTTTTAATCTGTGCCAGTCCCTTCTTGTATTTTTCCCATTCATTTGTGGAAGAAATCAGGTCATTTGTTTATAGAATATTCCATCTTCTAAACTTGCCTTACTGCTTCCACGAGGCTGTTTAACTTGTTCTTCAGCAGTGACATTTTAAAAGCTCCTCAAGTGACTCTAATATACACTCGTGGTTGAAATCTATTATCCTAATCCTAATCCAAGCCCACAGGTTAAAGCTCAGGAAGCAGAGATTTGGAGAGACAGAGAGACTTCCTCTCCATCACATAGCTAGTTTTTGATTGGATCCAGGTCTCCTAATTTACAATCCAGTGGTTTCTCCCACTGTGCTTTGCCTTTGAAAGATGACTGCAGCCCATTCATTCATTCATTCATTGGTTCACTCACTCATTCATTCATTTGACACATATTTATTATGTGCCAGACCTTGGGACGAACACTTGGGAAACAGTAGGGAGGAAGATAGATGTATCTCTGCTTGTTTAAATCATAATTTTCCAAAACAGATTTCTAGTCTCTTTCTCTACAAAAGTACCCTAGACATTTAGGCATGTTGAACCAAGTTATTGCTCAGAATTTAATGTTCTGGTTTCAAAATGTATTTTGCTAAATAAGATGGATTATTATTTAATACATTTTCTGTAAAAATCATTCTTAGTCATAGTGATGATAAGCTCCATGATGATTAAAGATGCTTCCATTCTATATGACATACTAAGTAACAGGGTGACGAATTATGCTCCCAGGGAATCCAGCAATTGTGGATATGGGAGCAATTTCAGAGAGCCAAGGGAATCTTCCCTCAATAGGAGGTGAGTGAGGGTCTCCTGGGACTCTCACAGGCATGGCCTTCCTTTAGGGCCGAGAGTCAGGAAACCTGTTTAGATATTGCAAACCAGGGCCTGGCTCAGAAACCACAAAATAAGTGATACCTCCACCACTAGTAAAACTTCGCAGTGACTTTCTAGAGCCCACAGGACAGAGTCTAACCCCTTGGTATGACAGGCCTTCCATGACCTGGTCTCTACCCTCCTTCCCTGGTCAACCTCCCAGGTACATTTCTCACTCCAGCTGTACTGAACTGAACTCTTCTGAGGTTCCAAGCCCATCTATTTCACTCATCCTCCAGGCTCTTCTCAGAATGGCTGGCAAACTCTTACTTCTTCAATAGTCAGCTCAATCATGTTCTTCTTTATAAAACTATCCTTGATTTACTCAAGCAAAGTTGAGTCCTCTTCCTCTTGCCACGATGGTGCCAGAATTTCACCTTGCTTGCTGTGCGTGTTACACTGCAGTGCAGTGACTGCTTAAAGGTCTCTTCCTTTAAGACCACGCAGCAGCTACCATGTTTCTAGCTGTGGTTGTCAAAGTGTGTTCCCCAGACCACAGCTTTAGTATCATGTGGGAACTTACTGAAAGTTCTTTACCCATACCTCCTAAACTAGGGATTCTCGAGGTAGGGTCTAGCCTTCCAGGTGATTCTAATGCACATTCAGGTTTAAGAACCACTGGCTTAGTACAATGCCTGGACTGAACAGGCGCTCCACTTACAATGTGTCTATTGACCTGAACTAAACAAACTCTTACTTCCTCCAGAGGAGTTAGGCAAGTCTGATGATATTATCTTGAGCTACCAATAGAGTCCAAGCCAAGGTACTTCAGGGTTCTTCTCAAAATCCTATAAAGAGGTGCTTATCTGTACCAGCAGGCACTTCCCATGTTGTCTCTCCCCTAATATCTGACTTTGATCTCCTTTAATAATAACTGCACTCAAGGTTACAAAACTTCAGATTCCCCCTTTGGCTGTAAGAAGCTAGACAGACCGTCCCTTCCATGTGAGATAATCATCCACAGCGCTTCAATGGCCCTGTGATTTGTGTTTCCCTGGACTCTAGTTTGGTTGGCCTCACTGCTTAGTCAACAAGAAATAAAAGGCCGGGCATGGTGGCTCACGCCTGTAATCCCAGCATTTTGCAAGGCCAAGGCAGGCAGATCACCTGAGGTCAGGAGTTTGAGGCCAACATGGTGAAACCTTGTCTCTACTAAAAATACAAAAAATTATCTGCACATGGTGGTGGATGCCTGTAATCCCAGATACTCAGGAGGCTGAGGCAGGAGAATCGCTTGAACCCGAGAGGCAGAGGTTGCAGTGAGCCGAGATGGTGCCATTGCACTCCAGCCTGGGCAACAGAGCAAGATCCTGAATAAAAAACAAAAACAAAAAAAAAAAGAAGAAAAGAAATAAAAAATAACATTTTCTGGCAGGGTGAAATGGTTCACGCCTGTAATCTCAGCATTTTGGGAGGCCAAGGCGGGTGGATCACTTGGGCTCAGGAGTTCCAGACCAGCCTGGGCAACATGGTGAGACCTTGTCTCTATAAAAAATACAAAAATTTAACCAGATTTGATGGTGTGTGCCTGTAGTCCCAGCTACTCAGGAGGCTGAGGTAGGAAGATCCATTGAGCCAGGGAGGTTGAGGCGGGAGTGAGCCATGATTGCACCACTGCACTCCAGCCTGGGCCACAGAGCAAGACCCTGTCTCAGTGAATAAATAAATAAATAAATAAATAAATAAATTTTCTCTTCTTCCCCTAAGTCCAGGATATTTTATTTTGAAGATATACCTTTAACATGAGTATGTGTGTTTGGGGACAAAAAGTCAGAGAAGAAAAAACAAAAGTCAGCAGAAGCCTCAGCCAGAAATCTAGCCGAGTTCCACCTGGACCCAGAGGATGCCCGTGGCTATTCTCTTTGCAACTTCACCTTGACCAGCTCTGATTTTGTGGTGTCTCCTTCTGGGTTGGGCTCTGTTTCTATGAACTCTTCCTGCCCCGCAGCCCGCACTGTTCCTAGTTTGATCAGGTTTCACTGGTCGGTTCATACTCCTTTTCTTCATGACTGCTTGTCCCACATTGGTCCCTACTTTTTCAGTTTTCTGTTTAACTACCTCTATAGCTCCCTAATAAAGGAGAATCTCACATGTCCTTCACCCTTCTTCCATGTTTAAAATTACATTTTTGGAGGGGAAAAGCTGGCACATGATTCAAAAAGAAAGCATATTTGAAATTGTGGTTGAAATTTTGTCTGTATGGCCGTTATACCTTGTAGCAGGTGTTGGTGTCTTTCTAGGTCCTCTGGGATATTTTATACATACACATGTTGACTTACAGATAAAGATATATTGTATACATTGGTTACATTATGGAGTAGAATACTGAAAGTGGGCTGGGGATAGGAGAAACATGTAAGTAAAAAAATATGCAAATTTCTTCCTTTTTTTTTGAGACAGGGTCTCACTCTGTTGCCCAGGCTGGAGTGCAATGGTGCAATCGCAGCTGACTGCAGCTTCAACTTACTGAGCTCAAGTGATCCTCCTGCCTCAGCCTTGTGAGTATCTGGGACTACAGATGCACACCACTGTGCCAGGCTATTTATTTTTTATTTTTATAGAGACAAAGTCTTGCTATGTTGTCTAGGCTGATGTCAAACCCCTGGCCTCAAGTGGTCCTCCACCTCAGCCTCCCAAAATGTTGGGATTACAAGCATGAGCCACTGTGCTCACCCAGTTCTTCCAGTTTATTTAAGACTTTTTGGAAATGATCAAACCCAGTGTTAGAACCTCTAAAGGCAGACATTGAGTCTTCCTAGAAACTAATGATATTGGTAAAACAAGAAAACTATCAATGTTGTACCTTCTATTGTAAGATAGCAGGTAAAGAAGCCCCTAGGAATTTTAGAAATGCTAGGCATCAAAATATCTTCATATGGAAAAATACCTAACCAAATAATCAAAGTAAATTCTAGGGAATAAGGTTCTGGTTACAAAATGCATTTTCTTAAATAAGATGCATTATTATTTAGTACATTTTCTGTAAAGATCATTCTTAGTCATAGTGATGATAAGCTCCGTGATGGTTAATGATGATCCCACTGTGCATTACATAGTAAGTAAGAGGGTAAGATATTATGCTCCCAGGGAATTCCAGCAATTGTGGATATGAGAGCAATTTCAAAGAGCACCTATGAGAGCCAAGGGAATCTTCCCTCAAGAGGAGGTGAGTGAGGGTCTCCTGGGTCTCTGCCTATGACCCTCACAGTCATGGTCTTCCTTTAGAGCTTCGAGTCGGGAAACTTAGCTAGTTATTTCAAACCAGGGCCTGGTTTAGAAACCATAAAATAGGCCAGGCGTGGTGGCTCACGTCTGTAATCCCAGCACTTTGGGAGGCTGAGGCGGGTGGATCATGAGCTCAGGAGTTTGAGAACAGCCTGGCCAATATGGTGAAACCCCATCTCTACTAAAAACACAAAAACTAGCCAGGCGTGGTGGCGCAGGCCTGTAGTCCCAGCTACTCGGGAGGCTTAGGCAAAAGAATCTCTTGGACCTGGGAGGCAGAGGCTGCAGTGGGCCAAGATCGTGCCCTGCACGCCAGCCTGGGCGACAGAGTGAGACTCCGTCTCAAAAAAAAAAAAAAAAAAGAAACCATAAAATAGGTGATAGCCTACTCCCACACTGGATTGTTAGAAACGTTTCACTGAACAATATCCTTTTAACTTACCGCAGTTCTTCTGGCAGAGAGAGAGGAGAGAGAGAGAGAGGGAGACAGAGAGAGGCCTGCACTTCTCTGAAATTATCCTTCCACAACAATGCACTATCTTTTCCTAATAAGGCCGTCCACACTCTCAGACAGAATTAGCCACATAATGCTGTGCAGCTATTCAAGTTCTCTATGCCACGGAATGTCCGACACCAAAATGACAAACATCTATTTATGTGTTTAGTGATAACAGTGTTTATCTACCATTCAATCACTTCTCTTACATCTTACAAAAAAAGGCTCTGCTCTTGGTAATGATCCTGGCCTGAATTTCTCCCAACCAAACATGGGAACTCAAAAGTTACCACCAATGCTGTCTAAAGTTATAGCACGCTTTCCAAATGGGCCTATTTTTGCCATTTTAAAGCTGAAGATAACAAATAGTTAATGAGCGAGGCATTCATCTGGAGGTGGTGGTAGCAGAAGAATGAGTTTATTCTGGCCACGGGCCTGGAACGAAATCTCTTTTCTCCTTCGAGTGGCATTTTATTATGTTCGAGGTGCATTCTCTTTCTGGTTTGTCCCAAACTAAATTGAGTATGGAATGCACTCCAGTACAAACAGAACCCAGCTTGCTTGATAATAAAACTGGGGCTGGGCCTGCTGGTAATATATTGCAGTGTTATAGTCAAAAGTCTTTCTGGAGGAGAAAGAAAAAGCCAGAGTCATTGTTGATATGTATGAAAACCAGGAGTTGTTCAAGGATGCAGATCCATCCCTTTCCTTCCCTGCATTCTCCGAGTGGAGAGGGGTGATTTGGTGATGCAGTTTGATGAATTCTCAAGGGACAACTGTCTCAGAGAACTCAGGGAGCAAGACAGGGGAAAAGTAGTTGGGGATAGGAAGAGAGAAGAAAAGGTAAGACATTAATGCTGGAGAAGGCAGCAGGCAGGGAATGTCTTTCCGTAGGAGTTACTGGAAAGATTTGAGAGAGATTTTTCTGATCCAAAGACTCTGGGCAAAGAATACATCTGTCTTTCTTTTCCTTAAAAGAGATAGGTGTCTTAGGAAGACTTTGGTCTGGGAATAAAGTCTTTTGCTAATTCTCAATCACACAAAGAATATTCATTTGTTAGGCCAGGTGGAAGATCGCCCAGAAGGAAGTAATAAACTTGCTAACGGAGACTAAGAAATCTCTGTGATCTGATCAGCATGGAATGTCACGAAGGAAACTGACTTGGGCATGGGGATGACTGAGAGTTGAGTTTTGAGATAAACTGGAGGTGTGGCCACAGAAAAATGATTTGAGGACTCTGTGACTCAGTTTCTCCACCTGTAAAATGAGGGAGTTGTACCCAACGATCTAGGATTCTTCTTGAATCCACATTCCATGACTCTGGTCATGGTGAAGACCCAGCCCAGCAAAAGGAAGGTGCTGTTCCTCCCAGAATCCTGCTCAAGGACCACATCCCACTGCTGTGAAATGGGAGACATTGAGGTTCTTCCAAACATCATGAAACCCAACTGAAGCTGCAGGAGGTCAAGGCTCAATAGCAGCCTTGGCTTTGACTTTTGCATTGAAAGCCCAGATGGAAGAGACAGGCTCTTCTTCTGTGGTGTGAAATCCAACCCCTATCCCACTTGCTTAGCAGCACCATGCTGAAGTGATGTAACTATTAAAATGATGGTGATGATGATGGTATTACTACTGATAACCAGAGATAACACTTGATGAACACTTACTATCAGATGAGCCCCTTTCTAAGCACTTTACAGGTATTAAGTCATTTATCCTCTCTACAACTTTTGTCTTCAGTTTTACAGATGAAGACATCAAGACATGAAAAGCTTGGGTAACTTGAGTTAGGTCAGGCAGCTATTCAGCTGTGGGGCTGTAATTTGCTCTCCATCAAGCAATTGCAGTCAACACCATTCCTGTTTATATACTACTTTGTGACATCTCTTTTTGTCGTCTTGTATTGCATCTCTGCTTCAACTCTTCAGTGGCTCCATGTCACCTCGATTAAAAGATAAAAGCCAACCCCTTGGTAAGGAGCATCCTCTGACTGGATCATGCTCCCTCCCTGCCCTGTTTTTCTTGCCTAGTAACCAACCCACCTCCATGTCCACCTGGCAAATCCCTGCCCAGTCTTTGGGTCCTGCACAGGTCTTTTCTATGGTTTGAATACATGTGTCCCTCCAAATTTGCATGTTGGAAATTAACTCCCAAGGTCATGGTATTAGCGGTGGGGCCCTTGGAGGTGATTAAACTACGAGAGCTCTGCCCTCATGGGAAGGATTAGTGCCCTTATGCTGGGGCTTGAGGAAGAGCGGTTACCCCTTTTTTGCCATTTTGCCCTCTGTCCATTTCGGTATGTGAGGACATAGCATTTGTCCCCTCTGGGGGACACGGCAACAAAGCACCATCTTGGAAACATAGAATGAGCCCTTACCAGACACAAAATCTGTCAGTGCCTTCATCTTGGACTTCTCAGCTTTCAGAACTGTGAGAAATAAATTTCCATTATTTATAAATTATCCAGTTGGTGGTATTTTGCTATAGCAGCAGGAATGGAGCCAGACACCCTTCTAGGTAGACTTTTCGGATTCCTCCAGGCAGAAGGAAGCGCTTCTTCCCATGTTTCCCCACATTCTCTCCATTCAACCACCTCTCTGTTACAGGTCTGACCTCCTAGTACTAGAACTGCCTGCTTGTGTCCTATCTGTTTCCCCACTGGACTGGGAGCTGCACTGGATCTTATATATTTTTGTCTTCCCAGTGTCTTGAGCATAGTGGGCTTTCAATAAATATTTGCCGAATTGAATTATATTACTATGTAGTCTTGGATTTACATGCCTTCCCAAGTCAAATTTTAGATCATAAATCCTTGGAAGGCAAACATAAATCCTCTACAGTACATGTCCTAGAGCTGGGAGCATTGCTGATGCTAAGTAAATATTTATTAGGTGGTTGAGTAAATAAACAAGTACTTTCTGGAAAGGCTTTGACATAAAATAAGTAAAACGGAAACTTTGATCCAGTTATCAGGAGAAACACCCAATTTGGGGGATAATATCCACAGAGGTAACCAATGAGCTTGAAATGGTGGATAGTGAAAAATGAGGACATTGTTTCAGGAACAAAGAGCAACTAAAATGTTGCACAAGGAATATTGTGTTTTTTTTTTTCGAGACAGAGTCTCACTTTTTCACCCAGGCTGGAGTGCAGTGGCACGATCTCGGCTCACTGCAACCTCTGCCTCTTGGGTTCAAGCAATTCTCTGCCTCAGCCTCCTAAGTAGCTGGGATTACAGGTGCCTGCCACCACGCCCGGCTAATTCTTGTATTTTTAGTAGAGACAGGGTTTCACCATCTTGGCCGGGCTGGTCTTGAACTCCTGACCTCGTGATCCACCTGCCTCAGCCTCCCAAAGTGCTGGGATTACTGGTGTGAGCCACCGTGCCAGGGTGGAATACGGTCCTTTAGATTAGGAGAAGAGACTTATGAGTGTAGCATTAATCGATGTTTCATGCAATGAGAAATCTGTCTCCAAATTTTATTTTCCTCTTGAGATTGTACTGTTTACATTAAGCCAAAACCACTTTGATGCATTCATGCCATTGACTATTTTTTCTGCTAAATTTCAAGAAAGATAGCCAGGTGTGGCAGTTCGAGACCAGGTTGGGCAACATAGCAAGATCTCATCTCCAAAAAGAAAAAAAAATCAAGAAAGAAAATGCTTCCAACAGTCTACAAAGATAAACATACTTTCTTTATTGTCTCTTTGTCCAGTTACTTTCAAATAGTTCTACAGAATGCAATGTATTGAGATTTCTGGCCATGGAAAAAAACTTCTCACAATCTACAGATAAAAATCTTGAAAAGTTAGGCAAAACCACAGAGGAAATGTTTAAACAATAATAGATTCCTTATTTTCTTTTTTTAAAGGCTTAAACATTTATTTAAAGTAATTCTTATTTTCCACTTAATGTCATTTAAAAGGAGACTTCGGAATAAGATTTTCTTATAGGGCCCCAACTTAATCTATTACCCCTTAGAAACCCCTCACTCCCCAGAGATGGTCTCAAAATTTGGGTGGGAGTTTGTTGTTGCTGTTGCTTTTAGGTGGAAATGACTCTGTGGCCCATTTATTTATTTCTCATTTACTTCAAAAGATACAGTCCTGGAGGAGAAGAGATGAGCAAATCCAATGTGTGCTTTAAATATTTTCGTAATTGTTTCTGTATGTGTTTCTGGAAAGGGACTTTTTTTTTTTTTTTTGCTAAAGAATAGTCAAGAATATTACTGGCAGATGGAGTCCATCTGGAAAAGTGTTTAAGAATCATAGACTTTTTGTCTTAACAGGGGTTGATGGTCTGGTCCGACCTTTTCAGATGAGGAAACTGAGACCTCTCAGGGGTCTTGCAGAGGAGATGCCAGATGCAGGCAGAGTGGGGGATCCCATCCAGGTTTCCCAGTGCCCAGTCCAGTGGGCCTGCTGACAGTGCCGTGGCCTCGCAGAGTAGCTCTGCTTGTTTATCGTGACTTTGAAGGAAATCATTGGTTTAGGAAAACTCCTACACTATGGAGATTCTTTGTCAAAAAATATCCTAGATAATAAATCTACTTTATAAGCATGTGCGTTGTTGAATGGCAGGAAATGGAGAGGAAGAGGCACAGAAGTGAAGCCAGGAATGGGACAGCACATGAGCTAAAAATAAATAAATAAATAACTCTTGGCTGGATATGGTGGCTCACACCTGTAATCCCAGCACTTTAGGAGGCTGAGGCAGGTGGATCACCTGAGGTTGGGAGCTCAAGACCAGCCTGGCCAACACAGTGAAGCTCCGTTTCTACTGAAAAAAAAAAAATAAAAAATAAAAGAAAAACATTAGCTGGGCATGGTGGCACGCGTCTGTAATCCCAGCTACTCGGGAGGCTGAGGCAGGAGAGAAGCGCTTGAACCCGGGAGGTGGAGGTTGCAGTGAGTGGAGATCACGCTACTGCAGTCCAGCCTGGGTGATAGAGCAAGACTTTTTTTCAAAAAACAAAAAAACTCCTACAGGGACTTTTTGAAACACTAATTTAAATCATGGTTTTGTTTGTTTGTTTGTTTTTTAAGTCATCCATTGATGAAAAAAGATGACAGGCTCTCTAAGCCTTATAAATCATAGAATACTGGCCAAATAAATACAGCATAAAGTTGGTTAGGAAGGATGAGATTTGAAAATAGATGCAAGGTAGGTAAAGAATGTTCGTGCTAGACCCGAATAGCATACGTTTAAGTCTCTCGTTACAATGGAAGTGTTGAAAAGAATTAGAAATGAATTATATACAAATGGGCAGAAAAGACAAGAAGATACCTGCTCCAGGTAAGATAGGGCAGAAATTAGAAGCCTCGCTTACCAGGAGTGTAAAGTGTGATTTTAAGAACTCTCTGGAAGGCCCTGGCCTGATAGGAGATGAACAGCTCCCTGCGTGGGAAGTCTTTGCTTGTGTCACTAGATGATCCATCTCAACTATCCTAAGGGGTGACCCCATGGAAAATGGACCAAAGGGTAATTCCATCATATCTATCAAAATGTAAAATGCATACAGCCTTGGTGCAGCAATTCAACTCCAAGGAATTTGTCCAACTGATATACTTCCAAGTATGTACCAAATACATGTAAAAGGATGCATTGTAGTATTTTTTTATAATTACAAAATAATAGAAATAACCTAAATGTCCATATGTGGGGGACCTTTATTCCAGTTTCCCATAAGTTTCTCATTTCCATCTGAGGCCTTGTCAGCCTGGCCTTTGCTGGCCATATTTCTATCAGTATTTTGGTCACAACCATTTTAACTAGTCTCTAAGAAGTTCCAAACTTTCCCTCATCTTCCTGTCTTTTCCTGAGCCCTCCAAACTCTTCTAGCCTCTGATCATTATCCAGTTCCAAAGTTGCTTCGACATTTCCAGGTATCTTTCTAGCAACACCCCACTTCTTGGTACCAATTTTCTTTGTTAGGTCATTTTGCATTGCTAAAAAGAAATAACTGAAGCTGGGTAATTTGTGGAGAAAGGAGGTTTCATTGACTCATGGTTTTGCAGGCTGTGCTAGCATGGCACCAGCATTTGCTTAGCTTCTGGGGAGGCCCTCAGGAAGCTTACAATCATGGCAGAAGGTGAAACTGGAGCAGGAACATCACATGGCAAGAGCAGGAGCAAGAGGGAGGCAGAAGGTGCCACAGCATTTTAGATAACCAGATCTCATGAGAACTCACTCACTATCATGAGGACAGCACCAACACCAAGACATTCATGAGGCATCTTCCCCTAAAACCTCCCACTAGGCCCCACCTCCAAGCTGGGGATTACATTCTTTTTTTTTCTTTTTTTGAGATAGGTCTCATTCTGTCATCCATGCTGGAGTGCAATGGTGCGATCAAAGCTCACTGTAGCCTGGAAACTCTAGGCTCAAGCAATCCTCCCACCTTAGCCTCTTGAGTTACTGGGACTATAGGCATGCATCACCACACCTGGATAATTTTTTTTTTTTTTGTAGATATGGGGTTTTGCCATGTTGTCCAAGCTGGTCTCAAACTCCTGGGCTCAGGGGATCCTTCCACTCCTGCCTCCCAAAGTGCTAGGATTACAGGCATGAGCCACCACATGTGGCCAGGGATTACATTTCAACATGAGATTTGGAGGCAACAAACATCCAAACTATATCAAGTAAGAAAGGCAAGAAGGGCTAGGAGTCTAGCTCATGAAAAAGTAGGGTAATGGGTAGTAGGGACTGGCTCACTTGGAGTTTTGTGAGCCATAGTAGTTTGGATTTTATCCTCACTTCAGTGGGAGGCATTGGAGGATTTAAGCAGACGAGTGATATGATCTGATTTACATTTTCTGGAAGATCACTCTGGCCACTGTGGGGGGAGGATTTCAGTGAGATGAGTGTAATCAGAGCAGCTGGAAGGCTGCTGAGATACCCCAGGTGAAAGATGACAGCGGCTACAATGGTGAGATCCTGGGAAATGGTGAGAGGTGATGGGTGTGGGGTGTATTTTGGAGGTGGAGCCCATAGGACTTGCTGATGTGTGGGAATGAAGTAAAACAGAATCAAGAATGACTCCTTGGTGTTTGTCCTGAGCAACTGGGCATATGGGGGTACCATTTAGTTCAGAGGGGGAAGATTCTGGAAGGACCAAGTTTGGGGAAGAAAGGGGAGAAAAAGATCAAGTGTTCTGTCTGGATCCTGTTCAGTTTAAGACTCCAATTCAACACTCAAGTAGAAACTTCAAATATGTAGCTGAAAAGGTTATTGTTACAGATGAAAATTTGAGAAAGAATGATTTAGAATTAGATGGTGACATGGTTTGGTTGTGTCCCTACCCAAATCTCAACTTGAATTGTAGTGTATCTCTAAATTCTCACGTGTTTTAGTAGGGACCCAGGAGGAGCAAATTAAATTGTGGAGGCCGGTCTTTCCCATGCTATTCTCACGATAGTGAATAAGTCTCATGAGGTCTGAAGGGTTTATCAGGGCTTTCTGCTTTTGCTTCCTCATTTTCTCTTGCCACTGCCATGCAAGAAGTGCCTTTTGCCTCCCACCATGATTCTGAGGCCTCCCCAGCCAAGTGGAACTGTAAGTCCAATTAAACCTCTTTTTCTTCCCAGTCTCAGTTATGTCTTTATCAGCAGGGTGAAAACAGATTAATACAGATGGCTACACATAACAAACAATCCTAAATATCAGTGATTTACATAAGCCCAGGTTTTTCTTCTTTTCCACTTAATGAAAATCTGGAGCTAGGCAAGTAGGGGCTGATATGGGGTGGGGGGGGGGGTCCAGTATTGGCAAGGAAGCAGGCACTTGTCTTTTAGCTTTATCATCCTCAGCATGTGTCTGCCACCCTTAAGGTTACCCATGGTCCAGTAAGTAGGGACTATGGAGCTTTTATCATTAATTCCACATCCCAGGTAGTAGGAAGACTGTGGCAAGGATCAAAGCTGCAGCTGCAGGTCCCTTTGAAGAGCCTTCTTTTTTTTTCTTTTTTTTTTTTGAAGACAGGGTTTTCCTCTGTTGCCCAGGCTGGAGTGCAGTGTTGTGAACACAGCTCACTGCAGCCTTGACCTCATGGGCTCAAGTGATCCTGCTGCCTCAGCCCCCTAAGTAGCCAAGACTACAGGTGCACACCACCACACCTGGCTAATTCTTGTATTTTTTGTAGAGATGAGGTTTTGCTATGTTGCCCAGGCTGGTCTCGAACTCCTGAGCTCAAGAGATTTGCCTGCCTTGGCCTCTCAAAGTGCAGGGCTTACAGGTGTGAGTGAGGAGCCTTCTTTACATGCTGTCTGACATGTCATTGTTCAGAACTTAATTACACGGTTGCAAGGGAATGTGGTAAGTGTAGCCTTTTCATAGGGTGCCTTGCAGCCCTTAATAACATCTGTCATTAGATTTCTAAATAATGGGTACAGTCTTGGCTATAAGAGTCATCAGTGCAAACAGTGTTTACAGCCATGGCATTGGACGATGACGTGATCGGCAGAGGAAGGGAAACCAATCACAGAGGTGCTCATCCACAGCTGTAACGTGCCTCTGGCTCACAGAAACATGGAGCACCAGAGCTTGGCTTGGCTTGTATTGGTCATTCTTTGTCTTATTCCTGGGCCATGCATTTTTATAGCACGTGTTTGTCCTTTTCCTTTTGACCTACTTTACCCTTATACAACCTAGTTGAGTTTTATGCACTCTTTCAAGAAGCCCTTCTAGAACACGACTGTGTATAAATAAATAACAAACAAAGCTTTGATCAGTCTTCCTCTGTCAGAATGGGGAAAGAAGGCGAAAGAAGTAGAAAAAGAGGAAGTAGAGGAAGGGAAAGGGGCAGGAAATGAGTGGAAAGCAAACTGAGTGATTGAGGAGATTTTTGTTGGGGGTCGGGGAGATGCCTCAGAGCTTGTGTATTTACATGAGTCATCTGGACACGCTGAAACCCAGTTTCAACTTGAAGGGTTCCTCTCCAACCAACTGCTTCCTGGGGTCTGTCTGGAGAGTTACCAGAAGGTAATCTTCAACTAGAAGTGATTATTAGGTGGGCATAGGCAGCTGTTGTTGGCAAAGGAAATGCATTTCTTTTTGCTTACCTGTGACCAGTGGTTTGAGTCTCATGGAAGAAGCTCTCAATGATAGAAACTGAAGTCAGTGCCACATATGTAATTATATAAAGAACTTTGTGATTGCAGCTCAGGAAATGGTCTGGGTTTCAGACGTCCTCTGTCCTCACTGATGATGGCTGAAACTGAGGGTTTCAAAGTCTCTGGTTGGTGCCAGAGGGTACAGTTGGGTACAGAAAAGTGAGGAAATACTCTGGAGTCAAATAAAAATGCAAGAAGCAGAGAGCTTTTGAGGATATACAATGTGACGCTTAATGTTTGTCTTCCTTAAATGTCCTCAGTGCCACCATGACTAAGTTCTGGAAACAGAGAATCCTGTTTTGATTCTGTGACTCAGAGGGCATAATATGTTGGCTCTTTGCCCTGGGGCCCAGGGTATCCAGTGAAGCAAAAACAACTAGGCTACAGCTGCACTTCCCTGTGCTGCATGCTGCAGGGGCTGGAACCAGAAAGGCCACAGGGAATCTGAGAAAATTCACTTCTCTTAAGCTTCTCACTATTTCTCCAAAGCAAAGACAGGAGGGCTGCTGCCAGGACTGTGAGAGTTTGTACAGTATTGTGGTGCAATTGCAAAAGGCGTGCTTTCTCCTGGCAGGTGCAGCCCCCACACAGGGCTCAGCATGTGGTTAGTGGAGAACAGGCTGGATTTAGGTCCCCATCCTCCCTCTCAGCAGAGCATCCCTGCAGAGAGAAAAACCCACACACCCACCCACCTGTGGTAGCGCTGGCTGCTACCTACTTCACACATCCTGCCTGATAAGGTTTGGCTGCGTCCTCACCCAAATCTCACCTTGAATTGTAACTTCCATAATTCCCAAGTGTTGTGGGAGGGACCCAGTGGGAGATAATTGAATATGGGGGCAGTTTCCCCCATACTGTTCTTGTGGTAGTGAGTAAGTCTCTTGAGATCTGATTTTTATAAGAGGTTTCCCCTTTTGCTTGGGTCTCATTTTCTCCCTTGTCTGCCACCATGTAAGATGTGCCTTTCACCTTCTGCCATGATTGTGAGGCCTCCCCAGCCATGTGGGACTGTGAGTCAATTAAACCTCTTTTTCTTTATAAATTACCCACTCTCAGATATGTCTTTATCAACAGCGTGAAAACGGACTAATACACTGCCTGTCACCACTGGGGCTGTCCCAATGCTTCATGCCCTTGGAGTGGTGGCCTCTGAAGCAGAGTTTAGTGTGTAGCATGTGTCTGAGGCGTGTGCTTGAGATCAACTCCCGTGGCAGGGAGACAGAAGGCAGGAGAGTGCGAGGGAGAAGTCAAACTGTGATGAAATCTGATGATGGCCTTGGGCAGCCCTGTGGGGAGCCCTGGAGCTAGAATGTTCTCCAGTGTTGGACCAAGCTGGTCAGGCCTGTATCCCTCTGTGGTTTAGGGTAAAGCCGCTCTTCAGCTAAGATGAGTCCTGAGTTGGGGCAGCTGACAGCTGACACCCAGCCACCAGCATGCCCAGTGGTGGGGGCAACAAGTCTGTCCATGAAGGGAGATATAGAAGGCATGTCACAGTGTCTGCCACACCACCCCAAGGCTGCCCTTTAATAACCTAGTTTTCTGCTTCAAGGCTTCCCTTGATATTAAATTTCATCAGAGTTCTACAGCATGCCAAGATTTGAGGGGCAGGATAAAAAAATCACCCTACTGTCAATGCCATAGGCATTGCCTAACCATGATAATCAGAGAAAGCCGCTTTTACCCTAGTGTCTCTCAATTTTGACCCCAAATTAAGCATAATGCCAAAAGAAACATTTTGGGACTCTCTGAAAGGTCTAGGAAGGGAAGAAGCTTGCTGGGTGCATTCTGCAGGGACATCAGTTTACTGTCCACACTTTTTGTGGTCCATATCTTCTCCGAGGCCCTCATGCTGAGAAAATCTCACAGGAATCCCATATTCAGCCTCAGGGGAGGAAGGTCCGTGCGAAACACAAGAAGGAAGATGATTGGGGGCCGTGGAAGAGAGAGGCAATGTCACCTTATCCCAGGAGACCTCCAGCAGGTCCCTGGAAACAGGGGCAGGGGACAGGGGTGAGGCAGGGTGGGGAGCCCTAGATCCCAGGCCAGACCACTCGGTCAACCCCTGGCCTTGCTGCCCATGAGGTCTGCAGCTGTGGGAAAGTTCCTTAATTGTTCCATGCCTCAGTTTCCCCATCTGAGAAATTAGGATTGATAGTACCAACCTCAGAGGGCTCCTGCCAGGATGAACTCACACGAATCCCTTGAAGAGGGCCTGACCCGCACTGCACTCAGGAGCTGTGGCTACAAGAATGGGAGCAAGAAGGAAGGATCCCCTGAGTCTGGGGGTTGAGACAAGGCCAGTTCCTTCCCCACGGAGCCAACTTCATTGGAAGAGAGCTGCTCATGGGTTCAGCCTCAAACAGAAACATTCTGGGAAGCTCTCAGATGGTTCTATGTAATTGTTTAGCCAATTAGAAGTGATTCAGAAGGCAAATTTTGCTCTAATAAACAGAGCAATTTGTGAAGGGTTTTTGGTTCTGGAGAAAAAACTCTAAAACATCAATATTGTTACTAATGCTACAGAGAAACAATGACCCATACTCTGAATCAACACACTAATTTGTAAACCTCACAGACTCAGCCTTGAAATTCCTGTTTTATTGAATTGCCCTCTGAAACAAAGGTTATTTTTAAGCAACGTTTAGTAAACCAATTTAAGTGGGAATAGAACTCCTGAAATGTCAGAGGTGGGTCACTCCTGCAGTACAAAGATAGCCTAGCTTAATAGTTAACGCTGTTCACCAGAATCCAACTACCTGGGTTCTGGTCCTAGCTCTGCCTCACACCAGCTGTGTGATCTTGGGCAAGTTACTTAACCTCTCCGAGCCTCTGTTTGTCTCAAATATGAAATGGAGATGATAATACTAGAACTTTACACATGACTTATGGTGAGACTGGAAGCAGACAATGTAGGTAAAGTCACAGCAAACCCTCATTAATTAGTACTATATAGTGATACACAGAATGCAGAGTAAAATATAAGGTATGATAAAGAAAGCATGTGCACACACACACACACACAGTGTTCACTGCATTTGCACCCTATAGTAGAAACTATTAGGTAGGCTATGCTTCACTTACAAAACCCTCCAAATCTCAGTGGCTTATGTGAGACAGAGACAGAGAGAGAGAGAGAGAGAGAGAGAGAAAGGAGAAGAGTTATAGAGAGAGAGAAAGAGAAAGAAAGAGAGAGAGAGGAAGAAAGAGAGAGGAGGAGAGAGAAAAGAGAAGAGGTAGAAGGGAGGAGAGATAAAGAGATAAAGATAGAGAGAAGAGAGAGAGAGAAAGGAGAAGAGAGAAAAGAGATGGAGAGAGAGAAAGGAGAAGAGATAGAGACAGATAGAGAATGAGAGAGAGAGGGAGAGAGAGATTTCTCCTTCATAAACCATGTTGAGCACACATTGCTGGGTGGACACCGGTTACCTTCTCCAGCCACAGTTGCAGAGAGGAAAAAGGAGGTGGAAAAACACATGGCTTCTGTTCATAGTGCACCAGCCAGAACAAGTCATATGGTCATGTCAAACTTCAGGGAAGTGGGGATATGAAATTCACCCTCTGCCTAGAAGTATGGGAATCAGACATTGGACAGTAACAATGAGAAGCACACACCCAGAAACACAGATCAACCTCTCTGGAATTTCCTCAGGCAATTTTTGCGTCTCAGCACATAAGTGAGAAGTGAGTCTCCCTCTCAGACAAAGGACACACCCTCTACTAATGACCTCTTAGGGCCATCCCTATTTTCTGTCCTGCCTGTAATCTGGGTGGTTTTGGAAGATTTTTTTTTAAGTTACTGATGACTATACAGTAATACTGTTCAATAAGCAGTATGTTTAGTGATATTCTTGAATTCTAATTTTTTGCTGTAATTTTGACCGCAATGAGGTCCTCACCATTGGAATTCATAGAAGAAATGCTGAGGAGCTGATCAACAATTTCTAATGTAACATTTAAAGCAAAGGAAAAGCTAGGCACTCTAGTAACCAGGGCTCGCTAATTTTTACCTTTTAAGATTCATCTTAAATCCCCTCAATTTTTATTGTTATTTTATTTCTTTTTAGACAGGGTCTTGCTCTGTCACCGAAACTGAAATGCAGCGAAGTGATCATAGCTCACTGCAGCCTCAACTTCCTGAGCTCAAGCAATCCTCCTGTCTGACCCTCCCAAGTAGCTAGAACTACAGGTGGCCACCACCAAGCCTGGTTAATTTTAAAATTATTTTCAGTAGGGATAAGGTCTTCCATGTTGCCAAGGCTGTTATCGAATTTCTGTGCTCAAGCAATCCTCCTACCTCAGCCTCCCAAAGTGCTGGGTTACAGTTGTGAGCCAACATGAGCAGCTTTAAATTTTTTAATAGAATGAATATGTCAAACATACTGAAAAGCAGAGATGATAGTGCAGTGAAATCCCTTTTTATGAAGACTTGATATTTCACTGCTGCATTCTTCTTTATCCATCTCTAAAAAGCATGGATATTTTCTTACATAGCCACAATGCTGTTATCACACATAATAATTTCTATTGTCATCTTTTTTGTGTGAGTGAGTAGAACGCTTATTTGGGCAGCATCGATTCCCATAAAACAAGATGGCTGGAACTTACTGCAGCTCTTCTGATAGCTCCATGCTCCTGGCATTGTGTAGGAGAACATTGCTTATTGCAGTGAATTGGTTCCCCTAGATTTCTTCTCTCCCACATGGAGCCTACTGAGTTGAGATGGAACACGGCAGACCAACACACCTTAGAGAACAATCAGCCAGCAAATCTGTGTTGGCTAATACTGACACCACTAAAGAAGGGTGAAGGGCACTTTGGAACAAGGTATGCACACATTCGCGTGTATAACCTATTCCAAATGCTATTAGGTGAATCTGTAAGCTTTGCTGAGAGCCTATAGGTCCCATTTCGGAGTCAGCTATGGAAATGAGGTCAGAGTGACCCTTCTTGTGTTTCATTAAATGTAACCACGTTAAGAGAGCTTCTTTCCACTGAAATGCATTATTAGGGCACTCTGTGTATGTAGATCTTCACTTTGAATGTATTAAAATAAATGGAAATGCTTGTTTCAGCTTGAGGATCATGTCTGGAACTTACTTTGCAAAATGCACTCTCCACACAGCTCACTGGTCAGAAAATGATTACCCTACTCCGGAGGACTAATAATAATAATTTAATTCTCACAGCAGCCCTCTCTGGTACTATTATTCTTTCCATTTTTCAGCCAGGAGGAGAGACGATGTAGTGGAGGTCAGAGCTCAGGCTCTGAAGCCAGACCGCCTGAGTATGAATCCCAGCTGTGCCACTTACTAGCTGTGTGATGCTCTAAAAACTATACATGTGGGGCTTGTTGTCCTTTGATAGCCAGTCTGTTATAAAATTTGCTCAATTGTGTTAAAAAAATTTTTTGAAGTTGGTTTGTTCTAAGTAGGATCCAAATAAGGTCTACAAATTGCTTTTGGTTGTTGTGTCTCTTAATTCTCATTCAAACTAGAGAAGCCCCATATCTCCCCTACGCCTTTGATTGATAGCAGAAACTGGGTCATTTGCTCTAGAGAATGTCCCACATTCTTAACTGGTCTATTTCCTTCTTTGCTGTGGCATTTACGTTCTCCTTTCCCTCTGTCTTTCCTGTCCACAGAAGTTAGCTCTAGATGCTTGATTTAGTTTAGATTCAACTGTTTAAGCAAAGAGATTTCATGGGTGGTGCAGAATCCTTCCTATCCCATTCCATGAACACGTGCACGACGTCCTCTCGCCCACAACGCTCGAAGCTCAATCAAGCTTCGGGGACAGGTAGTGACAGCCTGAGTCTTCTGTTGTAAAATTCCTCACCTGTCTATCATTGATGATGTGGCTCGAACGAATTATTTTCTTAGAGGTTGTAAAAGGTTGCTTTTAGAAATTCATTACCCTTTCACATTTATTAGGTTAGATGCCTCCCACACAGTGAATGTGTCCGCATCAGTGAGGGCTATTTGGATACTCTCAAATACAGTTCATCCAGGAAGGGCCAGGGAGGTGCTTAATTCTTTCCTCTTAACTGCTCATTTTCAGAGTAGGGATTCAGGCCTTAGTTAATTGCAGTAGTGTCCAGAGAGGTTTCTTGTTTATTTGCTTTTTTTTTTTTGCTCTTTTTTGGTGGGGGATAAAGACTATCTCTCAAATGATGATGATGATGATGATTGATATGGTTAGGCTTTGTGTCTCCACCCAAATCTCATCTTGAGTTATAATCCTTGAATTATAATTGTAATCCCCAAGTGTCAAGGGAGACACCAGGTGAAGGTAATTGGATCACAGGGGCGGTTTCTCCCATGCTCTTCTTGTGATAGTGAGTGAGTTCTCGGGAGATCTGATGGTTTTATAAGGGACTTTCCCCCACTTTTCTCAGCACTTCTTCTTCCTGCCACCTTGTGAAGAAGGCGCCTTGCTTCCCCTTCACCTTCTGCCATGATTGTAAGTTTCCTGAGTCCTCCCCAGCCATGCTAAACTGTGAGTCAATTAAACCTCTTTCCTTTATGAATTACCCAGTCTCAGGTATTTCCTGATAGCAATGTAAGAAGAGACTAATACAATGATGAACTCATGGTTTTTATGTCCTCAGTGTGTTTCAGTCAACTGCATTCACAATCCTTTTCATGTTTACAGTGTTTCTTCTTTGACCCATGGGGGTCCTTTCATGTTGGTGTCTGTGTCGGTTTCACACGACCCGTCAGTCTCCAGTGGCTTCCTTGCTTCACGGCCCAACAAGATGTCTCAGCTCCTCTTGTATTTTTTTTCCTAGACTTGAAAGCAGTCATTCCTTCCAAGAGCCCTGATTGCTTCTACTAGGCCTGTTGATTATATTTTAAAATATGAAGTACGTGTCTCTTTATGTGCATCAGCATTGACCTGAAAGGTGACACCTATGTCTACAACTCCACTCCAAAGCCTCCTACATGGTGGCTGTCTCCACTTCATCCCAAAGATCTGGAATGAATGAGGTTCTGTGGTCCCCTTATAAAGCCTCTTGCATTCCAAATGTGTAAATGATTTTATTCTTAGTATTTCCCTAACACAGCTGTGAGTCTGAGAACTGACAGATGCAGTGAGATGTAAACCAAGGCACGAGCTAGTCAAAGAGAGATGTGGGAGTGCAAGCTCACAGGGCACAGAGGCCAAGGAGCAGTGAGACTCATGGGCAAGGATCAAAATGTGGATGTCAGCCCTGAAAGACTGTCCCCTTTTCTCTGGGAATGTCACCCTCTTAGAGGAGAACACAGCTTCTAGAAGGATTCTCAGCAGAGAGAGAGGAGGGGATCCCCTGGCTAAGATCAGCTGAGAACACCCACACCATCAATGTGGGGACAGACACCACAGACAGGTCCCCTGATGTCTGTGACTTCAATCTCCTGCCCTTTGGAAAGACAGATGAACTGGTTCAATGAATGAACCAGGAAATGTTCACGCCAAGTTCCCCTGAATGTGAGCAAGAAGAAATCCGTACAAACTATAAATGTCAATAAACCAATTGCCAATGGAGTTTTTGAATCAATGAATACTAGGAATCCAGGGAAGCAGAGCTCTTCTGAGATGCGACATGGACTTTCTAGATGGGTAAGGGAAGATGAAGGTTTGATTTCACCGTTCAGACCCTCACTCAGCACAGCAGATTACCTTTCACGCAACTTTCATCTCTTTTTCTCCTCATCTTCCCATTGGGATGGAAAGAATCCTCCACTATGCAGCTGGGTACTAGTGTAGACTGAGGATTGAGCATCTAGCTAAATTTAAGCTCTGGGCTGTCGTCCATGTGCTGAGCAATGCTGTTCAATTAGCAGATCTTTCCTTTGTAAACCATGTGGTTGACTGCACAGTTTGTTTGAGTCTCTGCCAACAAAATAATTTTTATACGGGCTGTCACTGCTCAGTGTTCTGCAAGTCATTCCTCTTGCTTAAGACCATACAAGGTTAGAGTTTTGTCTACTTCTTTTCAAGGTTCAGCTAACTTACTGCTGCAGGATTTCACAGACAATTCAAAGGAACCCAGAGTTCTGATGTTCCCAGGAGAAGAAACGTGGGGAAATAAAACCCCTGGTTGACGTGCAGAAGAGACAAACAGTGAGAATCTCTGTGAGTTTACTCAGGTGGGCTTTACAACATACTTTGCTCCAAAATCCTGTGTTCAGGCCAAGCCCTGATATTTTAAACAGACAGAAAGTTGGCTGGGAGCCTCCCTGAATGACTGTGCTGCTGATGTCATTTTACACCTGCCACAACCATCTATCTTCTGAGGGTGCAAAAACAAGTCTGAGATGGCTTTGAAGATAAGCACATTCAGGGCGTGCTGACTTGCAAGCAGTGTGTGTGTGTGTGATCATGATGCCACAGAGGTGGGGAGGGATGTGTGGAAACCTAGGGAGAAAACAGCACCTAGAAAAGTTCCCTGGGTGGGGGTAGGATGAATTTCGAGCATCACTCGAGCAGTTTTGTTTCTGCGACCTGTATCTGTCTCTTTTCTCCTTCCCTTCTGGGTCCCCCTTCATCAAAATAAATGCCCAAATGTGAGCACTGGCAGGGTGGAATAGGTTATAACTGGTCAAATGTCAGAGCTGAAGTCACTGCAGAGATAGCAATGATAGCCAGGGTGGCACAGACCTTACCTCGGGGGTATCTTTTTTTGTTTTGTTTGTTTTTTGAGACGGAATTTTTTTCTCTCGTTGCCCAGGCTGGAGTGCAATGGTGCGATCTCAGCTCACTGCAACCTCTGCCTCCTGGGTTCAAGCGGTTCTCCTGTCTCAGCCTCCTGAGTAGCTGGAATTATAGGCACATGACACCACGCCCAGCTAATTTTTTTATTTTTATATTTTTTAATTTTTTTTAGTAGAGACGGAGTTTCATCATATTGGTCAGGCTGGTCTCAAACTCTTGACCTCAGGTGATCCACCCACCTTGGCTTCCCAAAGCGCTGGGATTACAGGCATGAGCCACCACGCCAGGCCTTGGGGGTCTCTTTAGGGAGAGGCCCCATCCCCTCCTTTGTCCAGTCGGGAATATAATACTTTTGAAGATTACTGGGAAAGGGTTTTTGTTTTGAAAGCAGAAGATGCACATTCAGCCGGCAAAAAGCCTCCACTCCTGAACTGATAAGAAGAAGGTATGAAAATCTTGAGAAAAACAGCTGTCAGGAGACTTCACAGTTAGACTTTTTGCCCTACCTTTGTCCTCCTGCAAGAGGTAAGTTCTAGCCGTGGCAGCCTTCACAATCGTCTTGCATCGCAAATGCTCAAATTGCCATTGACATCTATTATCCAAGCTCTTGGTAGGTCTCAGGGGCCCAGGGAAACATGAAAGGAAGGAGAGACTGAGGCTTGCTTCCAACACCCCCAGAGCATCAGGTGGGGTGAGGTCATGAGGCCCAGCAGCAACTCAGCCCTTCATAGCTTGCTTTCTGCTGACTTCATTGAGCTTGTTAGCAGCCCCTCACCTGGACTGGAGGCAGCATTAAGAATTAGTGGTCATAGGGCCGGGCGCAGTGACTCACGCCTGTAATCCCAGCACTTTGGGAGGCCGAGGTGGGCGGATCACCTGAGGTCAGGAATTCGAGACCAGCCTGGCCAATATGGTGAAACCCCATCTCTACTAAAAATACAAAAATTAGCCGAGTGTCGTGGCATTCGCATGTAATCTCAGCTACTTGGGAGGCTGAGGCATAAGAATTGCTTGAACCCAGGAGGTAGAGGTTGCAGTGAGCCAAGATCGTGCCACTGCACTCTAGCCTAGGTGACAGAGTGAGGCTCCATCTCAAAAATAAATAAATAAATAAATAAATAAATAAATAAATAAATAAATAAAAGAATTAGCGATCATAGGTGCATCCAACCACTTGCCTTCCAGGGCTTTAAGACTGTACCCCATAGCGGTAGAGCCGAGAGCCCCTAGCTCTGTAAACATGGGTGGCAGGGCCTTGGCAGAAGGGCATCAGATGTAGGCTCAGTGGATCTCACCGTCTGGTGCCAAGGTGCAAGCTCATTTCCTCTGCTTGGGTTTTCTGTCTTCTGGTCCTGCCCCACCACAGGCTCCTTGCAACCTGCTCCATGTCTTCATTTTCCTGTCTCCTTCCCTTCCCCTTCTCTTTCCTCCTTCCCTCTGTGTACTTGGGATCATTCTAGCCGGCACCATCTCTGCCTCCCAGGCCACTGACTCAATCAACTCACCTAGCTCCAGACCCTGTTCCCAACATTGGAGGACGGAATGGGAACAGGGCAAAGAGATCGTGGACTTCCACTGATGTGGTGAGATGTTGGGACAGACTGCTCATAAGGAGGCAAAGAGGTAGATACGGTAATTTCAGAGCTGGGTAGTGCAGTAGGGAAGATAAAATGGAGAAATGGGGCAGAAAGTGATGGTGGAGAGGGAATCACTGTTTTAGCCAGTTTGGTCAATAAGGCTTTTTTTTTCTTTTTTTTTGACGGAGTCTTGCTCTGTCGCCCAGGCTGGAGTGCAGTGGCGCGATCTCGGCTCACTGCAACCTCCACCTCCCTAGTTCAAGCAATTCCTCTGCCTCAGCCTACCGAGCAGCTGGGATTATAGGCACATGCCACCACATCCAGCTAATTTGTTTGTATTTTTAGTAGATACGGGGTTTCACCATGTTGGCCAGACTGGTCTCGAACTCCTGACCTCGGACAATCCACCCGCCTCGGCCTCCCAAAGTGCTGGGATTACAGGCGTGTGCCATCGTGCCTGGCCAAAGTGTTTATTTTTAACTTCAGACTTGAATATTGAAAAGAAGGTGGCTGTGAAGATGTGGGAGAAGGTGTGGCAAGTGCAAAGGTCCTGAGGCAGTGACGGCTTGTCACATTTGAGACAGGAAGGAGGCTGGTGTGGCTGGAGCTCAGATGGCCTAGGGTACAGTGGTAGAAGATTCAGTTGGATAAGTTATAATCTGTAGGAAAGGGCTTGGGTTTGGTTTGGTTTAAATGGAAGACATTGAGGGTTTTCAAGCAGATGAATGGTAAGCTATTATTTGCATCTGAGAAAGCATGTGAGACAGACATGGTAGTTCATGTCTGTCATCCCAGCACTTTGGGAGGCCAAGGTGAGAGGACTGCTTGAGGCCAGCAGTTCCAGACCCGACCAGCCTGTGCAACCAAGAGACCCTGTCTCTACAAAAAATATTTAAAAATTAGCAGGGCGTGCTGGCAAGCACCTATAGTTCCAGCTATTAGAGAGGTTGAGATGGGAAGATTGCTTGAGCCCAGAAGGTTGAGGCTGCAGTGAGCTATGATTACACCACTGCACTCCAGCCTGGGTGACACAGCAGACCCCTGTTTCAAAAAGAAAGAAAAAAAAGGCCAGGTGCCATGGCTCACACTTGTAATCTCAGCACTTTGGGAGGCCGAGGCGGGTGGATCACCTGAGGTCAGGAGTTTGAGTCCAGCCTGGCCAACATTGTGAAAAATTAGCTGGGTGTGGTGGCACATGCCTGTAAACCCAGCTACTTGGGAGACTGAGGAAGGAGAATCACTTGAACTCAAGAAGTGGAGGTTGCAGTGAGCCAAGATCATGCCACTGCATTCCAGCCTGGGCAACAGAGCAAGACTCCATCTCAGAAAAAAAAAAAAAAAATGGCAAGCATCTGTCTGTGTAGTGGAAGAAGAATTGCAGAGAGGGAGACTTTGCAGGGGAGAGGTGAGGGTGGCTTAAACCATTAGTGTAGCAGAAGATGGGGGAAGAATCAGACCCAGTCTACCTTTGAGAATCACATTGGATGTAATGAAAATAAAGAAGCTAAATTTCCTTCCTGTCCCCTCTTCCACCCTTCCCTCCCCTTCCCTTCCCTTCTCCCTTCTCTTCTTCCCCCATGTCCCCCTTCCCCTCCGCTTTCTCTCCTCTTTCTTCTTCTCCTTTTCTGTCTCTTTTCCTCCTCACAATGGAATGGTGCCATATTCTGACCGTAGCAGATACAGGGTAGGGAAAAAAGAAAATCAAAAGATGTATTTTGGCCAGGACTACAGCAAGCCTTTATGGCACCTTCCTGAAAATTAGAGAAGGCACTCCCTATATCAAAAGGTACCTTTTCCACAGTGTGGATAAAGCCCCACACCAGAGCTCATGGCTTTGCAAACCTAATATGGGCTGGATCTCAGCCCCTCTTCCTTCCATGGATGGCTGCCGCCTTTAGGCAGTGCACAGGTTGGACAACAAGACGTGGTGCCCCTGGTCTGGGCTATATTAAGTCTGAGATGCCTACTTGGCATCCACATGAGGATGTTAATTAGATAGCTGAGTATATGGGTCTGGATGTCAGGGAGAAATGGGGCTAGAGATATAAATTTAGGAATCCTAACAGCATGTGGAGCTTAACAGGTGACTGGATGAGGTACTCTTTGTTTTTTGAGTTTTTTTTTTTTTTTTTTTTGAGACAGAGTCTTGCTCTGTCACCCAGGCTGGAGTGCAGTGGTATAATCTTGGCTCACTGCAGCTGCTGCCTCCTGGGTTCAAGCGATTTTCCTGCCTCAGCCTCCCAAGTAGCTGGGACTACAGGCCCACACCACCATGCCAGGCTAATTTTTGTATTTTTAGTAGAGACAGGGTTTCACCATGTTGGCCAGGATTGTCTTGATCTCCTGACCTCATGATCCACCAGCCTCGGCCTCCCAAAGTGCTGGAATTACAGGCAGGAGCCACCGCGCCTGGCGGAGGTGATCTTTTTGTGAGTGTGGATGAGGACGCATGTGGGGCTGACAATGAAGCTTGAGACACTTCGCTATTTAGTAAGTAGGAGGAGGCAGAAAATGCTACAGAGACCCAGAAAGAGCTGTTGGTGAAATAGGAGGATAACCTGGAAAGTAACAACCTAGAAATCAGTGGAGAAAATGTGTTAAGCAGTAGAGATGGGCTCCGTGGGATGTTGGTGAGAGTTGGAGTAAGATGAGGATGCGCAGAGCTTTTGGCAAGACGGAGATGCTGGGGCGCAGGGTGCTGGAAACGGAGTGGGTGGCTGAGCAGAGAGGGCTGGGGAGAGAGAAGAAAACAGAGGCAGCCGTTTTCAGATGTTGGGATCAAAAGGGTAAGAGAGAAAAGGAGGAGTTGGATTTGGGTTAGCTGTCCCTGGTTGGGACAGGCAATCTTTAAAAAGATACAGCTTCTTATATGCGGAAATGATCCAGTAGTGAGGGAGAAATGGATGGCTCAGGAGGGAGGGCAGATCCCAGGTGCCGAGTTGCCAGGAAGGAGAGGAGAGAGGGTCACTGGCCAGGAGGCTGGTGAATGGTGGGAAGGGCGTGGCTCTCCACCGCTTGCTTCTTGTAGAGCCAGGTTATTAGTTGAGAGTGGGAAGCGTGAGGTGGGAAAGAAGAGAAAGGATGACGTAGCGATCTATAGAGTGGGAAGTGAAATGTGGGATTGTGTGGGCTGGTGTGGGCTCCCTGCAGATCTGCAGCCACTGCAGGGTGGCATGTGTCCCCAACCACCTGCAGCTGCAGACACAGCTGACCCAACTAGAAAGGAGGCCGAGAAGGCAAGGGACTGCATGGAATATGTAGGGAAATAATTAGAGCAAAGGGCACAGGCTCTTAAAAACAAAAACAAACAAAACAAAACAAAAAAGAGAAAAGTCTGATGTAAACATACCAGAGTATAATTACAATTTTTGGGCAAACAAAACCTTTCTTAACTAAGTCACAGTGGGAGGAAGTATTAAGAGAGCTATTCAGCTAAACTAAATACATATGTGTATATGCACACACACGCCAAAGATACTGTAAGGAAATTGCAAGCAAACACTTATTTTATAAATGACTTTTCAAAGCACTTACTAAGTTCAAGCCCTGCAGTAAGAAATTTATAAGCATTATTTTGATTTAATCCTCTGTATAGTACTTTACTATAGGTACAAGATTTGAACTTAAAAGTTCATATTTTTTACTAAGTTATAATGCTTCTTCCAACTTGGAAAGAATATTTACAACATATGTGGCAATTTTAAAAGACTGAATATGCACGGATTATTAAAAGCTCCTATAAATCAATAAGGAAAGGAAGAACCTAACAGAATAATAAGCAAGAAGCTACAAACAGGGAAGGCGCTAAAGAAGGAAATACAAATGGCTAAAACTATGATTCTCAGCATCACTAGGATGTAAGAAATGCAAATTACAAAAATAATAAAATCCTATTTGATTCATGAAGATTAAAAACGTACTGAGAGTTGCTGCTGTCATACACTTTGTCAGAGTTTAAATTGGTACACCTTTTTTTTTTTTTTCTGACTGAGTCTTGCTCTGTTGCCCAGGCTGGAGTGCAGTGGCACGATCTGATCTTTGCTCACTGAAACCTCTGCCTCCCGGGTTCAAGCGATTCTCCTGCCTCACTCAGCCTCCTGAGTAGCTGGGACTACAGGTGCCCACCACCATGCCTGGCTAAAACTGCTATAGCTTTTGTAATGAGCAATTTGGCAATATTTGAGGTCATCTCCTTTTACCCAATAATTCCTCTTTAAAATGTATTTAATGGAAATGAAACATGCAGAGATATACATTCAAAGGTTTTGTCATCACATTCCTTATTATAGAAAAAAGGAAACTGTCCAAATGTCCACCAATAAGGCACTGGTGACAAATTATATAAACTACAAAATGAAACTCAATGCAAAATGTTAAACATATAGAGACTGCTGTGTGTCTGAATGTGTGCCCAAAATTCATATATTGAAACGTAATGGCCAGTGTGATAGTATTAAGAGGTAGAGCCTTTAGGAGGTGGTTAGACCATGAGGACTCTGTCCTCAGGATGGGATTGGTCACTTAAAAATGGCTGGAGAGAACCAGATAGGCCTCTTTGTCTTTCTGTCCCTTCCGCCAGGTGAGAACACACAGCATTCAAGGTGCCATCTTGGAAGTGGAGAGCAGCCCTCACCAGACACCAAACCTATTGGCCGTTGACCTTGGACTTCCCAGCCTCCAGAACTGTGATAAATACATTTTTATTATTTACAAATTACCTAGTTCAGGCATTTTGTTAAAGAAGCACAAATGGACTAAAATATAAGGAGCAAAAAATTGACTTTGAAAAAGTCTACTGTATCTTGTTTAGAGAATAAAGTAAGTTCACTCAGTATGTAGAGTATTTAGCATCTATAATATACACATATATACACATATGTATATAAAAATTATAGAATAATATACACAAAACTTACTGTTCTTTGGTATATGGGATTTTGGGGGGCTTTTACTTTTATTTTCTATGTGCCATTGTTTAAGTTATTTTGCACTGAATATACTTTATTTTTATAGTCATAAAATAAAATTTCATATAATTAAAATTAAGAGACCTCCTGCCTCAGCCTCCCAAGTAGCTGGGACTACACACATATACCACCATGCTTAGCTAATTTTTTATTTTTTATAGAGATGGAGTCTTGCTCCATTGCCCAGGCTGGTCTCAAACTCCTGGCCTCAAATGATCCTCCCACCTTGGCCTCCCAAATTGCTGGGATTACAGATGTGAGCCATTGTGCCTGCCCCATAGGTATTCTTTATCCTGCAGAGTTCCCAGCATAACATCAAGAATGGAGTATCAAATAGCAGTTAACTGACTGAGAAGTTGCTCCAGCGATGCTTGCTAACACACCTGCTTTGGACTGCGCCATTTGTTTGATTAACAACACTTGTTCTGTGCCCGCTTTACCTATTAATTAGGAGAGCTTAAGACACCTGAGTGCTCAAGGTAAGTTAGTGGAAGGGTTCACAGCAGAACTCTGGGCATCTTGAGGTCTATATTTGGGTCATCTATTTCCTTGGTGCTTAGCGCAGAAGTCATGTTGCACATAGTCAGTAAATATTGGATGAATGGATGAATGAACTAATGAGTAAATATCCATATATCTTTCAAAACACTTGTGTTTGCTAAAATGTTCTACATTCAAAACCATCATATGTTAGACCCTTCTATCCAAGTGTGGTCTGAGGACCAGCAGCAATGGTCTCATGCAAGAGCTCCTTAGAAAGGCAGGATCTTGTTATGACTGTACCCATGTCACCCTCAGCCTCAGCTGCTGAATCAGATCAGTACTCGTCTCTGACCCCTAGGAATTCTTATGCATGGGAAAGTGTGAGAAGGCACTGCTTCAGAGGGAAGTACTTGGCTGCCGTTTTTTTTTTTTTAAATGGAGTCTCACTTTGTTGCCCAGGCTAGAGTGCGGTTGCATGATCTCGGCTTGCTGCAACCTCCACTTCCTGGATTCAAGCGATTCTCCTGCCTCAGTCTCCTAAGTAGCTGGGATTACAAGCACACGCCACCATACCTGGCTAATTTTTGTATTTTTAGTAGAGATGGGGTTTCACCATGTTGGCCAGGCTGGTCTCGAACTCCTGACCTCAAGCGATCTGCCCACCTTGGCCTCCCAAAGTGCTGGGATTACAGGAGTGAGCCACCGCGTCCAGCCTTGCTATTTTTTTTTTTTTTTGTAACTTCTGGGTTTAATGCTTTTTTCTACCTCTTTGGTACCTAATTACAGGATTTCGAGGTTTTGCTTGAGAATGGACCAGAAGAGGACATTCTGAGCAAAAGCAAAATTTTGCCAGCAAGGAGAGATTTTTTGGAGGGTTTTTGCTGTCTTTTTTTTTTTTTTTTTTTTTTTTTTAAATCAAGGATAAAATATCTGAGTTTTCATGTTGTGACTGATCCTCCGTTTTCTCCTTTTGCTTTGCCTGGTTTCAGCCTCTACTGGGATGGTCAGGATTAATGCAAGAAGGCCTCCTCTTTAGGCCGTTAACCCTTCATACCCTGCACCTGAGCAAGGCTGGGTGGCCCTGAGAAGCCACCTGGTTGGGGGTGTTTTCCATTTGGGAAGTAGCTTAGAGCACAGTTCGGCTTCCAGGGACAAAGAAGGCTGCCATCTCTCCCTCCTCTCTGCTGGCCACACTCCTAGAGCCCCATGAAATCGGCCGCTGCCTGCCAGCTCTTCACAGACGGGCTGGGACGGGCTGTGCAGGGGTGTCCAGGATCATGATTGAGGGGCCCTGGCAGGGAGGAGTGGAAAACAAGGCCTTGATTCCAAGCCCGAGTCATGCTTGTAAGCTCCTTGCCGCTTTCCAATGGAGCGCGAATGCACACTGTCCTCGGCCAGGGTTCTGAGCTGGGCCAATCTTCCCGGGCAGGGCCCAGGGCAGTGTCTCCTTGGGGTGGTGCCCCCAATGCCCACAGGGAGGCAGGGCCACAGTGAGTCATAGGGGCGCGACGACTCTGTCACTTGAAGGGCTCAGGGAGTAGCTCTGCTCTCCTTGTCTCTCCACCCCCTACTTCTGCAGTCCTCATCCCATCTAGCCTGAAGCAGGGCCGAGCTGGGCTACAGTGTGTCTGTCTTGAGCTGCAGAAACTTGACTCTTTAACTGGGACAGACAGTGCTGTCAAGACAAAGCTTCCAAGGATACAGCCTCTCCAGCACCTTAAATTTATCCAACAGACTTCTGCCAGTCTGTCTAAAATAACAGAGGTAAGTATTGTAGAACAGCAGAAAATGCCTTTCTCTACCCTTCTAGGTTCCCTGGCTGGGCTATGAGTTCAATTGACGTAAGCCAGATGAACAGGGAAAAACCATAGTTAATTATGCCTGGGAGTCCCCAAAGTTAGGAGCTTCCAAAAAGGGTCAGATGATTGAAGCTTTTATTTAGCATCCTGAGCGACTGAAAGGAATAGGGGCTTGGGGCTTCTTAAGGGTGGTGGTAACACAACCTTCATTCTCCTTTCTCATGATTTGAGTTTTTCTTCTCTAGTTGGTAAGATTCCCAGAGGGGATTCATGACCTTCGAGTTCCTTTGGGAGGATCTGTCTCTTGGCAGATAAGGGGAGCTCAGGGAAACGTCTGCCGGCATCTGCTGTTCCCCAAGAGCCCTCAGTTGAAAGTACTCAGCATACCAAAGCATCATGTTTTGGGGTGGCATTTCCTGAACTCCTTTGTTGTCATCCAATTTTAATTGTATCCAAGGTTGTTGAGTACAGTTGGATTTGATGAAGAGGTAAAATACTATTGCAACGAGGGAAACATTTCTGGAGGTTCAGAGGTGTATTCTAAATGAATAATAGGCAAGTTCTAGCTTTCTCTCTCTCTCTCTCTCTCTCTTTCTCTCTCCTCCCTCTCCCTCTTTCTTTCTTTTTCTCTTTCTCTTTTCTTTTGCTCTGTAGCCAGGCTGGAGTGCAGTGGCATGATCTCAACTCACTGCAACCTCCGCCTCCCTGATTCTAGCAATTCTTATGCCTCAGCCTCCCAAGTACCTGGGACTACAAGCATGCGCCACCATGTCTGGGTGATTTTTGTATTTTTAGTAGAGACAGGGTTTCACCATGTTAGCCAGGCTGGTCTCGAACTCCTCACCTCAAGTGATCCACCCACCTCAGCCTCCCAAAGTGCTGGGATTACAGGTGTGAACCACCGTGCCCGGCCTCTAGCTGCTTTCTTGAAGAAAGGGTCCTACAAAGTGTGGACACATCATTCCAGGTCCAGACCAAGATAGATTAATGGGCCCAGAAGCTACTGGCTTGAGCCGCTAAGTATTTCAACTTGCTACCTGTCATTCACTCACCTGCTGGCAGAACCTTGATAACTGGCAAAAACTGAACTCAATGGTTCTCTGAAGGGCAAAGCAAAGATTACTCCGCCCCTCACTGTTAAGAAGGCTATTCTGGCCAGAAGCGATAAGCATCTCTCTCTTTATTTTGGAAGCAGAGCAAGGTGTTTTTCACGCAACCTCTAGACAAAGGAAATGCAGTATATCCCAGCATACTGGCAGGGACGTGGGTTTGGGAGACAGGGACAGCTAAGTGGGCATTTTAATGCTGCCACCTGCAAGCTGTGAGATTGGGTAAGGAAGTTATCCTTTCTGAATCCCAGCCTCTGTAGTTGTAAAACGGAAATAGCAAAGTCCACTGCAAAAGTTTGTTGATTTCATATGGGAACATCCGAAAAGCTCCTAATTCTGTGCCTGCCATGGTGTTGGGTGCTGGGAAGTATTCTCTCTTTATTGGCATCAAAGATTCTCCACGGAGATGTGCAAGAGAAAGGAGGGCTTCACCATTTTTTTTGAGACAAGGTCTCACTCTGTCACCCAGGCTGGAGTGCAATGGCCCAATTTCGGCTCACTGCAACCTCCACCTCCAGGGTTCAAGTGATTCCCGTGCCTCAGCCTCCCGAGTAGCTGGGATTACAGGTGCATGCCACCACTCCCAGCTAACTTTTTTTTTGTATTTTTTGGTAGAGACAGAGTTTCACCATGTTGGGCAGGCTGGTCTCGAACTCCTGACCTCAAGTGATCCGCCCACCTCGGCCTCCCACAGTGCTAGGATTGCAGGTGTGAGCTACTGCGCCCGGCCCTTCGCAATGACTTTTTTTTAAACCTACCTAACTGTCCTCCCAACTTCCCAAGTGCCTCAAGCCGGGTAATGAGACATGCTTTCCCAAGTCCTTATCCAGCTTTGTGAAAATCATGGCTATGAGCACTAACCTCCCTAATGGAATTAGGTCTTCTTTCAGAAGTGCAAATTCTCCTAGGAGAAAAAGAATGTTGAGTTCCCGGCGCCACATAGGGATGCATGTCTGGGATGTGCTTTTCTAATCCCTGGAAGTGCCTGACTTCCTGAGAAGACTGAGCGGAGCTAGGGATAAAATGCTGATGGATGAGAGAGGAGATGGGGAAAGACAAGAAGTCAGAAAAGCGAGGCACAGGCCTCGGAAAGTTGGCGTGGCTTTGTTCTCTGATGTCACACCATTTGTTTGGTGGATGATAAACCTGATACATTTATAGTGGAATCTCTTCCCACACTGGCCGTTATACTTTATAAAGACTTTCTAAATGATCTCAGTGGAAATCCCAGTTTTACAAGGAGCCAAATTTTCACCATGTGATGCTATCTTGAAAAACATATGTCCACAGATATTCCTGGACATCAACTTTCAAAACCACTGTTTCTCTTTCTTAAACCATAGAAATATTTAGAAGAATTTTTAGAAACAATTTTTTTAGAAATATGCAAATGGTAAAAATGTATCAAATATTTAAGATACTCAAAAGGAGCCAAAATAATATAATGAATACACCCATGTAGCTGTTAACCAGTTTAATTTTATAGGGTTAAAAACAATAAATATAAACATATTTTTCAGGCTGGGCGAGGTGGTTTATGCCTGTAATCACAACACTTTGGGAGGCCGAGGCAGGCAGATCACTTGAGTCCAGGAGTTTAAGACCGGCGGGTGACATAGGGAGACCCCATCTCTACAAAAAATTTAGAAGTTGCCAGGTGTGGTGGCACACACCTGCAGCCCCAGCTAGTCGGGAGGCTGAGGTGGGAAGATGGCTTGCACTCAGGAGGTGGAGGCTGCAGTGAGCCATGATCGATTGCTCCACCGCACTCCAGCCTGGGCAGCAGAGTGTGACCCTGTCTCAAAAAAAAAAAAAAAAAAAAATTCCTGGAAGGCATTTTGATGAAATAACAATACATAAAAAGGAAAGTAAGAGAATCCTGAACACAGACTTCAGGATGGTGGTTATGCTGAGTGGAAAAGCAAGGAAACAAAAAAGGATCACAGAGCTAGAGGGAATGTCCAGGATTTAGCCTTCTTAGAGGGTGTCATGAATCAAAATCTGTTAGAAATTCTGCCTTCAAAATTCTATGAAGGCTTCCTCTAAAAGACTTAAAGCCCAGGTGGGGAAAATTCTTGAGCTCTTCAAAAATCACAGGTCTAAGAAAAGACAATGAGGCCTGGCGCAGTGGCTCATTTCTGTAATCCCAGCACTTTGGGAGGCCAAGGCGGGCAGATCACCCGAGGTCAGGAGTTCGAGACCAGCCCGTGCAACATGGTGAAACCCTGTCTCTACTAAAAATACAAAAATTAGCTGGGGGCTGTGGTGCACGCCAGTAATCACAGCTACTTGGGAGGCTGAGGCAGGAGAACCATTTGAACCCGGGAGGTGGAAGTTGCAGTGAGCCGAGATGGCACCACTGCTCTCCAGCCAGGGTGATAAGGCAAGACTCTGTCTCAAAAAAAACAAAAAACAAAAAAACAAAAAAAAAACAATGAACTTTTTGGACAATATGCTTCGTATACTTCATTCACTGAGTATGCAATCTAGATTCACAAAGCTAGTTTTTAGGGTGACACTTCATTCAGTGGATATGCAACTTAGATTCCCAAAGCAATAGGCCAGCATTGGGACTGACTAGATGTAGCAAAATGACCCCAATTTTCTATACCATGGTTTAGGGACACAAAACCAGGGAACACTTAACCAGGCCTATTCTACTGGGGTGATCAAAGAAGAGTTAAACAAATCCAACCACAAGCACAAAATAAAGCCCATGTGAGCGGCACACGGCACACATGTAACTTTATATTATAAATCATTTCCTCATATTTTCAAAGGAAAGGAAGTTCTATAAAGTGATTGTATTTACTACACATCTGGTATCAGAGATATTCAAGATTGCTATAAAATGATTATTTATAACTCAATAGCTACTCTTGTTTACTACATAGAATACATCACCATCCCATATTGTTACATTAAATCAGCATTTTCCCCACTTTTACTGCATTTGTTATCAAGCCTGTGGCTCAGGCAAAAATGCCTTACAAAGAGCAGCCTAGAAGGTAATAAATAAGATGCACTTCTAATCTGCCTGGGGTTCGAAAGTTTATTCCAGCTGAGTCCACATGTAACCCAGAGAAGAAGCCCCTCTGTTTGTTCCCTTAGGCATTCTTCCCTCTTGGAATACATTTCAAGGAGGGGCAGGGTAATATCATCTTAGGTACAGAGCTCTGTAGGAGTACAAAGTACCCTATGGAGCTAAGGCAGTGAGAAGACTGGACTGGGCATTGGATAGTGCTGACGGAGTGGGCAGGTTTTGTTCTTGTGGTCATTCAGCATCCACTCCTCCTTCTTTGGTAGTTGCATTCCAATTTGGGGGACGGAGGATAGAATTATTCCTCCCTTATGAGATGAGTTTGGAGGAGATTTTTACTCAAGGCTCCATGCCTTTCTCTGGTTAAGGGATATTCACTTGACACAAGCAAGACCAAGTGAGCTCTTCCTAACCCAGGAGCCTCTCTGGGATTTGAATCACAATCCCTCCTTGTGTGGAGGAAGACAAGAAACAGAGTGATGAAAAGACAGAAAGCCATCAGAGTTCATTCATTCGAGTGGTGGTTCTTGGATAAGACTGCCCCCATATCCTAAAACCCCAAGAAAGCACCCGGTCCCTGTCCTCTGTAAGCCTGGTTCTAAAATCCTAGGAGCCCCCTCAAACTCTTCCAATAAATTCCCCTGTGACTTTGTGGTTAACTTAGCTAGACTCTCTGTCTATTACTTGCCATCAAAGAACTTGAAGCCTAAACCCTGGGGCTGCCACGCCTTAGCTGAGTGGTCTTGAAAACTCACTTCACTCAACCCTAAAACAAACAGGACACAACCTGTCCTATGGAGTTGATCACACAAATTGGCAAATAGGAAATTCCCAATCTGGCGAGCGAGATGGATTGAGTTTACGCTGCTTCACACACTCTCTGGAGACTCCTTAAAGATGTATGTTGTATAAAGAATCAATTCCAACTGCAGAATGAATGCTGACAGGCACCATCAGCTCCTGCCCGTGTGTCTTCAACTCTCTCCCATTGGAAAAATCAATGAATCAGTAATAATATTGTCCCCTCCTTCCTGTAAAGGAAATCTGAGCTAAATCCCAAGGCTGCCATGTAAATTTCCTCATATTGTTGCTTTCCTTCCCCCTCTCCCGCCCCAAGCCTTTGACAAAAATGATGGGCTGTGATCTGTGTCCTAGTAGCAGGAAGCCTGTCAGACCTGACTCTTGCTGACTCTTTCATCTCCCGGCAGCTCCAGGAAGCAAAAGAAAAAAAAAAAAAAAAGGTGGGGGAATCTGCTGCCATCACCCCCATCCAAACCAGGCTCAGGAAATTTTCCAGGGCCAGGCTGCCTTTGTGGAAGCTATGTAAGGACTGGAGAAACACATGTTCTCATGCAAACAAACCCCAAAACAAAACAAGGGATCCTGCCTTTGTACCTGGCCTGTCTCCAAAGGTGGTACATTATCTCCAAAGGTGGCCACCATCATTTCCTTCTCTCCCTATATGTGATTTCCTTCTCTATTGGCTCCATTCATCAAGAAGTAGAGGTGATTCCTGCTCTTCCTCTTTGAACTTGGGCCAGCCTTGTGATTTGCCTTGACCAACTGGACATGGAGGAAGTGATACTGTGCCGGTGCTTAGCCCGGCCTTTTAGAGGCCTGGCATCTTCAGCTCTCTCTCAGGAGAATACTTGTACCTGGATCTTCACTAGGGGTAAGTCCTTGTTCTCGATTTTAAACATTTATTTAGCCAACTAAGTGCTCTATTAATTCTAGTTGAAGGGGAGATGCAGAGACAGTGTTCTAGTTGCTAATGCTGTGTGAGAAAGCACCCCAGAAGGTCGTAGGTGAAACAACTATCTTAAGATGCTGGCTGATCGGGGCTGGGGCATTCAGAAGGGCCAAAGCAAGAGTGGCTTGTCCCTGCTCTATGGTTCTTGGATAACTCAAAGGGCTGGGGGCTGAGAGAGTGGAGGAAGGAGGACACACTTCCAGATGGCTTGCTTGTTCATGCACGTGGTTATGCACCGGGCAGGAACAGGGACAGCCAGAGGGCCAAGCTCAAACTGACAGCTAAAGAGCCCAGAGGGGCAGTCCTTGGGGGAGGCGGTGCCCACTGCCTGCCTTATAGACCGTATCCCTACCATCACCTTGACTTACTTTCCGCTATATGTTATTGGAGGGAGCAGTCCCTAGCCGTCCTAGATTCAAATGAGGGGTATAGACCTCACCTCCCAAGGTGGAGTCAGTAACAGGGAACTGTGGGCCACATTTAAAACCATGACAGGCTAGTGAATGGCTTTCTGGGAGATTTATGGGTGAAGGGAGGAGGAGAGTCTTGAAGAAGCCCAGATTCAGTCATTCTAAGCGTTTGTCACAAATGGATCTATCATCTGGGTTTCAAATACAGCTCTCAGATGACTGCTCTTCAAGAGGCTGGGCACAGTGGCTTATACCTATAATCCTAGCACTTTTAGAGGCTAAGGCGGATGGATCAGCTGAGGTCAGGAGTTCGAGACCAGCCTGGCAAAAACGGTGAAACCCCATCTCTACTACAAATACAAAAATTAGCTGGGTGTGGTGGTGCACACCTGTAATCCCAGCTATTTGGGAGGCTGAGGCAGGAGAATTGCTTGAACCCAGGAGACAGAGGTTGCAGTCAGCAGAGATTACCACCACTGCATTCCAGCCTGGGTGACAGAGTGAGACTCCATCTCAAAAAAATGAAACAAAAAACAAAACAAACAAACAAACAAAAAACAAAGACTGCCTTGTGTTTCCTTGCAGGCAGCCAGGGCAGAATGCGGTGTTCTCAAGACTGCCATGCTGGCTCATCCATACCTTGTTGGACTTGATAAGTATCGTAACCTAATGAAGGATGCCATTCTGTGCTCTGCAAGGCCTGGGGGAGCCCCAGTGGGAAGGGATCCAGATGGTGCTGGGCCTGGGCCAAAAGTGAAATGGGGGAGGACGGGTCCTTTCTCTCCTTTGTCCCTAACCTCCCCACTTCCTACTGCTGTCTGACTCAGAACCCTCATGAAAAACCCAACTTTTTACACTGATATTTCCCAGAGGCCTAATTGTGCAACAAGAAATAAAAACACAATTAGGGAACTGAGGTCCAGCAGGAAATTCATGTTACATAAATAAGACCTGGAGTGCATAGGGGAGTGCCCCAGCTCTCAGCCTTGTTAGTATTGAAGGCTCCGAGCACACAGATCTGGGATCCTCTGATTTGGTGGATAACCCTTGTGAACAATAATTCTCTGAAAAGGTATTTGGAGGAAAGAGACTTTATTCCTGTAAACAGTTTTCAAACTAGGGGAATGCAGCTTTCAGTGTAAAATGAAGGTGCTTTCCAGACAACAAAGGAGGGGCTGGGCTTTTATAGAGAAAGTTCCTGCCCTGTTCCCACTCAGGTCCACTTATGCAAATAAAGGATTCAAACTTGCTTAATCTGATTGGTTGATGCTTGCTGAGTTCTGATTTGTTGACACAGGTCATAGTCTATTGGTTGGTTCCGGCAACATAAACAAGAACAGGAAGCTATGAAAGTCCCAAAGTTAAGCAGATGTGGGTTTTCTGGGAACTCAAAAACATGTGTGACTTCTAGTCAGCAAGTTGCCGCTTGGCTCTAAATTGAATTTAGGCCCTGTTAGCCAGAGTGTGAACCTTGAGAGAGCCGGCCTTTCAAGGTTCACACTCTTCACATGGGCTGGAGAGATTCCTATCATAACTGATTTATCCATTCACCCATTGACAGGCACTTGGATTGCTTCCACCTTTAGGGTGTTGTGGACAACATCAACACTGCTACAAACATGGGTGGACAAAAGGCTAGTTCTCCTCAACCATGGTGTATGTAGCTGGAGGGAAAATGCCAAAAGCTGCATTATGAGAAACAGTAAAGTCAAAACTGGAAAGATGGATCAAAGCGTGATGTCTCCCTGAAGCCCCTCCTACTAGGCTTGAGGTGAAGGAGAAGCACAGGAAGAAAAGTGCCTCAGTGCTCCAACAACTTTTTCCAAAGAAGCCCTCTTTCTCATTTCCAACTTTAAACCTTTTAAAACTTTGATTGGCATAGAGCTAAGGGTTGGAGAACATTGTCACTTCCCTCCTTTGCAAGTCTGTGTGGATAGTTGTATGTTATCTCCAAAGGTGGCCACCATCATTTCCTTCTCTCCCTATATGTGATTTCCTTCTCTATTGGCTCCATTCATCAAGAAGTAGAGGCGATTCCTGCTCTTCCTCTTTGAACTTGGGCCAGTCCTGTGATTTGCCTTGACCAATTGGACATGGAGGAAGTGATACTGTGCCAGTGCTTAGCCTGGCCTTTGAGAGGCCTGGCATCTTCAGCTCTCTCTCAGGAGAGAATGCAGCAGGCATGTAAGAAGGCTGATGAATCAGACCACCATATTATGAGGAAGCCCAAGCTAGCCACATGGAAATGGCACACAAAGGAAAGCTGAGGAACGAAACCAACAGAAGCATCAGGTCCCCAGCCATATGACCCAGTTAAGCCACCTTAGCTATGTGGTATTCCAGGTAAGGTTCCCTGCTATGTGGTATTCCAGGTAAGGTCCCAGAATTTAGTCATGGAGGTGAGCCATTCCCTCTGTGCCTTGTACAAATTTCTGAGCCAAATAATTTTGAGAAAATAAAAGACCTATTTTATACTGTGAAGTTTTGGTGCATGCTGTTATGTAGCAATAGATAACCTAGAGCAGTGGTCTAGCACTTCATTTTGGAATGTGGGAGTACTTAGTTTACTGCTTTATTCTTAGCCTTTTGAAACCTCAGCAGAAAATGAGACAAGTAAAATCCCATTTTAACATCCTGTTACATATATTTCAAGATCATCTGTGAAAATGTACATGTGATGCTTTGTTAACCTTTAACAGCCTGTCTTAAAAGACACTATCGTCGAGCAGAAGCCTCTAAAAACAGAATCTTTACAATCAGCAACAGGCTGGCTCCTGACACTTCGGGGGATGAGGCAAGAGTACGAATAGAGACCTACATACCACATGTTTAGATACTTAAAGGCTGTAAATCAAGCTAACAACCTATTAAACAAAATATGCTGTAGCTTGCTGCTTTGAAAAAAATACTGTCATGATGACCTTGAAGTCCAAGTTCAAATTTAGAATTCTCAACTGTCTGGAATTCCGCAGTGGAATATGGTGGTGTGGGGAGAGCTAACCCTGGCTCCAGGCCTTTGTTCCATAGCTCACCCTCTCTTCTCTCATTCCTTCTGTGCTGTGGGAGGACTCATTCTCATCCACGTGGACACCCCAGCACAAACAACCAAACTCCAGTCACCAGCACACTCAGGGGTATGATCCAGAAAGAGGAAAGCTATGTCCCTCTAGCTCTGGGGATGCCTTGTCCTGGAGGGAGGCACAAAACTGGATAAGAGTCAGCATTTATTTCCCTAGAGTTAGGGGTTGTAGTACAGTTTAGCAAACTGCAAAGTCTGATGGAATAGTCCCTTACTTCAGACAATAGTTGCAAGTTTAGGGGTCCCCAGGACCACCCTCAAGTTCAATAATTCTCTAGAATGGTTCAGAGAACCCAAGAAAGCATTATACATAGCATGAGAATGTGTGTGTGTGTTTGTTTTAACAGTTGAAAGTTACACAAGAAAATCAATCAAGGGAAGAGACACACAGGACAAAGTCCAGTTGGGATCCAAAGGAAGAAGATCCTTTGGTTCTCTTCCCATGCATTTATGATCAGTGTATTGGTCCATTCTCACATTGCTATAAAGAAATACCTGAGACTGGGTAATTTATAAGGGCAAGAGGTTTAATTAGCTCACAGTTCTGCAGGCTGTACAGGAAGCATGATGCTGGCTTCTGCTTAGCTTCTGAGAAGGCCTCAGGAAACTTACAGTCATGGCGGAAGGCAAAGAAGGAGCCAGCACTTCACATGGCCAGAGCAGGAGGAAGAGAGAGAGGGGAGGTGCAACACACTTTTAAACAACCAGATCTCACAGGAACTCACTCATTATTGCCACAATAACACCAAGGAGCATGGCGTTAAACTATGAGAAACCACCCCTATGATCCAATCACCTCCCACCAGGCCTCACCTCCAACACTGGGAATTACAATTTGACATGAATTGTAATTGGGCAGCTCCACACCATATCAGATAGCATTGCCTCCTCCTGGCCAGGACAATGTACACAGGGTACAGCCAACCGAGGATGCTCACCTGAGCCTTGGCTGTCCACAGTTTTTGCTTGGGGTCTATCGCATACTGCTCATGTGGGTGACCTTCAGTCTGCAGCCCCTTTTAAGAGGCTCAGGCTAATAATTCTGGAAGTTGGAACTGATATGATGTGTCTCCAAAACCCCATCATAAATCATATCATTAGACTATCCAGTGGCTAAAGTCCCCAGGCAAACAAAGTCCCTCTTATTGGGCAGGACATTCCAGGGGCTTGGAGATCACCACTCAGTAGCCGAGAGCAAAGGCCAAACTTCTCTTTCAGGAAGGCTAATCCTTCACTTCCCCAGGGCCCAGGGTTGCGCCCCTCCTGCCTAGCTCTAGAATGATATTGATCAGAAATACTCTCAATGATTGACATAAACCCAAAGTGAGCAAGACAACAGAAGAAATGATGTGGCTGCATATTGAACTCTCCAAGGAGTCTACATTTAAATAGATGGAAGAAATGGAAGGAGAACCCCAGTCCAAGAAGAGATGCAAAAAATGGCAGTGCTTAGCAGGGAGAATATTGGGAAAGCCAGGATGAGCTAAGGCTTGTGAAAAGCACCAGCCCAAATGGGCTTTTTTTAGCGGGGAGGGGGAAAGACAGTGTCTGGCTCTGTCACCCAGGCTAGAGTGCAGCCGCATGATCATGGCTCACTGCAGCCTCAACTTCCCAGGCTCAAGTGATCCTCCCTACCTCAGCCTCCTGAGTAACTGGGACTACAAGCTGGGATTACAAGTGCATGCCACCATGCCCGGCTATTTTTTTTAATTTTAATTTTTGTACAGATGGAGTCTTGCTATGTTGTCTAGGTTGGTCTCGAACTCCTGGACTCAAGTGATCCTCTTGCCTTGGCCTCCCAAAGTGCTGGGATTACAGGTGTGAGCCACCAGGCCTGGCCCAAAATGGGCTTTTTAGCAACATTCCAAGAAGAAACACCAAGAAAGGTCTTCTCTGGGTGATGGTGTGATGCAGCACTGTGGGAAATTGGCTCTCTTGCCCCAGAAAGCTCCACGAAGTAGAGGTATCTGGTCACTTACCCAGTTAGAAAAGCAACAAAGCTATGAGAAAATCAGAGCCAAAGAGAGCAAGAGGCTAAGGAGGGAAGGTCAAATGTTTGCAGCCCATCTGAATTTGGCTGGGAATCTGCAAAGCTCCCTTATTGCATCTTTTCAGAGTAAGACGGGGAAACGTAAAGTAGGAGAGAGAATTGGCAGGAGAGTCACATCTGGTTGTAGAGCACCATGCTCAAAGGTGTCCACCTGGAGGGCTCCTCTGTTGGTTGTTTAAATTCCTTATTTTATTGTCAACTTGGATCAAGAAATTGAAACTATCCTTATCACTGCACAGATGACATGAAGCTGGGAAGGATCACTGATACCCGGGTAGAAGAATCAAGATTCAAGAAGATCATAGGCTGAGTTCAGTGGCTCACACCTGGAACCCCAGCACTTTGGGAGGCCGAGGTGGGAGGATCACTTGAGCCCAAGAGTTTGAGACTAACCTGGGCAACATAGCAAGACCCCATTTCTACAAAAAATTTTAAAAATTTAGCCGGATGTGTTGGCATGCAATTTTAGTCCCAGCTACTTGGGAGGCTGAGGCGAGAGAATCTCTTGAGCCCAGGAATGGGAGGCTGCAGTGAGCCGTGATGGCATGTGCCACTGCACTCCAGCCTGGGTGACAGAGTGAGATCCCCATCTCAAAAAAGGAAAAAAAGATGGATCTTGGCAGAATGTAATACAACAACAAAGGGAATTTAATTGTCATTAGTGTATGTGTGTTTGTATATATATATATATATATATATATATGTATATATATGTGTATATATATGTATATATATGTGTATATATATGTATATATATGTGTATATATATGTATATATATGTATATATACATACATAAAATTCTAAATTCAAATGGCTAATTTAAAATGGATTTTAAAGTAAGATGCTAATTATTATGAAATGGACACTTTCAGAGGCAACATGAGAATATATAAATTTGCATAAACATATATATATGTTATGTACATACAAGTTTAGGTTATACATGCAAGCAGGGAGACCTGGCTTAATAGGAATTTGTGTGAAGAACCTTGAGGGGTTTTTAGTTAACTTTAAGCTCTGTGTGAACCCACAATATAGTTACTCCAAAGTATAAACAGGACCTTAGAATGCATTGAGAGAAATAAAGCCAATAAATCAATGAAAGTACTAGCAGTCCTACTATAGTCAGACACCTTCTGGAAGACTAGCATTTTGGCTTTGTATTTTAACCATCAGGTCCAGAGAGAGGTGGTTCAAATGATAATGACTTTGGAAATGGCATCATTTAGGACTGAAAAAGCTCAAGGTTTTGAGTCTGGAAAGAGAAGGCTTAGAGGAGACTTGCAGGCTGCCCTGTAATATTTGAAGGGCTGTCACAGGGAGAGGGTAGTAGATTTATTCTATGGAACTCTGGAGTGGCAAGATTAGGATGTATGAATGAAGACTACAGGGAGAGTTCAACTCAATACAGGGAAGAAGTCTCCAAAATTCATGCCTTATATAGCAGTTAGCTTCCCATCCCTGGAAGTGTCCACCAGGGATATTGCAGAGAAGGTTTTTGGAATCCAGGGAGATACAATATCTGAATACGATGGAGGATTCCTAATGGTGGAAGCTTCAAGCATGGTGGCAGGCTGCAGTGCTCATCAAACTAGACCACGAAGGCAACTGTCGGCTGCCCCTGCAGTAACGAAGGGATGGCTCTGGTCCCAGAACTAGATTACTTTTCCCCTTTAGTCTTAAAGGTTTGTAATAAATCAATAGCTTTGTTGCACCCGGACTGAGATTCTGGCTTTTCACATTGGCAAAAACACACTCTCATTTGACTGTAATGCAATTGGAATAAAATTAACTCACTTTCCATATGGTCAGGTGTGCAGAAAGCCCACGTCCTTCTTCCTTTTTCCTGGATTGGAATTTTTTTGTATGTTTCAAACATCTGCACTGCTCATGGTCTCCTATTTGTGGCTGATGAGATGTTGAGATGGCCCAGGGGCTGCCTTCTTTTACTCATTCCTCTATAAAACTCATAGCAGCTATAAAAACCAGCTATTTTCTAGAAATTGTGCCTCTATTATTTTCCATATACAAGATGTGGCACCTGCAAAGATATATCTGTGCTGACTTTGTAAAAGTTCAGCTTGGCTTTTCTTTTCACTGCAAAGGGTACATTTGATGAGAATCAGATGGAGTTTGAGGTCATAAGTGGTAGTTTGCCAATAGAGTTTTACTTAAGAGATGGGAAAATAACAACAATAGATGCCTGTGCCTTCAGGCTAAGATGCTAATTATTGTGAAATGGACACTTTCAGAGGCAACATGAGAATATATAAATTTGCATAAACTTAAGAAAGCTCTTGGGTGTTTTAGGGCCTGCAGGGATGGATAAAGTATTTCCCAAATACTTACAAGGCTGACTTCTCTGAGAATGTGACTCATTTTTCCCTAACTGTATAAATGCATGTGCTCTGTTAGGGTTCTGGTAGACATATGCACAGAAAATCCTCAGAGGTCAACAGAAAAATCAGTAGATTATGCTCGTGCTGATAATGCTGTTTCCAAACTCAGATGAAGACAGAGCCTACTCTCTTCATTAGCTGACATTACTGCATCAAAATGAGGTTTATGGTGTTGGCAATATGATAAATTATGATTGCATTTACTGTTATCACCCCCTCCAACTCTTTTTTGTTTTGTTTTTTACATTTAAAAATGTCCTTTCAATGTTTTACAAATTTCTAGTCATCTGAGAAAGAGACAGCCTCATAGATGACACATAGAGTGTTTTACTAAATCAATGAACTCTTGGTGGGTACTAGGAGGGAAATGTACTGTATCTTCTCAAAAGGTCAATCAAGAGTTTACCCATGAGGGACTCCCTTGTCTCCACTTTGTTTGTTCAACCCTTAGATGAAGAGAGAATAAGGATAGCATGCAGGTATTGCCATTGGAAGTTGTCTTGTAATGTGGCATCACAGAAACTTCCAGCTCTCTATGAGCACAGCCCCACTGTGTGCAGATACATGTGTGTGCACATGTGTGCATCTGTGAAGGCTAGAGATATGTGTAGGTGGACTGGGTGGCCCCCCTGGCAGTGAAAATTAACCAAACACAAGGCTTTTTGGTTCTCAAATTCTATGTCATCTGAATTTAGAATTAAAAAGCGACTTCAGAAATGACCTTCTTGCATGTCAGAATCTGCTGGGGAGCATTACAAAAGACAAACAAAAAACAATACCTGAGCTGTAAACCAGACCATTTGAATATGAATTTCTGGGAGTAGGGTCCATGCATCTGTATTTTCTAAGCTACCCAGGTAATGCTGTTGTACATTAAGATCAAAGAATCACTGCTCTGGTCCAATCCCTTTATCTTACGTATTGAGGTCGACTAGTTAACTAGGGCCAGATTGGCGGTAGAATCTTCAGGTGTGTCCTTTTTAAATACAACTAACCCAGAAGGGAAGAGGATAAAGTTAGTTGTTGGTGTCACCTGCCTTTCCAGTCATCCGCATTTACTTCTTTGGTTGAATTCCCACTCCCACCCTAATCTTCCAGTGCTGAGCCCTCCAGGTTCCTCCTCTTCCCATTGCCCTTTAGTGTTTAAGAAAGACCCATTCACCATCATTGTGACTACTGTGTTGACTAATGAATGACAGCTTCAAGTACTTCCCTTCCCTGGATATTTAAACATATGTCAAAGCTTATCAAGTCACTTCACCTTTCTGGGATTTCAGTCTTATCACTTGTAAATAGAGTTGGCCTTTCCAAAATACGGTTCTCACGGTGGAATCGTAGGTATTAGCAAATGGGTAGAGGAGGAATTCTAACCCAAGGAAGATAACTTTCATATCCCTTGAAATCATACAGAGTGACCCATGCTGCTGCACTTTGCTGTGGACTTGTCCAAAGATGTGTTTAGTCCACAGCATTGATTTAGGGCCTGTTCTATGTCATTAAGGAAACCACGTCAAGGCCCTGTCCTCAGGGGTTCATGCTAGCCTTCAGGCTATTCCACCATTATAAGCTCTTCCACACTTCCTAGGAATCAGAGTTAGCTGTGAGCCACCACCATTAAAAAAGATAGGCTAAAAAATTTCTTTTTCCCTGAAGGAGAAAACAAGAAAAATGGTAATGATTGTGCAACAGGGAGAAAAAAAAATTATAAAATGTTACAGGGTGATATGGCTTGGCTGTGTCCCCATCCAAATCTCATTTTGAATTGTAGCTCCCATAATTCCCACATGTCGTGGGAGGGACCCAGTGGGAGATAATTGAATCATGGGGGCGGGTCTTTCTCATGCTATTCTCATGATAGTGAATAAGTCTCATGAGATCTGATCGTTTTATAATGGGGAGTTTCCCCATACAAGTTCTCTTCTCTTGTCTGCTACCATGTGAGATGTGCCTTTCCTTTCACCTTCCGCCATGATTGTGAGGCCTCCCAAGCCACGTGGAACTGTGAGTCATTAAGCCTCTTTCTTTTATAAATTGCCCATTCTCAAGTACGTCTTTATCAGCAGCATGAAAACGAACTAATACACAGGGTTATCGATGAATAGTTACTGGCAGAGACTCTAAAAAAAAAAAAATTGTAACAACACTTTCAATAAGGATATATTATTTTCATAATAAGAAATCACAAATTAATATTTTGAAAGAGTAGGTTCAATCCCTGGAGGTTTGTGGACTCAAGGACCAAAAATCTAAGCTGTCTGATCAGCCAGACCCAGCCCACCAATAGATGTTCACATTTTACTGGCAGGGGTCCATTCTTGACCTTGAGCTTGACTGTTGAAAGTACAACTGCTCTCACAGAGGGAGCATGCCAAGTCTAACTGAGTGTTCATGCATGAGTGTGGCAGAGGTTGGAAGATTCTTCCTTGAGAGCAATTACAGTAGATGGGAGGTGATGGGTCAAGGAAGCTGGGTGAAGAGGTCAAGGCAAGGCCAGGGTCACAGCGGCACTGGGGGCTGTCAGAATTGCTGGGCTGTATTGTTCATTGCTGGCTTGCTGATGCTTTCTTAGCCCCTTGAGTTCTGACAGTTGTTAGTAGCCTTTGGAAATTCACCTGCTCATGGCATGGGGAAATTGAGTGCAGGGTTTGCTCAGATCAGTTCACCTGCTCCAAGAAGATGAAGGGAGCTGTTGCCCTCCAGATAGAATGAGTTAGGAAATGACAAGGATACCGTCCTTCCACACGGCATGTCATATAAATGGCTCTATGTGCAGGAAGAGCTGAGAAGCAGCAGCACAGGGTAGGGGGTGAGAGAATATGCATTGAAGGTTATCTTAGTGCCTAAGAAGTTCATTCAATAAATATTTATGGAAACTGCACTTAAGATACACGCCTGACCCAAATGGACACAATGCCTTCCTCAAGGAGTTTACTTTTTAGCATAGGAGGCAGGGGATAAACCACAAACCTAACAAATAAAGTAGCCACATGGAAGGTAAAAGGTGCTAAGTGCTGGAGATAACGCAAGGGAGGTCAGGAGGATGGGAACAAAGAGGATTCAGGCTCTGGGGCAGAAGTCATTCCCTGGGTTTCCTTTCCAGGTCTGGAGAAGGACAAGATGCAGCCAGAGAAGGACTGTGGGTCACTGGGAGGAGGGCACATTCCCAAAGGGGAGTTAGTAGCAAATAGAGGGACAAAGATGGCCAGATCAGGCGTTTCTTGTGGGCTGGGGAGCAGAAGAAAGAGGCTCATCCCTTGCTCTAGCTGGATGACCTAATAAGGCTTCTTCCATCTTGCTTGCTTTGAGTCTGGCCTCCGAGAGGACTCCCTGTTCTCTCTGGCAGGCGCTGCAGAGCCCACAGTGTTTAGGATTTCTGAGCGCCACTGAGTGTTCCAGCCAAAGACCCCATGTGACTTTCCTCCAAGCACGGGTGAGGGGTGCAGGAAGGAAGGGAGGGAGAGGGGTGAAGGGGGAAGGGGGGAGGGAGGGGGGAGATACAGAGATGGGGAGGAGTGCAGGAGGGAGGAGGGGAGGGGTGCTGGAGGGAGAAGAAGGGTGCAAGGAGGAAGGGGGAGAGGTAATGGTGCTGGAGGAATGGGGAGCGGATAGGGGTGAGGGAGGGAGGGAGAGGCATACAGGAGGGAGGAGAAGATTGCAAAAGGGAAGAGAAGGGGTGCAGGGAGAGAAAGGGAAGGGTGTGGGAGGGAGGGAGAAGGAGGGTGTAGGGAGGGAGAAGGAGCTTCCCATTTCAGGCCTTGGCACCAGGCTATCAGCTGAGACAAGGTGGACAGGAGAGGGGGATCAGAACAAATGCTAGGGCCCAGCTGTATCTGGCCAGCTTTCCTAAAGTAGTTAAAGCTAACGAGAAAGGTAACTGAGAAGGTGAAGAAAATAAAAGACTACTGAAATAGGTGTGCTCTGTGGGACACAATGCCTTCCTCAAAGAGTTGACATTTTAGTGTAGGAGGCAGAGGATAAACCACAAACTCTGTGGGGATTGGAGGCATTTCTGTTGTGTTTTTGTATCAGTCATAGCACTTATTCTTCCAAGAGCTCATTTGCCCCTGCAGCAGGGCTGGGGGCTCATGGGTGGCACCTGTTTCCTGGCCAGAGAGGGACTCCTCCACCTGGACAGAGGGCAACTGGTTTGTTTCCAATTTCTTTTAGGCTCTTAGCATGCTGAAGCTGGGAGGGAGCTTCGAGATGATGAGGACGCCAGGGCCTCCATGAGGGGCTGCCCTGGTGAACACAGGCCCTGGTACTGAATAAGCTCTTCCCGGTTCTAACTCGACTTTCATGGTGTCATTTTTGCGAGGTGCATCTCTGATCTGCCTCCAGTAAATAAACGGCTGAAACAGAAGGTTTTGAGTTTGTTTTTTGCGGAGGAAAGGAAGGAGAGCATTAAAGAACACATTTGGAAGAAAAAATGTTCACTGAGAGGTGGGAAGTCAGGCCAGCCAGGGAGAGCTTTGTTGCCTGTGAGAGGTTCTTACATCTAAACCAGGATGGGTTTGGGGGTGGGGCAGTCAACCCTGGAATTCAGGTTTTACATGCAAGCTGTCTTTCTGACAATCTACACATTTCACAGGTAAGCCAGGTGCGATCATTTGCATGTACCCACTTGCACAAGACCTGCCGGGAGCCTTCTGGCCAGGGCAAGCTGCATTCTTTCCAGGCACTTGTCCCAGGCAGGTGTGTTTCCCAGCGCCGCAGGTTAGAAACAAAGCAGGTTTGGACTGGTGATGGACTATACAGAGAGCACTGTCTCCTGAGTCGGGGACGTGGTGCTGGCCCCAGCTTGGTCATGAATTCACTGTGTGATCCTGGCTGAGTTTCTTGGCCTCTGGGGCCCTTTGTTTACCACCATTGTAATGAAGGGGTTGGATTAGACCAGTTTTCTGGAAATGTGCTCACTGAGGCCCCGGATATTCCAGAGAAGCCGTGGCCCAGGGCTAGAGGAAGGAAGGCTAAGGAGGGCTCAGACGGAGAATCTCCAGATGCCACCTGGCTTCATCCACAGAACTGCCAGCTCTATAAGATGATGTAATACATATGATGTGATACTATAATACAATGATGGACTTCAGGGTAAGGGAAAGAAGGGTTCCACTGCCTGCAAAGTTTGGAAGCCCCTGCATCAGGTCCCATCCATGATCCTATTATTCATTAAATGGTCCCGAGCAGTGCCAGAGGAGACTGGCAGTGTTCACTTTGCTTATTTAGAAGCCTGAACAAATGCCAAGAATTCACGGTCAGAAAAACACCCTTTGGCTCCACATTTATCTAGAGAGCAAAACAGACGCACTTGACAGATCCTGCAGGTCTAATAAAACGCCAGTGTGGCAGAAACCCTCTCTGCTGCTTCATAGTATTTATTATTTCCAGCAGATTCTACACTTGCTGTCACCAGGACATACCTGAGCAGGGGAGGTCAGGGCTGACCCCTGGGGCTGTGGGCAGAAACCATGGAAAGCCTCTGAGGGCCACTGGCTTTGTCATGAGTAGATGCAATATGTGGGTGATTGTTTACATGGAAACGAAACATCTGCGACACATGGCGACATGGAAAATCCCACCATCATACAGTAAATGAGAACCCAAAATTCCATGTCATTAAAGCAGGGGTTGCATTATTGAATATTAAATGAGATGACCCAGGGTGAGCCTGTGTGGCTGGCTGAGGAAGGTGCTGGGGTCAAAGTCCTTCTCGGGCCAGCGGCTTTCTAGGACAATAAATGTGTCACTTTCCTCCCCTAACCTTCTCCCGTGTGGAATAAGAACAGAGCTAAAGATGTGGTTCCTTGACCAATTATACTATATTTAAAATGACATTTTTAAGGGACTTTACTATTAGGCCTTAGTAAGGAAAAATCTGAATTTCAAACTGCGAGGCTAATGTGTGAGATCAAGTCACTTGACCAATTGAGCGTTTACATCTCAGGGTGGCTTTCTGGATCTTGATTTTCCTTAGCAAATACAATTTTGTTTTAAGACAGGGTCTTTGTCACCTAGGCTGGAGTGCAGTGACGTGATCATGGCCCACCACATCCATGACCTCCCGGGCTCAGGAGATCTCCCACCTCAGACTCCCAAGCAGCTGGGACTACAGGCAACCGCCACCATGCTTGGTTAATTTTTTTGTGTGTATTTTTTGTAGAGACAGGGTTTCACCATGCTGCCCAGGCTGGTCTCAATCCCCTGGGCTCAAGCAACCCACCTGCCTCAGCCTCCCAAAGTGCAAGGATTTCAAGTGTGAGCCACCGCCCCTGGCCAACAAATACTTATTCAAAGTCATCCACCTGCCTGGCACTATTGTAGAAGCTTGCTTCCCATCAATGAGCAAAACACAAAATTCCTGCCTTGGAGGAGCTTATATTCTGTGTCGCCATTTACCTGTCCCTAACTTGGGGGCCCAGCTCTCCCGAGGGGCTGTGTTACTTCGGTGTCTGTCAGGGGAAATGGTAGCATGGAGATTGTGGCTGGGTTGTGGCATCAGACACCCGGGCTCAGACAGAGCCTTTGGTTCTCTCCTTACACAGCTTCCATCAACTCTGCTCATGTCTGTTTCGTTGTTGTTAAAGCGGGCAGCAATGGCACATTCCTCATCAGGCTGCATCGATGATTAAATAAGGTATTTAATCCTTGATGTGGCGCCTGGCACTTAGTAAGTGCCCATAAAGTGGGTGGCTCGTGGCTGTCACTCCTGGGCCTTGTTCTCACAGCGGCATTCCTGCTCCTGTGTTTGCCCTCTGTTTGGTTGCCATGGGTGCTGTGTTTGTGTAGAGCTTCAGCAGGACGTGGTGCTGCGAACATTCATCTTGCCTCTGCCTGGTGATCTGGTGAGCAGGTGCTGCTGTTTGTGGGAGGAAGGGGCCAGCTGCCCATGGGATAGCAGCAACTGTGTGGCCTCCCCAGGCTGGTGGCCAGGGGGCTGCCTTCCCCATCAGGGGTGGGACCCACTCAGAGTACTTTTGCTTTTGGAACTCAGCCAGACATCTGTTTTGGGTGAGAGGATGCATGCTCTTCCTTCCCTCCCAGGATCCCCCTGTTTCAGGCTCTCTGCAGCAGCCCTGACTTGAATTGGCTGTGTGATCTGAGGCTGTTCACTTAACCTCTCTGGTTATCCATATCCTCATCCATAGAATGGAGATAATCATTCTCACCACCGAGGGGTGCTGTGAGGATCGGGCAAGGCCACAAGGTAAGGACTGGATCAACCTGAGGCACAGCGCAAGCTTCCCTTGCTCCAGCCACACAGCGGGACTCTAGTCTATGCAAATCTTTGCCAAATACATCTGATCTTGCCAATTGTCTTAGTCTGTTTAGGTTGCTGTAACAAAATACCATAAACCAGGTGGCTTATAAAAACAGAAATTTATTTCTCACAGTTCTGGAGGCTGGAAAGCCCACCATTGAGGTGGCTGGCAGATTTGATGTCTTGTGAGGGCCCATTTCCTGGTGCACAGATGGTAGCTTCTTGCTATGTTCTCACCTGGTGGAAGGGACCAGGCAGCTCTCTGGGGTCTCTTTTATAAGGATGCTCATCCCATTCACAAGACCCCTGCCCTCATGACTTAATCACCTCCCAAATTCCCCACTTCCTAATACCATCACCTTGAGGATTAGGTTTCAATGTCTGAATTTCGGGAGAGACACAGACATTCAGACCCTAGCACCGACTCTCGCTACTTCTCTTAATATTACCTCATATGCTTCATTCCAGCGTGACCTTTTAGCACTCTCGGCCTCTTCTGTGATCCTGAAGTTATGTTTGACACTGGTGGCATAGGTAGCATCCACATCTGTTGGATGGAAAGCTTCTCCAAGCAGGGGCCTCTCCCTTCCTCCTTACAGAGCCCAGCATGCAGGAAATGTGCAGCGTGTGTCTATTCCTAGGTGGACAAATGCATCCACGAACGAGGAGCTGGCACCTCTCTCTTAAAGACCTGTTTATTTCACGTCATGTAAGGGCATTGTTTCTGAAACTATGGCTAAATTTAGACTTTCCTTCTGCTGGGAGTCATGGGATGGGTTAGAAATTTATTCCTGGCCAGGCACAGTGGCTCAAGCCTGTAATCCAAGTGCTTTGGGAGGCTGAGGAGGGAGGGTTGCTTCAGCCCAGGTGTTCTAGATGAGTTCGGGAAACAGCAAGATCCTGTCGCTACAAAAAATGGAAAAAAAAAAAGACTGGGTATGGCAGGACATGTCTGTAGTCTCAGCTACTCAGGAGGCTGAGGTGGGAGGATTGCTTGAGCCCAGGAGGTGGAGGCCGTAGTAAGCTGAGATTGCACCACTGCACTCCAGCCTGGAGTGGACAGCAAGACCCTGTCACAAATTAAAAAAAAAAAAAAAAAAGAGATGTTGTATTAGTCAGTTCTCACACTGCAATAAAGAAATACCTGAGACTGGGTAATTAAAAAAAGAGGTTTAATTGGCAAATGGTTCCACAGGCTTTACAGGAAGCACGATGGCTTCTGCTTCTAGGGAGGCCTCAGGAAACTTACAATCATGGTGGAATGTGAAGGGGAAGCACACGCATGTCACATGGCTGGAGCAGGAGGAAGGGAGTGAGGGGGCAGGTCCCACACACTTCTAAACAACTGGATCTTGTGAGAACTCTATTATGAGAATAGCACCAAAGAGGAAAATTCAGCCCCATGATCCAGTCACCTCCCACCAGGCCCCACCAGCAACACTGGGGATTATATCTCAACATGAGGTTTGGGTGGGGACACAAATCCAAACTATATCAAATGTACTCCTGGGCTCTTACAGGTACAACCAAGTAGCCAAGTCTGGGGCAGGTTTTGGCTTGGAGTCTTGGAGAAGGTTCTGGTTGCCATGTTTCTTGCCTTGCCAAGCCAGCTACCCAGAGGGTCTAGTGCCCAAAACATCCCACAGAGCCTGGCCTGGGATGCTCCACGCTATGTGCTCCCCTGCCTGGCTCTCCTGCACTGTTCTTGCCTTCAGCAGCTCCCAGATGCTCTTCTTAGGGACTGCTGATGACATTCACAGTGGCTCAAAAGTGCTTCACCTTTTTGGAAATTGCAAAGTACATGGGGTTCCACAGACAACACCAGGCAAGGGAGCCGGGTTACTAAAGCCAATGGAGCATCAAGTCTGTCTTACGATAAGTTATCCAGAGTTCCAACTTGCACTTGATTATTTGAGTGATAAAATGAAGACATTAATAGATACTATAGGAAATATGCTGTTGGAATGAACTATCAGGTTAATTGCTTTAATCCTCTATGCCCCATTATTGGTGAGAATCTGGTTATCGTCAATCATGAAATGAGAGTCAACAGACCAATCTGAGCAGGGAGAGTAAAATGATAAATATACAGATGCTAGGTGCTGATGAGAGCTAATGAGAAAACACCATTCACAATGCCACTAGGATTTTGTGAGACTGAGTCTGTGTCCAGTGAGGAAATCCATCTCACCACACTGGTTTTCCATTGGCTACCATATGGCATCATTTTAAAGTCAGTGGACCTCAATTTACCTTCTGTGGTGATAGAACTGAAGGATGCCATTGCATAAGGGTACACTCAGGCTGTGTTGTTGTTAAATAAGGCCATGGCCCTTGATAAACCATGCCTTGCAGTATGCATGTTCTTGGATGCATCCTGAATCTGGGCTGGTTCTGTGATTTGTTTTAACCGATAAACTGTGATGGAAGTTACACTATACCAATTCTGGGCTTTAGCCTTAAGAAAGCCTTGCAGCTTCTGCTTTTGCACTTTGATACCCTGAGCTTCTATGTAAGAAGTTCACCTACCCTGATGAAGGGATCACATGGAGAGACCCCTAGAGGGGCAGTCAGGGAGGTCAGAAGGAAGGGAGAGGCCCTGAGACAAAATGGATGGAAAGACCAACCATCCCAGCACCCCAACTGAGCCCAGGCCCTAGCAGACTGTTCAGCTGAATGCACCGATACAAGTGACCTCTGGTAAGATCAGCAGAACAACCATTCAGCTAAGCCCAGCCACAATGGAAGAATTACAAGAAATAGTAACAGAACTGTTATTTTAAGTCACTGAGTTTTGGTGTAGTTTGTTATGACAAAACAACCCAGTTCTCAGGACAAATATTGTAGCTTCACCTCTAACATGGACATTTGCATATATGACCATCTGTATAAGTCTGAGTTTTCCAGAGAAAGAGAAACAATAGAATGTGTGTGTGTATAAAAGATACTTACTTTAGAGAATGGGCTCATATAATTGTGGAGGCTTGGTGAGTCCAACATCTGATGCGGGAGGCCATCAGGCTGGGGGCTCAGGAAAAAATTACAGTTTGAGTCCAAGGACAGTCTGGTGAAAAATCAGGAAGGGCCAGTGTTGCAGACGAAGTCTGAAGGCAGGCAGTCTGATGGGGAATTTGCTCTTGCTTGAGAGAGTTCAGCAATTTTTTTTTTATTTTATTTTTTTTGAGACAGGGTCTCCTCTGTTGCCCAAGTTGGAGTGCAGTGGCGCAATCAAACTCCTGGACTCGAGTGACCCTCCTGCCTCTGCCTCCCCAGTAACTGGGAATATAGGCTTGTGCTACTTGGCTAATTTTTAATTTTTTTTTTTTGGTAGACATAGGGGTCTTGCTTTGTTGCCCAGGCTGGTCTCAAACTCTGGAGGTCAGCCTTTTGTTCTAGACTTTAACTGATAGGAGGAGGTCCACCCATAGTGTGGACAATGTATGTTACTAAAAGTTCACAGATTTAAATGCAAATCTCATCCAAAAACATCCTCACAGAAGCATCCAGAACAATGTTTGGACTACATATCTGGGCACTGCAGCCCAGACAAGTTGACATAAAATTAACCTTCACACCATCCATTGGCAGAAAATAGGTTTTCTTTGATTTCACTCAGAAGTCAGTATTTGATTTTTGAAGAGAGAACCAGACTAGAGAATAAAGAGACTTGCATTTTAATCCAGCTACTGCCACTAACATCATCATCAGCCAACCTAATTCCTCTGAGCCTCAGTTTTTCCCACTGGGTTAATTTTAATTTTGTTTAATTTTGTGTTGTTCTTTCACCTTATTACCTCTTACAGGCAACTTTAGCAAGATGTTTACTCTTATGGGCAAAATTCACAGAAACCAAAAGCATGTTCTTAAACACGCTGAGGCTCTGGGACTTCATTATTCTGTGCCACAGATCAGAGGAAAGTAATTTTGAAAGGATCACAGGTTATTGGATCATGTAATTTTTAAAAATTTCAACAGTAAATTCTTAGGACATTTACTGTGTGACTATGTAATTTTCTTGTAGACACCTTAAGTAAATATCCATTGTGAACCCCAAAAATCTGAGACACATCTCAGTTAATTTAGAAACTTTATTTGGCCAAAGTTGAGGACACGTGCCCAATGACACAGTCCCAGGAGGTCCTGATGACATGGGGCCAAGGTGGTCAGAACACAGTTTGCTTTTACACATCCTAGGGAGACATGAGACATCAATCAACATATGCAAGATGAGCACTGTTTCTGTCTGGAAGGTGGGACAACTGGTAGCAAAGGCAGGAAGACTCCAAGAGGGAGGGAGCTTCCAGGTCATAGGTAGATAAGAGACAAATAGTTGCACTCTTTTGAGTTTCTGATTAGCCTTTCCAAAGGAGGCAATCAGATATGGGTTTATCTCAGTGAGCAGAGGGGTGACTTTGAAGAATGGGAGGCACGTTTGCCCTAAGCAGTTCCCAGCTTGACTTTTCTTTAGCTTAGTGATTTGGGGGCCCAATATTTATTTTCCTTTCATACCTTTGAAGATAGTAAAAATACTCATGCACACCTAGAGGAAGAAATTCTCACCAAGGAGGAACATCGGTTGCTTTGGTTGAGGGGGTAGTAGTGAGACACGGTGGCCTCCTCTGCAAAAATTCCATCTCTCCCCTTTTGGGTGGAGCCACATTTAGTTTGGTGATTGGACCCCATCTGTGCTCCAGGGTGGGCCTTGACTGATCTAATGCCAATCAGGATAATCCTACCAATCAGTTCAGGGGAAGACATGTGGCTTGAATTGTTCCAATCAGACTGCAACTCAGAACTCTTTTCTAGTTCTTGGGGTAAAAAAAGATTTCTCTTCTTCTGTGTGGTATGGTAAGTATAAGGATATGAGACTTAGGTTAACTGCAGCCATTTGCTACCAGAAAGGAAACCAACCTAAGGGATAAGGCAACATATGGAAGAGAAGAGGACCAGAGAATTGCAGAAAAATGGGGCCAGAGCCGTGATCAATACAAACTGGAAGCCCATTGGACCTCTGAGCTTGATAAGCTCTTTCATTTTCTCAAACATTTTTTTAAAAAAATAGAGTTAGGATCTTCCTCTGTAACCCAGGCTGGAGTCCTGTGATGTGATCATAGCTCCTTGCAGGCTTGAACTCCTGGGCTCAAACGATCCTCCCGCTTCAGCCTCCCCAGGTGCTGACTACAGGTGCAAACCACCATGCCTGGCTATTTTTTTTATTATTTGCAGGGACAGAGTCTTGCTATGTTGCCCAGGCTGGTCTCGAACTCCTGGCATCAAGCGATCCTCCTGCCTCAGCCTCCCATTTTAGGCCATTTTTGAGTTAGAATTTCTATTATTTCCAACCTGAAGCATCGTAATTGGTACCTGATATACCCCATCTACCTTTCAGGAAGAGTCAAAACTATCAACTTTTTAACCTTAGTCTCCTCATTGGTAAATGACACTCGGAATAAGATCGCTTTCCTCTCTGAATTGTTTGAGATATTATAATTCACCAAGGAGCTCACATGGAAGCAGAGCTCCTGCTGCTTTCAGGCTGAAGGCTACACCTTTGCAAAATTTCCAGGACAGCAGAAAAACAAAAACAAAGACAAAAAACCTTCAGATCACTGGCTCGAAACAAATTCAAGGGCAGACAGAGCAAGACTATTCATAAAAAAATCCATTGAGTAGAAATCCACTTCCTATAGTGTATGTGCATTTGTTCTAGTTCCACTTCTTGGGCTGCAATGAATAAGTCGGATCCTTCTTCTACCAGATAACTCTTGTTTTTTTTTGCAAACCAGTCGTTGACAACCCCATCGAAGGGCTCCTCATATGTCATGTATATTTTTTGAAGATCAACTGCACTGAGATATAATTCATATACAATAACATGTACCCATTATAAGTGTACAGTTCAATGAATCTTGGCAAACATCTCCACTTGTGTAACCACTACCACAATCAAAATGCAGAACATGGCTGGGCATGGTGGCTCACACCTGTAATCCCAGCACTTTGGGAGACTGAGGTGGACGGATCACCTGAGGTCAGGAGTTCGAGACCAGTCTGGCCAACATGGCAAAACCCTGTCTCTACTAAAAATACAAAAATTAGGCCAGGTGAAGTGGCTCACACCTGTAATCCCAGCACTTTGGGAGGTGGACACGGGTGGATCACCTGAGGTCAGCAGTTCGAGACCAGCCTGACCAACATGGAGAAACTCTGTCTCTACTAAAAAAAAAAAAAACAAAAAAAATTTACCCAGGTGTGGTGGTGCATGCCTGTAATCCCAGCTACTCAGGAGGCTGAGGCAGGAGAATCACTTGAACCCAGGGGGCAGAGGTTGCGGTGAGCTGAGATTGAGCTATTGCACTCCAGTCTGGGCAACAAAAGTGAAACTCCATCTTGGAAAAAAAAAAAAAAGGCAGGTGTGGTGGCGGATGCCTGTAATCCCTGCTACTTGGGAGGCTGAGGCAGGAGAATTGTTCCAACCTGGGAGGTGGAGGTTGCAGCGAGCTGAGATCGCACCATTGCACTCCAGCCTGGGCAACAAGAGCGAAACTCCGTCTCAAAAAATGAATAAATAAATAAATAAATAAAGCAGAACACTCACATGTCCCTCTACAATCACCTCCCCACCCATACTGGCCCCAGGCAACCACTTTTCTGTTTTCTGTCACTCCAGATTAGTTTTGCCTTTTCAAGAATTTCCTATAAATGGAATCATATGTCATATTTTAAGCTTCTGTAAAACAAATGGAAAAGCCAGAGAAACCCCATCCATTGGAATGGGGTCTACCAGTGTGGATCTGGATATGCTTGGCCAGCTTTTCTTGGCACTGCTCAAATTGGAGATAGACTATCCTATAGGCACAGCTCTTGCTCTTCCCTGGCTCACGGTCCCACCACACTCTAGCTCAGGCTTCTCTCTGTGGCACTCTGTACTCACGGCGATTTCTCCCTCGCTTTTGGAGCTGCCTTTCCCTTCTTGGCCCACATCTACCAACTGGAAAAGAAAACAGAAAATGAAACCGCTGGAAAGGCATCTTTCCTGGAGAGTCTGCTAATCTTTGTGGAGAACCACACAGGAAGCATGTCCCCTCAGTTCTCACTGACATCCCAGATAATGTAAACTCCCCACTTCCTGTACAGCTGGCTCAGGAATTGGCCTCTCTGACACAATGAAGGAAGCTTCAGTTTCTCATTATTTAACAGTTGGACACCCACTTGCTCTCTTGGATCCTAGGGCTATCTTTCCCTCTTTTTTCAAGGGTTTTGTTTTCTTTCTTCATCTGGTTCACCTTCAGATTTAAGAAAGTGTGAGAGAGAATGATGGTCTAGTCTTTTCATCATTTCTTCTTCTCGCTAAACCTGTCTGGTTCTTCATCCATATGCGGAACATTTTTTATGACTGAGTAGACAGAAATGGGCTTCTGGAGCCCAGCTATCATTTGACATATTGTTGTTATTCTTCCCAGTAAAAACACTTCCACAAAAGAGCAACTGGTGGTAACTGAATATGTCTGCAGAAAAAAAGAAAATAAATATGCAGTACATTTCAATATGAGAACATTTTCCCTCCTCTGGCTTCCTGGAGTATATAGTGCAGGTGGCAAGGAAATATCCTTTGCCTTACACAGTATAAAGGCTAGACCAGCGGTTCTCAAAATGCAATCCTTAGACAGTGGCATCAGTGTCACCTGGCATATTGTTATCTATTGCTGCATCGCATGTATCCCAAAACTCAGTGGTGTTAAACACCAGTCAACATTTATTATTTCTCACAGTTTCTGTGGGTCAGGAATTTAGCTTAACTGGCTGGGGTCCCATGAGATTACAGACAAGATGTTACCCAGAGCTGTGGTCTCATCTGAAGGCTCTATGAAATCAGTTTCCAAGGTGGCACACACAGGCGGCTGGCAAATTTGTGCCAGGTGTTGGTGAGATGCCTCATTTCCTCCCTAGGTTGCTCACGTGTCCTCCAGACACGAAGGTCTGCCTTTCCCAGAGGGTGTGATCCAAGAGAGAGGGTGTGGAAACTGCTGTGCCTTTTAGAGCCTTGTCTTAAAATCACATGGCCATCTATTAACATCAAACATAGTTAGAAACAAGTCATTTAATCTAGATCACACTTAAGGGGAGGAAAAGAAGTCTCCACCTTTTGAAGGCAGGAATGTGAAAAAGGTTGTGGACATATTCTAAAAATTACACACCTGGCCAAGAAATGCACTTTCTTGGGCCACACTCCAGACCTACTGAATCAGACACTGTGGGGCTGGGTCCATCAGTCTGTTTTCACAAGCCCTCTGGGTGATTTTGGTGCTGGCTAAAGTTGGGGAACGACCAGGTTGGACAAAAGGACACTAAGAAAACCTCAACTCACTTGTAGTGAAGCCTCACCAGCCAGGGCTACCTTCTAGAATCTAGAAGCTGAGTTTTCATGAATCCACTGAGAGATAATGGCCTTACTTCAAGTTCATCTATAGCAAAGGTACAGTAGGCAGAATGATCCCCCACGCCCCCACAATGTCCATGTCCTAATCCCAGAAACCTTTGACTATGTCACCTGACATGACAAAAGGGACTTTGCAAATGTGATTAAGTTAAGTATCTTGAGGTGGGATATTAACCTGGATTATCCAGTCGGGCTCCAGTTAATCAGAAAGGATTTTCATAAAAGAGAGACAGGAGTTAGATGGAGGAAGGGGCCATGAGCCAAGGAATACAGCCAAGCCCTAGAAGCTGGAAAAGTCGAGACCACAGAATCACCCTGAGAATCACCAGAAATAACGCAGCCAGGCTGACCTATTCTCGACTTCAGAGCTCCGGAACTGTCAGATAATACATGTGTGTTGTTTTAGGCCCCTGAGTCTATGGTAATTTGTTACAGCAGGAACAGGAAATTAATACAAAAGTGTTCTTGTTTGAACTTTCCTTTTGGTGGAAGAGGGAGAAGAGTAAGAGGAGGGGATGGTCTGCTTCCTTAGATGTTTCCACCAAAAGGGTAGACATCCATTTCATTGCAGATTCTGTACTTGTAATTTTACTTGCAGAAGCAAAATGCTCTAGAATGGTGCCAGTAGCCATATGAGGAATCAAAACTATTTCAAATTAAAAATTCAGTTCCCAGTCTCACCAGCCACTTTTCAAGGGCTCCATAGCTAATAAGGTGAGTGGCTAATGCATTGAGCAGCCCAGATATAGGGAATTTCCACCCTTAAAAAAAGTTACATTAGATAGTGCTGCTTTAGTCTTTGCTCTTTCCTAATTTTTTCTTTTTCTTTTTTTTCTTTTTTTTTTTTTTTAGCATTTGGGTCTTGCTCTGTTACCCAGGCTGGAGTGCAGTGGTGTGATCAGACTTGAGCTGCAGCCTTCAGCTCCTAGGCTCAAGGAATCCTCCCACCTCAGTCTCCTGAGTAGCTGGGACTACAGGTAGGCACCACCACATCTAGCTGATTAATTTGTTGTTGTTGTTGTTTTGAGATGTGGTCTTGATTGGTTGCCAGTCCTGGTCTTGAACTCCTGGCCTCAAGCAATCCTCCTGCCTTAGCCTCCCAAAGTGTTGGATTACAGGTATGAGCCACTATGCTTGGTTCCTTTCCTAATTTTAAGTAAGCTTTTGCAAAATATTGTCCCACATCTTGGCCATGGCTATGAGTGCAGGTGGGTATTACTGGACACTTTTAGCTCTGGAACTTGTATTTACTTGCTGTACTCATTAGCTAGGTTTTAAAAACTGTACTTTAGGGGCTCCTAGGGATTAACTGTACTTTAGGGGCTGCAGGAACAAAAACATGGAGGGGTGAGGGAAGCACATCTCCTGGAAGTCATTTGGACAAGATTCCTTCTCACTTAAGACCACAACTAGAAGCAAGAAGTCATTTGTGCTTGAATATTGACCTGGACTTACCATCTGGAGTTCCTGTATTTGTGAAGATTTCTTCAAAAACTTGATCCAAATATTATTTCAGAGGAAGCAGTTAATTTGAAACATAGTATATTAGGTTTAGGATTAACTCAACTATTTTGTATTTATATTCCCAGAAACATTGTATTCTTTTCCATTGAAACATACACACCACACCCACACCCACCCACACACATACGTACTTTATAGAATACACTGTACCTGTCTATTGCAGAGAGTTTTATGGTGCATCTAGCCAAAACCAATAAAATGTGGATAAAAATGGAGTCTTTGGTAGTTTCTTTCGGCCATAGAATCCCCAGCCCCCAAGGGGCTTCTTAACGGAATTGACAACCCCATTGGTTCAGGAGAGGCTGACTGGCAAGGTGATAGAACCCCACATTTGATCGAAGTTGCTAAACTTCTCATATTGAGCGTTATAAGTGTTAAATGGGTTGAGATCACACTTCTTTCCTCTGACAGTAATCTCACTTTATCGGATACTATCATTATTATTTATGATATTAATAATAATATCATTATTTATTATTATCAGCTACTATCTCATTATTAATTATATATAAATTTCCCAACTAGAGCAAAATTCTCTGGGAACAGAGAGCGTGCCTTGTGCTTCTACCTGTCTTGGGCAGAATAAACTCTCAACAGATGCAGGCTGGAGTGATTGTCGCTGCTGTTTTATGAACAAGAGCCTGTCTCTGTTTGTAGAGTATGCCTGGGTCATGCAGCCTTTGCAGGCCTGTTTTCTCATCCTGAAAACCCAGATATCTGTGGATAGATGAGCTCTGTATCTTTCTAACTCTGTTCTTTCTAGCTCTGAAGTTCTGTAATTATGTGACGGATGAAAATAATTAGAATCAAATAATTCTCTATTTTAAGGTTAAAAAGGGAAATCCATCATGTATGATAGCAATAGAAAAAATAGACCATATTTAACAGCCTTCATTATTTTTCTTTAAAACTCATAATGCCTCTGTAGCTATTTGTAAACAAGTCTCATATAAAAAAATAAAATTGAGCGAGGCAGGGCTAGAGGTGAATTTACCTGTAACTGATGAAGCTAACACTTTGGTATCCCTCAAGAATGTGCCCCTTCCAAGGGCCTGGGATGGACTTTAGCAGTGCGGTTATATGTTCATATATTTCATAATCTTAAAACGTATGCTATTGTAGCTGTAATCTGTTACGATTGCCATCTCCTTTCATTCATGTTTCCCATTCTCTTGGGTAGTGTTGGGATGATTGTGGGTGTTTATAAGATCCAGTTAATAAAAGAGGAGTTGGGGATGCATTTACTTTGGGTTTGGTAGCTTATATTGATGTGGTTCACTCAAAGGACTCTAGAAAATTAAGAGTGTAGGATTTTCCCATTCCTGCCAAAACTCTGGGTGGGGAGTTATTGAGTCAAAACAATTGCGAGAATTTGGGAAGTGGGAAAGAAGAGGAAAATGAAAAAGCTTGCATGGTCCTCAAATGGAAGGGTTTACCTTTGCATAATCGGGGCTGTTTTAACAACCAGCAGTGCTCTGGAATCAGGCATGTTGAGACCAAGAGCTTTGGAATCAAGTTCAAATTTCAGTTGTGCAATGTATCAACTGTGTACCTTTGGATAAATTATTTTCCTTTGAATCTGTTCCCTCACGCATTACTGAGGATAGGAATATCGACTACCCTGTACTACCCATAGTTGTTGGGAACTTTAAATGCTATCACATGCATATGCACATAATAGGCACTATAAATTACAGCTCTTAAAAATCATGATATGAGATGTTCTCGTGATGTATTTAATTTGAATATCAAAAATTCCAAGCAAGGAAAAAGATCTCCTTTAGAGATTTTTGAAGTTAGGAGAGGCTTCCAAGTGTTTAAACAAGGCTTAAATTGTGGCTCTGCAAAGCTGTGACTTGCCCAAAGTCATGCCTCTGGGGAGTGGCAGGGCTGGTCTTAGAATCCACCTGCCCTAACTTGGAGTATAGTTAGGATAGGTGGGTCCCTTATAGTGAAAGCAAATCAAGAAGTAAGTATGCTGCAAAGGCCATGTATGAAGAACTGCTGGTATCAGTTTTAAAAAATGCAGTTATCTTTGACCAGTGTTTAGGAATCATACATACATTATCCCACTATAACCTTCATGACCACCCTATGAGAAAGTTGCTATATAGTTGCTATTTTATAGATTAAAAAACTAAAATACTGAGACCCAGAAAAGTTAAGAATTTGTTCCAGGCCACACATTAATAAATAACAGAACTTGAATTCAACCATAGGTCTGTGTGACCCCAAAGCCACGCCCTTTCTCCTTCTTCCATACTGCCCTGTCTTCGTCTGTGTCCAGAAAGGGACTTTCTCCACCTTTGGCCAAGTTACAACTGTGAAGCCATCCCTGCAGTGTGACTTTCTTCTCTCTGACTGCAAACTTACTGATGCCTCTAAGTCTCTCATTTTTCGGTCATCTGAACACCACGAAAAGAACCTAACTTGGACATTTTTATGATTTATTTTCAGAGGTTTATAAATTGTCAAAGTTTTCTCAGAAATATTTTTCATAAAGTCAAAGAATTAAGGGAAAAAACAAGAACTTGTTCAGGTCATCCCTTGAGCAGACACACACCTGAACCTCACCAAACTTCTGGAAATTTCTTCCACTTAAAACATGCTTTTGCTTGGTGGCTTTCAACCTTGGCTGACATTAAAACTATCTGGGAAGCTCTAAGATAGTACCATGCTCAGGCCACACCCAAGACTAATAAAATCAGAATCTCCAGGGGTGGGGGGTTTTAAAAGCTCACCAGAGGATCCTGGTGTATAATCACTAAGGCTGGATAAAGATAAAGATTAGATGGCCTTTCTCAATAATCCTTTTCACTGATGAATTTCTTCTGATGCTCTCAGAAAAAAATTTCTCTCTCTCTCTCTTTCTTTTTTTTTTTAACTGAGACACAGTCTTGCTCTGTCACCCAGGCTGGAGTGCAGTGGCGCAATCTTGGCTCACTGAAACCTCTGTCGCCTGGATTCAAGTGATTCTCATGTCTCAGCCTTCCGAGTAGCTGAGACTACAGGCGTGCACCACCACGCCTGGATAACGTTTCTGTATTTTTAGTAGAGATGGGGTTTCACCATGTTGGCAAGGCTGTTCTCAAACTCCTGACTTCAGGTGATCCTCCTGCCTTGGCCTCCTAAAGTGCTGGGATTGCAAACATGAGCCACTGTGCCTGGACTTTTTTTTTTTTTTTTTTTTTTTTGAGGCAAGGTCTCACTCTGTTGCCCAGGCTGGAGTGCAGTGGTGTGATCACGGCTCACTGAAGCCTCCACCTTTTGCTGGGCTCAAGTGATCCTCCCACCTCAGCCTCCCAAGTAGCTGGGACCACAGGCGTATGCCCCATGCCTGGGTAATTTTTTTTTTTTTTTTTGAGACTGAGTCTCAATCTGTCACCCAGGCTGGAGTGCAGTGGCACAATCTCAGCTCACTGCAACCTCCACCTCCCAGGTTCAAGCGATTCTCCTGCCTCAGCCTCCTGAGTAGCTGGGACTACAGGTGCATGCCACCACACCCGGCTAATTTTTTGTATTTTTTGTAGAGACTGGGTTTCACCATGTTGCCCAGGCTGGTCTCAAACTCCTGAGCTCAAGTAGTCTGCCCACCTTGGTCTCTCAAAGTGCTAAGATTATAGCCATGAACCACTGTGCCTGGCCAAATTTTCTCATTCTTAACTGAGGTTCCTTTGGTGGAAGGCTCATTTCTCTGGTGATTTTACACCATAGTGTGAAAGTGTTGATTAGCATAATTTTCTTTTTAGGACAACTTGTTACTATATTATTAAAAACTTTATAAACTGCATATTTATTTGGCCAGCATTTTGATTCTTAGGACTTTATTCCAGAGGAATTAAAAACTGTGCTCAAAGACGTATATATGGAAGTTCATGAAAGCATTGCTTACGACAGCAAAATTTGGAGGCAACTTGGCAAATATTTGAGAAAGTGTATTCATATGAGAGAATGTAATCATTAACTTACATTTACGTTCATGTTAACCAGAACAGAAAATACTGTAGTAGGAAAAGTAAGAGTTAATTTCAGATTAAAAATACATACATTTTTCAGATGTGTAGGGAAAAATACTGAAAGAGTTTACTTTAAAACATATGTTGTTGGCTGGGCGGGGTGGCTCACGCCTATAATCCCAGCACTTCGGGAGGCCGAGGCAGGTGGATCACGAGGTCAGGAGATCGAGACCATCCTGGCCAACATGGTGAAACCCAGTCTCTACTAAAAATACAAAAATTAGCCGGGTATGGTGTCACGTGCCTGTAGTTTCAGCTACTCAGGAGGCTGAGGCAGGAGAATTGCTTAAATGTGGGAGGCGGAGCTTGCAGTGAGCCGAGATCGCACCACTGCCTAGGCGACAGAGCAAGACTCCGTCTCAAAAAAAAAAAACCAAAAAACATATGTTGTCAGTTGTTACCTTGGATGGTTGGTTTTGTAACTGTTTTTTTAGAATGCTCTTCTGAGTTTTTCAGATGTTCTGTTTGAGTATTATTATTGTTTCATTAGAAACATCAATAAAGTAGTCTTCAGAAAATGCTAATTGAGGCCAGGCACTGTGGCTCATGCCTATAATCCCAGCACTTTGGGAGGCCAAGGCAGGAGTTCAAGACCAGCCTGACTAATATGGTGAAACCCTGTCTCTACTAAAAATATAAAACTTAGCTGGACGTGGTGGCATGCACCTATAGTCCCAGCTACTTGGGAGGCTGAGACAGGACAATTGCTTGAACCTGGAAGGCAGAGGTTGCAGTGAGCTGAGATTGTGCCACTGCACTCCAGCCTGGGTGACAGAGCAAGACTCTGTCTCAAAAAAAAAAAAAAAAAAAGAAGAAAAAAAGAAAACGCTAATTGAAAATGCAGTCTGGAAATATGAGTACCTCCATTCCTTACCTACATTTCATGTCTTATTTTTTAATAAAATATAATGGTATTTGCTGGAACGATTGTTCAGTTGTCTTCAGAGAAGAATATTCTCCTTTTTGATTGTTGTTATTAAACTCAGCTGTCTCCAGGACAGATTAAGACATTCTTTTTTTCAACTACCCAGATCCCCCTTGACTAGAGCAAATAGCTAAGTTCAGAGGAATTTTTGGGAAGAGTCTCAGCCGAACTCTCAGAGAGTAAGGAAAATCCATGAGATGATATGGAGCCTGGGCTGTGACAGACATGTATTTGTTGTTGATAAAGGAAGAATATATTTGTTAATACTCTTAGCAGAAGAAAACATAGAGAAAATTATGTTTGTGTCTTAAGAAGAAAGAGGAAATCCAGGCTCAGTGGCTCACACCTGTAACCCCAGCACTTTGGGAGGCTAAGGTGGGAGGATCGCTTGAGGCCAGGAGTTCAAGACCAGCCTGGGAAATATTGCAAGACCTAGTCTCTAAAGAAAATTTTTAAAAAGTAGAGGAAGAAAAAGCAAGAATTCTTAAAAAGTAAAAAAAATTGCACAATCCATTTGTGAACTGGAACAACTAAAATGTCCAACAGAGAAAGTGACTTTGAGTTGAACATGAAGTAGAGCAAGTACCCTGAGCCCAGGGAGAGCTCAGAGGGTAGACAGATATCACTGTGGATCCCAGGAAAAGGACGGCTTCCTCAGAGCAAAGCATCCTGCTCAATTTCAAGATGACATTTAAGGAAAGCAACATGTTTTTTAAAGCTTGGGTACCGAAGTTATGGCCAAAAGTTTAAACTGAGATATACAAGAAGATGCTACAAGAAGTAATATAATATGAAGTTCAGATCTGGCTGGGAAAGGAGAAAGAGGCAGGAGGAATGACAACTTTATGGAGTACCCTCTTTGACAGAAGTGTGGTTCGTGCGTCCCCTCCACAGCCGTGGAAGCTGGACAGGCAGGGCTGCAGTGAGAGATGCACTCAAAAGAGCTGTGGGCATTGTTTGGCAGCGGCTCGACAGCTGCTCAAATTGCAGGAGACAAGAAGTTAAACAGGACGCTGGCTTTCCAATCGACTTGTGCAAAGGAATTTCTATTTTAGGAGGAACAGAGGCCTTGAGTCCACAGTGCCACCTGCAGGGGGCCAGCTGGGCAGGGAGGAAGAAGTCACAAAATCACTCGGGAATAGTTTAGTTGCCAGGGGGCCCTGGGTCCATCTGAACTGAGTCACGGCACTTGCACTAAAGCAAATCTACTCACAGACTGATTACTACTGATTTGCTCAGGGAAAAGTCCCTCTCCCTAAACTAGGACTCACTCTACCAAGAGTTTCCTTGGCTGATATAAGGATCAGAGGCTACTTCACATGACTTCTCACCATCACTGATGCCACTCTTAGTCCTGCTGCAATGTACCTTTCACAGGGATGGGTAGCAGAGAGGATCAGCTCTGTTTTCATCATTATTTTTTTGGTTTTGTTTTTTTTGTTTGTTTTCTTTTAGAGACAGGGTCTTGCTGTGTTGCCCAGGCTGGAGTGCAGTGGAGCAATCACTGCTGGAGTGCAGTGGAGCTCACTGGAGCCTCCAGCTCTTGAGCTCCAAGTATCCTCCCACCTCAGCCTCCTGAGTAGCTGGGACTACTGGTGCATGCCCCCGTGCCTGGCTAATTACATTTTTTTTTTTTTTTTTTTTTTTTAGAAACTGGGTCTTGCTATGTTGCCCAGGCTGGTCTCAAATTTCTGGCCTGAAATAATCCTCCCACCTCGGCCTCCCAAAGTGCTGGGATTACAGGCATGAACCACTGCACCCAGCCTGTCATCATTGTTGAAAAGCATTTTAAGTACCTCCCAGCTGCCCTGCTGGCAGAGGAGGCAGATGCATCCTATAGAGTAGTGGGTACAAACATGGGCTTCAGCCTCAGCCAGCCTTGGGTTCAAATTCCAGCCAGGGAAGGGACAGGATTCAGCAGGGCCAGGATTAGAGTCAGGTGATTAAGGCTGAGTCCCAGTATAAGGTCAGAGTCTGTCTTTTTTTCACATTTTAATATTTTACTATGGAATGTTTTCACTAATTTTGCATTTTTAAAAAATTGCACTGAAATATCCTTTACCTTGCTTACTGAGCCTTTTGGCTTTCCTTTACATTTTGCACCAAACTGAGTGCTCACTCACCTCACCTAGTCTCAATATAGTCCAGCCCAAGCATGTCGGTTTCATGAGGTTGTGCAAGTCATTTTAAATCTTGCTTTCATCGTCTGAAAATGGGATGATTAACAGATTCTATCTTACAGGGTTTTGTAAAGTTAAATGAGATAATGCCCTTAAAACTCTTAGCACGGGACCTGAAGTGTACATAGGTGTGCAATAAACTGCCTGTACCTTTGCTAAGTCACCCTATGGCCAGGATCTGATGTGTTGCACACAGCAAACCTAGATATAGCGTGTGCCTCCTGAAGGAATCATTTGCTTGAAGAGAGAACATGAGTCAGTGCCCAAAAAGCATGTTACTGCCAATAAGAACCACATTTTACAAGACAGAAAATGACCCGCCAAGCCATTTCTGGACACTTACTAATAAAATGTAGCTAATTTCAAATTGGGATCCAGACTATGACTTGAGCCGGGCTGCAGGTTGTTAAAAACCATGAGCAAATTCACAGATCCCAGAGTAGAAGAAATGCCCTTTGCTGAGAATCAGCCGAAATTGTGGTGTGTGTTGGAAAACAGCAGCAAGTACTTATTCCTTGGACACCTTGTCCTCAGCTAAGGCATTTGCTAGGCACCCGTAGGAATATATGCTTGAGAAATAGGCGAAACTACTTGCGAACACGTGCACCGACCAAGGCTGCTGTATGCCCTGCAGTGCATATAAACACATGGTGGGAGTGAGCTCAGGGTGAAAAGATGTGTTAAGAAACACATTATATCAACCACATCCGCCCTTCCACACATTCTGGGAAAATGACAGTTTATGCTTTCAATGTTGCCGTTTCCAAAGAACCGTGATTTAGTGTCTCATATAAAAGTACAGCAGGCAAGCTGGATCCATTTCAAATTTACTAGTAAAATTAAAATTAGTTCTTTGAAAATTGAAAAACTTTCAGCCAAGAGATTCATTCTGGTTTCATGACATTTGTAAAATTGTTCTATGTTTAAGGTTTTAGGTATTGAAAACATCTGTCCTATTTCCTAAGGTAAAACTCAATGCTAAAAGGAATGACAGTGAAAAAAGGTGACTGATGAGCTTTTGAATTTCAACTCTCTTTACTACTTGGAGTCTGGAAATAGCTTGTGATAGGCAGAATATGGATCCCCCAAAGATGTCCACGTCCTAATCCCTGCAATTTGTGAATATGTTGCTTTTGTAAGGAACTTTGCAGATGTGATTAAATTAAGAATCTTGAGATGGGAAGATTATCTTGGATTATTTTAGTGGGCCTAAATGAATCACACAAATCTTCAAAATCAGACAACCTTTTCTTGCCATAGTTGGAAGGCGATATTCCTGCAGAAGAAAAGTTAAAAAGATGCAACTTTGCTGGCTTTGAAAATGGAGAATAGGCCATAAACAAAGGAATGGAGCAGCTGCAAGGAGCTAAAAGACAAAGAAATAGATTTCCCCCTAGAACCTCCAGAAAGGAATGCAGCCCAGCTGATGCCCTGATTTTAGTCCAGTGCAACCTGTGTTGGACTTCTAACTTCAAGAACTGTAAGGTAATATATCCGTCTTGTTTTGTTTTTTCCTTTTTTGAGATGGAGTCTTGCTCTGTTGCCCAGGCTGGAGTGCAGTGGTGTGATCTCGACTCACTGATTCTCCTGCCTTAGCCGCCCGAGTAGCTGGAATTATAGGTGCCACCATGCCCAGCTAATTTTTGTATTTATAGTAGAGATGAGGTTTCATCATCTTGGCCAGGCTGGTCTTGAATGCCTGACCTCAGGTGATCCGCCTGCCTCAGCCTTCTAAAGTGCTGGGATTACAGGCATGAGCCACCGTGCCTGGCTACATCTGTCTTAAGTCACAAAGTTTGTGGTGATTTGTTATAGCAGCAAAAAGCAACTAATATACAGCTGAAATTATATAACTTTCCATTCATCAATTTCATGACTTATTGTAGCTTTACTAGGTATTTAAAAGCAAACTCTAGTATAGTATTTTTAAAATTCTAATATTTTTATTGTTGGGTCTTGCATCCTTGTTTTCTTCTCCTCATTTATCCTAGGATGGTAGGACCTACAGATTCTTGATTAGATTATAGATGCAAAAAAAGAACCTGGAATTATTCCCCAAGAAGCTCCTTCTTCTGAAACCAAGAGGTGAGGAATGCTCGTCTGCTCCAGGACATGCTCAGTGAGATGAAAAGCTGTATGCATGGGAGTTGGGCCATGAAGTGCAAGACGCAAACCCTTGAAATCGTTTTTAATGAAATATAAACATTGAGTTAGCATGAGGGCCACAGTTTCTGGGTGGTTGGTTCTAAGTTTGGCAATCAGGACATAGAGGGAAAATTCTCCTGCTTTAATGGCCTCCAGATGTTCTTTTGGTCCCAACTGAAAATTTCTCATCATTTATGGTTAATATTTTTGTCAGCAGCAGAGTTTTGTTGTAATGTCTCCAAACTGGTGGTAGTGACCATTAGTCATTAGACAAACCCCAAATAAGGGTTTAATCTTGGGGTCACTTTAAGTGTTCCATTATATTTCACTTAATGAATAGTCATCAGAATGTTCTGTTTGTACAACAGGGGACTACATGATTCTATCTGATGACAACCAGTCAGTGATCTCAGGTATAAAATGCAATGTCCTATTGTAACAATGGCTGGCATTACACCCAACATCTAGAAGAAAAAAAACAATGATGTCAGAAGGCAGTCATCTGGAGTGAATAAAAGGCAAGAGGCTTATTGCAAATTCTAATGCACTTCATCATAGAATTTTAATTAACTATTCCATTCACACCAATTGGGGACTATTAAAGCAGTCGTTTCTGAGAAGCAATCTTTGGGAAATTCAGGTAAAAAAAGACAACTTCTGTCTTCTGGAACAATAAGGTTATGACTTCCTACACCTAATAAAAGGTGACTATATAGCCAGGCGTGGTGGCACGCGCCTGTAATTCCAGCTACTCAGAAGGCTGAGGAATGAGAATCGCTTGAACCCGGGAGGTGGAGGTTGCAGTGAGTAGAGATCGCACCACTGCACTCAAGCCTAGATGACAGTGAGACTCTGTCCCCCACTCCCCCCACAAAAGTTATCATGCAGGATCTGCCCTGGGATATAGTTTAATTATGTAACATAGTCTGAAAATAAGCAAATTACTTATATACATGCTTTGATCTTTCTCTATCTGAGGAATGGGAAGAACATAGTTTACCTCTCTAGAAGTCGCTTCTGAGAATTGTGGTCCATGCTCCATTCTGAATCCACAAGGAAAGGCCTTCACACTATACATGGCAATTGCCATTAGATATTGTCTTCTGGTTATGGCGCAATGGGCTGATTGCCTTAGTTATGTCAGAAAGGTGTTTGAAGAGCCTATTGTGACTTGCCTGGTTTTAAAGGCTTGAGTTATAACTGGCTAATAATACACATTGATACTGTCTGCAGCTTTTAACAAGTGTTTTTTGTTTGTGCTTAATACTTATCAGATGACTAGGTAATTTTTGAGGTTGACTCACCAGGGCATTTGGTTTCATGGGTCATTAGGGACCTGAATTACAGGCCCTTCACAACACTTAGCAAGTGAATCATACTGAACAATAGAATCTCTTTTAACCTTTGTCTTTTTAAAAATTAAATGATAATAAATCATTCGACCCTACATTAAATCTTCTCCTCTCCTCTCCTCTCCTTTCCTTCTCGACAGGGTCTTGCTCTGTTGCCCAGGCTGGAGTGTGGTGCAATCGTGGCTCACTGCAGTCTTGAGCTCCTGGGCTCAGGTGATCCTCCTGCCTCCTGCCTTAGTCCCTCCTTCAGCTGGCACTACAGGTGTGCAACACCATGCCCAGATAATTTTGTATTTTTTGAAGAGATGGGGAGGATCTCTCTCTGTTGCTCAGACTGGTCTCAAACTCCTGACCCAGATTGATCCTCCCACCTTGGCCTCCCAAACATAGCCTAGTACTCTAGGAGTTTCCCTGCTTGCAGAGAGGAACAGTGCTTTGCTAGAACTGTTAGAACAAAGAAAAGATGACTGGGTGCGGTGGCTCATGCCTGCAATCCCAGCACTTTGGGAGTCTGAGGTGGGCGGATCATCTGAGGTCAGGAGTTCAAGACCAGCCTGGCCCATATGGTGAAACCCCGTCTCTACTAAAAATACAAAAATTAGCCAGGCGTGGTGGTGGGTGCCTGTAATCCCAGCTACTCAGGAGGCTGAGACAGGAGAATTGCTTTAATCCAGGAGGCGGAGGTTGCAGTGAGCCGAGATTATGGTATTGCACTCCAGTCTGGGCAACAAGAGTGAGACTCCGTCTCAAAAAAAAAAAAAAAATTAATTAAATTAAATTAAAAAAAAGAACAAAGAAAAGATGTTACCACGAACTCTAAAATGGCACACTTGCAGATTTCTCACTGGGGAAGATGTCTCGTCTTCCTCGTGTTGTTCCCGTTTTCTTTCTCATCCAGGGTCCGACAGGGATGACATCAACAGAAGCTCAGGCTAGAAGGAAGATGAGGTAGCAGTGGGCCTGGTCTGCCCCAACCCCCAGGAGTGACTGGCAGCACACATAGCCTGAATCGACAAGATTTTAAAAAAACATATATGTTTTGGTTTTCACAAATTCTCCCACCTGTTGGTAAGTACTTTTGAAAATTTAAATCATAGACTCATTCTTTTATGACATTTTCCAACAGACGTTCCCAATATAAAATCTCAGACTACCCTTAACTTCCTCTGAAGCCCAGGGCTCATTTGCATCTGTAATTCTGACATCTACCATCTTACAGAGGGTTCTGTAATTACCAAGGCAATGAGCACAAGTCCCTGGTTCTCTCGGCAATCCAACCCTCTGAAGCAAGAAAATGCACCCCTCTGCCAAGTGAGGGTCTGTTTTTCTCTCCTTAAAATCTGCATGAAATAGTTTGCCAATCCCAGATGATGTGATAAGACGTGGTGTGATGCGATAAAAGGGGTAACCAGCACTTTGGGAGGCCGAGGCAGGAGGAACACCTGAGGTCAGGAGTTCAAGGCCAGCCTGGCCAACATGGTGAAAACCCGTGTCTAGTAAAAATACAAAAATTAGCTGGGCATGGTGGCTGCCACCTGTGATCCCAGCTACTTGGGAGGCTGAGGCAGGAGAATCACTTGAACCTGGGAGGTGGAGGTTGCAGTGAGCCGAGATTACTCCGTTGTACTCCAGCCTGGGCAACAAGGGAAAAACTCCATTTCAAAAAAAAAAAAAAAAAAAGGTGGGGGGGATAGCCAGGAAGAAGCCCTGTTCTAATCCCGAACAGCTCTTTCCCTTGTCCACCCTGTTTCAGATCACATTGTTTAAAGCAACAATAATAATAATAATTATAACAACAGAGAAGAGAACTTGCGCGAATTTACTTTTATTTTATTTTTTCTAAGACAGCATCTTGCTCTGTCACCCCGGCTGGAATGTAGTGACGTGATCACAGCTCACTGCAACCTCTTCCTCCTGGGCTCAGGTGATCCTCCCACCTTAGCCTCCTGAGTAGCTAGGACCACAGGCATCTGCCACCACACCTGGCTAATTTTTTAAAATTTTTTTGTAAAGACAGAGTTTCGCCATGTTGCCCATGCTGGTCTTGAACTCCTGGGCTCAAGCTATGTGCCTGCCTCGGCCTCCCAAAGTGCTGGGATTACAGGCGTGAGCCACCACACCCAGCCTCAGCATTTGGTAAGCCTTGAATATGTGCCAAACACTCTGCTAAGCATGTTACATTCATTATATTATCCAATCCACAGACTAACCCAAGAGCAAAGCACCGTTAGTATATTCATCCTATCGTACAGATGGGCCTGGGACAGCTAAGATAGTTGCCTTTTGGGTTGAGCGTTGTCCTGTTTCTTCTCTTGCTTTTAAAATGTATTTATTGATTCTTTCAACAAAGATTTATTGAGCACTTATTATGTCCCAGGCCCTATTTAATCTTTATATATTCTCATATATTGATGAAGATGTCATGAGCTCAATAAACTGCTTTGTTCTAAGAGAAGAAAGAAGTTTCTGTAAAAGCAGGGGCTTCTGAGAAAAGAGGGAAATGTGAACTTCAGACTTCAGTGGCTTCACACACTTCTGCCCTGAGCAGTATTGATAAGAATGCAGTCTCTCAGGTTGAAGTATGTCACTTTCACCTTTTCAACTGGGTGGGGAGAATGATATCTGGGGAATGTGAAGTGTTTTTACTGCAGGCTTTCTGCAAAGACCAAAGGGAGAGATAGGGCCTGAAAAATGATGGGGAATTCCCAGATCTGAGAAAACTCGTTAATAAACTTGGAATCCTGGTGCCCCCGTTTGAAAGGGCCTCGGACGTCTCTGAGTCCATCCCTTAGACAAGCTCTCTATTGGAAGCAAGATGTCCTATTAACAAATGTTAATTTGTTAAACAGACTACTTCTGCCTGCACACACTTTGAATGCAGGGGAACTCTCTCTCTCATGAGGCAGCCGATTCTGGTGCTAAACAGACTGTTCTTCCTCATACCAAGCCAGGAATCTACCTCTATGTCCACTCATGGGTCCCAGATCAGTCCTTGGATGTCATGAATACTAATCCGGTCAGGAATAATAAGTCATGAACAATAAATCTGGTATTTCTTTCATAGGAGCATTCATCTCTAAAATCAGAAACCTTGTTTCCACTAAGACTTTCTTGTCTTGCTCCTTCAGCTTCCCTTACATGTCATGATTCCAAATGCTTTACTATCCTAGCTGGAGCAAGGGGAACTGTGAATGAATGAGCTGGAGACACTGGAGGCTTGCTCAGAGGAGCCATTATTAATAAACACACACTGAAGTCACAAGAAACTTTGAAAGAGGGGCTGGGGCCTCTCCTGTGGCCATTAGGATGTGGACAAAGCGTCTTTGGAATGGAAGAGGTTTCTGGGGTCAGGGATCATCTGGCTGGTATTTGAGTCCCTATATAGCGCTTGTGACACTCAGAACAGTCTTTTTAAGGCCAGGCTGTGGTGTCTGAAGAAGTACCTGGGAAGCAAATATAATTGCTCTAAGTAGCATGCTTGACCTAGGCAATGTACACAGCCATCTCTGGGGAGAATTTCATTTTTATTATTTGAGACAGAGTTTTGCTCTGTTGCCCAGGCTGGAGTGCAGTGGTGCAATCACAGGTCACTGAAGGCTTGACCTCTCAGGCTCAAGTGATCCTCCCACCTTAGCCTCCCAAGTAGCTGGAACTACAGGTGCACACCACCATGCCTGGCTGATTTGTGGAATCTGAGGGTGATCCTGAAGACCCCCAAACTTGCAACTATTGTCTGAAGTAAGGGACTGTTCCATTAGACTTTGCAGTTTGCTAAACTCTGTTACAGCCCTTCACTCTAGGGAAATAAACTCTGACTCTTTATCGAGGTTTTTTTTTTTTTTTTTTGATATGGAGTCTTCTATCACCCAGGCTGGAGTGCAGTGTCATGATCTCGGCTCACTGCAACCTCCGCTTCTCGGGTTCAAGTGATTCTCCTGCCTCAGCCTCCTGAGTAGCTGGGATTACAGGCGGCCACCACCACACCCAGCTAATTTTTGTATTTTTAGTGGAGACAGGGTTTCACCATGTTGGCCAGGCTGGTCTTGAACTCCTGACCTCAAATGATCCACCTGCCTCAGCCTCCCAGAGTGCTGGGATTACAGGTGTGAGCCATTGCACCAAGCCTCTTTATCCAATTTTGTGCCTCCCCCTGGGACAAGGTGTCCCCAGAGCTAAGGGGCCATAGCTTTCCTTTTTCTGGATCACACCCCTGCATGTGCTGGTGACTGGAGTTTGGATGTGTGTGCTGGGATGTCCACATAGGTGAGTATGAGTCTCCCCGCAACATGGAGGGAATGAGAGAACAGAGGGTGAGTTATGGTACAAAGGCCTGGAGCCAGGGCCTTCTCTCCCCACACCACCATACTCCACTGCGGAATTCCAGACAGTCGAGAATTCTAAATTTGAACATAGACTTCGAGGTTATCATGGTGTTTTTTTCAAAGCAGCAAGCTCCCTTTTCATTTTATTTTGTTGTATTTTATTAATTAATTTATTTTATTTTCAGTTTTATTTTAGGTTCGGGGGACATGTGAAGTTTGTTATATAGGTAAACTCGTGTCACTGGGATTTGCTGTATAAATTATTTCATTTCCCAGGTACAGGTACTAAGTGTAGTACCCAGTAGTTAATTTTTTTCTGCTCCTCTCCTTCCTCCCATCCTCTACCCTCAAGTAGGCCCCAGTTTCTGCTGTTCCCTTCTTTGTGTTCATAAGTTCTCATCATTCAGCTCCCACCTATAAATGAGAACGTGTGGGATTTGGTTTTCTGTTTCTGCATTTAACTTGTTAAGGATAATAGCCTCCAGCTCCATTCATGTTCCCCAAAAGTAGCTTGTTTTTTGGAAGCTACGTAATTTTTTTTTCTTTTCTTTTCTTTCTTTTTTCTTTTTTTGTAGAGATAGGATCTCACTGTGTTGCCCAAACTGACCTCAAACTCCTGGCCTCAAATGATCCTCCCACCTTGGCCTCCCAGTGTGCTGAGATGACAGGTGTAAGCCACCATTCCCGCAGCAAAGCTTATGGATTCTTTAATGCTCTCAACTCTCATGAAAACAACCACCATAAATCTTAGTTCGTTCATTGTCATAAATTATTTTTTTCCCTATATTTTGTAAAGAACTGAAATTGAGAAAAGACTACTAATGTGACCCTAGCATTTCTGTTACTGGAAACTTATACTTTTAGCCTTATTTATAACATAAAGAATGCTAAATTTATAATATAAATAATGCTAAAAAGACCAAAGACCAAAGGGAGAGATAGGGCACTGAAAAATTATGAGGAATTCCCAGATCTGAGGAAACTCATTAATAAACTTGGAATCTCAGGCCAGGCGCGGTAGCTCACGCCTGTAATCCCAGCACTTTGGGAGGCTGAGGCGGGCGTATCACGAGGTCAGGAGATCGAGACCATCCTGGCTAACATGGTAAAACCCCGTCTCTACTAAAAACACAAAAAATCAGCCAGGTGTGGTGGCGGGCACCTGTAGTCCCAGCTACCCAGGAGGCCGAGGCAGGAGAATGGCGAGAACCCGGGAAGTGGAGCTTGCAGTGAGCCGAGATTGCGCCACTGAACTCCAGCCTGGGAGACAGCGAGACTCTGTCTCAAAAAACAAAACAAAACAAAAAACAAAAACTTGGAATCTCAGTGTCCCCATTCAAAAGGACCTCAAAGGTCTCTGAGTCCACCCCTTAGACAAACTCTCTATCAAACTCTGTATCCCCGCTTTGGTCTTATTTTTTATATGAGGGTAAGTTATCTTGATGTTTGCCTCACTGGTAATATCAGAGGGATTTGTTAAGTACGGGAAGTTTGGTTATAAACTAACTTTGGACATTCAAAGCCATGTTCATATAATAATGCAAATGTTACTTTATCATGATTTCTTCTTCTTAACAAGATAACTTTTCTTATTGTTTCCCCAACTATAATTGACTGCTACACTTGCGATTAGCTTTGGTCAAGATGCATTCTTTACAATGCCTAGAGGGTATGGTGGATAGGATTATCTCCATTTTACAGGTAAGGGAGATGAGGCTGAGAAACTGAGGCCAAGAAGAGTTCAGTATCTTGCATAGAATTTCATGGCTCAGAATAGTAGAGCCCAAGTAATATACCAATCTCCTGTCCAGAGCTTTTCACTTTGCAGAATTCCCAACAACATGAACTAACTCAAATGGAGGCATAAGGATGAAATTCACATAGGCACATTTAAATCCCAGATCTCATGGAAAAAGTGAATGGCATTAATTAGACCTACCAATTGAACAACTAAAAAGAAAATAAGACAATCATCTTCTGAGCAAAATCACAAGAAAAACCCAAGTCTTTCAAAATCTTACCAAGGGTCAGTTTTTAGAAGACAATGGTTCCTTTCGTACGTGAGCCATTTGGTGTAGGGAACTCAGTCTATCTCGATTCTTTAGATTCATTGGGTTTTCCTTCTTTCCTTCTCTAAGCAGTCATTAGGCATCTGCTAAGAGTAAGGCACATGAAATGCTTTTATTAAGGAGAATGTTTGGCCTTCAAAAGATTAATATCACAGAGATGGAAACCAGGCCTGTCGCTGAGGTTTGGCGACTGCTACGTCAAAGCCCCAGATCTGGCTAACCTCAAACTGGTCTCTTAATTAAAGAGTAAAATTTAAGGAGAGCTCATGTAATTCTTTGGAGGTTTAAGATAAGATTTTGTTGACTGGATACAGTAATCTATTTGGGGAGGGGGGAGCTGAAAAGATTCTTTTCACTTTTATGTAAGATATGTGTTAGTCTTGGCTCTAAAAGAGCAATTTTAATCCAAGATTCTCAAGGAACTCTTCACAGATTAATTCATTTTGGAGAAACATAACTTCATTGCTTCCATTCCACAGATATTTAAAAGGGTCCTGGAGGACCCATTTTTTGTCTGTTTTGCTCCCAGTGGATACCCCTCTGTTTAATTTGGAAGAATAGCAACCACAATTTATGCCAATAGCATGCATTTCAAATGTTAGTGCTGTATCTACCTCAGAGAGGTATCTGAGTAATAGCTGGGCCCAGTGTCTTCATCTGACCATCCACCACCCATTCATGTATCCATCACCCATCCAACCACCATCTGTCTAACCATCCACCATCCACCATCCATCCATCCATCCATCCATCCATCCATCCATCCATCCATCCATCATCCACCCACCACCCATTCATACACCTATTCGTCATCGATCCACTATCCATCCACCCATCTCCCATCTATCCATTCATCTACCATCTACATCCATCCACCCCCCATCCAACACCATTTATCTACCCAATTACCATCCACCACCCATCCATCCGTCCATCCATCTACCATCCACTCATTCATTCATCTGTCCATCATTCATCCATCCACCACCCATCTACCATCGATCCATTCATCTACCATCCACATCCACCCACCACCCATCCAACCATCTATCTACCCAATTATCATCCACCACCAATCCATCCACCCATCCATCCATCTACCATCCACCATCCATCACCCATTCATCCATCTGTTCATCATTCATCCACTCACATCTATCCTCCCATTTACCATCCATCCATTCATCTATCATCCATTCACCACCCATCCATCTACCACCCATCCCTCCATCTATTCATTCATCTATCATCCATCCATTCATCTATCCACCCATCTACCATCCATCCATTCATCTACTATCCAATCATCCATTCACCACACATCCATCCATAACCATCTATCCACCTACCATTCATCCATTTATTCATCCATCCATCTACCACCATCCATCCACCCATCTACCATCCATCCATTTATCTATTATCATTCATCCATCCACCACCCATCCATCCATTCATCAATCCATCTGTTGCTGTTGTTATTACTATTTGTATTTATCGATAAAGTAACTCAGCCCCAGAAAAGGTAAGTGATCCACCTATAGGTTTAGGATAAATAAATCAGGAGTTAGAGAATCTATTTCTTTGATTGTTTGCTTCTCTTTCCCAGAAAGTGAAGGAGGAGAGCCAGAGGTAGGAAGTGGGAGATAATTTTCAGAGGCCTAAATTATTTTGATTTAATTTTGGTCTAAGAGCTGAGTTCTGGGAGTGGGTTTGTTTGTTTATTTTTGCTTTAATTTGTATATCAATTCTAAAGCCTCCAAAATAAAGTTGACAAGACTACATTTCCCAATTTACCTATTTGTTTGATCAACTACATCACAAGACCCCCATGGGCAAAGATGATGTTATTTCTGTCTAAAATCCCAGTGCCATAAGTCTGGCACCCTGGGTCCTTGAGGTGGCTGAGATGCGAAACAGGTGATAATGTTAAGAAGAAAAGAGCCCCAGATGCCGGTCACAGTCTCTTCTCAGGAAAGGGGAGCCCCAGTGAGAACATTACCCAGAGCAGGATGCGGGGGGGCAGGTTACTTAGTTCAGTATCTGGGCAGCCAGGTGAAGAGCATCAGTCCCTGTAGAAGAGGACTGTGCTTCTCCATCTCTAGGGGCCCAGCCTCCAGGACACACAGCTCAGCCCTGAACAGAAGCTGAAGATTCAAGGTAAGATGAAGCAAAAGGAGCTGGGACAGGCTGAGGAACGCTTTCCCCTAAGTCACTTCCATTCAACTTGAACCCTCGCATTGACTGAGCACCTGGAACAGACAAAGCACCAGGCCAGGCATATTGTGGGCCTTGACCTGTGCATTATAGGAGAGAAGACTTCGGGAGGAGAATCCAGGCCCTGCCACATACTCTCTCAGTCCCCTTCCCTGCACAGATCTGGCAGCTCTCTACTTCCTCTTGGGTTCCTCCCTACCTCGGTTTGTCCGACTTTTAAAGTCAGCAACACAGGGCTGGCCAGGGTGATTTACCCCTGTAATCCCAGCACTTCAGGAGGAGGCGGGAGGACCACTTGAAGCCAGGAGTTCAAGACCAGCCTGGGAAATATAGCAAGACTCCTTCTGTACTGGGTGTGGTCCCAGCAACTCAGGAGGCTGAGGTGGGAGGAACACTTGAGCCCAGGAATTGGAGGCTGCAGTGAGCTGTGATTGTACCACTGCACTCCAGCCTGGGCTACAGAGTAACACCAGTCTCTTAAAAACAAACAAACAAACAAACAAACAAACAAACAAAACAAACAAAAACCCAGCAACACAGAAGAGCTATGATCCAGGTACCATGCATTGTCATCCTGAATTAGGGTGAACAACCATCCTGGTGTCCCTGGGACTATCCTGGCTTTAACTCTGAAAATTCCACATTCTGGGAAGGTCTTCAGTCCCGGGCAAATGGGACAGTTGGTCACTCTGACCTGAACTCACTGGATACTGGAAAGGAACAATCTGGGAAGAACTGCCCTAATAATAGGTAGTCTATTCTCTTCTCTATCTACTAAACTTTCTTTTAGGTGTATTTAGATTATTTATTATGTATTTAAGTAGCAGCGAGATGTGTGCCAGGGTTGACAATACCGACCCTTGTGGAATGATTTTTACATGAATTCCCTTTGTCAAGATGCTCTCAGTCTGTACCCAGGGTGGTTTTTTCACCCCCTCCCCCAACTGTCCAACTCCCCCCAGGGTGTTATATGTGGGAAGTTCACTGTATCTGTTCCTGGAAGGACACGGTTGAAATTTCATTCACTGCCTTACACAGTGTCCCCCTCCTGAGACCCATGGTGGGAATTTCTCTCCCTGCTGGGGAGAGATGTGACTTCCTTTGCCTGGGCTATTAGAAAGGTGGGTCCCCTTTGGGGTTGTCTTGTAGCAAGTATGGATCCCTGGCACGTGGAGTAAACTCTTCCTGCTTCGTCTTATTTTCCTACCCGTATTTTCTGTAAGCTATTTAGACATATTAATAGGATGAAACTAAGCTATGTTTTGAGCCCTAAGTTACCCTAGTTGTGAGACTTGATGGGAGTGGAATGCTTTGCTTGTTTGCCCGTGAAAGCCTCTCAAAATTCCCTCTCTCGAAGGTAAATGGCTGGCTTCACAAACCTTTGTGCGGGCCCTTGCAGAAGGACACAGATGACAGCCACGGGCTCTTTTGAGGAGCTCTTGCAGCTTTTCTGTGCGGGCAGAAGGAAGTTATTTGAGAGAAGCAGCAAGACCACCATGCCCAATAGGAGCCTTCCATCGGGGGCTGAAGTGGAAGAGTAACTTATTCAGGGTGCAGTGGGATAATGTTGTGAACTAACCAAACATTTAGTCCCTCATCTGTCCTTGTAATTGACAGTGGATAGACAGCCAGAAAAGAAGTCAGGAGTATTCATAGATTTTGAGGATTCAACCAAGGGAGGTCCCATGTGTTGCTCTCTCTGGGCCAAAGCCTCCGGTAGGGGGAAAAAAGTTCTGGGGAAATCAATCAACAGAGGAATCCTGGGTCTCCCACTCCTCGGCCCAGCTCTGGGCGGTAACAAGATCCCCGGACAGAAATGGCTGCTCAGGCCCTGAGTCGCATCAGGGTTTATCCAGCCTCTCAGGGGTCCCATGGCCATAACCCAAGCTGGCTCTGAAAGCAGGGGAGAGAGAGCTTGGCTGAGGAACCCTGGAGAGTGGTAGCTATCTGTGCAGACTGAGGCCTGAGGCTGCATTCAGCTCTTAGAGGATGCTGACATGGACTGACAATGTCCCCAGGACCAGACCTGCCCACTCTCCTCGTCCCCACCACCTTGGCTTACAGAAGCCAACTCTCCCCCACTCAAGGAAAGGAAGTGACTCTGAATTGCTTGGGATAAATATGCCTCCAAATGGGGGGCTCAAAACAGACAATGAATGCAGTTTTAGAATAAATATGTGACATTTCTTTCACACTTGGCTGTGTGGGTTGAGGTGAGTGCTTGTTGGGTGTAATGATGCCACCAATGACCACAATGCAGATGATAAGAGCTCACATTCATTGAGCATTTGTCATGTCTGCTTCTCTGCTAAGCACTTTATATGAACAAACTCAAAATTCTTACAACAGAGAGATACTATGAAATCTCTCTCTCTTTTTTTTTTTAAGAAAGTTACTTGCTCTGTCTCCCAGGCTGGAGTGCAGTAGCATGATCAAAGCTCACTGCATCCTCAACTTCCCAGGCTCAAGTAATCCTCCTATCTCAGCTTCCTGAGTAGCTGGGACCACAGGCATGCAGTACTATGCTTGCTAATTTTTTATATTTTTGGTAGAGATGGGATCTCACTACGTTGCCCTGGCTAGACTTGAACTCCTAGGTTCAAGTGATCTTCCTGCTTCTGCCTCCCAAAATGCTGGGATTATAGATATGAGCCAACCCAGAGGCACAGAAAAGTTAAGTTAACTTGCTGAAGCTCAGGTAGGAGGATGTAGGATTTGAACTAAATGATCTCAATGATCCTTAGGAACACACTTCATGTTTTACAAACCAATTGGTCAACAGTTCTTTCTTATTCTCAAACTAAAGTCCTCATGTGGGAGTTTAAACCATTCCTTCTTGTCTTGTTCCTAACACAAAGAGCCGGCAGTTAACTCCTGTGATTCCTATCTTTTCTCCATTTCCCTTTCCTCTTTCTCAAGCCAGCATGACCCAGTTGCCTTAGCCTCTCCTCGGAGTAGCTGTGACCTGAGGCTTTTCTTATTTCACTTCTTCTGATTTGCCCTTTGCTTTAGTATTTGGGCGTGAATTGCACCCGAGGTCAGTAGGTGATGAGTTTTCTAGGAAGAACGGTATCTCTATGATTCACAAATTAATGCGCTCTGGTGCTGAATTTAACAATTGCTTTCAACAAGAAACAGCTCACTCCTATGATCTCCCATGATCTCAGATCTGAGCTCGCTGTGCTTTTACAAAGATACTCTTGATAATCTTTTCTTCAAGTCCTCTGGGAAATCAGCTATTTGACCTTATGGAGACTGGCCTCACTGCCAGGCCTGTTCTTTGTCTATCTAAATTATGGTGGCAGAAAAGATAAAAATCCAAAGGCAAAAAAGTCATTTTTTCTCCCCCCGAAACACTGAAATTCTTTGAGGCTTTCACTTCCTTCTGCTTTTTTGTGGATAATAATGAAAAATGGTTTCTGCTGCTGCTTTTATTGGCTTAGCATTTGGGGTCCTAAGAATGTAAATGTTTCCCCAAGGAAAAAAATACATTTGGGGGATTAACTGGGTAGTTTCTTTTATTTCAAAAAATTTTAATTATAAAAATAAGAAAGAATCTGCTGAACCAAATGAAGTCGTGATCCCAAACAGGAAACAGAGAGACGAGACCACCATTCATCTGGGGTGGATCTTCTGGGATTCAGGGAGGTCACCTCTGGAGGTCTTCTTTCAGCTGGCTTGGCTTTACCACTCTATTTTAAGTCCAGGGACTGTCGCATTTGAACATATTTATATTTGGTCCAGGTCACATAATCCATAAAACTGGTTTTGTTCGGCATTTTTTTTCCATTAACTGCCCATTCTCGCTCCCTAGTAATGCCAGCTTTTCCATGTGAAGTGTATTTAGTAAATGGCTTTTCCTCATCACCCGTTTTCTCCCTAAATCTCCTATAATCTGTAATTTACCCTCACCCCTCTACTGAAACTGTGCTCTTGGAAATCACAAGAACTTCCTTTAGGCCAACCAAAGAAACTTCTCCAGTATTCTTTTTCGTTGCTCTTCCCAAGACCCTTGGCCCTGTTAGCGCCTTCTCTCCTTCAGACCCCCGAGTGCCTGGGCTTCCTGCACTCCCTGTGGCCATGTCTTCTCTCGAGGGGGGTCCATTCTCTCTGGGGTGTTCTCCAAGGCTTGGCTCTTGTCTCTAGACTTAATTTTCTCCATGTTAATCTTGGCTTATTCTCCTATCTTCAGCTGTCAACATTATTTATGCAATTCCCCAGTCCACATCTCCCACACTGTCTCTCTCTCAGTTCCCAGCCAGTATTTCCATCACCTTCTGAACAATTCCACTTGTTAAATTTGCTTCAACCTGGCACCTGAAGCTCCACAGACCACCTGCCAAGATCAATTTCCTGCCTCCACGTTGACTCCCTCTCCTGACGTCTGTCCCCATGGAGCTATCATTTCATCTCTGAATTACTCACACTGGCGAACTCAGAGTCATCTTTGCCCTCTTTTCCTGAACTTCAAGGTCCAAAGGAACAGGGGTAGTGTCCACCGCTCTCAACCACCATCTCCACAGGGCCTGGCCCAGGGCTTGTCGCATACTAAGAATGCAATACGTGTATGCTGGATGAACGAGTGAAGGTTCTCTTTCGTTACCCGCATTCCCTCAGGCATAAAGTTCATGAATCCATCAGCCAGTCTACACGTATATGTTTGGGGAGGCTGTAAAGGGAACTGACTGAGAATGGAGCTTCTTGAGTCAGACTGCCTGGGTTTGGATCTTGGTTCAGCAGCTTCCTACCTGCGTGACCTGGAGTATGTTACTTAACCTCTTGATACTTAAGTTCTTGCTCTGTAAAGTGAGAAAATAATAATACTTATCTGGGTGCGTTGGTTTGAGGATTAAATGAGATGATCTCTATAAAATGGATATATTAAGTGTTCAGTAAATCATGGTTGCTGCTGCTGCACATGGTGGCAGGGGAGAGGCATGGGCTGGCCTGGTGACCAGTGACATCTGGAAGCCCTTGAGATGCTATCAGGACATCTTGTCAGGGCTTCAGGACAAGCAATAACAACAGAAGGCCAAGGTTCAAGGTGTGTTTGGGGTGGAGGGTTGAGAGCTCTGATGGGGATGAAAAATAGCAGGAGAGAAGGCAGACTGAAACTGACCTCGTAGGGAAATGGTTCAAACTGTGCTCCCTAAGGCCATGGGGTTTTCTTCAACGGGTCTCTAAGGCTACTCGGGTGGGGCTGAGGTAGGGTGGGTGAAGGATTGGAAACCAAAGTGTGCAGGGTGGGCCGATTGGAGCGGGAGGATTGCCGGGCTGTGTTTAGAGGCAAGTATAGTGGCTCTCCTGTGATCTGCTCCGCATCTCGGGTTTCTGTGTGAGATCTCCTTTGAAGCAAGAGTTCTGCTGCTTTATCAAAGCATGAGCATTGTCGTGTGGGCCTTGAAGGCAAGCTGAGGCATATGAGCTTTCTACGGCCAGCAGCGGGGAAGCCGGGGGTGGGGGCAGATCCTGATGGAAGAGTAACAAGACTAAAGTGACGCTTTGTTAGAACCATTCTTCCGATAATTCATTTGCCTGGAATGAGGAGCAAACACATTTGCCAGGCAGGAAGGGCCACTACGAGATGGATCCCCTCTACTGTCCCTCTCCCTTGCTAAGCCTCCTCATGGCCGGCAGCGTGTCTCTGCTCTCCCAATGTCCTGCCTGAACCATGGCAGCAGGCCCCTAACCCTCTGCTGTGAAACTCTGGCCCCTCCATGGGGGTCAGCTCTCCAAAATCTTGTCATTCCATCCCACTTGCCAAAACGTCTAGCGGTTCATTTTTGGTTGTGGGATTATGAACCACACTCTTTTGCTTAGCATTCAAGGCCCCATTATGAAGACAATCTGCCTTCCTAGTCCCATCTGCTACCGGTCTCACATCTGTTCCCAGCTGGTGAAACCTTCTTACAGGACTCGGTACTCCCAACACAGTGCCTCTATTTTCTCCTGTACATTTCATGCCATCCTCGGGTCCTAGGATGCATCCTCTCCCCCACCACACACACACCTGTACTTAGTTTACTATCCTAGTGGACTTCACACACTCCGCAAGCCTTTTTTGACCATGTTTGGTTACATCTGTCTCTTTCCATAGGAATGCTCCAAGGAACCCTGCCACATAAATACTTATCCTGGCACTAATCAGTATTTTTTTTAGTTGTGTCACCTAACATAGCGCTGAGCTCACTGCACATCCACAAACCCAAATAATGTTAATGTAGCTGTACTGGGAACATTTCAGATGTTTTTCCTCCCAAACTGGAGCACCCACTTAGGCCATCCTTCAAGGCCAGAGGCCACTGGTGACCTGCCCAGTCCATTCCCTCAGCGCCTGGTCTCCCCAGACCAGCCTGTGACCAACCCATGAGGTCACAGGACAGGAACAATACAAGGGCTTTGTGTAGATGCTTGTGTTTTCAGAAGTGGCTCGAGTCCAGCCGGCATTCCTTCTTGACTGGGACTTTTTAAGAAATGTTTTCCCGACAAATGTCAGCAGGATTGAGATCCACCACACGGTTTATTAAAGGAACAAAAGCTTTGCCCTGACAGCCCCAGCAGCAATCTCGGTTTCCCCTGGGGACAGTCGGCCTGCGTGTTCCAGTCGGAAGCCAGAAGGAGATGGCCTGACATGGCTGTAAATGACTTCTCCTAACCACAGGCAAGAAGGACAAGAGGAATTTCGGGACCTGCGGTAGAGTCAAAGCGCTTCCTGTTCCTCCCTTAGCCCAGGCCCCACTTGCCAGCCCCAAACAGCACTGCCACCAAGGCGTGGCTCTTCTCACAGATGCCACATCATCTATAAAAAGCCTTCTCTGCCTTGCAGGTGCTAATGTTCTAGGGAGAGACAGACACTTTACAACCCGTTTCATGAGCTTCCTCTTGCAAGACGCAGGAACCACGGCACAGATGGCTTCGTTGCCATTGACAAATCATCCTCAGGGACCTTTCACAGCATTGCTAGGTATTAACATAAGACACACCAGGAATTACGTGCATCAAGTCCCAGTCCTCAGGGAGCTTCAAGTTTAAGCAGAGGAATGAGATCGGCCAATAATAATAATAATAATAATAATAATAATAATAAATAATAATAAATAAATAAGTTATGTTTTCAGCTAGCTCAGGCTAGAGGCCAGTGCAATTCAGGGAGACAGTGTTTGTTGTAGGAGCTGAAGACTGGCAGATGTATGTGGCTGGCTTATCAGCAAAAGGTCCAGGAGCCAGGATGGGAAGAACTTGAGCTTGATCTTAAGGAATGATCCATCCATGGATCAGCTAGGGAGGAGAGGAGTCCTGACTGAAATCAAGACACCATGCCCAGAATTAGGACCATGACCTAACTGGCTTCTAGACTTCATGGATTTCTTCTGTGGGTGTCTAGAGAACTTCCTTTGGCTTTAAGCAACCTTGCTGTGAGGTGCCAGGATTACAGAAGATGGGATCTGAGTGGTCCCATCTGATGATGCCACAGAAAGGATCCAGGCTGATTCTGGTCTCAACACATACCTTTGGTTTCTGGCCACAGTCAACCATGCTATGGGGTTACCCAGAAGTCAAAGGTCAGGTCCTGTGAATAAGCATCCAAACCTTGAGTTAAGATGGGACTACTGTCACCTCAGCTGTTCACAAGGTAGGACAGGAGACAAGATGGGAAAAGCCACCAGGCTAACCAATAGCAGCCTTCCCTCCTGATTCACCATCACAGCAGGAATCACCTAGATTTGGAAGCAGCCATTCCTTCCAAGAGCCCTGCTTCCTTCTACTAGGCCTGTTGATTATATTTTAAGACAGAAAGTACGAGTCTCTTTATGTCCATCAGCCTGGACCTGAAAGGTGACATCTATGTCTACACCCCCACTCCAAAGCCTCCTACACAGTGGCTGGCTCCACTTCATCTCAAAGGTCTGGAATGGATGATGTTCTGTGGTCCCTTTACAAAGCCTCTTGCATCCCAAATGTGTAAATTATTTTATTCTTGGTATTTCTCGCTTACCCATAGTCACCTGTCAAGTGTTCCACCCTGTCGAATGCAGGGAAAAACTCAATTCATATATAATGCCCAGTCCCAAACTTCACTCGCGGTTTCCAACATCTTCCTTGTAAAATCTTTGTCTGAAGCCATCACAAAATGGTAACATTGCTTGATTTCCACATTATCTTTCTGTCTTCAATTAATGAGTTGGCTGACCTCGAGCTAGGCAATTTGGCATTCACTCTTTCCAGTTGTGTAATGAGGGTGGTGCTCTTCTGGGGGCTTGGCAATCTCTTCCAGGACTCACATTGTGAGATTCTCTCCAGAGAAGAGACTTGTGTGATGCTTTCTAGACACTCTATTCTCTTCTGCTATAAGCAGGGCGATTGCTGAGCAAGGGGCAGGAAGTACTTAGAGCTTTGCCCTAGACTTTGGAAAGACCTGGGTGAGAAGTCAGGCTGCACATCTTCGGCCCGCTCTGACCTCAGAAGGCTGCTTCTCTCATGGAAGGCAGTGGGAGCACCCAATGAGCTAATGCATGTGAAATACTTAGCACAGTGCTTGCCTCAGAGCATGCACCTACAATATGTTAGTCCAAAGAAAACAAAAGGTCAAAGGTAAAAAGTAGGAAAAAAGGGAAGGGGGCTTAGGCCAACCCCAGACTATGTACCAAGCCCCACTTCAGCAGACTCAGCATACATGTTGTTGTCTCATGGATAGAGACAAGATGGAGACCCAGACTTTATCTCAGCGATGCAATATCAGGAGAAAACAAGGCGAATGTCAGCATTCTTATCAAAAGATAATTTTGGCCAGGTGCGATGTCTCTTGCCTGTAATCCTAGCACTTTGGCTGACATGGGAGGGTTGCTTGAGCTCAGAAGTTCAAGGCAAGCCTGGGCAACATAGTGAGACCCCATCTCAACAAAAAATGAAAAAATTAACTGGGCATTGTGACTCATGCCTGCAGTCCCAGCTACTTGGGAGGCTGAGGCAGGAGAGTCAATGGAGCCCAGGAGTTCGAGGCTGCAGTGAGCTGTGATTGTGCCACTGCACTTCAGCTTAGGTGACCGAGTGAGACCTTATCACTAAAAAAAAAAGGAATAAAAAAGGAAACAAAGTCTGTCGTAAAGAGAACATGAACCAGAATTACGCTTTTCAAATACAGTCACAGCTGCCAGCAGTGGCACGCATTCACCAGTGTGCAGGGAAGTCCCAGACCCTTCAGGACTGACTTAGTAAGAAGCCTACATCTCTTAGTGGCCTGAGAACAGCTGAGGGATGAATGTGGCCCATTGCTTAGATAAGGAGTGGACAGGAGACAGATGGGTGTGGGAAGAAGTCATACAATAAACCTTGTACTTTTCTGTAAGGAGAGAACTTGAATGGTAACGAGAATGTTATCAATTCCTTTTTCTCCAAGGCAGAGGAGGACCCATTTGTAAAATACTTTATCTTAATGTTCCCTCAAAGTTCTGGCTCTGAGGTCACTTCCATGTTCACTGTTTAGTATTTTTTTTTAATGAAGAACATTTGTATTAGTGTCTCAAGTGCAGGGAATTTCTGATCAACCCAGTGATGACTGAAAGCTGGACTGAACAGCCCTCCGTTGCAGCGAGCCCACGGCTGTCTGGCTCCAGAAGGGGCTTACCTTGAACGTGGCCAGCAACTGCGGGGGAGAAAGTCAGGCTCACAAATCTCATCTTAGGTCATAGGCACATCTGTTTCCCACCAAGTGGGCTTGGCCTCAGGTTTTCTCTTTCAAAGTCTGCCCTTTCATTAGGGCTGCCCTTTTATTTTATGGGTGTTGGCTTGGCTTATCTGTGCGCAGCCTGTCTCCCAGGCACTGTTACTCCGCACACACATCGCACTCTTATGAGGCTGTGTCCACGGTTGGGCAATGCCTGTGCTTTTTTTTTTTTCTCTTTTTTCTCAAGGGGATAGAAAAAAAGCACAAATAAATTACAGCCATGAAGCCTTCAGTTGGATTTTCTTGTCCAACATGCTTTACAGCAAAAGAATGGAACACTCTGTTTTATCTTAGAAGCAATAAGTGGGAGAATGGGATTCTAGAGGACTTTAAAGGGAATCCAGTGACTTCTGACCATCCTGAGAAAAGGAAGCATTTTGCTTTGAAGTTTCAGGACACAGAAGGGGTCCTGAAACTGATGGGAATGTTGGAACCGAAGGGCTTGAGTCCGCCCTGAGACAGAGCAGCTGCTGGGCTGGGAAGTCTTGTTGTTGGGAACATTGGTTATGACTTCCATCTCGATCTGCTACTTGCCTTGATGTAGTAGCTCCACGAGGAGTTGCTCTGATTTAAAGACAAAAATTAATCAAACATGGTGGGGAGATAGCCAGTCTAGTAACAAACTGAGAAGGCTAGAAGCCTCGTGATGTTCCCTAGAGTTTTCCTGAAAAAGAACCGTAGTAGAAAAAGAATGGCTCATCCCCCAGCTTGGTTCAAGGCCCCTGGGCTCTGTGCATTGTCAGGTGTCTACAGGAGTTTCTCTGAGGCCATCTCAGCAATTCAGATCCAGAAACTCCAGCATCTGCCTAGGAAGCCATTTTCTCTGCAAATGCACCAAGCCTGAGAGCTGGTCTTAGGAGCTTTTCTTGCACTCCATTGAGTTCAGAACCCACTTCTGGTCCTGTAAATTTCCACAGAATGTGATGTCATTGGAGAGGCATGTGCCTCTTATCCACCAAGACTGGATCCAGGATTTCTGGGGCCAAACCTTATTCCACCTGAGAATCTGGAAAAGAATACTAAATTACAAGTGCGAAACCAGGGACAGGGCCCTGCACAGGAAAGAGGCTGTGCAGGGCAGAGGCCTTGAAACTTAAGCTCTTTTAACTTCACAGTAGTGAATTGTCTCTGTCCCCACCACGGGTTATCAGCAGAGGGTAGTCAGGCTGTTCACAGCAAGCCTGCCCTTTGGGCATGGGGTCCTAGCATACTTCAGGCAGGGACAACGGCCCTTGGTGGCCTGAGTGGGCTTTGTTTCCCCCACCAACTAACAGTCCTCCTAGAACGTGTCCTACAGGAAACAAAACAAAGAAGGCATGTGTCCCATGTCCTCCAACAGTCCTCCAAGCATGGTCCTCCAAGCACGCGACCATGCTCCCCCAGGGACGTTTTCCTCGCAGCCTTGCCTTGGGTTCTGGTGAAGCTTGTGGCCCACAGCCAGCCCATGCTGAAATGAATGCTGAAGTGAAGAATGAAACTGAAGGCAAAAAACAGATCCCCAAGTGAATCTGAAATTCCTAAAGTGGGCTCAAAGGCAAAGGGGAATTCCCTTCCTGTACCTAGGACATGAGTATATTCCTGCTTTGCCTGGAGTAGGAATAATAAGTCGCTCCTTTTTTGTCAACAAAGAGGGGCCCCTCTGGGTTGGTCTCGGGAGTTACTTGGGGGCCTCTGGCCTGGAGGCCTGTACTTCTTCTCTCTAGAGAAGTTTGTACTGAAGACACTTGTAGACTTAATCTTTTTTCTTGTTTTTTTTTTTTTTTTGAAAGTAGAGACAAGGTCTTGCTACATTGCCCAGCTGGTTTCACACTCCTGGCCTCAAGCAATTCTCCAGCCTCAGCCTCCCAAATGCTGAGATGACAGGTGTGAGCCACCACACCCAGCCAGGTTTAATCATGGCCATTCATCTGCTCTAGCCACATCGTCCCTGGCTGTTTTGCTGAAATTGGCCAAGAAGGCCTCTCCCATGCTGAGTCCCTCACTCTTGCGTGTAGACCAGGTATGTTCCATGCTGAGAGGGAGAAAGACAAAGGCCTTGGTTCTATGAGCTAACAGCACTACCACGTTGAGTGGCTCCAGGGAGTCAGTGTGTAGAAGGAAACCTCTATGGGATGAAATGCTGTCCAGTAGAAGATCAGAAAAGTGCTTAAGATTGATGTGGAGAAGGCTGAGAAGGGAGTGAAGGAGCTGTCCATAACAGAAGCTTCAGGAAGGGCTCTTCTCTTGTCCCAGGGCTGGGATGCCTTGAGAAAGGGTTTTTGTGTGCGGATTCCACATGCTAGGTGAAGACAAGGCACTCTACAGGGCACTAACCCAAGGAGGTGCCATGCGGGAAATAAGGGTTCCATGGCTAGCTAAATTTGGGAAACAGCATGCTACATCTGCCACTTGGAAATTTATAATGCGTGTTAAAGGAATAAAGTCTGAAAAATCTTACACTTGAAAAAGGGAACTGGCCGGGCACGGTGGCTCACGCCTGTAATCCCAGCACTTTGGAAGGCAGAGGCAGGCAGATCATTTTAGGTCAGGAATTGGAGACCAGCCTGGCCAACATGGTGAAACCCTGTCTCTACTAAAAATACAAAAAAAATGAGCCAGGCGTGGTGGTGGGCACCTGTAATCCCAGCTATTAGGGAGGTTGAGGCACAAGAATTGCTTGAATCCAGGAGGCAGAGGTTGCAATGAGCCGAGATGGCACCACTGCACTCCAGCCTGGGTGGCAGAACGAGACCCTGTCAAAAAGAAAAAAGAAAAAAGAAAAAGAAAAAGGGAAACAAAATCATTTTAATTTTGTCAAGCACTTAGCAAATGTCACAGAAACCACTGCTCATAGAATGCCTGTGTCCTTGGATGTGCCACTGGTGTTTATGGAACTGAATTAATGCCCAGCTGGCTTAGGAAGGAGCTATCAAAGCTGCAGGATTAGCTAGTCTGCCGCTTGCTGGACAGAACAGATGGACAGACGGTGAAGTGTGCCTCCATTGTACACAACACTGCCCTGCAATTCAAGGTGTGAGTCTTTGGAGGAAATTTTGGAAGAAGGTGAAAAAGATGGTAAAAAAAAAAAAAAAAAATCCTTAGGTAGTAATGTATGCGTTGCCTGGGCAAGAGAAATGGGGGAAATGGTGTCCTACTCTATGAGGTTAAGAAAAGATAGTCTATAGGGAGACTGGGAAACGCCATTAAGAAAGATCTATTATTATGATAGGTGTATGATGACAGGTGTTATTACGGTTAGGTGTATTAATCACACATCTGAAATTTTACTATTACTTTTTGCTATATTATTACTATAGATGGTAACAGCAACATTTATTCTTTTATTTGATGTTTCATTGTTGGGAAAATTATTTAGATCTCTTTTGGTCCTCCGAAAAGCTCTGTGAGATGACGGGTCTTTTTTGACTTTTATTTTAAATTCAGGGGTACATGTGCAGGTTTGTTACATGGGTAAACTTGTGTCATGGGAGTTTGTTGTACAGATTATTTCCTCACCCAGGTATTAAGTCTAGTACCCATTAGTTATTTTTCCTGATTCTCTCCCTCCTCCTGCCCTCCACCCTCCAGTAAACCCCACTGTGTCTTGTTCTCCTCTATGTGTCCATGTGTTCTCATCATTTATCTCCCACTTATAAATGAGAACATGCGGTATTTGGTTTTCTGTTCCTGTATTAGTTCGCTAAGGATAATGGCCTCCAGCTCCATCCATGTCCCTGCAAAGGACATGATCTTGTTCTTTTTTTATGGGTGCATAGTATTCCATGATGTGTATGTACCACATTTTCTTTATCCAGTCTATCACTGATGGGCATTTAGGTTGATTCCATGTCTTTGCTAGTGAATAGTAGTATTAACAACTGTAGATGAGATAAAAAGCTAAGAGAGTGACTTGCTCAAATTCCTACAGCCAGTAGATAATGGGCCCTGGACTCAAACCCTGGGTACCTGGCTCTATGTCTTTGGCTCTATCTTTAGGAGGAGGCAGCGGCTCTATCTTTAGGAGGAGGCAGCAGCTCCATGGTTCTACGTCTGGAAGAAGAGGGTCAGGGCCTCTGGATTCTTTAGGGAAAGGTCAGAGGAAAGACTCACAGGCCCTTGACTAGGCACTTGGGCTTTCCATGTTGCCCAGAGCTAGAGCTAATGAGGCTGGTGAGAGCTCAGTCCTTGAGAGTGCCCCTAGGAGCCTGCAGAGCTGGGGATGCCTGGGAGGGCAGAAGGGAACCAGAGGGCATCTCCTTCTTCTCACATTTGCCTCTTTGGTTCCTGCTAAGCAAGTTAAAGCAGGTAACAGAGCTCTGGCTCACATAGGTTCTTCTAAAGGCTTTGAAGGATAGGCACAAATACCTCCACTAATTATATCTCAGGCTATTCCAAAAATCAGAAAGGCAAATTGAAAAAACCCTGGATTTATTTTAAGGCTGTTTTGAGGCTCATGCGGGGCTGTTCTGGGATTCGGAGAATGTCCAAAGAGGAGTTGATTCCAGGGATCGAGGCTGAGGGCCCTGAGATGCAGGTGGATGTGGGGCCCATGGAGGGGGGTGTTCTACATTTAATCTCACCCCAGCCTTGGGCCATGGGGGACCTTGAAGTAAACCTGGGGAGGCTACAGCTGCAAAGATAATCTCACTGTGGTCCAAAGTCCTAGATAACCCCAGGGAACAAGGGGTCTAACCCACAGGCCATCTGGGATGTGTCAGAATGCTCTGAGAAAGTGGGATGTGGTCTTAAAGCAGAGTGGAGGGGCAGCCTCAAGGCTTAGAGCCAAGGAAGATTTAGAACCCAGGGAAGCTGGAAGCAAAGTACTTCAGGGCAGTGGGATACAGCTGAGAAGAGATGGGACAAGGTCACACCATGTAGGGAGTTATTAAGAGGGGAGGTACCCACAATCCAGAGGCCTCAGCTGGTGGAGGAATGCAGCTGGCCTTGCTCGGAAGAGGAAGAAACAGACCTTGCATTGTTAGAAAGAGAGCCTTATGGAGAGCTGTGGCCTGAGTTGAGACAGAAAGTGTTAGACAGGCAGGCAGATAGCATAGCGGAGGCCAGGGGGTGAGCTGGTATGGGGTCGGGGAGGAGAGAGAGTCACCTCTCCACTGCAGAGCTGGTGAATTTGAACTGCAGAATGGTCACCTTGTGTTGGTGAGGCCAGGTACTGTGGTGAGGGTAGAGGTGTGGACAGAATCAGGAAGCAGAGATGCACAGGGAAAAGATCCTGGGGACAGCACTCCTCAAAGATGGGAAGGCTCACAGGGTCTCCACCAAGAGTGGGGAGCTGCACCAACGGCTCAGACCAGAGAGGAAGGAGATGGGGGTAGGAAAACTCCACAGGCAGTTAAGAATGACCTGACTGAGGAACCCTGTGCTAATCAGCTACGACCTTTTCCACCAGTCCTGACAGCCCAACTCCTCTTCAAGGAATCCTCATTGCTCTTGGCCATGCAGATCCCCTTTTCCATGTGAACTCACATGAGGACACCAGTATTCTTTCTGTACCTTCTCGGCCATCTTGCTTCCCATAAGAGACTCACCTGCTCAAATCCCCCATGTTCCCAATTGTACCATCTGCCTATGTTGCTAAGAGTAGCTATCCAAAAATGCAAAAACAAGGCAAAAGGAGAAATGTATGTCCCTTCAATGTCACGCTGGATTTGATCTAAAACGCTCATCCAAGGATCCTTCCATTACCTGTGCCTTTGCTTGACTCACCATTTACTACTGATCAGGACCTGGAGTAATAAGTTCTAGTGTTCTACAGCACTACATAGTGGGGTTAACAACATATTGCATATTTTCAAATAGCTAGAAGAGCTGATCTGAATGTTCCCAGCACAAAAATATGATACATGTTTTGAGGTTCTGGATGTGCTAAAGATCCTGATTTGATTATTACACATTGTATACATGTGATGCAGTTTGGATGTCTGTCCCCTCCAAATATCATGGCGAAATTTGATCCCTATGTTGGAGGTAGGGCCTGGTGGAGGTGTTTGGGTCGTGGGGGCAGATCCCTTATGAATGGTTCGGTGCCATTCTCGTAGGAGTGAGTGAGTTCTCAAGCAGTCCCGCAAGAACTGGTTGTTGAGAAGAGCTTTGCACCTCCTTCTTTCTCTTGCTTCCTTTCTGGGTTGCTGTGTGATGCCTGCTCCCCTTCACCTTCCACCATGAGTGGAAGCTTCCTGAGGCCTCCCCAGAAGCAGATGCTGACTCCATGGTTCTTGTACAGCCAGAAGAAGCATAAACCAAATAAACCTCTTTTCTTTACAAATTGCCCAGCCTCAGGTAGTCCTTTATAGAAATGCAAAACAGACTACGACAATACATTTCAAAATATCACATTGTGCCCTGTAAATATGTACAATTATTATGTGTCAATTAAAAAATAATGAAAATAACAAAAAAAGACCTAGAGTCAGAAGTTACTTGGAGATTTGTGCTGGAGAGAGAGATGTACATTACTTCTGTTTGGGAGAAAAAGATAACTTCAAAAGGTATGATTATGGCAGGACATAAGCCAACTTTTCACATGTAACCTGGTAGCTGTGTCATTCTATATTCTTTCCTCAATGGCTGCAAATACTTGCACTTTCAGTGCTCCTGATTGAGCTTTTCCATCTGCTGTTCCCTCATTAATGGGTTAAATAAATCTTTGGCAGATGTTTATTCTGTTTTTCTGCATTCATGTTTTTAACACTTCAGAAACTTGTTGTCTCACAGAAAGATCCAAACAGGTTCACTTGTCGGAGCTGATTAAATTGTGTTGCCCAAGAACAGCCCCACGTGCTACAGATATCCAGGTACAACATTTCCTGGTTCCAGAATGAGTCCCAAGCACTAACAGAACACTACCTTTGCTGTCTCTTGGTTTCTCTGGGTTTTTTGTGGGTTGATCTGTTTCAAATTCTGATGCTGTGCTTTTGCTCTTGCTTCTGGTCCTTGGCCAAGTCCATCAGTCCATATAACTTGCAGTCTCTTTCTGCAGCTGGTTCCAGGGATTGAAAGGTCTGTTTCTCATCTTGGATGGAAAGCCACCTTGACTGAGAGTTGAGATTCCCCCTGTGTATTAGAAACTGATGGTGTGGGCCATGCTGTGTCCAGGAAGAATAGGTATCTGGCCAGTGGTCTGGTCTCTACTGCACAGTTGAGGGAGCCCCTTTGTAAACTAGATGTGAATCTAGTTTGTGCACAGCTTGCTGAGTGAATGCCCCTCACTGAGAGCAGGGACTGGGAGTCTGGCTTTATGGTTTAACTACTTGATGTCTGTTGAGTTAGGTGGATGACGCGAGAATCTGATTGTTAGTCTTTTTTGTTGTTTGTTTATTTGGAGTCGCATAGATTAAGAAAGCATTTCATGCCTGCTAGAGAGGAGAATGGCTCTTCGAAATCTCGAAGACTGAGTTTTATTATTTTTGTGCTTACTTAGGACCTTCAGCTCAGACTGCGGAATAGCAATTAAAAGATCTCAGTGGGTCTGTGGGTCTGGAAATGAGACCAACCTCTTTCATTGTGTCCATGTGAAATGTATTCTGGAGGATATGAATAATTTAGATGATAAATTATCTTACAGAATTTATTCCACTGGGTTTATAGAGAATTTTAAGTGCTTAGCTATACCTAACATTCCCTGAAATTCTAGAAAATAAATAAACGGAAATTTTAATACTTTGTTTGTCTTCTAAGGAAAAGAACAATGGAAATTGGGAAGGGTGAAGGGGTTGGGGGGAAGGACGATGAAAAATTACTTAATGGCTACAATGTACATTATTCAGGTGATCGACTTCCGAAAAGCCCCTAATTGACCATAGCACATGTAACAAAATCGTACTTGCACTCCATAAATTTATATACATAAAAAAAGAAAAGTTAAATCAAAGCATAAAAAAGAAATGAAAAGGCCGTCTTACATAAACCGCAAGTTCAGAAGTCTTTAATTAAGAATCCAATTTCAGGCCGGGCAGTGGCTCACACCTGTAATCCCAGCACTTCGGGAGGCCACACTGGGCAGATGGCTTAAGGCCTCGAGTTTGAGACCAGCTTGGCCAACATGGCGAAACCCTGTCTCTACTAAAAATACAAAAATTAGCCAGGTGTGGTGGTGCATGCCTATAATTCCAGCTACTCAGGAGGCTGAGGTGGGAGGATTGCTTGAGCCTGGGAGGCGGAGATTGCAGCGAGCCATGATTACACCACTGCATTCCAGCCTGGGCAACAGAGCCAGACTCTGTCTCAACAAACAAACAAACAAGAATCCAAGTTCATATAAGCAAGGAGATTTGTTTAACAAATCAAACTGGTCTAAAAAAAAACAGCTACATGTCTTTTCCCAGATTTTATAAGAGTGGAATACATTATAATACAAACATACATTTTACCTTATTTGAAGACTAGAATTTGTTTTCTCATAAAGAGACTAATTATAATCTAAACTTTCCAAGCTATATATATTTTTTACTCGTTTACTAATCAGACAAAATAACATTCATTACTTCTATGTAATGTTTAAAATTAAGAAAATGTAAAATTATGTCTTCAACTATTTTGTATCCTATAGAGTTCTGATAATTTTTATATCAACAATAATTCTTTGTAGTGTATCAGCTTAAATATAATTTCCCAAAATCTGAGTTCACTTAAAATTAATATTAAATCATGGTAATTAATGGACAATTTTCAGATACCTCAACAATTTTTAGATAAAAAAAAGTAGACTGCTGAAATATTCATCCAACTACATTTTAGAATGACTTTTTTACTAGGATATAATGAGACAAAATAATTATTTAGCCAAGGTTATACATGAAATGTCATTTTAAAAAATACATTTTATTTAATCATATATATGTAACTTTTAAGCAAGGGGCTAGCATTTTTATTTTGTGCTGAGTCCTGCAAACTATGTAGCCAGTCCTAAATGTATGTGTATGTGTAGACATATCTTTGCTTATTATTATACATTATAGAGAAGCTAGTCCTTTGGGTTTTGTTATCACACATGTTCACTTTCTGCTGTTTATAAGAGTGTGAGAGGGATGTATGAGGCTCCAGGGGATTCTATTATTTGTGCTTACAAGGTTTGCTGACCTGACCTGCTAAAATATCTGGATATGACAGAATTTTCAATTAGTTACCCCTAAGTTTATTGAGCTTCTTTGGTTTACATAGGTTACATAATCTTATCTGAGCTACATAGGTCAGATAAGAATCTGACCTCTTCTTTTTTTAACCAGAATATAATCAGACAAAATAATTATACAACTAAAGTCATACCTGGACTATCATCTTTAAAAATAAATGTCATTTAATCAAGTATGCCAAATTCACCATTAAGGAATAAGGATTGTGCTTCTCATGTGGGGATTAATGCACACAAACCTTTTTTCTTTTAATGTATAAGAGTATTTTAATTCTTGTCATTGGGAACTATAAAGATTATATATGATTTGGAAATGAGGCTGTACCAAATGATGGCCAAAGAAGAATCATCCATTCCACGCCTTCTCTTTTGCCTGGTCTCTTAGAAGTATAATATTATCAGCTATGATAGTCATTGCTTGCCACCTCACATTATTTTTATCCATATATTCACCATAGTCTACTTGCCCTTCCACATAAACTCAAGATCCCTTTTTCACATACTGCTATGCCACATCTCTGAGGCCTGGCCAGAATACTGATAATCTATGCCATGTTTTCTTTTGACTGACATCCCCCATTTGGTAAACTTCACAGTCCCCTGATCACCATATCTGGCTTGTTGCTAGAGAAAATATTGTGAATGGATTTTTTCCATCACCTGCCTCATAACAGGGTCCTGACCCACTCGCCCAAGTAACTCACATCATTCAGGGATCTTTAAAGAACCAAATGGCTAGCTGTTTCAGACCCAGGTCTTCCAAACCTGTAGGTCTTTGAAAATGGCTTCTATTTTCTTTTATTTTTCTTCTTCTTCTTTTTTTTTTTTTTTTGGAGACAGAGTCTTTCTCTGTTGCCCAGGCTTGGAGTGCAGTGGCATGATCTCAGCTCACTGCAACCTCTGCCTCTTGGTTCAAGGGATTCTCCTGCCTCAGCCTCCCAAGTAGAGTAGCTGGGACTACTGGCATGCACCACCATGCCTGGCTAATTTTTGTATTTTCAGTAGAGATGGGGTTTCGCCATGTTGGCCGGGCTGGTCTCGAACTCCTGACCTCAAGTGATCCACCCACCTTAGCCTCCCAAAGTGCTGGAATTACAGGCATGAGCCACCACGCCTGGCCTCTATTTTCTCTCTTACAATCTAATCTTTAGGCTCTTCCTGACGCTGTAGCCAGCTAGCCTCCAGCCAGGAGATCCCACACAATACCTTTCTAGGACACTCGCTGGTACCTGTACTACAGCCTGCAAGGTCGTCACCTGTAAAGAAAGTCACTGCATGGCAGCCAGAAACATTAAGAGATTTGACGGATCTAGAGAGAGGATTTCACCCAAACGTGGAGGCACTGCATGTGAAACTGGCAGAGATCAATTTCTTAGGTTTGATTTCCTAGCTTGGAATAGAATAACCCATAAGAAGAAAAAGAACAAAAGAAAATTACTGGAATACCAGAGGCTATTCACAATGCAATTCTAGCTTCTGTTTGCCATTGCTAGACATATGCCAATTTTTGTCTGTAGTAATTGCTCAGTACTCTATAACTATATTTGCTGACCATACTCAATAAATTTAATTGACATCTCTTATGGCACTTATGTAAATTAATCAAACCAAAAATATAAGGACAGAAGGTTTTGGGGTTTTTTGGTAAGGGTGATCAAAAATCATCCTTATAGATTATTTGTGATTACCAGCTCTAGCCAAAACTTGGGAATGAGCAAAGAAAGTCCACATGTGCTTCCACTGTGTCCCTCCAAGATTCATATGTTGAAATCCTAATCCCCAGTGCGATGGTATTTGGAGGTGGGGCCACTGGGAGATGATTAGGTCATGAGGGCAAAGCCCTCATGGATGGGATGACTGCTCATAAGAAGCCCTGGGGACCTCCGTTTTCTCTTCCACCATGTGAGGAAGATGGCTTTTCATGAAACCAGAAAGTGGGTCCTCACCAGACACTGAATCTGCCAGCATCATGATTTTGGACTTTCCAGCCTCCTGAACTTTGAGGTCTATGGTATCTCAAAGCCATCTAGTCTATGGCATTCTGTTACAGCAGCCCAAATGGACTAAGACATCACTCAAAGATTAATTTCCTTTGGGATTTCCCTATGTTTGGTTCACTATTTATTATTGATTTGGCCCTAAATTCTGAAGTGTTAACTTGCAGATTTTTGCTTGATAAAGATGTAAGTTATTTTTATACAATAGGAAAAATAAGTCTAAATACCATAATTTGATTACCTTGTAGGAAAAACCACTTTTGAATCTAATCTAAGTAATCTGATTCCAAACTTCTTCCTTCAGTTCTATACTCAGTTCCTTAAATATTATTTGAACTAGCTTTTACTTTCTTATTGATTCCCTCATTAATGAGTTAAGCAAAGCTTTGACATATGTTTATTGTAAATTTATTTTTTTCTTGAGACAGGGCCTTGCTCTGTCGCCCAGCCTGGAGTGCAGTGGTGCTATCACAGCTCACTGCAACATCAACCCCCTGGACTCAAGCAATCCTCCTACCTCAGCCTCCTGAGTAGCTGAGACTACAGGCGCATGCCACCACACCTGACTCATTTTTAAAATCTTTTGGTAGATATGGGGTCTTGCTATGTTCCTTAGGCTGGTCTCAAAGTCCTGGGGTCAAGCAATCCTTCTGCATCAGCCTCCCAAAGTGCTGGGATTACAGATGTGAGCTACTGCACCTGGCCGTTTACTGTGATATTTGGAAAAAATTTTTTCTCTGTCTCTTATTTCAAGTCCAGAGGTCATCTTCTCCCCACATCATTTTGACAATTTGGACAGCCTTGCCTCTTCCATGATCAGTGAAGGTTGTAGATTTCCTTTACCTGCCCGGACAGAGAAAACTTGAGTTTATGTGGCTTGTACCAATTTCGAGATTCACTCAGCCTCCTCTCATACAACCTTAGAGCTCAGTGGAATCCCCATCTTCCTCAGTTATAAAGAGATTAAATTTATCCTACTTTTAAAATGTTTTTGTAAAAGGTATTGTTTCCTTAATTTGTTTTTCAGATTGTTTGGTGCTAGTGTATAGATACACTATAATTTTTGTGTTAATTTTGTATGCTATAATTTTACTGAATTTATCTATAAATTTGAACAATTTTGGGTAAAATCTTTAGGGTTTTCTACATGTAAGATCATGTTTTCAGGAAGCAGAGAAAATTTCACTTCTTCCTTTCTTATTTGAATGTCTTTTATTTCTTTTTCTTCTCAAATTGCTTTGGACAGGACTTCTTGTATAATACTGAATAGAAATGGTGAGAGTGGGGATTCTTATCTTATTCCTGATCTTAGAGGAAGGACCTTCAACTTTTTGCTAACTGTTGAGTGTAATGTTAGCTATGGACTTGTCACACATGGATGTTGTTGTGTTGGGGAATCATTTCTTCTATTCCTAATTTGTTGAAGTTTTTATCATGAAAGAATGTTGAATTTTGTCAATGCTTTTTCTGCATCTATTGAGATGATCACATAGTTTTTGTCTTTCATTCTGTTAATGTGGTGTATCACATTTATTGATTTACATGTGTTGAATCATCCTTGAGTTGGAATAAATACAACTTGATCATAGTGAATGATCCTTTTAACGTATTTTTCAATAAAGTTTGCTAGTGTTTTGTTGAGGATTTTTGTGTCTATGTTCATCAGGAATATTGGCCTGTAATTTTCTTATCTTGTAGTGTCATTGTCTTGCTTTGGCATCAGGGTAATTCCAGCCTCATAAAATGAGTTTGAAAGTATTTCCTCCCCTTCACATTTTTAGAAGAGTTTTAGAAGAATTGGTATTTGCTCTTCCTTAAGTGTTTGATAGAATTCAGCAGTGAATTCATCTGGTCTTGGAGTTTTCCTTGATGGGAGACTTCTTATTGCTGATTCAATCTCCTTAACTCATTTTTGGTCTGCTTAGATTTTCGATTTCTTCCTGATTCAGTCTTGGTAGGTTGTACGTGTCTAGGAATTTATTTACTTTTTCTAGGTTATCCAATTTGTTAGCATATAGTTGTTCATAGTATCGTATTTTGTGCTGTCGGCTGTAATGTCTCCTCTTTTGGTTTTGATTTTATTTATTTGAGTCATCTGTTTTTCTTGTTAGTCTAGCTAAGGATTTGTCCATTTTATTTAGATTTTAAAACAATTCTTAGTTTTGTGGTCATTTGTATTTTTTTTTTTAGCTTCTATTTTATTTATTTCTGCCCAGTAATAAAGAGGAAACTGAGGCTGGAAGAGTGTAAGTGGTTCAGGCAGTGATGATATAAATATTGTCACTTACGTCTGGCCATGTATTGACATAATGATTCTTCCTACCTACGTACCTTTTCTTTTTTTTATTTTTATCTTTTTATTCATTTATTCATTTTTGAGATAGTCTCACTGTGTCGCCCAGGCTGGAGTGCAGTGGTGCAGTCCTGGCTAACTGCAACCTCCGCCTCCCGGGTTCAAGTGATTCTCTTACCTCAGCCTCCTGAGTAGCTGGGATTATAGGTGCGCGCCACCACGCCCGGCTAATTTTTGTATTTTCAGTAGAGACCGGGTTTCACCATATTGGCCAGGCTGGTCTCAAACTCCTGATCCCCTGCCTCGGCCTCCCAAAGTGCTGGGATTACAGGTGTGAGCCACCGCGCCGGGCCCTATGCACCTTTTCTGTATGTCCGCATCTTAGATTGTAAGTTCTCAAGGCTATAGGTATCTTATGTATTATTTTTCCCCACGCATCTTGGATGCCTCCCCAGAGGTGAGTAGGTGTCCTATAAATGCTTGGTGGTGGAGAGGAAACAAAGAAAAAATTGTTTCTGGAAGCAGATTTTCTGGAAATTGCCAAAGAAAGCTGTTCGGCGGTCAGAGAGTGACCATTCTTCTGTCTGAAATGGCTTTAAAGAAATCCCCCTCCCCCGGGGAATGACTCAGTGCATGCCTGCCCCTAAGCTCCCTCCAGATGCTTCCCGAGGCTCCGCAGGGGGAGGTATGATCAGTGTCACTACCAAAGATTTCTGCTTGCAGCAACAATTTTTGTTACTTTTGGCAGATATATCTAGAGGATGGCCAAGAAAGGATGTGACATAAATTCAACAATTTAATTCTGAAAACCCCGTGGTTTCAATTTTGCTCATTTCTTGTTAGAGCTTTGTTTTTCCTCTGGTCATACCAACTGGACTTCCAGGGGATTATTTCTTCTTCCAAATTGAGGACATTTTCAGAGCCAAATTTTAGGTCTTTCCTGATTTAAAGGAAAAAAAAACAACAATGAAGGGATCGTGGGCTTGGCTTTGAATAATAGCCAGGGACACTACACAAAAAGACAGCTATTATTACACTTCCTAACAAAGTAATACTATTTTTACAAAACACCTTTTTTATGATGAAGAAAAATGTAATATTTTTATGGAACCTCTACTCAGAGGTTCTCATCATAAACATAATTTTAGCTTTTGGAAGTGGAAATGGTGCAGTCTAAGGATTAGATTTTTTTTTTTCTAAAGCATATTTGGAGCTAAAGCTATGAGTAAGTGCTTGAAGGAAGGCACCTCGACCCAGTGCTCCTTGAGAAGGCCTCATGGTGAGATGAACAGAACGTTGGATATACAGTCAGGAGCTTGGCTCACTTGAGTTCTGGCCCTGAGTGACCTGGGGGAAGTTATGACATGAGTTTTCTCTTTGGTAGGAGAAGGTAATCAGGCCAAACTCACCACAGTGCTGTAAGGATACATTCAATAGGATTATAATAATAGCTAATATTTTTTGAGAGCTTAGTATGTGCTAGGCACTGTGTTGAGGGCTTAAAATATATTCTAGCATTTAATCCTCACAACAATCCTCTAATGTAGGAACTATTACTCTTCATCATCTTACAGATACAGAGACTGAGGCATAGAGAGGTTAAGTTTCTTGCTCAAGGTCTCATAGTTAGCGAGTGACGGAACCAATGGCCAGATCTGGGCAGTGTGGCTTCAGGACTGTGCTCCAATTCACTATCATGTACTTTCTTCCAAGATAATGCATGTGAGAGCATCTGACACAATGCTTGGCACATAGTAGGTATTTGATTAGTTTTCACTGGATCTGTCCAATTCAAGCACAAACCCAGCATTTCTGTATAGCCCTGAGGCCTTAGCGGCTCAATATCAGTAATACCTGTGCTGTTAAGATTCAACAAAATTGCAATAAAATGTATACAACATTGACAAAATGTCATGCTGTCACACCTAGACGAAAATAAATTCACGATAAACTATCAAAGATAAAACTGCTTTTTGAGCATCAGGGGTTTCTTTCTCCTAGTTTGATCACAACTTCTGTATCCCTTGGCCCCCTATAGTATATCATCTAATTAACAGAATCTTCTGAGTAAAGATATGTCTTCCATTAAATATGCATTTTTGAGTATCCCCTTAGCTGTTTACTGAATAAAATTGCCCTTCCTTTATTTAAGAAACATTTAACTATATCCCCTATGTCCAGGACATCATATCAAATCAATCATAAAATGATAAAGAGGAGAAGGCATATCCAATCAAAACTTGCATTTTAATGATCTAGTTGCAAATGCATATGCATAGAATTTAATGTACTGGAATATGCCTTCTTGGCAACCTATATAAGCTTAGATACCCTGAGGTGCTACTGTTCTCCGCAGCTCACTCACGTAGAAATAAGCTCCTCTAACTTCAGTCAAATGCCTTTTTGTTCAGGTTATTCTCCCTAAGGATACCAGTTCTTTTCTCTTGGGAGTTCATGACAAGACAACAAAAAGCATTTTTTGAAATGAACTGAATTTGCACTATGGGTGAGGGAGAAGCTACAATATTTTATCTAGTCATTATTTTACAATGTGTAGAGTGTTTCAGATACGGTACAGAGCTCCCGCCTTCCAGAAGCCTAGAGTCCAGAGAAGGTGTCAGCCAGCTGTGGCCCATCTGGCCCTCTACCCGTTTTTGTAAATAAAGTTTTATTAGAACACAGCCACACCCATTCATTGAATTACTGTCTGTGGCTGTGTTTGCACTAAAATGGCAGTGTTGAGTAGTAGCAAAAGACAGTCTAGGGTCCCCAAAACCTAACATATTTTTGATTTGGCCTCTTACCAAGAAACTTTGCCAACCACCATTCTAGGGGGAGGTCCTATGAGAAGGATTATGTAATGGGCATATTATGTAACTAGATATAAAACAAATAGGATTATGGCATATAACCACCATAGAATTTTAAAATATGTTCAATTGCTGGATTAAAACTTGAGCTATCTCATGACTTTTTAAAGATTATTCTTAAATAATAAAATTCCTATATTCACAGTAAGTTATAAAATACGGTCTCCATTCTAGAAGTCCAAACTCATGTAATAGCAAAAAATTTCAACTTCATTCCAAGTCATAATTCCTTTCTCCCCTGAAAACTAGGGCCTGCTGGTTTCCTGCCTCTTGGGAAATGGTTTCTTCTGTCTTTCTTCCCCAGCTTGCTAACTCTGGTTTTTGTCATTCTGGGGTTGGTGTGGGGTCAGGGGTGGGAGTGTGGAGAACAGGTCAGAGAAGCAAGAAAGTTATTACTTTACCAACAGGGTCATCATACAGCTTTGGGCTTTCTGAATTTGGGCAGTTGTTCAAAGTTCTTTATCTTGTGGCACACTTTTGTGAGTTATTTGGAGGCCCTATTTCCCCACCTCCCCCAAGTTCCAGAGATCTCTCACCTGGGTGGGTCGTCCTCTGGCTTAACTGGTCATTTACTCCTTCCATAGCCTCTAAAGCGAGGCCAGCGCACCCCTCTGGCAGCTTGATTCACATGTTCTAGGGTGACTTCACTGGCTCAGAGCCCTGGCAAGTGTGTCGTTTCATTTGCTCCAACAAACTCTAGACTAGCAGACAGGTCCCAGGGCCTCTTCCTTTGTTTCGATCTGTCCAACTGTAGCTGGCCAGACTGTCACTCTCATTTAGATTTCTCAATAGAGAGTCAAACACTAGTTTAGTCAGCTATGTCTGCCACCCTCCTATATCCAGGGACACCTTTTAAAGCCTCCAAGGGGTCACCTGAAGCCACCTTCTCTTGACTCAAGCTGATGCAAGTACATCTCCCATTTTCCTGCTTGGCGGGGAGGTCCTCCTAAAACAGCTCTCTCCAGAGAAACTGGTCTCACAAATCCTTCCTCACCAAATCCACTTCTGACTTATTTTATGGCTTCGGTGTGAGGAAGGGACTTGAGAGTCCTGCAGCCAGTTTGGTTCATGATTTTTGCAAGTCTTCCCAGGTTGTCTATTTCACTCGGAACTTGGTCTCGATTGTATCTGGGCGCCTCAGTCAAAACTTCCAATTTAACATAATATACAATTAGATCAAAGGCATCTGGACCAAAGAAGAAATAGATTATTTAAGGTGAGGTTGAATCCAGGTCTGAGTTATGTTTCTAGGATGAAGAAGATGAACAAAAGAAAGCAGAGGAGGTATAGAAGGGAAATAAAGAACAAGATATTTGGAGTTTGAAGCTCAGAAGTTGGGGGAGATTTCTGGAAAATCTACATGCGTAGGTTGAGAGGCACTGACAGGGAAGGGAATTTACTATCTATGGAGTCCAGAGCTGACCAGGATGTTCTACTTGCCCTCAAGCTGCTCCCAGAATAGCGAAGGAACCATCCAGGAGGATCATGGATGAAAAAAGCCTGGAAAATAGAAATGTTTCCAGGCTTTTAGAATGGACATGGAGCCTTCCATTGAAGTATGTCAAAACCACATTGTATAAAGTGCTCTCACTTTTTATTTTCAAACACGTATAACAGGAAAATTTCCATGTTGTGTGAAATGTTGTCAGCTCAAATGCCTAGTTTTTTAAATAAAAGTGAATGATATAAATCATCCTGGGTTGGGCATAGTGGCGCATGCCTGTAATCCCAGCACTTCAACAGCTCATGTCTGTAATCTCAGCACTTAGAAGGCTAAGGTGGGTGGATCTCTTGAGCCCAGGAGTTCGAGACTGGCCTGGGCAACATAGCGAAACCCCATCTCTACAAAAAATACAAAAACAATTTGCTGAGTGTGGCTGTATGTGCCTGTAGTCCCAGCTCCTGGAGAAGCTGAGGTGGAAGGATCACTTGATCCAAGGAGGCAGAGGTTGCAGTGAGATAGCACCACTGCACTCTAGCCTGGGTGACAGAGCAAACTTTGTCTAAAAAAGAAAATAAAATAAAATCCAAAAAATCATTCTATGTTTGTATGTCTATCACGGCAATTTGGACATCAACACACATTGCCAACTTCAGTAACAGGAACTTGAAAACTCAAAGCTGTTAAAATGTTAACTTCTGCACTTCGCCCTTTGAGGGTTTGAACTGACCTTAAAACACCCTGCAGAAGTAAGACTGAAATGGTGCATTAGGAGTTATTCACCACATTGGGAAGGAACAAGAATCATTGAAGTCATTGCTTTAAGAGTAATGCAATCTTCCTCCATTGTCCCAAACCTTCAGGAAAATTCTACTACACACTAACGCCTTGTGCTGGAGATACCTAGAGGTCAAAGAGTGGGAGTGTGTTTTATACTCAGCAATGACTTCAGGCTGTACTTGGAGCGTGTCTGCACTTAAAAGTCCCCACCATTTCCACCAAGGGAATTGTTCCTGAGTTGTGTTTATCCCTGGTCTCCATTTTCCCATGATTTTATTGGAACTCTTGTTCTTTTTACTAGAAGAGGGCTTCCAATAATAACATCTTTGTGTATCTTTTATGCATAGAGGTTTTTCTCTCTACCCCTTCCCCAAACTACTTTAGGTCTGACTTTGGGTGCCCCAAAAGGCAGGAAGAGCCTCCCTATGTAAACAGTCTCTGACTTGAGACTCTACCTTTTAGTAACAGCAGTGATATAAACCTTGAAATTAATTATCTTTTCTGTATCTGGGTCAAATTCTTAGGCACTGTTCTCTTTCCACCAATCTCTAGGGCCATGGAGATAAGAGAGATATCTACAGCGGGGATAAGAGAGATATCTACAGAGACACAAATGAGATAGAGACTCAGTTGAAGCAGGAAATCAGAACACTTGGGGACCAGGAGAGACATCAGCCTTCTGGGAAGCCCTGGAGAGAAGAATGTGGGGTCAGCTGGTGATGAACACTGGCTTTCCATCACCGGGAGATGGGAGCTTGAGACATTTTTATTTGCATACTAAAGGTCAGGGTGACTTCCTTAGTCCAGATGACTGGGGAATGTGCATCCAATGGGATTGATACTGGGTTCCATGTAGAGGGCAGAATTTTAAGCCTGAGTGAAGCCAAAATGAGATTTGCATATTTAAAAGTTTACTGAGGTCACTGGATTAAGGATGGATTGAGAGGATGTCAGCTGGAGACCAGAAGAGGCTATTACAATAATCCAAGCATGAAAGAATTCATGAAGAGCTAAATTACTCCATTGGCATGGGGAACAGAGATGAGAGAGCTGCGTTCAAGACAATTAAAATGCACCATTTCTAGGAGCTGATGATAGATTGGCTGTTGAGATGGGAGAGGGAGGGAGGAATCATAGGTCCTCTCACACTTCTGGCTTGGGTGACTAGGAGAATTTTAATTCCATGCACTGAGACGGGAAAGAACAGATTTGTAGGGAAACGTGTCTATCTCTTTGGTGGCCAAAAGGTGGGACTATGAGAATCAAGGTAGAAAAAAAGATTGTGGGATGGGTTTGAACTAGGTTAACAAAACCAAAACATCCAGAAGGGAGGAAATTCTGAGTAAGGTGTAAGTCCTAAAAGTCTATTGTAGTCTATTATATTTCAAAGTCTATTATGTTTTTTCATACAAATAGCAATAGCCCATTAAAATAGAGTTGCTAAATCTTCACTATAGAACATAAAAGTACTTCTACAAAAATTAGCTGGGTGTGGTGGCACATGCTTTAATCTCAGTTACTCCAAAGGCTGAGGTGGGGGGAGATCGCTTGAGCCGGGGAGGTTGAGGCTGCAGTGAGCCGTGATAGCACCACTGCACTCCAGCTTGAGAGACAGAGTGAGATCCTGTCAAAAAAAAAAAAAATTACTGTGATACTGTTAAAGCATTGTCAGTTCTTTGCTCTTAATCCCCTAGGAAGGAGTCCTGATGGTAGCAGAAAGTGACATTAAAAATGACAGGTAAAGAAAAGGTGCCATCCTAATTCTTCTGCCTGGCATCTTCTTCCTTTTCATTTTTTCTATTTTCTTTTCATCTGCAAACTCACTCCTCCCTTTAGATTCAGCTTGCATTCTAGCTTCCTTGGGGAACTATAAATCACTAAATCTTCCCCAAAATACTTATCCCACAGGGATAGGCACATGAACAATTAACAAACTATTAATTGGACAGTCAGTGAAAATACCACAGACCTGTTGTACCCACCCAGTGATTGGTTCAGGAATGTTTGTGTTCCAAGCAGCACCAATCAAATTCTTCCCTTTGATGGCTCTAAGGAGGTTGAAGGATATCAGCTGTCTTTCTGCTAGACTTGTTATACATTGAGAGAAAAGAGTCTGTGGTTGCTTGGTGCCATTATGTCCCCTTGGTAAGACTTTGAAGCCAATGATATCTCTCGATTTCCTGGTTATGTTAGCCAATAAATTTCTTCGTCCCCTCCTTTTTACATTTTCTCAAAATAACTTGAGGTTTTTCTTTTTACTTGTGAGCACAAGAAGTCTGAAAAGCTTCCCTATTCCAAAGTTAATGGTCCTCGCATTGATGCCTCCACTACTATATTGAGGTGTCATTCACAAACCATGTGCTTCATCCTTTAAGTACAATTTAGTGGTTTTAATACTTTCACAGAGCTGTGCAACCATTACCATTATTAATTTTTTTTTTAATTTTATTATCCCAAAAAGCATATCCATACCTGTTAGCAGTCAGTCCTCACTCCCCTGGCAGTCTTTATTTCTCTATGGATTTGCCTATTCTGGACAGTTCGTACAAATGGAATTATACATGTGACCTTTGTGTCTGGCTTCTTCCATTTACCACAGTGCTTTCCAGGCTCATCCATGTAGCATTGTATATTAGTCAGGGTTCTCCAGAGGGGAAGAACCAATAGGTTATATATATATATATATATATATATATATATATATATATGAAAGGAAGATTATTAAGGAGAATTGGCTCACATGATCACAAGGCAAAGTCCCATAATATGCCATCTGCAAGCTGAGAAGGTAGGAAGCCAGTAGTGGCTCAGTCCAAGTTCAAGAGCCTCAAAGTAGGGAAACCAACAGTGCAGCCTTCGGTCTGTGGCCAAAGGCCTGACAGCCTCTGGCAAACCACTGGTGTAAGTCCAAGAGTCCAAGCGCCAAAGAACCTGGAGTCTGATGTCCAAGGGCAGGAGGAAGACTCCAGCAAAGGATAAAGATGAAAGTGAGAAGACTCAGCAGGCAAGTTCATCCCACCTTCTCCCACCCGCTTTGTTCTAGCCGCACTGGGAGCCGATTGGATGGTGCCCACCCATGGTGAGGGTGGGTCTTCCTCTCCCAGTCCACAGACTCAAATGTTAATCTCCTCTGGCAACCCCCTCACAGAAACACCCAGAAACAATACTTTACCAGCTGTCTATGAATCTCTCAATCCAATGAAGTTGACACCTAAAATTAACCACCACAAGTGTGTATTATTTCATCATTTCTAACCACCACAAGTGTGTATTATTTCATCATTTCTAACCACCACAAGTGTGTATTATTTCATCACTTCTTTTTATGCCCACCTATTCCTCATTTGGCTTATCTGTTCATCAATTGATGGACATTAGCATTGTTTGCACTTTTTGACTGTTTTCAATAATGCTGCTACAAACATTTGTGTACAAGTTTTTGTGTGGGCATATGTTTTCAGTTCTCCTGGGTCCATACCTGGGAGTGGAATTGCTGGATCATGTGATAACTGTATTTCACCTTTTCAGGAACTGCCAGACACTCTTCCAAAGTTGGGTGCACCATTTCACATTCCCACCAGGAATATATGAATGTTCCCGTTTTTTCACATCCTCACCATCACTTCTCATTATCTGTCTTTTTGATTATGCCATTTGAAGTGGCATAAAGTGGTCTCTCACTGTGGTTTTGATTTGCATTTTCCTGATGGCTAATGATGTCAAGCACCCCTTCATGTGCTTATTGTCCATTTGTAAGTCTTTTTTGGGAAATGTCTATTTTAACTCTCTGCTTGTCTTTAAATTGGGTTATTTTTCCTTTTATTGTTGGGTTGTAAGAGTTCTTCATATATCATTCTGGATAGAAGTCTCTTATCAGATATATGATTTTCAAATATGTTTTTTCTTTTCTGTAGGGTTTTTTTTTTTTTACTTTATGGTGTTCCTTGGAGCACGAAAGTCTTTAATTTTGATGAAGACCAATTTAGCTATTTTTCTTTTGTCACTTATGCTCTTGGTGCTTTATCTAAGAACCCATTGCTTCATCCACAATACAAAGACTTATATCTCTGCTTTCTTCTAAGAGCTGTATAGTTTTAGGTCTATGAACCATTTTGAATTCATTTTTGTATCTGACTGCATTTTGCATCTCCATCTTTTTGCACTTGCCCAGTTGCACTATAATTTCTGGTACACATGCATCCTAAGTATATTTTTTCAGATAATGTTAATAAATACAGACCCTCAAAAATATTCTGAGCTTAAATAAATTTGGGAAAAATCTGCATAGCAAATTTTCCTTTTGAAGCTTCACAGTACAAACCTGCTCATTAAAAGCTCTAAATGGATAGGAGTAAAGAAGCCTGTTTCATTTCATTTAATCTGATGTTTACAAATACCACAGTCTGGTGGATGCTAGGATGTACATCCCAGACACCCCTTTAGGAATGAAGGATCTGTTGCCCCAGCTGCTGGTGGTACCCACGGAAACCTCTCCTTACCTCTCCTTTGGGGATTTGCTCAGCTGAAAAGAGCTACCTTGCCCAAGGTCATGCCCACTTCCTGGGATGGATCACATCCAGTAACCGATTGGCTTGGAGACCTAAAGGCATGGTCATCTCGACCCAACTCAGGACATCCTTGAAGGGTCTTCTGATCATCAGAACTCCCTGCAGTGTCAGTTGAGGCTTGCCCTAAGACTGCATTGCCACTCAGTTTTCTGCCTTTCTAATCCTACTTTCTTCCCTTCCCTTCCCTTCCCTTCCCTTCCCTTCCCTTCCCTTCTCTTCCCTTCCCTTCCCTTCCCCAGGTGTTGATCTTAAGAGCATGCCCTAAGAATCTCTTCATGCAAAAATACATCTTAGCATCTAGTTCTAGAACCCAACCTGAGGCAAAAAGTCTTTCCCAAACAGATTGAAATATGAAATGTAATTTTTAGAAAACATCTGCCTCTTGGAAAAGTATTTCAAAACAGCAGTTTTGAAAATGCACTCCAGTAGAACAAAACTTGCAACCAGAAGAACTGATGTGAATTTGCATGTGTTTGTTGGTGAGCCATTTTATGTTCATCTAGTCACCTATTCTGCCTGAGTTTTAGTTTCTCACCGATAAAAAACACCAGCAAATCCTCTCACAGGATTGTGAACATGCCTAGCACAGTGATTAGATAATGTGTCACAAACAGCTCCATGAGGGCAGGATTTTTGCCTGTTTTATATACTACTACATCCCAAATGGCTGGAATTGTTTTTTGCATATAGTAAGCATTTAATAAATATTTGTTAAATTAACTAAGTAAATAGCAGACACCAAGCCTTTGATGCATATTTTCAGTCCATAGGACATAGTCATTTGTGAAAGGGAATAAGTGAGGATTAGTTCAGTATAAATTATGAAAGAGCTTCTTATTGACCTTTTCTATATGAATTGGGTAGCCATGAAAATATCAGCACCATTATTAAGGAGGATTTTTTGGGCAATGTCCCACAGACCTTTACGTAGAGGCAACAATTGATTTTGCTGACCTTTCTTGTAACTTTTTTTTTTTTTTTCTGAGACGGAATCTCGCTGTGTCACCCAAGCTGGAGTGCAGTGGCGCGATCTCTGCTCACTGCAACCTCACCTCCCGTGTTCAAGTGATTCTCCTGCCTCAGCTCCCCCAGTAGTTGGGACTACAGGCGCCCGCCACCACACCCAGATAATTTTTGTATTTTAGTAGAGAAGGGATTTCACCATGTTGGTCAGGCTGGTCTTGAACTCCTGACATCAGGTGATCCACCCACCTCAACCTCCTAAAGTGCTGGGATTACAGGCGTGAGCCACCACGCCAGCCCTTTCTTGTAATTTTTGAAGTGAGTCACATTCTTAAGAATATAAGCTAAAAAGTCACTTACATTGGCTATTGTATTAGATTAAAGCAAACTTCATAAAGTCACAATAAAGTGATTTTTGAAGGATTGTTGACTTAAATGGTAAGATGTCTTGAACCTATTGAGAAGAATCAAAATGTCACAGCATTTTTTTTTTTTTTTTTTTGCGTGTTGTATTGTAGAAGCCAAGGGAAACCTTCTTTGCCCTCTGAAGGTTCACTGAAAATCACCCACAAGAGGTAGACTCATTGGTAAAAAGGCATGCAAATTTATTAACGTCTTCAAGAGCCTTCAGAATGAAGACCCAGAGATCTAAGGCTAGTAGACAGAGTGGGGAAAACCCAGCAAGGCCTGTCTGTCTAGGTTCTTCTTGGCCTCTCTGAGCATGCATCCCTTCCTTCTGGGGAACGACCCTCTCTGCAGTGAGGGTCTTTGGTTTTATGGCTGGCTTTGGGGAAAAGGGGCTCTGGTTTCTCTGACTTGCCTTGGGGAAGAGGGATTCTAGTTTCTTTGGCTCCCAAGGGAGGAGAATAGGACTGACAGATGGGAGGGCAAGAGAAGGTCAGAGACAAATTTTTGCTTCTGAGGGTTTCATCTTGGAGTGTTGGTTTCTGAGTTCCAACGGTAGCATAAACAGGACAAAGAAATTCTATGTGATTTAGCACATCTCAGGGCTTATGGTGGAAGAAGCCATTTCCCACTGGTAGCGACATTGGAGAGCAAGAGTGAACCCCCCCAACCAAGGCTGCATTGCTTGTGTTGGATGTTATGCATGATCTGCTAAAATACATAGTCTCTTTCTCTATGAAAATTTCAGCTCACAGACAACAACAGAAGCACGAGCACCTTCTAGACTCAGCAAAGGTTTGGGGACATTGCTCTCACCTCTCAGGCATAACCTAGCAGGAGAAAAAACTTACTATCATCAACTCCAAAGAAGAACAGGGAAGAGAGCCACATGGAGAGATCCAATCCAGCAGAGACAGAACACAGAAGAGGAAGCTGCTGATTGTCACCAGAGCTCAGGAAGCCACCTCAGAGAAGGTGTCACCTGAATTGCGTTTTTTTCCCCTTAGATTTATTGAGGTATAATTGACAAATAAAATTGTATATATTTGAGGCATACAACATGATCATTTGATACATGCATGCATTATGAAATGATTACCACAATCGAGTTAATTGACACATCCATCACCCCACATGGTTACCTTTTTTCTTTCTTGGTGAGAACACTTAAGATCTATTCCCATACCAAATTTCGAGTATATGCTATAATATCATTAACTGTCAGCATCATAACTGGATCCCAAGAACTTAGTCATCTTATAATTGAAAGTTTGCACTTTTCCACCAACATCTTCCATTCCCCAACCTCCAGCCCCTGGAAACCACCATTCTACTCTCTGTTTCTATGATTTCAATTTATTTCTTTTTCTTTTTTTAAGATTCCACATATAAGTGACACCATGCAGCAATTGTCTTTCTTAATTCACTTGACATAATGCCTTCCATGTTCACCTAGGATTTCCTTCTTTCTCTTCCTTCCTTCCTTCCTTTCTTTCTTTTTTCTTTCTTTCTTTCTTTCTTTCTTTCTTTCTTTCTTTCTTTCTTTCTTTCTTTCTTCTTTCTTTCTTTCTTTCTCTCTCTCTCTCTCTCTCTCTCTTTCTTTCTTTCTTTCTTCCTTTTTTTGGAGTGGGGAGGGGACAGGGTCTGGTTTTGTTGCCCAGGCTGAGTGCAGTGGTGTGATCACGGCTCACTGCAGCCTCAACCACCCTGGGCTCAGGTGACCCTCCCGCCTCAGCCTCCAGACTAGCTGGGACCATAGGCGTACCTGCACACCAGGCTAATTTTTGTATTTTTGTAAAGATGAGATTTTTGCCATGTTGCTCAGATTGCTCTCAAACTCCTGGGCTCAAGCAATCTGCTTGCTTCAACCTCTCAAAGTACTGGGATTACAAGTGTGAGCCACTGTGCCCAGCCTCCTTTTTTATTGCTGAATAATATTCCATTTTATATATATGTGTGTGTATATATGACATTTATATATCATATATAACTTACATATGCTATATATTATATATATGTATAAAACTTTACACTAAGGGTCCACTGATGAACACTTAGGCTGATTCTATATTTTGGCTATTGTGAATTGTGCTGCAATGAACATGGCAGTGCAGGCATCTCTTTGCGATAGTGATTTCATGTCCTTTGGATACATGCAGAAGTGGGATTGCTGGATCACTTGGTAGTTCTATGGTGAATTTTTTGACAAGCCTCTATACTGTATTTCATAATGGCTTTACCACTTGAATTGTGTCTTATAGACTAAATATAATTTCTGATAGACCAGGAGGTGAGGGAAAGGCATTCCAGGGGAGAAAAAGAACCAGCCTGGAAACTGAGAGAGACTGGATATAAAGTGATGAGCAATGAGGATGAAATCAGATTGTGATAGGAATTAGAGCTTTATCAACATGCTATTACATCCAACTGATCGCCGAATTATCAATTACCTTCTAGAGTTCTCACATTGTATCTCACGCCCCAGGCCCTCTGCAAACTTTTTAACTCCTTGAGGGCAGCTATAAAAACATACAGAAAATAGCTGGGCGTGGTGGCTCCACCTGTAATCCCAGCACTTTGGGAGGCTGAGGCAGGTGGATCACCTGAAGTCAGGACTTTGAGACCAGCCTGGCCAGCATAGTGAAACCTTGTCTCTACTAAAAATACAAAAATTAGCTGGCTGTGGTGGCGTGCGCCTGTAATCCCTGCTACTCTGAGGCAGAAGAATCGCCTCAACCTGGGAAGCAGGAATTGCAGTGAGCTGAGATCGTGCCGCTGTACTCCAGCCCTGGGCAATACAGTGAGACTCCATCTCAAAATAAATACACAAATAAATTAACGTATTGAAAGGTTGGACTCCTGGCAGCATTATCTCTCTGGAATGAAACTTCAAATGTCAAAATAAATGAAACTGAAAGCGAGGAGAGAGACAGAGAGAAAGAAGGGAAAAAGAAAAAGGAGGAGGAGGAGGAAGAAGAAGAGGAGAAGGACAAAGAAAAGAGGCAGAGTCGAAGCAAAAACCCTCTGTGAAACCCTATTACAAAGTATGTGCTTAGGAGACAAGTGAGGTTTGAATCTTGATCCTGGCACTTGTGAAGTATGGGACCTCGCTGAGGCCCCATTTCCTCCTGTGCAAAATGAGCAAGGCCCGCTCTAGCAGGGGACTGGATGAAACATACAGGAAGTGCTTGGCAAGCAGCCTGATGCAGTGGGAGGGCCAGTCTGTGTTACCTGCTGGTGAAGCGAGTGGGAGCAGGTGCTGCTTGCCGGGTGCTAGACCTCAGTTTTTCTCAAAAGACAGGTTCTTATTTTCTCACTCTGAGTCTGCTGACTCGCTATCAGAATGAGATTTTTAATCACTTTGCTTGTTTGCCTTTGGCATAGTAAGGTAAGGATGTAAAGATTATCATAGGAAGAGTCTCTAGGGTCATAAATGCTTGCCGCAAGACCAACAAAGGGAAGAAGTGACAACAGAGCAGATGCGTGTCTACGGAATAGACTGTGCACGCATGGTGATGGCTTAGAGCATAGGGTCATGGTCACTGTGCCTAACAGTGGCCCTGTGTTGGTATGAAAAGGCTAAATTCCTTCATTCAATCTGAACCCCTTCCATATTCAAAGCTTTATGAAAAATATGGGGATTGTACAGATATGGAAATCATACAGATGAATAAGGCAGTCGTTTTAAACAGTTGTGACAAGTGAGTCTATAAGGCAATTTGGAAATTTTCTATCCAAAATAGTTAAAATGAGGCCAGGTGCGGTGGCTCACACCTGTAATCCCAGCACTTTGGGAGGCTGAGGCGGGCAGATCACCTGAGGTCAGGAGTTTGAGACCAGCCTGGCCAACATGGAGAAACCCCGTCTCTACTAAAAATACAAAATTTAGCTGGGCGTGATGGCACCCACCTGTAATCTCAGCTACTCAGGATGCTGAGGCAGGAGAATAGCTTGAACCTGGGAGGCGGAGGTTGCAGTGAGCCAAGATCGTGCCACTGCACTCCAGCCTGGGCAACAGAGTGAGGCTCTGTCTCAAAAAAAAAAGAAAGAAAAGAAAAGAAAGAAAGAAGTTAAGATGAGCAAAGTTTCTGAAAATAACCCAAAAAGAAAATAAAACCCATCACTTGTAGAGGGGTGTGTGTGTGTAGACTGCCGAATTCTCAACAGTGTGGGGTTATAAAATATGCCACACTGAGCTCAGAGCAGGTGCTCACAGGCGCTTGCCAGGTGAATCGGTTTTGTTTTGCTTTGCATTCGCACAACAACAAAAAGAGGAAAACTACTTTTCTTTCTCCCTGGGTAATTCATCTTCATCCCATAGAAATATTCCTTACCTTCCATTTCCTGTTCCAACTCCTGGCACTGCTGTCATCAGCATCTTCCTGGCTGGAGACCTGGAGCCATCTTCGAATCTTCTCTTTATCTTGCCACCTGCATCCAAGAGGTCTATGCGTTCTATAAATTCCTTTTCTGTAACATTTTGTGCATCTGTTCCCTCCTCTTTGTTCCCATTGCCACTGTATCAGGGAATCATTTTTCACCCAGATGATTTCAGCTGCCTTCTAGGTGGCTGCTGAGTCCCCATTTTCCTTCCAATCCATTCCATCCTATGCACTGTGCTAAAATAATTGTCCTAGAGTTCAGCTCTGGCCGTTGCTTACCCTGCAGAAGGCATTAGTACCTTAGTTCACAAAGAGCACCCAGCACCCTAGCTCTCAGGAACATGGTCAGGGTGCACTTTCGGACTGCCATATTTTTGGAAATATCATGTGTCTGTCACTTCTGGACCCGCACACTGAATAGCTGGGATGAGACCATACAGAGCTCTATTTCCCTTCTTCCACAGTGATCAGTATGCCCCAGATGGTGTCAACTCCATCAGCCTGAGTTCTGAAGTGAGGATACTGTGAATCACCTTTACAGGTGACTTGTGAATATAACAGATGCAACAAGTCAATCTTGAGGTTCTCATCCATTGGGATTTTGTGATTGTTTGTTACTGTAGCATAACATGGCCCATCCTGACCAAAACACCCCTACCCAAAGGCTTCAAAGACTGCTGGTTATCCTGAGGCTCAAGGTCAAACACTTTAACCCAGCACTGAAGGATCTTGATCTCCATCTGCCTTTCCTGCCTGCTGTCCTGGGCTGTCCCCTTCCACGCTCTGCACCTCACCTCACTTCGGCTGGTCATCATTCCCTCAGACTCCACCTCCATGCCTCTGCTTGCACGATGCCCTCTTCTTAAAATGTTTTTCCTGGCTGGGCACAGTGGCTCAAACCTGTAATCCCAACACTTTGGGAGGCCGAGGTGGGCAGATCACTTGAGGTCAGGAGTTCAAGACCAGCCTGGCCAATGTGGTGAAACTCCATCTGTATCAAAAATAAAAAGAATTAGCCAGGCATGGTGGCAGGCCCCCATAGTCCCAGCTACTCGGGAGGCTGAGGCAGGAGAATTGCTTGAACTCGAGAGGCAGAGGTTGCAGTGAGCTGAGATTGCACCACTGCACTCCAGCCTGGGCAACAAGAGCAAAACTCTGTCTCAAAAAAAAAAAAAAAAAAAAAAAAAAAAAAAGTTTTTCCGAAGCTTCTACATTTCTAATTAAAATCTGCCCATCTCTCCATACCTACCCCAAACATCATCATCTAGAAGAAGCTTTTCTTGACTTTTCCTGCCGTGTGCTAGTAATTTCTCCAGTTTCTGTCCTCTGTATCATTTTCTGTGCTCCTCGGGGTGGGGTGGGGGGTCACCTGTCATGCTGGGCATGCATTAGCATTTCCCATAGTTTCACCGTCCCTCACTAGATTATTAGTTCCGTGAAGTCTGGGGCTCTATTTGGAACATCTTTTTATCCTCTATAGTGTCTAGGAAAGTGAGTTGTATATAATGATTGGTTGAGAAAAAAGAAACAGACTTGAAAGACTTCTATCAAGAAAAAAGACCTCAAAGAATTCTATCATGAATGGATTTAAATATATGTGGAAAATGTTCTGGTAATACAGCATTGTGCCAGGATGCTTTGTAAATACGTTTTTTAAATTTTAACAATAATACATCTCATAACTACATTGGAAAACTCACAGTCCTACTAAAACTAAACATGTTTGTCCTATGGCTTGGCTATTCTATTCCTAGGCATATACCCAACAGGAATGCATAAGAATGTTCACTAAAAGACACGCATAAGAATGCTCATAGAAACTCTATTTGTAATATCTTATAAGGGGAATCTTTTTAAAAGTCTACAAAGAGTAGAATGGATAAATTAGTTGTGGTTTAATCACCCAATGTACTATACAATGATGGAAATGAATGACATGGAACTTTGTTCAACAGCATGGATGAATCTCACACGCAAATGTTGAACAAAAAAGACTAGACACAAAATAGTAAGATTCTATTCATAGCACTACAAAAATTAGTACCATTAATACACGCTTGTTAGAAGTCAGGAGAGTAATTACTCTCCATGTGAATAGTGAAGGAGGTACAAGGTCTCTGGGAGCTGTTAATGTTCTCCCTCTTGATCTAGATGCTGGATACATAAGTGCATAATTTGTGAAAATTCATTGTTCTATATGCTTATGATACATGTCTGTATATGCTTGTGATACCCATCTTATATTATACAGATGTGTATACCATACAAATATGGTTTGGATTTGTGCCCCACCCAAATCTCACGTGGAATTGTAATCCCCAGTGTTGGAGGTGGGGCCTGGTGGGAGGTGATTCGGTCATGGGGGCAGAGTTCCCCCACTTGGTGCTCTTCATGAGAACTGAGAGAGTTATCATGGGATCTGGTTGTTTAAAAGTGTGTGACACCTCCCCCAGCCCCTTCCTCCTGCTCCAGCCACTTCAGACATGCCTGCTTTCCTTCATCTCCCGCAATGATTGAAAGTTTCCTGAGGACTCCCCAGAAACTATCACACTTCTTGTACAACCTGTGGAACTGTGAGCCAATTAAACCTCTTTTCTGTATAAATTACCCAGTCTCAGGTATTCCTTTACAGCAATGTGAGAACAGCCTAATATATCATACCACAGTGAAAAGTTTTTTTCAAAGAAATGCATGTTTATAAAATTTTACAAAATATAAATAAATGGAAAAAAAAAGATCATCTGAACTCTGCAGCCCATACTCATTGTTAACATTGTTCACGTACTCATTATTAACATTGTTCACGTATTCGTATTTCCTTTTAGCCTGTTTTCTATGTTTTTAAACAACAATAGAGGCACTGTTTCTAGAAGGATCTGGTCTCTGTGCAGCTCAGCCAGTGTGGGACATGCCCCAGATGATCATAGCTGAAAGATGACACTGAATTGACAGCCTTTTTCACAGATGCCATGGGATAGACTCAGAGACAAATTCCAAAACTAATTTTTTGGTTTTTTTTTTGAGACAGTCTTGCTCTGTTGCCCAGGCTGGAGTGCAGTGGCACAATCTTGGCTCACTGCAACATCTGCCTCCCGGGTTCAAGTGATTCTCCTGCCTCAGCCTCCTGAGTAGCTGGGATTACAGGCATGCTCCACCATGTCCAGCTAATTTTTGTTACTTTTAGTAGGGACCGGGTTTCACCATGTTGGTCAGGCTGGTGTTGAACTCCCGACCTCAGGTGATCCGCCCACCTGGGCCTCCCAAAGTGCTGGGATTATGGGCATGAGCCACACGTCCAGGCCCAAAACTGAATTTTAATGAGGTTTGAAAAAAATGAATGGTATGAAACACGCACACACCTGAGGCTCCTGGATAGCCACTCAACATTGCCTACCCAAAGGACTGGCCTTGGAAGCACAATCTAACATGACCACAGCCTACAGTGGAATAGATTTCAGTGCCGTGCACTTTCTTGTACAATTCCTTGAGGGTACGAACCATATCTGCTTGTTTGTTACTATATCCCCAAAGTCTGACACTGTGTCTGGCACATAGTAGGAACTTAATAAGTAACATATAAATGAATGAATGAGTGTTGAGTAAAGAACCAACTGGTAGCCAACAATATGGTACAATAATTTATTTGGTCCATCTTTTATAGTTAGATATTTAAGTATCTTTCTTTTATCTCCTTTGAATGACACTGTCAGGAACCACCTTTATCAGGAATTACACTTAGCTAAAAACCTGGTGTATTAGTCTGTTTTTATGCTGCCGATAAAGACATACCTGAGACTGGGTAATTTATAAAGAAAAAGAGGTTTAATGGACTCTCAGTTCCACGTGGCTGGGGAGGCCTCACAATCATGGCAGAAGGCAAAAGGCACGTCTTACATGGCAACAGGCAAGAGAGAATGAGAACCAAGCAGAAGGGGTTTCCCTTTATAAAACCATCAGATCTTGTTAGACTTATTCACTACCACGAGAACAGTATGGGGGAAACTGCCCCCATGATTCAATTATATCCCACCGGGTCCCTCCTGAAACACATAGGAATTATGGGAGCTACAATTCAAGATGAGATTTGGGCGGGGACATAGCCAAACCATACCACCTGGTTACAGAGGCTTAAACACACAGGGTTTATTCTCTTCTGTAAAGGAACTCTAGATGGGGGCAGCACTATGAAGTCGTTGGAAACACCATCCCCTTCTATCTTCCTCCTCCACCATCCTGAGCACGTGGCTTCCATCCTCAAGGCTATGACATGGCTGCTGGTTCTTCAAACATGAGAGTAGAATTTCTATGCAGGAAACAGAAGCAGTCCCAAATTGAATATGTTCCAACGATGACTAAAAAGCATGGGGTGCTTTTCAACTATCGGCAAATACAAGGGTTGGCAAAACTTTTCAAATTATGTATGAGTTCTGTCTTACCCATGGGTCCACCCAGGAAAGAATCATTCTGATAGATCAAATTTTACCACTCCACGAGTAACTAGTATCTCAGTAGCACTGAGATGTGAACTCTGTGAACAGCCAATCCCTGTTGTAAAAAAGACACAAGAATGTACCTCTTGCACTGCTTATGGAAGCATTCAACTGGGTATAAAGAGTGTACTCAGAATGTGTCTGTGGAGTTGAGCTGACATGTTTATATCCAGGAAGGAGTGAAGCAGGCCCATTTTGTTGTCAGATCTCCAGCTGTCCTTTGATTCCACTGTGGAACAGACGTTGTCCTACTGACCTCCTTTAAGTTTCCACCATGGTATCTGTTCCATGCACTAGCTGATTTTGTTCCCATGAGCTTTTCCAAGTGTACTCCAGGCCTGAACAAGTGAAGCTTGAGAACCACTTTATTCACTGCTCCCCTGAGGGAATTTCTCCTATTGTGGGCTTTACAAGTGAGATACTTCTAAGAAATGAGGATCAGGTTCCCACTGGAAAAGCTGGTGGTAGCAGATTCCTGGACAAGAGAGAATCATTTTGTTTTCCTCTTTTTGTGGTTTTGGTTTTGTTTCTAACAATGAAGCTCTGGTCACCACCAGTAAACCCATTGGAGGACACTATTTTCTTCCTTCTCTTTCTCACATCACCCAACAAGAAGGAAAAAGAACTACAGGGTGAATGGAAGGTTTTCCAAGACATTTAGTTTTTCAAAATTTTCTAAAGCAGACCACAAATCACTCTAACTGATTCCAGTTGTAGGACGATGTGAGTCTAAGCTTGGATATACTCTGCCAAGCAGACTGGGCAAAGTTTTAGCCAAGTCCACATATGGTAGGTGTTCAATAAATAGCTTTTTGATGGATTGGCTGAGTTTCGTTGTGCCAGATCAAGCAATTTCCAAAGCAAAAAAAAAATTATGACTTTTTCTTTTCCTGTGCTAAAATGTACAGTGTGTACGTTGCTCCACAGGTCCCTGGGACTTGCCTGAATATCTTCCAGTGCAGTGAAATGTTTGATTGGCCCACACTTCGAAAATGTAGTGGGAAATCAGAATATATCACCTTTTCCATTAGACTCTCAGGCCCTATTTAGTATCCCTAAATCCCATGGGTTCTCCTGCCTTTTGGGTACCTGTAGCCCACTTTGTCTAGAAGGGAAGGTCCTTATCTTCGCAAATAGACATCTATCTCCCCTTGTAAGCAGGTTTTAAAAAATTTTTGAGACAGGGTCTCCCTCTGCTGCCCAGGTTGGAGTGCAGTGGCAAGATCATAGCTCACTGCAGCTTTGAACTGCTGAGCTCAACGGATCCTTCCACCTCAGCCTCCCGAGTAGCTGGGACTACAGGCACATGCCACCATGCCTGGCTATTTTTAAATTTTTTGTAGAGACGAGGTTTCATAGTGTTGCCCAGGCTGGTCTTGAACTCCTGGCCTCAAGTGATCCTTCCGCCACCTCTCCCAAAGTGCTGGGATTACAGGCATGAGCCACTACCCCTGGCCACATCAATGGTCTTAAAATAAGCTCATAAGCAGCCGGGCACGGTGGCTCACACCTGTAATCCCAGCACTTTGGGAGGCCGATGTGGGCGGGTCACAAGGTCAGGTCACACGGTGAAACCCTGTCTCTACTAAAAAATACAGAAAATTAGCTGGGCTTGGTGGCAGGCGCCTGTAGTCCCAGCTACTGGGGAGGCTGAGGAAGGAGAATAGCGTGAACCCAGTAGACAGAGCTTGCAGTGAGCTGAGATGGCGCCACTGCACTCCAGCCTAGGCGACAAAGCGAGACTCCATCTCAAAAAAAAAAAAAAAAAAAAAGCTCATAAGCAGAAATGGAATTTGCTGAAAGTATATTGAGTAGCTCACAGAATTGGGAACCAGAGAGCCAAGTTCAGAGACTTCATTACCACACACGCAAAAAGCACCTCATCATGGACGAGCCCAGGGAGGAGGCCACCATCTCTCTTGCTGGTCTGGAGCCTACATGTTGCTCTGCCAACCCGGTTGGCTGGCTTCATTCCTCCTCTGCCCCTGGACTCTTGCTCAACCACCCCTACTGCCAACAAGACTGGTTGGCTGGGCCCCTGTTTCTCTGCACAGCCAGCTCTATCTTCAAGGGTTGTGGAGATCCTCTCAAGGGTGAAGCCAAGGGCGCATGCCTCCTCTTCATTAGCCCCTGGGGACATGCTCTTTTCTAGGTTGTTACTGCCCAAAGTATGGTGTGTGAATGAAAATAGAAATATAGAATCATCTGCCTCCGGCCAAGACTCAAGATGAGGGATTTGCTTCCCACAGGAAGGGGCTTAGATGCAAAGTTGCCAGGAAAAATGGCAAATATCCACATATCCCTTAACCAAACACTATGATACTGTCCTTGTGTGCCGACATCCAGCTAGATCAAGTTCCATGGAGATTCTCAGAGGAAAAACAAATATCCCTGAGATCCAGGTGTTGAGGATAGAAAAACTTAAACTTAAGTCTTCATAGTTAATCAGGTGGATAGGAGAGGGATGCCTGTGCTGAGCCATTTGCGTGTCATACCTAGGGTGACCGACCGTCTCTTTGCCCAGGACTATCTTGATTTTAGCAAGGAAAGTCCTTTGTCCCAGGAGCAAGTATCATATTTCTGTGGTATTTTGCCCAGTAACACCCAGCCAAAGGCACACAGTAACTACATGTTATTTACTTGACAGATTGGCCAAATTTACACGTGACAGCTAAAGTAACTGGGAGTTGGTTTCATTTGTGGTCTTAGTACAATGGCTTGGAAAGGAAGCAGTGAAGCTTTAGATAAGGCAATCTTATTTTCTTCATACTTTTGTGATATCAGTCTTCACATCACAAATTTACAGCCATATTTGGAATATTTTTTAAGCAGGGCCTTTCTTTCATTGCCCAGAAAATTTTAAACTTCTAAGAATATATTACAAGACACCGTCATGTCAGAAGCACTGTTGAAGACCCCAGAGAAACAGGTCTTAGTGCTTTATTTTTTTGAGACAGAGTCTCACTCTGGAGCCCAGGCTGGAGTGCAGTGGCGCGATCTCAGCTCACTGCTACCTCCGCCTCCTGGACTCAAGCAATTCTCACACCTCAGCCTCCCGAGTAGCTGGGATTATAGGTGCACACCACCACCCCCAGCTAATTTTTGTATTTTTAGTAGAGACAGGGTTTCGCCATGTTGGCCAGGCTGGTCTCGAACTCTTACCTCAGGTGATCCACCTGCCTCGGCCTTCCAAAGTGCTGGGATTACACATGTGAGCCACTGCCCCTGGCCAGTCTTAGTGCTTTTTGATGTGCATCACCACATTTCAGCAAATCAGGTGGACTGTGTCATGGCTAAATGTCTGACCCTGTCACACCCCAAGGGGGTTAAAGCTTAGTGCCCAGATTGGAGTAAGCAGTTTTGCTTTTCACCCAGACAGCAGGGCCATCCCTTCAGCTGATGCCTTCCCTAAAGAAATGAGGTGTCCGGGCACTGTAGCTCATGCCTGTAATCCCAGCATTTTGGGAGGTCGAGGCAGGTAGATCATGAGGTCAGGAGATCAAGACCATTCTGGCCAACATGGTGAAATCCTGTCTCTACTAAAAATACAAAAATTAGCTGGGTGTGGTGGTGCGTGCCTGTAGTCCCAGCTACTCGGGAGGCTTAATTGCTTGAACCCAGGAGGCAGAGGTTGCGGTGAGCTGAGATCGTGCCACTTCACTCCAGCCTGGGTGACAGAGTGGGACTCCGTCTCAGAAAAAAAAAAAAAAAAGAGGGTGATTTGCTTTGATCAGTTTCCTCCGCCCCCACAAGCATATTGGCAGTTCCTCAGAAAAAGGGCACAACATTTTCCGTCTTAACTGGTGAGCCAGAAAGACTTTCATTCAAGTTAACATCTAGCTTTCTTGCCCCCCAAGGCTCAAGCAAAGCCCAATCAGGACCAGTTGCCACCCTTCACAGAGCAAATCCCTGAGCCAGCTGATAATCATGTGTGACCTGGGCATTGGCTGCGGAGAGGCAGCAGCCACCTGAACCAACAGCTTCCAGGTGCTGGTGCTGTCCACGTTCTCCTCCTGCCTTGTAAAAGTTGAACTCCTTCTGCTGGCTGGGAAAGGCCCTCTTCTTGGAATGCTGAGAACAAGTGGTTTCTGGAGCACAGCTCAATCTCTACTTCCCTTCCCTCCCCTCCTTTCACTTCTCCTCCTCCTCCTTTTCTTCCTCATCTCCTCCTGCCTCCTATTCCTCCTCCTCCTCCTCTCCACCTCCTCCCTCCTCCCCTCTCTTCTGCCTCATCCCTTTCTCATCCTCTCTTCCTCTTCCTCCTCTCTCCTCCACCTCTTCACCTGCTCTCTCCCACTCCTTTCTTCTTTTCCCCCTCCCTCCTCTCTCCTCTTCTTCCTCCTTCTTTCTCCCAGCCTGCTCCTCTTTCTTCCCCCCTTCTCTCTCCTCTCCTCATCTTCACCTTCTCTCTACTCCTGCTTTCTTCTCCTTCTCCTCTTCCTCCTTCCCTTCTCTCTCCTCCTCTTCCTCCTTCTTATGTCCTCTCTCCCCTGCTTCCTTACACTCTCTTCCTCCTGTTTACCTCTTCTTCCCCCTTCCCTCCTCTTACCCTCTCTTCCTCCTCTTTTTTCTCCCCTTTTCCCTCCTCCTCTTTACCTTCTTTCTCTTCTTCTCCTTCTTTCCTTTTCTCCTCCTCTTCACCTCCTCTCTTCTCCTATTCTCTCTTCCTCCTTCTTTTTTATTTTTGAGATGGAATCTCACTCTGCTGCCCAGGCTGGAGTGCAGTGGCGCGATCTCAGCTCACTGCTACCTCCGCCTCCTGGACTCAAGTGATTCTCCTGCCTTGGCCTCCCGAGTAGCTGGGATTACAGGCACCTGGCACCACACCTGGCTAATTTTTGTATTTTTAGTAGAGACAGGGTTTCACCATGTTGGCCAGACTGGTCTCGAATTCCTGACCTCAGTTGATCCACTCACCTCAGCCTCCCAAAGAGCTGGGATTACAGGCATGAGCCACTACGCCTGGCTTCTTCCTCTTTCTTTTCCTCCCCTTCTCTTTCCTCTTCTCTTTCTCCACCTCTTTCTCTCTCCTCTTCTCTTTCTCCACCTCTTTCTCTCTTCTCTTCTCTTTCTCCTCCTCCTTCTCTCTCCTCCTCCCCTTTCTCTGTCCTCCTCTTCTCTTTCTCCCCCTCCTCTTCCTCCTCCTTTCCCTCCTGCCTGCCTCTCCTGCCCCCTTCATTTTGCCAGCACCTCTCCTCTTTCTCTCTCTTCCTCTCACTCCACACACCTCCTCTCCTTTTCCTCTTCTCTTCCAGATGGAGGGTGCCACTCTAGGTCTTTAAGCTGTTTTATCTCCTTCATTCTTCACCCCTAGGAGCTGAGTCGCCTTTTCTGATCTGTACATTTCTTTTGGTCTCAACCCTTAATGCCCAGAGCCCATGGCTGTGCAAAGCACTAACCTCACTGATGTGCAACTGAGAGGCTATTTGCAACCAGAGAGCAGAGAATCAATTTTTTCCCCACAGGACAGAATTGTAACATGAATCAGATCTTTAATTGGACTTGCCTCCCTGGGCTTAATTCCTCTTCTGTATACTTAGGGAAGTTACCGAAATTACTTTTCACCTGTTTTGAGAAGATGGTAGGCGAGATTGGAAATGAGCTGGGGGTAAAAGATATGTGCAAATGGACATGAGTTTCGGGAAGACACTGTGCCTTTGGAGAGCTAAATATGAAAGAGTGTGGCTGCATTTGAGAGCCGGTAGTACAAAGGTTAATACATCACCTGTGTTCACAGCCCATCATTGACCCGGAGCCATATTTGAGTTCTAGCTCCGTGCCATCATTCATTGGAGCATAGCCCTGGCTGAGGGTTCCTGGAGAGAACTTCTCATGGGTCACAGCCAGCACTGCCCTACTGTGTCCAGAAGACTGGGACCCTCCAGGATGGAAGGGACTGGGGTGTCGATGAAAGGATTCAGTGCAGATATGAGGAGAGTGTCCTGTCCTTGGGCGAGTTCCTTGCATTTTTCCTCCCACATGGAAGCTGGCAGTTTCTGCTGAGATGGTTTTAGATGTACTTAGATAGTCAGCTTTCTGTCCGATCTTGTTAGAAGTTGCCATCCCCTTCTTTCTCAGGCCACTTTCACTTTTGTAACTGAGTGTGGATTTCTAACCTTTATGTAAGAAGAGTTACTTTTCATTTTGCCCAAATCATGCAGTTTGTGGAGGTCTTGGCTGTGAAGTCCCCCAGGCAGCAGGGCCCTGGGCCTATAGTGGGATCCCCAAAATCCTGGAAGGGCAGCAGCAGCTGGCTTAGAAATCCACACAAGGAGGGTTTCAAGTCGGCTAGCAGAGGTTTGCCTGGGACTCATCCAAGGCCATGACAGAACACTCTGCCAAAGCCGTCTGCGTGGTCCCTGATGCCACGGGCACCCTGGGGAGGCTGTGGGTGGCAGCATAAGCTTCGACAAGCATGGGCCTGTGAGGCCAGATAGCACAGGCTCCAGTCCTGACTCGACACTCACAGCTGTGCAGCCTCGGTCAAGGTAGCATCCTCTCTTTGCTCACATTTATTTCTCTGCAAATTAAGGTTAATACTGTCTCCTTCACAGGGTAATTGTGAGGATGGAATGAGAGAAAGTCTGTACAATTCCTAACCAGGACCTAGTATACAGTTAGAGCAGGGGTCCCCAACCCCCAGGCCATGGACTGGTACCAGTCTGCGATCTGTTAGGAACTGGGCTGCATGGCAGGTGAGTGGTGGGCCAGCAAGGGAAGCTTCACCTGAATCCACACCATTCCTCATCTCTCACATTCCCGTGGAGCTCTGGCTCCTGTCAGGTCAGCCACAGCATCCGATTCTCACAGGAGCGCGAACTCTACTGTGAACTGCATATGCGAGGAATCTAGTTGCATGTTCCTTATGAGAACCTAATGTCGATGATCTGTCCCCAGATGGGACCTCTAGTTGCAGGAAAACAAGCTCACACTCCCGCTGATTCTACATTATGCTGTGTTATATAATTATTTAATCATATATTACAATGTAATAGTAATAGAAAGAAAGTGCACAGTAAGCTGGGCACGGTGGCTCATGCCTGTAATCCCAGCAACTTGGGAGGCTGAGGCGGGTGGATCGCTTGAGGTCAGGAGTTTCAGACCAGCCTGGCCAATAGGGTGAAACCCCATCTCTACTAAAAATACAAAAATTCTCCAGGTGTGGTGGTGTGCGGCTGTAATCCCAGCTACTCGGGAGGCTGAGGCATGAGAATTGCTTGAACCTGGGAGGTGGAGATTGCAGTGAGCTGAAATCGAGATTGTGCCGCTGCACTCCAGCCTGGGCAACAGAGTGAGACTCTGTCTCAAAAAAAAAAAAAGAAAGAAAGAAAAGAAAAGAAAGAAAGGAAGGAGGGAAGGAAGGAAGGAGGGAAGGAAGGAGGGAAGGAAGGAAGGAAGGAAGGAAGGAAGGAAGGAAGGAAGGAAGGAAGGAAGGAAGGAAGGAAAAAGAAAAGAAAATGCACAATAAGTGCAATGTGCTTGAATCACCTGAAACCACCCCCCAACCAACGCTGGTCTGTGGAAAAGTTGTCTTCCACCAAACCAGTCCCTGGTGCCAAAAAGGTTGGGGACTGCTGAGTTAGGGTAAATGCCCAAGAATTTCAGTAGAAAGCAGAAAGGAGCAAGCAGCAGGAAGCAGTGAAGCATGAGTAAGAGGAATCAAATAGGCAAAAATGTGGCAGAATAGATACAGAAACTGACCCTTAGTACCTGCAAAATGTCTGTTTGCACAAAGGATCTATAGCAGAGGGCAACTTTCTTTTGGAGCAGTGGAGAGTATTGGGAGAGACCTGTTTCTCAAAGCAGCTGTCATGATGCCCAGAGTGGCAGGAAGACTAAAGTTTGATGTGTTAAAATGGCCTCAGACCCCTAAATATATATAAATTTAAAAAGAATTTTATAAAAAGGCTTATTGTGGGGAAAAAGAAAAAAAAAATCTCAGGGTCCTTGTAGGAGTGAGTGCCAACCACTCCCTGAAGACAGGGTGTTTATAGTTGAGCTTCATTTTTCCAAGGCATACAGCATTTCTCCCCATTTGGAACTTGAAGTTGATGGTTGGGAGTAACAGTGTTCTTTAAACATTTTTTCTTTCCCTAGATGGAACATTCTTTCACATCTCAATTTGCAGGCATTCCCACAGAAGCGTCTGGCCCTCTTGGAATTTCTCATAACAATTCCAACTATCCCAGCTGCCACCTCCAAGCAATACTATATTCACTCACAAGGGTCAGAACGCCTGGGGTCTGCTTTCACCTTGAGTACACACCCTCAGGTGCTAGTTACACAGAGGCCCTGTCATGGGCAGGACTTGGGCCTGCTGGGACAGTGCTAGGGAGAGTCTTATGCCCGCTGCCAGCAACCAGCACACTTTCTTCCTGCTCTCGTCCAAGAAGGTGGCTTTGTGGCATTGAAGTAGTTTGGATAGGAGAAATTTTTCCTTTGAAAATCATATCTGGTACATTAGTAAAATCATCACACTGTTTTCCTCTTTCTCACTCTGACCCAGTAGACTTTCTTTTTTTAACTGATATCAACTAATAAGGCTGAGTTTTAGGTCTCTTCACTTATTTTCAGACAAAATCCTCTATGGATTAATCCTGGTGGCTTAGAGAGGACAAGTTCTTCTGAGTATTGTCTCTCAGGGATGTGCACAAGAAGGGCCTCACTGTGAAATGAGGTGAAGAGGGTGTGTGGGCGTGGGGGAGCGTGTTAATGATTGTTCCTTCCCTTTTCTCTTCCTAAATGTTCTAATTTTGTATCTCCTTAGAATGAAGATAGCTGAGGGCGTGGCCAACACACACCCAACATGTCTTCTCTTTAAAAGTTCAAATACAGCATTGCTATTTTTAAAAGACACATGGGGCTGTGCTGTCGTTGAACAATGCTAAGAGCTATTTGTGCTGGTCCCAACTTAACGCACAGCTGCCTGGGATGCTGACATCTTCATCTACAATACGAAAAGTCAGCGCTCAACCATAAATACTTTCTGAAGGCCTGGGGAGGTTTCCAGCTGTGGCAGGAGTGGCATAGACTCCCAGCTGAAAACATTTTCACTTGGCAAATGGAAGACCATGAAAGAAAACCTGGCCATGCTGTAGGGTCCTGATAATTAGGGAAAGGAAGCAGGTAAGTTGGAAATCCTGTGAGATCATGGCAAAGTGGAACAACATTTCTCCCTGTCCTATTTCTTGTTTCTTCTTCCCAACTCCACCCGACTTCAGCCTATGTACCAAAAAGTTAGAATGTCTTAGTAGAGCCGAAGGCCTGGGGAGGCCTCTCTGTCTCTCTCTGTCTCTGTCTTTATCATCTCTACCTCTGCCTTTATCTCTTGTTCCTTGTTGTCAATATCCCATCGTTAAAAACACAGGAGCATGAAGTAGCCACCTCTGGAAGATGCTCTTGAATAGGTATACAGGTATTCCTGAGCTCACACACGGACACAGCACAACCTGTAAATGCTTAAATGTGGGTGCATGCACATGTAAGCAACAGCAAGTCAAGACAGAGCCACTCAGCATCATGGTCACAGCCCCCATAGTTACACATGGCCAAATGGATGAGTGGTGGGAGACACCTGATAGGAGGTCCAATAACTCCAGCATTGGGCAGGACCCAGAAATACTTTAGACCCTTCACTAGATCCTTGAAAGGCAGTGGGATGGGAGGAAGGGGGAGTGGGCAATAAGGAAACATTCCTGGAGGTCGACAGAGCAGGGGCAGGAAGGGACAAAGGCCAGGCATGGTGGTTCATGCTTGTAATCCTAGCAATTTGAAGGGAGGATGAGGCAGCAAGATTGCTTGAGGCCATGAGTTCCGGACCAGCATGGGCAACACAGCAAGAGGCTGTCTCCACCAAAAAAAAAAAAAAAAAAAAATTAGATAAGTGAGGTGCTGCGAGCCTGTGGTTCCAGCTACTCAGTAGACTGAAGGAGGAGGATTGTTTGAGTTTAGGAGTTTAAGGCTGCAATGAACTCCTGCCACTGCACTCCAACCTGGGTGACAGAGTGAGACCCTGTCTCTCTTAAAAAAAAAAAAAAAAAGAAAAGAAAAGAAAACGAAAAAGAAGAAAGAAAGAGAAAGAAAGAAAGAAGAGAAAGAAAGAAAAGAAAGAAAGAGAAAGAAAGAAAGAGGTAAAGAAAAAGAAGGAGCAGAGCCAGGCTATTCCAACCCTTTGACCTCTCCCATTTGAGGGAGAAAACATATCCCAACCAGCCTCACGTCAATGTGGGCACCCCCATCACTACCTGGGAAGACTCTTAAGGAGGGGCAGGCACTGGGCTTTTCCTCATCTGCTCAGTACAGTAGGGGTGACTGGATATCAGGGCCATTCATGGGAAATCGAGGCAGAAGGTAGTGAGAGGCACTGTGAGAGGCTGCCCAGTGGGTGTCACAGACATTCACCTGGACTCACTCTGCAGGGTTACTACCCTTGGGGAAGAAATAAAATGGAAAGAAACAGAACCCTGCTATGATGGTTAACATTGTGTGTTAACCTGACTGGGCCATGGGTAGCTGGTTAAATGTTGTTCCCAGATGTGTCTCCGTGGGTGTTTCCAGAAGGGCATTTGGATTGGTGAGCTGAACAAAGCAGATGGCCCTCCCCAGGGTGAGTGGGCATCACCCCATCTGCTGAGGGTCTGAATGGAGCATAAAGCGGGAGGAAGGGTGAATTTGCTCTCTGCCTGGCTGCTTGGGCTGGAACATGGATTCTCCAGCCTTTGGTGCTCCTGGTGCTCACATCTTCAGACTTGGGGAAGTCACACCATTGGCTCTGTAGCTCTCAGGCCTCCCAACTAAATCACTGGCTCTCCTGGGTCTCCAGCTTGCAGAAGGTAGATCATGGGACTTCCCAACCTGCAGAGTCCAAATCTTTAGAGAGAAGCTAATTATAAGGTACTGGCTCACATGATTATAGAGGCTGAGAAACCCCATGACCTGCTGTCTACAAGCAGGGGACCAGGAAAAGGAGCTATATTTCTCTCATTGGTTTTGTGTTGTTATAAAAGAATACCTGAGACTGGGTAGTTTATAAAGAGGCTTATTTGGCTCATAGTTCTGCAGGCTGTATGAGCCTGGCACCAGCATCAGCTTGGCTTCTGATGAGCCCTCAGGGAGCTCTTACTCATGGCAGAAGGCAGAGGGGAGCAGGTGTGTGACATGGTGTGTTAGTTCGTTCTCACAGTGCTGTAAAGAAATGTCTGAGACTGGGTCATTTCTAAAGAAAAGAGGTTTAATTTTCTCATGGCTGTGCAGGATGTACAGGAAGCATGATGCTGGGGAGGCCTCCGGAAACTTACAATCATGGTGGAAGGCAAAGGGGAAGTAGGCACGTCTTACATGGCAGGAGCAGGAGGAAGAGAGTGAAGGGGGAAGTGCTACACACTTTTAAACAATCAGATCTCGGGAGAACTCACTCGCTATCACAAGAACAGGAAGCGGGAAATCTGCAGCATGATCCAATCACCTACCACCAGGCACCTCCCACAACACTGGGGATTACAATTCAACATGAGATTTGGGTGGGTACCCAAACCCAAACCATATCACATAGTGAGAGAGGGAGCAAGAGAAAGGGGAGGAGGTGCCAGCCTCCTTTAAACAAACAGCTCTCCTGTGAACTCACGGAGAGAGAACTCACTCATTACCATGGAGATGGCGGAGAGAGAATGCACTCATTACCATGGAGATGGCGTCTAGCCATTTATGAGGGACCCACTCCCATGACCCTAACACCTCCTACGAGGCCCCATTTCCAACAACGGGGATCACGTTTCAACATGAGATTTGGAGGGGAAAGATACCCAAACCATGTCAAGTTCTGTTTCTCTGGAGAACACTGACTGATACACCCGTCTACCTCCCACCCTGCTGTGAGTGAGGTACCCCACGAGGCTGCAATTGGATCTAAGGAAAATGCCTGGCCTGCCGCACTGCTGAAAGCCAGCAGGGGGCTGTTTTGGTTTGTGCAAGCACTGACATGCAGTGATTGTTCTGGTCACCGCATGATCTCCTGAAAGGAAAAATGCTGAAATACCACAAAACTGTCTTATGAACAAAGTCCCAAATGCTCCCTTAACTGTCCTAGAACCTTAGGCTGCCACTGATGCTTACGTTTTTGAATCCTTTTTTCTCCCAGTTTCTACGTCTTTAATTCCCAAAGATCAAATTCTAATGGAGTTCCCCATATCACTTAGGTTAAGTGCCAAAGTCCTCACAATGGCCTGCAAAATCTTGCGCCCCTCGTGTCTCTGACCACAACATCATCAGTTATCCCATTGTCCACTCTGCCCTAGACCCTCTATCTCCTTACTGTTCCCAAATGTGAGGCAAGCACCCATCTCAGGGCCTTTGCTTTTGCTGTCCCCTCTTTCTGGAAAACTCTTCCCTCAGATCTCTGTCAGGTGCCTTGTCACATTTCCTCAGGCCATATCGAAATGCCCCCTTCTCAGCAAGGCCTCCCCAGCCACCTGTCTCAAACCGCAAGTCCATTTCTCTACCCTCGTCTCCCTCCACTGCATTACTGCCCTCTTTAGCACTTCACATGAGCTAACTTCCATGCCATAACTTCCTTCCCTTCTTCCCCCGTCTTCCCCATCTGATAGTCCCCAGTTTCTTTTGTTGACATCTTTATGTCCATGCATACCCAGTGTTTAGCTCCCACTGATAAGTGAGAACTTACTTTCTAGGTTTCTTGGCCTTTCTTGCCATTAGGTTGAGGCCATAGGACTAATTTTGGTTAGTGGATGGTGAGAGGAAGTGACATGTGCCACTTCTAACTGAGGCAATTAAAAACCAAAAAGACCACATGTTCCAGATGGGGCAGCTGCAAGAGCAGAGCCTCCATCCACCCTGCCCTGAATGCCCGTGTGGAGCCGAGTGCCCTGTCAACATGCATGACTCATGTTTGGGATGTATCACTATTGCCCCTAGTCTTCACCTAACTAATGAGCATGCTTTCACCCTGAAAACACTACTATTGCAACTTACAAAACAAACAAAATAAAGATAATTCTTCATTGTGTAAGTTATTTTAAATAGCAACTTCTCTAGTAAAGTTTTTCTTTAGAGGTCACTAGCAATTGACATAGAAAAGAGGGATGATCAGGGGAAAGTGTTTGGAAGCATTGCCAATAGAAAATCAATGCAGATGGCCAGGCACGGTGGCTTGCACCTGTATTCCCAGCACTTTGGGAAGCCAAGGTGGGCAGATCACTTGAGGTCAGGAGTTAGAGACCAGCCTGGCCAACATGGCAAAACCCCATCTCTACTAAAACTACAAAAATTAGCTGGGCGTGGTGGCGTATGCCTGTAATCCCAGTTACTCAGGAGGCTGAGGCACGAAAATCGTTTGAATCCGGGAAGCTGAGGTTGCAGTGAGCCAAGATCCCACCACTGCACTTCAGCCATCCTGGATGACAGAGTGAGACCCTGAAAAAGAAGAAAGAAGGAAGGAAGGAAGGAAGGAAGGAAGGAAGGAAGGAAGGAAGGAAGGAAGGAAGGAAGGAAGGAAGGAAGGAAGGGAGGGAGGCAGGGAGGGAGGGGGAGAGGGAGAGGGAGAGGGATGGGGGAAAGAAAATCAATGCAGATAATGGCATCACTGAAATAAGTCATTAGGGAAATATCATTCTTATAACATCTACAGATGTTCTGAAGAATTAGATCCATCTCCAAAACCCGCAGTATTTCTGGCTTACCGTCAGTGTTTGTTATTCTCCCTGATGGCCAGATCTCGGATGCTGGTATGTTTCCCTTTCCCAAGCTAACACATGCCGCTTCCATTCTTTCCCCAAGTGTTTCTTTGGTCATCTCTGTCTTCACTCCTCTCCCATGCCTCTAGGAGCACCACACAGACAGTAGCCTTCTTAGGAAGTGAACCAGGTCAATTCATTCCCTTCCTTGAAAGTGGTGGGAAAGGTCCAAACTCCATTCCACAACAGACAAGACTTTGTGCACAATCCTGCCGTGCTTCTCTCTTCCACCTCATTGTAAGGTTCTTGTATCGGTTCCAAGCCCAAGAGCGTGCCAACAGACAACACGAGGCCCTGTGGAGCAACACGCTGTTTTAATGAGTGCCTGGGTACAGGCGGGCTGAGGCCTAAAACGGCCTCAGCACCAAATGAGGATGGGGCAGGGGTTTTATGGTCTCCTGTAAACAAGAAGTGTCTCAGTCTGACGTGACTGCTACATACTACCCGGACAGCCTCTTTCTCGATCTTCGGGGGTACGTGTCTTCCGGCCAGGGTAGGTGTCTTCCGGCTGGCTTTCTTCCTGCTTCTGCTCTCTTGCTGGCGCATGCTGCTGGTGCAAGTAGCCTTGCTCTTTGGCACTGGGCCTGAGAAGGGAGGAGTTCCTCATCCCTTCAAGCTTTCAGGCCGTGGGGAGAATCTTTCACTCATCTCAGGCCTCACATCCCTCTAGACCTACATTGACCTTTCTCTGTTCTTTGTCTATGCCTCAGATGTGTGTGTTATTCCCTCTGCCCAGAGTTTTTGGGTTTCAAGCTTCACGTGCCTGGTTAAACTGAACTCCTCTTTCAGACACTTTAAATAGTGCTACTCCTTGGTTTAAATGGTACCACTTCTGAGAGGTCTTCCCTCATTATCTTGTCTTTACCCTCTGCCCTGTTCCACACTATTTAATCATTGTTTCCAGCACCTTTGACAATTTATAATTACATTATTTGTTTTCATGTTTTTTTCTTCCCCCATTAGAATGATAGGTCCATGAGAGTCTCCGAGGTAGGAAGGATCTGAGATTTTACTTTACCTACAAGATAACTAGCTAGCCCACCACAATTTCATAAATGCTGGCAGAAGACACAAGACTCCTGGATCAGAGACAAAGAACTTTACTACTCACAGCACAGAAAGCAGCATGAGCTTCATGTTTTTTGGTTTTCTCTTGATCCTCAAGTCTCACAGGGACAACAGAGATGCCCAGATGGATGGCACACATACAGTGGGTGGCATCATGGATGAGGGAACCTGTGCTTAGGCAAGGCCAATCTTTTATAATGGGATGCAAGCAAACCTGCCTGACCTTGGCCCTGGAGGGAGAAATCTTTATTACATTGGGTAGTGTATTAGTCATGGATCTCTAGAGGGACAGAACTAATAGGATAGATGTATCTGTGAAGGGGAGTTTATTAAGGAGTATTGACTCACACTATCACAAAGTGAAGTTCCACAATAGGCTGTCTGCAATCTGAGGAGCAAGGAAGCCAGTCCAAGTCCCAAGACCACAAAAGTAGGGAAGCCAACAGTGCAGCCTTCAGTCTATGGCCGAAGGCCCGAGAGCCCCTGGCAAACCACTGACTTAAGTCTAAGAGTCCAAAAGCTGAAGAACTTGGAGTCCAGTGTTCGACGGCAGGAAGCATCCAGCATAGGAGAAACATGGAGCCCGGAAGACTCAGTCAGTCTAGTCTTTCCAAGTTCTTCTGTCTGCTTTTATCCTAGCCACATTGGCAGCCGATCAAATGGTGCCCACCCAGATTGAGGGTGGGTCTGCCTCTCCCAGTCCACTGACTCAAATGTTAATCTTCTTTGGCAACATCCTCACAGACACACCCAGGAACAATACTTTGTGTCCTTCAATCCAATCGAGTTGACACTCAATATTAATCATCACAGATAGAAAACAAACATTTCCATTTCTCTGGAGGAAGATACTATCTCTATCTTCCAGGCTATGTGCTATAGAAGCATCCTTGAAAAGATAGTGCCTCTTCTGACAAGACACAGAGAAACATGAGAAAAGTACCTCCCTACAGAAGGCAGGGATCATAAATATACTTTCACCTCTCCTTGCAGAGTATTCAGCAAGGTGCCTATCCCATCAAATCAGTTAACATTCTTAATTGTAAGCCACAGAAACTAAACCACTTTTCTGAAGAATGAAAGGGAATTAAAAAATGTTTTAATTTGTGTTTTGAGAAGGTAATATATTCACAGAATTCAAACCAAATTTATGTATGCATATATAAGCATATGCACACACACATACATGTAATATACAGATGTTGCTCAACTTATGAAAGGGTTACATCCCAATAAATCCATCATAAGTGAAAAATATAAGAAGTCTAAAATGCATGTAATACAATGAACCTACTGAACATCATAGCTTAGCCTAGCCTACCTTAAACATACTCTGAACACTTACTTCACCAGCAGTTGGACAAAATCACCTAACATGAAAGCTACAAGAAAATGTTGGATATCTCATATAATTTATTGAATACTATACATTGCATAGAAATTGCAATGGTTTCACACGATTGCAAAGCTGAAAATTGTAAGTTGAGCCATTGTAAGTCAGGGAATGTCTGTACAGTAAGAATTTTCCCTCCCACTCTTATTCCCATCTCTTCAGGGGCCCCTCCACTCTACTAATTCTATATGAATGCCAGGCAATCACTATTATTAGTTTCTTATGTTTGTTTCTCAAGTGTCTTTGTGTACATACTAAGATATATACAAATATATTTTCTCCTTTTATATACAAAATACAGTTTACTATTTTGTAAATGTAGTTTGCTACTTTCTTTGCATTTTGTCTTTCTCATTTAGTATATCCTAGAACACGTATTTATTGTTTTTTATTTTATTTCATTTTTAAAATATAAGTGGAGTATTCCACTGTGTGAATGTACCGTAGTCTATTTAACCATTTCCGTATTGATTAACAATTGTGAGGTTTCCAATCTTTGACTACCATAGGATGTTACAATGAAAAGCGTAAGTAAAAGTACATATGTGGAATAAATTCTCAGAAATAAATTTTCCGGGTTAAAGGGTAGTGTCATCTTGATAGATGTTCTTCAGTTGTCTTCATACAAGTTGTACGCAAATGTGGTACCAACAGAGCACGTGGGAGTGGCACCAAACCCAGACTTAAATATCAACCATGACTTCCTGGAGACACAGAGATCAAATCTCAGACATGAAAGAACCACTAGGCATGTCAGGAATATCTATAGCTTTTGACTGTTGAGGAATGGGCTGGCTAATAACACAAGTAATGTTACTTTTCATTATCCTGGAGAAAAAGGACAAGTTTTTATTCAAATGGGGCCTAGAAGTTTAAGAAAGATTTTGCTAACAAGCAACAGGGGTTGCTCAACCTTGGATGGTCCCCTCCCACATGCACTGTGGGCTTGGTGGTGTGGCTTGCTTTGGTCATTGGGACATTAGTCAAAGGGCTAAAAGCAAATAATTGATAAGGGCTTGCACACTGGGGCTTGTTTTCGTGGGCTACTCCCCCTTGAATTCCAGCCACCACACTAACAAGAAACCCATGCTTGGCTGCTGTAGGATGAGAGACCCTGGAGCGTGAAAGACAATCTCAAACCTTTCAGCCCCAACCAGGCTCCCAGCTGCATGCTGCATTTACAGCATGAGAATCAGAAGAACTTCCCTGCTGAGCCCAGTCTACTCACAGAATTATGAGAAATAAAAATCATTGTTTTTTTTCTAGCCAGAATTTTAGGATGGTTTTGTTTGTTTGTTTGTTTGAGACAGAGTCTTGCTCTGTCACCCAGCCTGGAGTGCAGTAGCATGATCTCGGCTCACTGCAACCTCTGCCTCCCAGGTTCAAACGATTCTCCTGCCTCAACCTCCTGAGGAGCTGGGATTACAGGTGTGCACCACCACGTCTGGCTAATTTTTGTATTTTTAATACAGATGGGGTTTCACCATGTTGGTCAGGCTGGTCTCAAACTCCTGACCTCATGATCTGCCTGCCTCAGCCTCCCAAAGTGCTGGGATTACAGGCATAGGATGGTTTTTTAAATACAGAAATAGATAACCAAAACATACTGTGTTATAATTATCTGCTACTTAAGTTCAGAATCTGCTGTATTCTAAGTAGAGGTGTATTAGTCCCTTCTCACTCTGCTGTAAAGACATACCTGAGACTGGGTAATTTATAAAGAAAAATAAGTTTAATGGACTCACAGTTCCGCATGGCTGGGGAGGCAACCCAAGCATGGTGGAAGATGAAGGAGGAGTCTTCCTTCAAAGGCACGTCTTACATGGCAGCAGGCAAGAAAGCATGTGCATGGGAACTCCCCTTTATAAAACCATCAGATCTCGTAAGACTTATTCACTATCAAGAGAATAGCATGGGAAAAACTCACCCCCATGATTCAATTACCTCCCATCTGGTTGCTCCCATGACACGTGGGGATTCTGGGAGCTACAATTCAAGACGAGATTTGGGTAGGGACACAGCCAAACAATATCAACAGGCTCAATAAATACTTTCTGAAAGGCTTCTCAAGTGTTCTCGGGTTAGGTCAGGCTTAACAGCATTGCTGACTCACAATCAGCTTGCATTAAAGAGGGAGTGGTGAAAATTTTTGATTCTACTGGCGTAGAGGTCATTAAGGTAAGGGAAAGGTAGCAAACCATGACTTTCTGTAATTCTTGCTGTGACTAAGATACCACATCAAGTGAAAAAGAATCAGTACTTGTGAAAATTGCTACTTCTTTGAGTTTTGTTTCTATTCCTTGGAAGCCAGTTTAAGTTAAGCCCCAGATGGCAACTTTTCTTAGATATGTTTGGAAAATACCTTAACTTTCTGTACTGGTCTGTTCTCACACTGCTAATAAGGACATACCCAGACTGGGTAATTTATAAAGGAAAGAGCTTTAATGAACTCACAGTTCCACATGACTAGGGAGGCCTCACAGTTGTGGTGGAAGGCAAAGGTGAAGCAAAGGCACATCTTATATGGGGCAGGCAAGAGAGCTTGTGCAGGGGAGCTGCCCTTTATGAAACCATCAGATCTCATGAAACATATTCACTAGCACTAGAACACTGTGGGGGAAACTGCTGCCATGATTCATTTATCTCCACCTGGCCTTGCCCTTGACACCTGAGGATTATTACAATTCAAGTGAGATTTGGGTGGCGACACAGCCAAACCATATCACTTCCAAACATCCAGAAGATCTGTGAGGAAGGGAATGGAGGGTCATGAAAGGAAAAAAAAATCGTGTGGGCTTAACACATGCTGAAAAATTTTAATCAAGTCGGCCTCCTAGGTAGCATCCCAGCACCAGGTAATCATTGCCTCTTCTGAACTCCTGGAAGGTTTTTATCCTCAGCATCTGGCAATTAATCACTCGCTACCCCCTGGTATCTCTTCTCTTGTTGTCTTTGTATTAGGTCCTGCCATTTAATTTTTCACAGGTTTATGTCTGGCCTTTTTACTGGATTCCCACAGAGCCGAGCACATTGTAAGCATGTAATAAATAGCTCCTACAGAACGGTTTTGCTCGAAGCAACCCTCACAAAAAGTGGACGGGAAAGACTCCACACTCCTGGGTAGAAGTGCAATGATTTTGAGGAGTTGAAGCACACGGCTGTCGCCCCCGTGGGTGTAACCCTCCAACAAGAGGTTGGGCATTTGCTGAACAGCCTCTCCTCTAGCCTTAATTTCTTCTTCCCTCAGAGATGGTTGGGGTGGTCTCACTCTGCCTGAGTTGTTCCCCAGGACTGGAAGAACTACTCTGGCTCATGGCTTGGTCTTTGGGGGTGCCCAAGCCCAAACCTGAAACTTTTTTTAGTCTTTAGGATGAGGAATAGATGATTTACAAATTTCTCTGTCTCTCTCTCTCTGCCTCTGTGTCTCTTTTTGTCTCTTTCTCATTCTCTTTCTTTTATTATGTATGAATCAATGAATAATTATCTCTGCCTTCACTGAGGTTACTAAAAGAAGTACTTTAGCTGCAAGGCTTTCAGTGAAACAGAAGAGTCCACCCTGCCAGTTAGAGATCCCACCTAGTGCAATAGAGTCCTAAAGGAACATGAAGGGTTTCTTTCTAATGAGGTCTTTAAAGAAAACCCAACTTCTCTGCTGTCTGGCATGATTTCTATATGGGTCCAACTTCCGGATTCCTCTCTGCCTGATAACGCCATGTGTCTCTGAAATAGACCTGGAGCCTCATTATGCAGAGAAGAAGCAGCAAAAACAACCGCTACCCCCAATCTCTTTTCCAATATTCTATCTTTCTTTAAAAATGAATAAAACACCTGATTCAGGAAACTCAGAAACATGGTTGGCCTACTCTGGTTTGTTTTTGTTGTTGTTGTGGTGGTTTTGAGACAGAGTCTCGCTCTGTCGCACAGGCTAGAGTGCAGTGGCACGATCTCGGCTCACTGCAACCTCTGCCTCCTGGGTTTAAGCGATTCTCCTGCCTCAGCCTCCTGAGTAGCTGGAATTACAGGTATCTGCCACCACGCCCAGCTAATTTTTGTATTTTTAGTGGAGATGGGGTTTCGCCATGTTGGCTAGACTGGTCTTGAACTCCTGAACTCAAGTGATCTGGCTGCCTCAGCCTCCCAAAGTGCTGGGATTAGAGGCATGAGCCACTGAGTCTGGCCCCCTACTCTGGTTTTAACCCACCTTCCCTTTTGAAATCCTTCCAACTCTAATGGAGTTTCCTAAAAGCTGGGAAGGTATCAAGGCCTCAGGCTAATTGGAGGCAGCCCTGGTCTTCCTGGAAGTTCCTATCCTCTAAGCCCATTTCTCCCTGTGGTGGGCTGAATTCTAAGAACTCTACAATGGCCCCCAAGGTTCTCATCCCTTGGGGCACACACCCTGTTCTGGGACAGGCAATCCCAGACAGGAGAATCAGAGAGGAGAAAGAGGTTCCTCTCTTCACTGATGAGCCCTTTAAAAAGCAAATAAAGGAAAGAAGGGGGAAGAGGAACATTGTGGCACAGAGATGGGGTAGCAAAAAGTATTTCTGCCCTGAGTGTAGATAGAGACTACCTTGAGTGGGGCGCAAATGGAGGCAAGTGGCCAAAAGTGACAGAATCCAAGGACCAGTCAGTATTACATCTTCATTATAAACCAAACCCTGGTGTGTGAGCGAACAGGGCTCTTTTTCTTCCCCCTTTTTTTCTTAGCGATAAGAAGAAATAATATTCAAACAATCAAAGTTCAAAATCTGTGGATTATTTCTGAGAAATGCTGAAATCAAGCTAATGAAGTTTTAATTACTAGAGAGATTAGCCTCCAAACCTGGCTCAGACACCAACTTCCCTAACACTGCTTGTCCACACTGATAAGAAGGCTGATCTTGTATGGGGCTTGAGGTACCTTTATCCTTTTTCTTGCTGCCTTTTTTTTTTTTTTTTTAGTTGTTTGTCCCTCCCCTCTCCCCCTACCAGCTCTTTAGTTTCCAGTAGTCTTTTTGTCTGTCATTGCCATAGAAATACTTTTGTGGGGCGTGGTGGCTCACTCCTGTAATCCCAGAATTTTGGAAGGCTGAGGCGGGCGGATCATCTGAAGTCGGGAGTTCGAGACCAGCCTGGCCAACATGGCGAAACCCCGTCTCTACTAAAAATACACAGAAAAATTAGCGAGGCATGGTGGCACACGCCTGTAATCCCAGCTACTCGGGAGGCTGAGGCAGGAGAATCACTTCAACCCAGGAAGCAGAGGTTGTGGTGAGCCGAGATCACACCACTGCACTCCAGCCTGGGAGACAAAGCGAAACTCCTTCTCAAAAAAAAAAAAAAAAAAAAAAAAAGAAATATTTTTGGATACCATAACATAGTTCACAAGAAGCATGGGTACCAAGCCCTGTGTCCTTGCCTCTCAATGATGCCCAATAATTAGAAATTAATGATACTTTCCCATCTCGTTGTCTTAAACTGCCTGTTTAAAAATGCCAGCCTGGCTTAGGAAAAACAAATTGTTTTCTACTACATTGTACCTATCTTTATGTAAAGAAATAATTTGTTAAGTACTTATAATCTTAGTCTGTATCCATATAGAATGTCTATTCTACAATTGTGTTAATAAAGATATGTTGTCAGTAATTATATGTGAGAGAAAATAATAAAAGTTTCTGAAAAGAGAATGAGGACAGCTTTTTCTCTTTTGTTCTGTTTAAGCACAGAGAACATGACTTTATTGATGTATTTGTTTATTTATTTATTTAGAGACGGAGTCTTGCTTTGTCACCCAGGCTGGAGGGCAGTGGCACAATCTCGGCTCACTGGAACCTCTGCCTTCCAGGTTCACGCAATTCTCATGCCTCAGCCTCCCAGTAGCTGGTATTACAGGCACCTGCCAGCACACCTGGATAATTTTCGTATTTTTAGTAGAGATGGGGTTTCACCATTTTGGCCAGGCTGGTCTCGAACTCCTGACCTCAAGATATCTGCCTGCCTTGGCCTCCCAAAGTGCTGTGATTACAGGCGTGAGCCACCGCGCCTGGCCAAACATGACTTTAAAATGTCATGTTATCCCATGACATTTTATTATGAAAATATTCATAGATACAGCAAAGTTGAGAGAATCTTATAGTGGACACCTACCACCTAGATTCTCGAATTAACATTTTACTGTGCTTGCTTTATGACGTATCTATTCATCTGTCCCTCTCCCAATCCACTCACTAATCTTTCTTATTTTTTATGATGCACTGCAAAGCAAATTATAGTCATCAGTGCACTTCACCCTAAATACTTCAGCATGTGTTTTATTAATGAGAGTTCAATCTTTGTTAGCAATTTTTTGTTGGTGTAAAATGTATGAAGAAATGCACAAATCTTTCGTGTACATGAGCTGAGGTTTGGAAATGCATACAGCCTTGGAACCTAAGTTCCTATCGACCTAGAGAACTTTCTCTTCACTCCAGGAGATCCCTCCGTGTCCTTCTTCAGTCAATTCCTGATCATGTTCCACCCCCAGAAGATTCTGTTTCCTAATTTTTCCTACCATAGGTTATTTTTTTTCTCTTCTAAAATGCCAGGTCAATGCAACAATATCATTTATACTCTATCATGTAAAGATTCTTTCTCTCAGCACAATGACTGTGAGATCTATCCATGCTGTTCTTTTATCTTTATTGCTGGGTGATAGTCCCTTGCATGAATAGAACTCAGCTGTTTATTCATCTTCCTATTGTTTACAGTTTGGGGCTATTACTTGAAGGGAAGTATTGAAGGGAAGACCAAATTGAAATAGCAAAAAAAAAAAAAATACAACAAACAACAACAAAAATTAAATGCACAAAAATATTCAGTACATGCGTTTGCACACACAAACATTCAGACTCATGAAATCTTTTAAGGTTAGAATTTTATTACTTCTCTTACATATAGTTACTGATAACTTTTTTTTTTTTTTTTGAGATGGAGTCTTGCTCTTTTGCCCAGGCTGGAGTGCAGTGGTGTGATCTTGGCTCACTGCAACCTCCATTCCCCAGGCTCAAGCAATTCTGCCTCAGCCTCCGGAGTAACTGGGACTACAGGCATTTGCCACCATGCCCAGCTGTTTCTTTTGTATTTTTTGTAGAGATGGGGTTTCACCATGTTAACCAGGCAGGTCTCAAACTCCTGACCTCAGACCATCTGCCCACCTCGGCCTCCCAAAGTGCTGGGATTATAGGTGTGAGCCACCACACCCAGCCTGATAGCATATGTTTATTACCATAATTTATAGAATAGAGATTCTATATAAATAAACAGATTAGTATGATAAGTAATTAGCACATTATTTTATTTACACAAGAAGGGGTACAATGTGTTAAAAAACAATTTGTTTTTCCTAAACCAGCCTGGCATTCATAAACATACAGTTCAGGACAGTGAGAAATTATATCGATTTCCAATTATTGGGGCCCAAATAGAATATAGAGATATAGAGCTAAAAGTAGCTCTATATACTCTTGTCAAGAAAAGTCATTGCAGAGCACAGGTTGAAAGTTCTTAACTCTTCTGTGTGTTTAAGGACACCTCTCTGGTGAGAGGCACTGTGAAGTCGTAGAACAAGTGCCTTGCTGAAGAGGTCTTTAGGCTGAATCTCAGTTCTGCCTCCTGGCTACATCACCTACCATCTCCAGGCCTCAGGTCTTGTTTGTAAAAAGAAGGAATTGGAATGGCCAATTTGGAGATTCCTTCCAGATGTGTGTGTGTATTATCTATAAATAATTATATATACACCCTATATATATATGTATGTATGTACACGCTAAATATATGTGTATGTATGTGTGTGTGTGTGTGTGTATATATATGTGAATATAGTCAATTTAATAGAGAGGGTGGTTAAAGCCATGAGAATCATTAGGGTTTTCATTAGTGGACCAACAGAGAGTCCATAAAGAAATCCTAGTAGGCAAGGTAATTTAGTATATAACAGAGGCAAAGCTCCAATTCAGCGGAAAATAATTATTTTAGAAATGGTATAGGAAAAACTGACTCTCCTTTTGAAAGAAAATAAAGTCAGCATTACTTCACATCATATGCAAAAATAAATTTGGGGTATATTAAACATTTTAATGTAAAAATAAAACAATATAAGCTTAGAAAAATAGATTGCAGAATATCTTTATAAGAAAAGGTTGTAGAGATCTTTTAAAAAGATCTCTTAAGATCTTTAGAAAGATCTTTTAAAAAGGTTGTAGAGATCTTTTAAAAGCAGATAACTCAGAGGCTTTAAAAGAAGTATCTGTTTCACTACAGAAAAATTAACAGGGTTTTTGACATTTTTTGTATTTGTTAGAGATATAAGGAACACAGTCAAAAGAAAAATTATAAATAGAATAAGATTTTAAATGCATTTAACAGATAAAAGGCTGGTAATAGAATAGATAAAATGACTTACAAGTTGAAAAGACAAAAACAATTAAAATGGACAATAAATATGAATAGGCACCTTTTCAACAGGTAAAGCTGACTGACACATATGTATCATAAAATTATCAGTACAACTTAGTCATTGGAATTTGTAGCTTGTACAATATTACAAAAACAAAAAAGCCACTGCCGACATTTAGAATTAAGGAAATTTACAAAGAATTTCAGTTTCACTCCTTTTGTTTGGTAGGTCATAAATCTAACACTCAACTTGCATTTCCACTACTATGATCTGAATGTCTGTGTCTCCCCAAAATTCCCTGAAATTCTAAACCTCAAGGTGATGGTATTAGGAGGTGAGGTCTTTGGGAGGTGATTAAGTCATGACAATGTAGCCCTAATAAGTGGGATTACTGCCCTTAGGTCAGGAGTTTGAGACCAACCTGGCCAACATGGTAAAACCCCGTCTCTACTAAAAATACAAGAATTAGCCAGGGATGGTGGCACGTGCCTGTAATCTCAGCTACTTGGAAGGCTGAGGCAGGAGAATTGCTTGAACCCAGGAGGTGGAGGTTGCAGTGAGCCAAGATCACGCCATTGCACTCCAACTCTGGGCGACAGAGCAACAATCTGTATTTGGGAAAAAAAAAAAAAAAAAAGAGGTCCCCCTGTTCCAAATGCAGGAGAGCTCCTTCATCCCTTCTACCATGTGAGGGCTCAGAAGAAGACAGTTGTCCATGAACCAAGAAGTAACCAAGAAGTGGGTTCTCACCAGACACTGAATCTACCATTGCCTTGGTCTTGGACTTCCCAGCCTCCAGAACCATGAGAAAAACAAATTCTATTGTTTATAGATGCTATGGTTAGAGTGTGTCCCCTAAAAAATCATGTGTTGGTAATGTAATCTCAAATACAACAGTGCTGGGATATGGGGACTAATGAGAGGTGATTAAGCCATGAAGGTGGAATGAATGCATTAATGCCATTATTATGGGAGTGGGTTTGTCACTGTGGAAGTGAGTTTCTTATAAAATGACAAGTTTGGCTCCTTTTCTGTCTCTCATGCTCTTTCTTTTGCCTTTCTTCCAGGTGATGCCTTCCACCATGTTATGATGTGATAAGAAGGCCCTCACCAGATGCCAGACCCTCAATCTTGGATTCCTAGCTCCAGAACCCTGAGCCAATAAATTTCTGTTCATTATAAACTACTCAGTCTCTGGTATTCTTTTATAGCAGCATAGAATGGACTAAGACAATAAGGCACCCAGTTTATGATGTTCTGTTATAGCAGCATAATGGGACTGAGACACCCACTGAGCAGAGCTGGTTCCATCATTTGCAAGGTCCAGTGCACAATGAAAATGCAAGTCCCCCTGTTCCAAATGCAGGGGGAAAGTGCTGTTAAAGTACTAGCATGTAAAACGTTGCCCTTTCTTCTGCAGCCTCTGGACCTATAATGGTGCTTTCTATTTGCTAGCCATGCTCCTCTTGGGCGTGCAGTTTCTCTGGGGCTGGTGCAGCCCCTCACAGATGTAGGGGACTCTTTGTGCAGGGGGACTCAATGAACTTGTCCACTCGTGAGCACGGCCCACCAGCTGTGGAGTCATCCATCCCATAAACTCTGCTCCCCATTCTCACCATCCTGCAGCCCTAACCCACTGCTGACAGCAATCCCACCCTGAATCACACTCAGTAGTTGCATTGAGGGTGAATGCGAGGCTCACCTGCACTGAGTCACCCAGATCAGGGTGGGGATGGTCACTGTCTTGCCCTGCTCTGAGACCCCAACCCTCCTGGTGCCTACTCCTGGATCCCCACTGAAAGCAGAGAGGGATGGAAGAACATTGGGTCCCCCTTATTGCGCATCCTGGTGATTTGACTTAATTGACACCCAGGGGGAACGGCAGCAGCAGTTGTTTCTGGGCAGGAGCAGGAAAAGGAAGGCTAGATAGGGCCTGAGAAGTCAGAGGGTGAAAAGAAGGAGGCCAAGAACTGGAGAGGTGATGAAAGACAGTCACGGAGGAGCTGAGGTTCCAAGTCCCCATGCATGCTCTATTGTCTCAACAGACCTCACTTACAAAACACAAACTCAAAGATAAAATTTAATAATAAAATAAATTAAATTAAGAGCAGTAAAACCCAACTGAGGGACCCTTCTGAGCCCAGAGCCCTGTGCAACTGTACTGGTGGCTTGCCCATGACACCAGCCCCATCACTTAGCAACACTTGACAAGAGCCAGAGACACCAAAGCACTTGCCATTGTCCCTGCCTCTTTAGCTTGTCCTGTTTTTTTCCAGCCCTCCAGTGGGGTCTAAGTTTGCAAGCTCTAGATTCAACCACTATAATGCAGGGACTACCTTTCACCTTTTAAGCTTGAGTCCAGCATGTGCACATCAGGCTGCTCAATGCATGCTTGTTGCATTTAATAGACTCATATCCACAGGAGCCCCCATCTTTTCCTTTCACTTTCACCAGTTGGTGGTTGTCTTCTCCTTCCCCAGGCTGCCTAGAGTTATCCTAAGAAGCACTTAGGTCTCCTTTCTCCTAAATGACTGGGGTCTAGGGACATCTTTCCAGCTCTTACTGCCAGGAGGCTGCAGGCTATAGTTGTCACCTCTTCCATGTGCAGAGGGCTACAGGAGCCACAGCAATGTGTTCCCATGGTCATTTGCTTCTGTACACTTTGCAAAAGTTAGATATTTTAGCAGTTAAGATGCTGCTTCTTTCCATTCAGACGTCTCTCTGTCTCACTTCCCTTCTGGTCAGGTGGCACTGGAGTGGCCATGGCATTTAGGGGATCTGGCTCAGGGTCATTGAGTTGGGCGTACATTTAGGGTAGACTTTGGGGGATATGTGTAGGTGGTTTGCAGACATGTAGGTAAATAGTTAACCTACTGCTGGCAGAAATTCACAGGCAGAAGTAGGGTTGAGATTTGTCTGACTCTGATGGTGCTGATCTAAAAATGATCCTCTATTGCCTTTTATTGCTTAGTGACCCCTCATCAGGTCTTTGACTCCCCAAATTAAGGACAGGATGGTCCATCCTCAGCCACTTGCCAACATTTGACATCCTTTTGCATCTCCCTAATGGACTCTGGTCTTTTTGCCCACTGCTGTCTATTTGTCCATTGCTCTCTGTCCATTGCTGTCCATTGCTCTGAGACCATTGCTCAGACTTTTTGCCTTTGCTGGAGAGTGTTTTTCTTCATGCTCTTCCTTCAACTAAAATGACCATGCCCAATCATATCTGCACTAATTCCTTGCTGATTTCACCTGAAATACAGACATTAATGGAGATAACATACAATTTATAAATATATCTCTAAAAAAGTATATCAAAGACAAACTCATTAAGAAGTGACATTAATTTTTCAGTTTTTAAGGTTAGTTGCGGTGAAAAAATCTTGAATGCCCCAAATCCTATAGCTTTTGTATGAAAGAAACATACAGATTTCCCAAAATTTGGCAATAATTCTGACAACTTACTTGCCACTGCCAACAAAGAATCATGAGGCTGAAAGAAACTTTTATAAACAATCAATAATAAGATTCAAAAATAAAAATAAAGATCAACCATATCAGAGACAATACTAAATTATTTTTCCTTTTTTTTCTATAGAAAGATATTATAAAAGTGTATTATAGATAGGCCAAGAGAATGTTGCAAAAAAATTTGGAAAAAAGTATTACGGAGTCGTGTCAGGCACCCAATTAATAAAAAGCGTTGCTTTTTTTTCCCGGAATTGTATATGTCTATGTATTTGTCAGCATTTAAAAACTTATAATTTGGCTTTTAAAAATCATTCTAATAAATCTTGCTTTCATACTTAACTTTTATTTAATGGATTATATTTCTTGAAGAATTTCCCCAATTGCGTAAGTTTTAGATCCCAAATCTGGATCCTGATGGGTCCTAGACAGCTAGTATCTGAGGAGAGAGAACCCTCCGGTCACTGATGTTTCTGGGAAGACATGGAAGAGTCAGCCAAAGTTGGAGGGGGGTAACTGAATCAGAGTTCAAGGTCAGCAGAAGAAAGACAGGGATGAAAGTTGGAATGAAGAGAAAGGCCTCAGGGTTTCCCTTTAATCAAGAGATTAAGTAGGGAATTGTTAATAATAAAATCATTACTGGGCCTAGTGGCTCACACTTGTAATCCCAGCATTTTAGGAGGCTGAGGCAGGAGGATCTTTTGGGGTCAGGAGTTTGAGACCAGCCTGACCAACATGGTGAAACCCCGTCTCTACTAAAAATACAAAAAAAATTAGTCACCCGTGGTGGCACATGCTTGTAGTCCCAACTATTTGGGAGGGTAAGGCAGAAGAATCACTTGAACCAGGGAGGTGGAGGTTGCAGTGAGCCGAGATTGTGCCATCGCACTCCAGCTTAGGCAACAGAGTGAGGCTCTGCCTCAAAAGAAAATAATAATAATAATAATAGGCCAGGTGCAGTTGCTCACGCCGGTAATCCTAGCACTTTGGGAGGCCAAGGCAGGTGGATCACCTGAGGTCAAGAGTTTGAGACCAGCCTGGCCAACATGGTGAAATCTCCTCTCTACTGAAAATACAAAAAGTAGCCCGGCATGGTGGCGGGTGCCTGTAATCCCAGCTACCTGGGAGGCTGACGCAGGAGAGCTGCTTGACTCTGGGAGGCGGAGGTTGCAGTGAGCCGAGATAGCACCACTGCACTCCAGCCTGGGTGACAGAGCAAGACTCCATCTCAAAGTAATAGTAATAATAATGATAATAAATAAAATAAAATTATCATCATCATCATCAAAAATAAAATAATGACTAAATATATATTCATTAACTGTTTTACTTTAACTCAATGCAAAGGCACCTTCATCTGGCAGGTGTAGGGCAAGGCTAAAGTCTTCTCTCGAAGTCTGAGTCCTCTAACAGAGCTGCTTCTTTGGCTTTTTGGTGTAAACCACAATGAAGAATCCTCAACCCATAATGCGGATTTCTCAAACGTGGAGGAATGACTTTCAAATATGGAAAATGGGAAGTAATGGAGTGCAGTATCCTTCCGGAGCATTAACTTCTTCCCTTCATATTTTTCAGTTCTCTCACCAATCTGTAATTCAACAGCTCAACAGCAGGCTGTTCTTTGATTGACTTGCTGTTAAGTTTTCCAAGGCATTCAACCTTGTTATCATAGAAACTGCTCTTTTCTGTACTCATATTTCATCAGTTTATAGGTTATTCACAGAATTACATAATTGTTAACATAAGTGTAACTGATGGACACAGATCCGGAGGTAAACACACCTGACTCAGGTACCTGAACAACTCACTGGGCAGATGTGGGCACATGCCCTGGAGGGCTGCTCTCCAGCCTGCGTGGTCCATGGAGTATGAGCTTTACGTGTGTTTTCCTGGGAAAAAGGAGATTATGGTTTATCTAGTAATTCATGGGTGGAACTAGGTGAAGAGAGCACCTGCCATAATGGTAAACTGAGCAAAAGGAAAGTAGTAAAAAGAGGTGCAGAAGGAAAGATTGCTGAACCTCAGCCCACATGCAGACAATGAACGTGGTTGGAGATTCCCATTCTGCCAAACTGCCCAAGCTGTGCACTAGGTTAGTTATGAACTATTGCCATAAAATGAATTTTCTGATAAGAATATTTTCTGTAGGAATATTGAGGAGCCCACCGCCCTCCTTGGGTTCAGGTTAAGTTGGCTGCACAGCATTCATGATCCACACCAGCAACTAGCATGTTTCTCTGTGCCCCTTCCACCTCTTGTCTTGCTAGGTCTGACCTCCTAGTTTTGTATCCTGAGTAGGCAGGCAATCCTCAGAAAGGAGCCCATAGAATTTTCTGTAGTGACTCTAGGGTATTATGCTTCCCTGGCACCTCTCCTGGTCAAAACTAGGTATGGAGGTGGCCCCAAATCTTCCTGGGTTTTGGTTTGAACATCAGCGTGTTCAGAACCCTGACTGGGCCACTTCCTCTATCCCATATGCATGAGAGAATCACCAACAATATTTGACCTTGAACATGGAACCCTTGTGCGCCACAATGCAGCCCCTACCTACCTCGCCAGCCTCTTCCCTACCCACCTCTCCAGCCTCGAGCCACAATGGGACACCCCTCACCCCCATTCTCCAGAAACACATATGGGTTTTAGTCTTAGTCCTACACAAACAACAAAAAAAGTCATTCCTGGATTCATGCTTCCAGGACATGCTGCCTTCTGTGAGAGGGCTGTTTTTCCAGACATCCACTCTACCTTGCCTCTCATGTCCAATACTCATGAAATCCTGTTAGTTCTATTTCCTAAATATTATGTGATTTTTCTGCTTTCTCTCCACCTACCCCTTAGAACCAGCCCTCCTCCTCTCTCACCTGGACCATTGCTGAAGGCTCTCAGCTGGTTTAGTTGTCTCCCAACTCTTCTCAAGCCAACCCTTTCTTTAAGCTGAATGCAAATTCAATCATGCTACCTTCCTGTATAATGTCCTTTACGATAAATTCCCAATGCCCACAAGATAAAGCCTAAATTCCTCACCCAGGCACACAAGGCCCTATAAGATCTGGCAATTATTGTGATCAAGTATGTTTCTTTCTTTCTTTCTTTCTTTCTTTTTTGAGACCGAGTTTCACTCTGTCGCCCAGGCTGGAGTGCAGTGGTGCGATCTCAGCTTACTGCAACCTCCACCTCCTGGGTTCAAGTGATTCTCCTGTCTCAGCCTCCCGAGTAACTGGGACTACGAGTCCTGGTGCCCGCCACCATGCCCGGCTAATTTTGCATTTTTAATGGAGATGGGGTTTCACCATGTTGGCCAGGCTGGTCTCAAACCCCTGACCTCAGTTGATCCGCCTCAGCCTCCCAAAGTGTTAGGATTACAGGTGCGAGCCACTGTGCCTGGCCTATTTTTTTCTCTTAATAAATTGTGAGTTTCTCAAGGGTGGAGACTGTTCCTCTATCTTCCATATCCAGGGCACATTGTAAAAAATATTCAGATTAGGCCACTTATTTAGAAATTCATGGAAATGTTGATTGGGACACAATCAACCCTTTGAAGATATCTTCCAAAGGAAATCTTTGTTGAATTTGGCAAGTGGTTTAATTCAAGAAAGATATGTTGAAATTTTAGTTTTTAAAAAGCTTACATATAAAAAACAAGTTTTAAAAAACACAAGATATATAAGAAACAAAATTTAAAAACAAGTTTGCCCCAATTGATCTTGGTCTCAGATACCCAGAAACAATGTAGTCCTGTAAGGTCTTCCACATGCTCTAAAGATGTCCAGAAAATTCTGTCAGTGGGATCTTTGCAAGAAAAGGTATACGAGTCAAGGTGGAGCCCGATCCTTCTGCCTCATCGTCACTGTAATGAGAGGGAGAGCAGTGGAACCCATTCAGGGTCTACCAGGAGGCAGCACTCTCTTCCCTGGAAGCCTCTGAGACTGTCAACCTTCCAAGAAGGTGACTCTGGAGGGACAGGGTAGGATTATGTCATATTCCTGGAATAGTGTAGCAAAAGTCCCCCTGTTTATGCACTCTGCTGAGATTCAGGTCTGTGCTGGCACAGGACAGAATGTTCCAGCACAGGATAACTATGTTACAGTGCCAGTTATGAAAGCAGGGGAGTGTCTTGTGTTGGGGGCAGAGCAGTCTTTGACTGCCACGCTAGGTAAAAGGCCACCACGAAAGCCTTCTTATTTAGTCTGAGCTTTCACAATTCCAGGCTCTTGCCAGTCTCAGGATTTTTCTCGTGAATGAACCAGGAAGGTCCAAGGTAGGGTGAGCAAGGCAAGCTAGCCAGGGATAGGAGCAGGGCTAGTTTGTAGTGCAGGCTGCCCTGCTGAGGGGAGCAGCCTCATATGAGTCCAGGAGGCAGTCAGCATGATTCACCGAGCCTGTTGGAGGCTAGTGACTTGAGCTGGTGTTTCATAAGGCTCTGCATGGGCAGTTTTCCCTCCCGGATTCCTCTCCATGCAGCTGCAGACTGAGGAAAATCAAAGCCACAGCTTCTGCTGGGATTTGCATGGGAAAGTTTCCCCCTTCCCTGGGAATGTCCTTTCAGTTCTCTACACCCCGTGGCTTCGACTATGTTCCACAAACACTGAGCCAACAGCTTGCCAGAACCCCAGGGTCAGCGCCTGTGGAACCTGTCACCCACCTGCAGCTGCAAGTCTTGGGATATGCGTGAGACCTCAGACAGCAGTCTGCCTGCTGGGTGGAGGTGGGGGGTCCAGGCCAGGATGGGCTGACTGGCAAACATTCCCAGGTAGGGTGACCAACTCATCCTGGTTGTCCCAAGACTTTACTGCCTTTAGCACTAAAAGAATCATATCAAAGGAAATTCCTCAGTCCTAGACAGAAGAGGACACCCTGTCCCCTGACTCTCTAATCCCCGGCAGTGGTGTGCCTGCTGACCTGCCCAAATAGTTGTACTTATCCTGAGCTGCTGATTCACCTTGTGGACAGGGTGGCTCAATGCAACTGATGGCACTTTCCTCTTTGGCTGGCTCCTAGAAAATTCATTTTAAAATTTATTTTATTTTATTTTTGAGACTGGGGCCTTGCCAGGCTGGAGTGTAGTGGTGCGATCATAGCTCACTGCAGCCTCAAACTCCTGGGTTCAAGCCATCTTCCTATCTTAGCCTATGGCATAGCTGAGACTACAGATGTGTGCCACCACGCCTGGCTAATTAAAAAAAAAATTATTTTGGTAGAGATGGGCCTTGCTATGTTGCCCATCAGGTTTTGAACTCCTGAGCTCAAGTGATCCTCCTGCCTCAGCCTCCATAGTCGCTGGGACTACAGGTATGCACCACCACATCTGGCTAATTTTTAAAAAAATTTTTGTAGAGACAGAGTCTCTCTATGTCGCCCAGGCTGATCTTGAACTCCTGGCCTCAGGCATTCCTCCTTGGCCTTCCAAAGTGCTGGGATTATACACATGAGCCGGCTGCTGGAAATTTCAGAGCCTAATTTGTACCTCTCCCTAACGAATTATATAGGAATGAGTAGGTGCAATTTGTGTGTTAATCTTTCTCTTAGCCAATCCATCTCTCCTTAGCATCTATTTGTCTTCTTTTAATACTTACTATAAAACACACCTTCTCTTACATCATTGGCCGTAGCTTTGTAACCATTTCAAATTATATTTCAAAGACCTACAAATTGTTAGGCCCCTCTCAAACCTCCTGCAGGGAAATCTTTCCTATCTGCCCAAGACCCTTCTTTGAGTGTGTCTGGCCTTGGCCAGGAGGCACCATTGTAACAAAATAGACCTGATCATGCACTTGGGGAAAAATCACTAATCCTTAGTGTCTGCTGTTATGAACAGAGGTATTTTTAAAAACGTTAGAAACATGTATAGGCCTTTGCTGAAATTACGATCAAATTCTGTACCTGCTTAACAATTTGTTCCATCACAGTGTAATGGCGAGCGTGCGCCTGGCTGCTCCCCCAAATGATCGCGGTTGGGTTTTCTGTACAGTTTTCTCTCCAGTCGAAAGATAATTGCTTTCCACACATAGGAAAATCTAAGCATAGAACCAGGTGTTCAGGTAGCTTGGGCTGAGCCAAATGAAACCAGCCACAGGCAGGCTCTGTGAAAACAAGATTTAGCTTGCATGACAGCTACTGTTTCACTGGCTTTGATGAGGTGTGAGCGATGTGTATTTCACAGGCCACAATACGGCTTCGAGAGGGAGCCTGAACTTCAGTGTCTACTTCCAGTTCTTTGCCCTTGGCTGTTTTGATTTTCAGTCTGAGAGGTACTCCTGGGCTAATTCACTTTTTTCTCTGGCACTCGTAGAAAGAATCCAGGCACTATTCGGCACAGTAATTTGAACATTTTTCATTTAGGAGGATCTGGCCATGGGACCAAATCCTGGGACCAGTGAGTCTTGGAAAAATCACTTAGAAAATGTATCCAAGGCCTGTTTGCTAAAATCATTCCCTCTTTTCATTTATCTTTGCAGACATTTCGCTTCCTGTCTCATAACAAATTCAAATAACAAATTCAACTTTAGGTCTGAAAAAATGTGAGCTGTGACCACAATATATTGTTATCTGAATTGTCCAGATGGTCCAGGAAAAAAAAAATTGAAGCTTATTTGATTGATTTCTCTAACTTCCCAGACAGATTATGATTCATTGGGAAAATGTTCCCTGTGGTTTTCTAGAGTATTTTCAAGCAATAGCCGTGCCGAAGGAGCTTCAGGGTATGAAGACTAGTTTCTAAATGATACATAATAAACCCTGTTGCTTGGCAAAGTTTTCATTTTGAAATCTGAAACCTTTACCATCTCCAAGTTTCAGGATAGCAAAAGAATCTCAACTGATTTCACCAAAATCAATTCCTGACCTTTGACCTTTATTACAAACTGTAGCATGAAGTCTTTGCCCCACTCAAAAGTATACAATTTTTTTTCATGAATCATTGTGGTTCGTTCAGAAAAACTTGGCCAAGGCATGAGGTTTATGTCCAGTTTAGAACACTTGTGCCAGATATGATACATTCAACATGATGTGTGGTTTCCTCTTTTTTTTTGAGACGGAGTCTTGCTCTGTCACCCAGGCTGCAGTGCAGTGGGGCACTCTCGGCTCACTGCAACCTCCACCTCCCAGGTTCAAGTGATTCTCCTGCCTGAGCCTCCCAAGTAGTTAGGACTACAGGCACCCGCCATCACACCGGGCTAATTTTTGTATTTTTAATAGAGATGGGGTTTCACCATGTTGGCCAGGCTGGTCTTGAACTCCTGACCTCAAGCAATCTGCCTGCCTCGGCCTCCCCAAAGTGCTGGGATTACATGCATGAGCCACCATGCCCGGCTGGTTTTGATTTCTTGAGAAATCCCTGTAACGGCACCTTGAAACCCCACCAAGCCATTGTGAGGAGCATTTAAGCCAAACCAAGATCCCTGTTTAGGGTTTGATGTTGGATTCTCCTGGCAATGTGGGTCTTGTCTACAATACAGTTGGTGCACACTCCCATAACCCACAGCAGCACCCGGCTGGATGAAAAATGACTCTATCCAAATGATGGGATGTGTTCTTTCCCAACAGAGGCCCACACGGCTCTGCGAGCCTTCTTCAGGGAAGCTCTGTAGTGCCTGAGCTGTCATCCTAGCCCCATGAGAGAAAGGACAGGGAAGGGGGTTCCACAGCCTATGCAGAACTTCAGGGGAGGGGTGGTGGCCAGGAATGTTCACCTCTTCCCACAGGCCTTTATAGATGTCAGGACATGTCTGGACAGAATCAATAATTAGATTTATCTGGGTAGGAGGCGGTACTTTTGCACGCATACACACACACACACTTTTTTGGGAGGCTGAGTAGGGGAGAGAGGAATGAAACACAGTATTATTCTTGCAGATACAGAGCTATAATGATGGCGTTGGAATAGCTGGCAGTGGGAGAATAATCTGTGAAACTGAAAGGAGCTGTTCCTCACTTTTTGTTTCCCCCTTTTTTTCTTTTATTGATATGTAATATTTGACATGTTTCTGGGGTACATGTGTGTTACCTACTTCTAAGGTTAGACAGAGTCTTGATAGCTCAGGATTTTTTTAAAGCTAGGTGTATGGTTGATTTTAATGGTAATATTTCATTTGCAACTCAAAGGATAAATGCTTGAGGGGATGGGTACCCAATTCTCCATGATGTGCTTATTTCACATTGCATGCCTGTATCCAAACATCTCAGGTGTCCCATAAATATATACACCTACTGTGTACTCACAAACATTAAAAATAAAAAAAATCACTACTTCTTAATACTATATCTAAAATCTTAGCACCTCCCCAAATGCTTTCTAATTCATCGCCAGGCTATGCAATTGTTATAGTTTCCATCCCTGAGGGTTAAGTAGGATCATGACTCCCATCACAGGGATAAGTAACCTAAGGTTCCGTGGATTTTGTTTGTTTTCTAGAGCAGGGAGCTCTATTCTTTTAGGCTTTATCCACTTGCAATTTCTTCAGCATTTGTCCTGCTTGTCATAGGGTTTAATTTCCTCTTCTTTTCCTCCTTTCTCTTAGACATGTGGGCTTAAAGCCATCCCTCACTGATCCCTGCTAGCAGATGAATATATCGGAAGGTGATGAGTACGAAGGAGCTTGGCTGCCAGCCAGGCGGTGTCGGAAAAGGATGGGAATTATGTTGTTGTGAACCTAAAGCTGCTCCAGGAAAGTCTATCGAAAAGTTAAAAACATTTAAATAAACAAATAAAAGGATGAGAATGTTGAAATGCTAAAAGATCAGTGGTGTGTGGGATTCTTCGAGCCCTGCAGTTTCAACACATTTGAGGTGGAAGGGCCAAGATCGGCCTGCCATAGCCCTTTGTTTAGAGGATGTTCAGCCAGTGGTGACTCCACAGGCCTGCAGCCTAAAAGCCCAGGGGCAGATGCAAAGGCAGTCTAGACCAAAGCGTTGTCCCATGCCCGCACAGGTGCGGACAAGTCCAGGAACTCGCCAGCTGTTGCAGCTCTCTCAGAACAAATACAGCCATAACCATTGGAGGGCCAGCAGGCAGCCTCAGCCTGCAGAGAGGTGGGCTCCGTCACTCCGGCCTCCTTGTCTCTCCTCCAGTTTGATAGAAGCCCCACCCCCGGTCTAATATTACAATCCATATAGCTTGTGTCACCAGCTTGCCTATTTCCAGTAAAAACCAGGTAGCAAATCTAGGCTCAGTAGTGTGTGCCTGCAGTCCCAGCTACTCAGCAGGCTGAGGCAGGAGGATCACTTGAGGCCAGGAGTTTAAGGCTGTAGTATTCACGATGATGCCTGTGAATAGCCACTGCACTTCAGCCAGGGTGACACAGCGAGACCTGTCAAAAAAAAAAAAAAAAAAAAAGCAAAAACAAACCAAAAACAGGTAACAAATAGAAAATTTGTCACAATCCCTTTCAGGACAGTCAACATTATAACATTATGATTAATATTTCTAAAGGGGACAGACAAATGCTGGTTGTCTCTGTCTGTGAAGAAGTGTATGTTATATTCAGTGGTATGTGTATTCAGTCACATATATTCAAGGTGGCTGAACTTCACAGAACCCAACTATATTAGTCGGTCCTTGCGTTGCTCTAAAGAAATAACAGATTGGGTGATTTGTAAAGAAAAGAGGTTTGATAGGCTCATGATTCTGCAGGCTGGACACGAAGAATGGTGTTGGCATCCACTCAGCTTCTAGGGAAGCCTCAGGAAACTTACAATCAGGTGGAAGGTGGAGAGGGAGCAGGCAAGTCAATGGCAAGGCAGGAGCAGGAGGGAGAGAGGAGGGGAGGCAGCACACGCTTTTAAACAATCAGATCTTGTGAGAATTCACTCATTATTGCGAGGACAGCACCAAGGGGATGGTACTAAACCATTAATAAGAAATGTGCTCCCAGGCCAGGCGCGGTGGCTCACGCCTGTAATCCCAGCACTTTGGGAGGCCGAGGCAGGTGGATCCCTTGAGGTCAGGAGTTCAAGATCAGGCTGGCCAACTTGGTGAAACTCCATCTCTACTAAAAATACAAAAAATTAGCTGGGTGTTGTGGTGCACGCCTGTAATCCCAGTTACTCAGGAGGCTGAGGCAAAACAATCGCTTGAACCCAGGAGGCAGAGGTTTCAGTGAGCCGAGATCGTGGCACTGCACTCCAGCCTGGGCAACAGAGCAATACTCCGTCTCAAAAAAAAAGAAAAAAGAAATCTGCTCCCATTATCCAACCACCTCCCACCAGGCCTCACCTCCAACATTGGGGATTACATTTCAACATGAGACTTGGGTGGGGACAAATCTACAAAGGATATCACCTATTAATATCCCCACTCCCACCCCGGGTGGCCGGGATCCCAAACAGCAAAAGAAGAGTTTTAAAAGTTGGGGAGCATAAGCAGAACTGAGGGATTCATCTTGTTTTGGAATAGTGTACACAATGTGTAGATCAAAGACATGCAAAAATACATGCTCATTTGATAGAAAATCTTGGGAATTTTCGCTTTTTTTTTTTGAGACGGAGTCTCACTCTGTTGCCCAGGCTGGAGTGCAGTGGTGCAGTCTCGGCTCACTGCAACCTCCACCTCCTGGATTCAAGTGATTCTCCTGCCTCTGCCCGTCTCAGCCTCCCAAAGTGCTGGGATTACAGGTGTGAGCCACTGAGCCCCACCGGAATTTTTCTTTATAAGATACCGTGGCAATGATGAAAGTTTGTCTTCAGTACCACAGATTTGGTGACCTTCAGTTTTGTAAAGCAACTGTCTTCAAACACCCTGGCCTACACCTTAAAAGTATTTTGAAAAATTACATTCCCCCTTGCACATTTCTAAGTTGACATTTAAATCCTTTTCTTCAAATATTTAAATAACTAAAAAAGATAGAATTTCCAGCAAAATGTAAACACTGGCATTTAAAAAAATGACTTCATTACTCTTTAAAATATATCTGATGGAATATAAACACAAGGGTGATTTGATACTCTCACTACCATCTATTTAAAAACCATTAATATTCTCTTCTTTAGCTGTTGGCAATTTAATATCTTTATATTGTATTTCCACTCCTCTTTCACACTGAATTTTATTCCAAGAAAATATAATTTTATAAATTAAAATTTGTATTAATTGCCCATCCTACTTCCTTGTCACAGAAGTATGTATAAATATGGACATTTAAGAAATTATTTTGGCCAGGTGTGGTGGCTTATGCCTGTAATCAAAGCACTTTGTGAGGCCAAGGTGGGCAGATTGCCTGAGCCTGAGCTCAGGAGTTCGAGTCTAGCCTGTGCAACACCGTGAAACCCTGTCTCTACTAAAACACAAAAATGCTTAGCCAGGCATGGAGGCACGTGCCTGTAGTCCTAGCTACTTGGGAGGGTGAGGCAGGAGAATTGCTTGAACGCGGAAGATGGACATCGCAGTGAGCTGAGATTGTGCCACTGCACTGGGCAACAGAGTGAGACTCTGTCTCAAAAAAAAAAAAAAAAGAAAAGAAAAAAATTATTTCTTCTGAATTCAGTTATGATTTTAATATTAATCTACATTTTGATTAAAAATACATTAAAGGCTATGCACAATGGCTCATATCTGTAATCCCAGCACTTTTGGAGGCTGAGGTGGGAGGATCACTTGAGCCCAGGAGTTCGAGACAAGCCTGGGCAACATAGTGAGACCCCATCTCTATAAAAATTGTTTTAAAAATTAGTTGGGCATGGTGGTATATGCCTGTGCCTGTAGTCCCAGCTACTCGGGAGGCTGAGGTGGGAAGTTTGCTTGAGCCCAGGAAGTCAAGACCACAGTAAACCATGATTGTGCCATTGCACTCCAGCCTAGGCAACAGAGCAAGACTGGGTCTCAAAAGAAGCAAAACTATACATTAAATAAATTTTAATTAAAATAATTACTAAAACATCATTGGAAATGTACCCTGATAAGATGGCTAGGAGTGTCTCAGTGCCTTCATGAAAGGACATCTTGCTGATGCCAGTATTTCTAATGATCCCTTTCTTTGGTAACCCAGGGTGGCAGATAGACTCTAAGATTGTCCCAAATTATTCCCGCCTCCTAGAGTCCATGGGCTTGTAGAGTCCCCTGCCAAAGTGTGGTTGGAACTGTAACTTGCTTCTAGTTAACAGAAACAGCAAGGGTGGGTACAAAAATACAGTTAGATAGAAGAAATAAGAGCTGGTGTTTGATAGATCAGTAGAGTGACCATAGTTAATAATAATCTATTATATATTTCACAATAGCTAAAAAAGAATAATTCAAATGTTCCTAGCACAAAGAAAGGATAAATGTTTAAGATGATGGATACCCCAATTACTTGGATTTGACCATTACACATTATAGGAATGTATCAAAATATCACACTTACCCCAAAATATGTGCATCTATTACGTATCAATAAAAATAAATAAATACATACATACATAAATAAAGGGGGGAATCAGAATACATCAAGGGTGTGTGATGAATGTTATGTCTGTGATTATGCAACAGGAGATGGGACTTTCCATCTTTCTAGCAGGCTTTCTCGACTCTCTCCCTTATTGACTTTGTTGATGTAAGCCTCCATGTGGTAAAGCCCTTGTGGCGGGAACTCAGGGCAGCCTCCGGCAACAGCCAGCAGGGAGCTGGGACTCAACAACCTGCCAGGAAGTGAATCCTGCCCAAACCACATGAGCTTGGAAGTAGATTGTTCCCCAGTGGAGCCTCAGATGAGACCCCAGCCTGGCAGACACATTGAATGCAGCCTCTTATGAGGTCCTGAAGCAGAGGACTCAGCTAAGTTAGGCCTGGACCTCTGACCAACAGAAACCATGAGAGAGTAAATATGGGTTGTGTTAAGCCACTAAATCACCCACTTAACACACTGGGGTCAATGCACTAGAGGTTAGCACTATAGCAGTAGTTGGGATGGGGGAAGGGTCTGACCTTCCCCTATAAAGTGGGAGAAGACTGTGAAGGGGAGGTATTTTCATAATGTTTCCATCACGAATGTTTTGTTCCAAATATCTCAGAAAGCAGTACATTCCAAGATTAAGAATCTGGAAATTGCCAGGTGCGGTAGCTCACGCCTGTAATCCTAGAACTTTGGGAGGCCGAGGCGGGTGGATCACGAGGTCAGGAGTTCAAGAACAGCCTGGCCAACATAGTGAAACCCTGTCTCTACTAAAAATATAAAAAATTAGCCTGGCGTGGTGGTGGGAGCCTGTAGTCCCAGCTACTCAGGAGGCTGAGGCAGGAGAATGTCTTGAATCTGGGAGGCAGAGGTTGCAGCGTGCCGAGATCGCACCACTGCACACCAGCCAGGGCAATAGTGCGAGACTCCGTCTAAAAAAAAAAAGAATCTGGAAATTGATGCTCTTAAATCTGTAGTGCCCAAGTGCCCCTTGGGAAGTTTCTTAAACCCCAGAGGTTGGTGTGGCCCAGTTTGAAGACGGTTGTAAAGCTTGAGCCATTATGATTCCTCCTCCCATACTGGGGGAGGAGTGGCCGTACTCAATGACCAAAGGGGTGTGCACAATGTGCCCCTGACCCTGTGCTCCAGTCCTGCCTCTGCTTGCAGGGGTTCAGCCCTCTTCCACGTCATCTGGTCAAATTCCATTCCAACGGGACAGGGCCTTATCAAACATCTACTGTGGTTTATACACTAACCCAGGCATTGGAAAAAAGGACAATGGTGATTGTGAAAGGGAGTGGCCCATAGGAGACATTTTGTTCTGGGAAGTCTTCTCAGATAACCACACTACGACCATCCTTTGCCCCGTCTTCTCTAAACTCCTGAAATGCAGGCTGTGTGCCACACACCTTGGAACATGGCCACGCATGGACTCACATGGCTTACTCTAGTTGTCTAAATGGCAGTGCTGTCTTCCTCAACAGTTTCCAACTATGCTCCTCTGGGCAGGGATTTTTTTTTTCAAGAGACAGGATCTGGCTCTGTTGTCCTGGCTGGGGTGCAGTGGCATGATCATAGCTCACTGCAGCCTAGACCTCCTAGGCTTAAGCAATCCTCTCGCCTCAACTTCCCAAGTAGCTGGGACTACAGGTGTGTGCCACCATGCCCAGCTAAGTTTTAAAAAATTTTGTAGAGAATCGGGTCTTACTATGTACCCAGGCTGGTCTCAAACTCTTGGCCTCAACTGATCCTCCCCCTTCGGCCTCCCAAAGCACTGGAATTACAGGCATCATATCTTAAACAAGCAAACAAAAGATTTTCAATTTGAAAACAGTTACAAAATAATAGTTTAAGTAACTTTTAGTAATATAGTCGTTTATATTTATTATAGAACATTATTAAAATGAGGATAAACCAAAAATAGAGACAAAGAAAGAAGAAAAGAAATCATCTAGAATTCTTCTATCCAAATACAATCATTGCTAGCATTTTGGTGTCCCTCTTTAGAGGCTGAAATAGTCCCATCTTACGCTTTTGGTCTCCCTCACAGCATCTCACACAGGCCTGAGGCTTGGAAGACACTCAGTGGCTGACTGCTTTAATGAAGGCTCTGCTGCCAGCCTGCTCACCACGGTTCCTGTTTTTCACCCTATGCAGAAAGTGCAGTATATTGTAGCAGCGAAACCTCTTTTCTCCAGTCTGCCTTTATTAGGGCTCCATTCACTCCTCCTCTTGGGCTTCCTGCCTTCCCTGTCTCACAGCTTCGGGGAAAGGGCCCACTGAAAACTCCCCCTAGCACAGAACAGGGCAAGGCCTGCCATCCCTTCCAGCAGATATTAAGACTGGAAATGCGCAGGCGCTTAGGTTTGATCTACACGCGAATACCTGGGCTTGTTGAATAATAGGAAAATATTTTGTTCAAATTGGAAACTTCTCTTTTGAATGCCTGGGAACCTCTGGGATGACACTGCAGGAGTTGTATCCTAGGGACCGATTGCTCTTCATCTTTGCCACACCTGGGCCCCTTTGTTCCCACCTCTGATGCTAAGACCTGCCCTCTCTTGTTGCCTTATTTGCCTGGCCCTTTTAGTCTCATCACTCTCAGGGAAGGCTGGTATTGTTGCTTGGTGTCCTGCCAGGGTCACAGTCCCCTAGGGAGGCCAGGGTCAGGCAGGGTTCAGCCACTCTGAAAGCCGCAGGGCAATGGCCCATGGCAGCCTGGCAGGGGCCCAAGACCTGGTCTCAGGGGAATGTCTCCTGCCTTCAGCCTTTCAAAAAGGAAAATTCTCTCTCACTTTGTGAAAAACAGTTGTCAAAACCAGTTGGTGGTATTTGCCAACTAATTCCTCGGGCTCAGTAATCCATCTTGCAGGAGGTGAACACAGCCCAAGGTATTTGCAAGGGGAAAAGATCAGCGAAAGAACGAGCACTCTTTGATTGTGCAACCCACACAGTTTGGATGGCTTTTGAGTCCTTTCTGGAAGCACCCTAGAGACAATTCTTAGAAGCAGCACACTCAAATAAGGGATTTAGACTTTTGCCAGTGACATCGTCTGCCTAGGTGCTTTTAGTATAAAATGAGCTGTGCATTTGGACACAACTTTTTCTCAGTAAACACATGGAAATGAAGAAGGCGAAATAGTATTGAGAGCAAAGGAAAAGGTGATGGTTATTCTAGACTCAATAAAGACATGCACAAATGTTTACTGAGCAGCTACTATGTGCTAAGCCTTGCTTAGATTACACCTTGGGAGGAAAAAGGAGACAGATAAGACCATCTCTGGCTATCATAATATTCATGTTGTCATATCAGAAAGAATGCATTCACATTTTATGATGCGGTTACACAATTCACTCAAAAAGCCTAAGATTCTGCTTTCTAGCCTGATGCCACAGCACCTGCCTGCCTGTCAGACCATGCGGGCTCCACCCATTCTGCTTCGCTTCCCTCTCAGCACCTCTGTGCTCTCACTGGGGCCTCCCCAAAGCCTCTTTTCTCAGCACTTTGGGGCCCCAGTCCTCCCCATCTTGCTTCGACCTTGTGGTGTTGGAAAGGGGCCCTGGATTTAAAAGATTCAGATTAGAATTCCGTATGCATCACATGTTTCTTGTGTGTCTCCACACAACTTGAATTCTCCGACTCTCAGTGCTATAGACTGAATGTTTGTGTTTCCTCAAAATTCATATGTTGAATCCTACCCCACAGTATGATGGTATTTGGAGGTGGGACCTGGGGGAGGTGATTAGGTCATGTGGGTGGGGCCTTCATGAATGGGTTTAGTGCCCTTATAAAAGTGGCCCCAGAGTACTCCCTGGCCCCTTCTGCCATGTGAAGATACAGCAAGAAAACGGCTGTCTATCAACCAGGAAGAGGCCCTCACCAGAATCCGCCACACTGACACCCTGATCTCAGGATTCCAGCCTCCAGAACTGCGAGAAATAAATTTCTGTTGTTAATAAGCCACCTAGTCTATGACATTCCATTATAGCCTCCCTGGCAGATGAAGACGCTCAGTCTCCCAGTTTGTCAAACAAGGTCTGTACTATCGGCTTGCTGGGGTAGTTAAGTCAGGATTCACCAGCAATGTGTCTGGCCTGGGTACCCCATCAACCGTGAGTTCCTTCCCTCTTCTCTAGTGTTCAAGGCCCCTGTATAGAATAGAATGCTCTCCTCCTTCTCATTCAGAGGGTTTGGGATATGGGAAGGATCCCTTACCTGATGATGACTTTAACCAACAAAAGCGAAGTCATCATTTTCAAATTTTGGACCTCACTTTCATTTTCTCTCTGGCAGGGTGATTGACACCGTATCACATTTCCCCTGCAGCCAGAGCGCGCGTTCTATTATATCATCAATTACATACGGACACACATCTGGGTTCTTGGGTTCTTGCAGCTGAGCGCTCAGCTATCTGGGAGAAGAGGCCCCGTCCCGTCTCGGCTGCAGCAGATGAAGACTGGACCATATGCCGATCGCTTGGCTGGACCCGTGAATCTGAGAGACTTCCCATTCCATTTTCAAAACTTCCAGCAAAGCCAGATGTATGAGAAAAAAGACATCCGGCCTCTGTAAGTTTTGACACAGTAGGAAACAGACTGATCCCTGGAAGATCAATACAAAAGGCAACGCGGCAGTTCGACAGCTGAAAATACAGGCGGCGGCAGCCAGCCACGCCTGTGGGCAGGGGAGAGGGAGTAGAATGTACTTACGGACCCAGTAATACTGACCATATTGAAGGGTAAGTGGCATCCAAAGCGAGGCTGGCACTTGCTAAAGTGGTAGTAAACCAGAGCACACCTTCAGTGCCGGAGAAGAACGTTTCTGTCGCTCCCTGGAACTGCTCCTGGAAATGCCATGGCTCAGATGAAGCCCACACATGCCCATACCCACAGCTTCAGTTTTTTACATCAGCCCACATTGCAATCTGGGAGCGATAGGAGCAGAGGTAGACCCTCTGCTCCCATCCCTGATAGCCAGGGACAATTTGCTCTTATGAGAGATCAAAGACCTTGAATGCGTTCATTTATTTTGCTATGAGTGGAGACAGTCTCCCTGAGTAGGTACTCAAGGGAGAATTCTGGAACATATTTCTGCCTGTGGGGGTGCTAAAGTATTGCAGCATGTGTTTAGTCTGGCATATGTTGGAGCCACCATGCCCAGTGGGGCGCTGACTGACTGGGAATGGGTGCCAGCCTGGGGCAGGTATGCTGGGATTTAAGTTCTTTTCTGTGGATCTAACCAAGTTGCTCCTTCCTTCCCTGCTTGGTACAAACTAGTCGAGAAAACAAAAAAACAAGGCATTTGCAACAAATTTAAGTACAATATGGATAGAATGATTCTAGAGATGCCCTGAGGCAGTGCCCGGTGGATCCCAGCTGGGGAACACACAGGGGTGCTTTGGGAGTTTAGGGAAGAGAAGGGCTGTGGGGAAATTAGGGATCAGTGAAGCTCCTGGGGTTCAGGAACAGTTGATAGAGCCCAGTCGGGGCCCTTGGCTAACCCCAGAGAGCCAGGTCTGTGGAAAGCCATATCTGCTTCTGAGAAAATGTTTGAAGGAAGCGGGAATCAGGAATATGGTTCTATCCAGAACCCCTTGGATTTCAGCCTAAGACAGAGGAGAAGGCCTGGCTTCCTGGGAAGGCTCAGAATGGGCATATTCCACTTCATGGAGTAGTATATTCCCCCAGACATGGCCCCTATCGGACCACACTGTGGACTCACTCCCTTCATCAATGGCTGAGAGACTAAATTAGGCTAAAATGCACATGATGGTCAGGCTGAAGTGGCAACCAAGTGACAAAGCCTGCAAACTGGGGCAGATGTGAGGACCCTCCTTGTGCAAGTCCTAGGCCCAGGGTTGAGGAAATGACTCTGGGCTGTCAAGCCCCAGCTGATGGCCTCTCCTCCACTGGCAGCAGCAGCAACCTTCCTTATTCTCTGCCTCCTCCCAGTCCTATGCACACGGGCCAGGTCTGGAATGTCACTGGGGAGCCGCCAATGAAGCCAAGCAGATGAAATGGTACAAATAGTTGAGGATACAAGGCATCTGCAAAAAGTGTAATTACAATATAGACGTCACAATGCAAGAGATGCCACAAGGCAGTGCACAGTGGACCCCAGCTGGGGAACAGGCAGGGGTGTCTGGGGAGTTTAGGGAAGGGCTGTAGGGAAATTAGTGGTTAGTGCAGGTAATGCTGGCAATGTTTGCAGAAGGCATGTGTCATGATATGGTAGAACATGTTCTCCAGAGAAGCTCCTTTAAAAGGCTCTTCTACGCCGGGTGCAGTGGCTCATGTCTGTAATTCCAGCACTTTGGGAGGTCGAAGTGGGCAGATCACCTGAGGTCAGGAGTTCAAGAACAGCCTGGCCAACATGGCGAAACCCCATTTGTAAAATATGAAAATTACAAATTAGTCAGGTATGGTGGCGGGCGCCTATAATTCCAGCTACTCGGGAGGCTGAGTCAGGGAGAATTGCTGGAACCCAAGAGGCGGAGGTTGCAGTGAGCCAAGATCCTACCACAGCAATCCAGCCTGTGCAACAGAGTGAGACTTCATCTCAAAATAAATAAATAAATAAATAAAATAAACATTTACAAAGACTCTTCTTAGCCTGGGTATAGAACTGACATTAGTGGTAGATCTAGAGAATAAAATGATCTATTCTTTTCCTCCTCTGCAGGTCAAGTCCATTCTTATGTTTATTTATGAATCCATTATTATGTTCACATATATGTTTCTTCTCTTTTTTTTCTATGTGCATGGAACTGTATTGGCCTTGTGACCATTATAGTGCATTTTATTAGCATTTGTAAGCATTGCAATAAATTAGACATTTTTAAAGTGCATATCTCTAAAAATAATTACTTCAGTTTTGGCTAACACAGAGGTATCCCCAAGAGGAACATCAATTTCTTTTGTTGGAGAAAAGGCAAACATTTTTATGAAAACAATGCTTACTCCACATCGTAGGGTATGGAGGAGCATACAGGAGAGACAGGGCAAGTGCTTTTCCCAAGCAGCTGAGCCGAAAAGCAAGACAAATATTTTGAACAGTTCATATGTCAAGGAGACATGTGCAAGCTCTATTATTAAAATAATAGTGACATCACAGTGTGCCGACGTGGTGCTTTTATCTTCAAAGCAATTTATGACTGCTCATGAATTGACTTAGGACAAAAGATCAGAAATTGGCAGGAGGTTCTGGGTCTGTGATTTTGGGAAGAATGGATGGGACAGAGATCAAAGGAGCATCTCCAGCCCCCATGCTTTCTCAGTGTGTCGCTTTGGAGCCTGAAAGGAAACCTATGATTCTGCCCTGGGGCGGTTTCTTCTGGAGAGTGGAAGCTGACAATTCAATGGCAGAGGCAGACGGGTGTTCTTAGATTCATCAAATCCCATTCCCCTAGTCCATGCCTGGTCATGGTCCTAGAACCAGGGTGGATCAAGAGATAAGTCCCACACCAGGATTCCAAGGACTACCTCCCACCCAAATTTGAAAAGAAATTTCAGATTCTGATGGGGCCTCTATGTCATTCCAGTATCCTTGGGCCAAGACACCTCCACAGGCTGACTCTGACATGATGAAAGTGACACTGGTTACTGAGCACTCACAATGTGTTGGGCCCTACCCCACTCTGTATATAGATTGTGCCATTAAATCCACACAACTCCTCTTTGAGGTAGGCACTCAGGTTTCCCCATTTTACAGGTGAAGATAGTGGGATAGAATGTGATTGATATGGTTTGGCTGTGTCCCCACCCAAAGTCTCATCTTGAATTGTAATCCCCATAATCCACACTTGTCATGGGCAGGACCAGGTGGAGGAAATTGGATCATGGGGGCAGTTTCCCCAGGGAGTTCTCCTGATAGTGAATGAGTCCCACAAGATCTGATGGCTTTATAAGCGTCTGCCATTTCCCCAGGTTGTTCTCACTCTGTCCTGCCGCCCTGTGAAGAAGATGCCTGCTTCTCCTTTGCCTTCTGCCATGATTATAAGTTTCCTGAGGCCTCTGCAGCAATTCGGAACTGTGAGTCAATTAAACCTCTTTCCTTTATAAATTACCCAGTCTCAGGTATTTCTTCAATGCAGAACTGTGAGTCAACTGAAACTCTTTCCTTTATAAATTACCCAGTCTCGGGTATTTCTTCGTAGCATTATGAGAATACAGTGGTTAAGCGATTTTCACAAAGTCAGCAGCCATTGGCAGGCAGCAGGGTCAGAATTCATCCTTGGGTAGTCAGCATCTGGATTTCATGCCATTAACCTTAAGCCAGGTTGCCTCCATATGTCAGAGAAAGGAAATTGAAGTTCTTAAACTTTGTGCTTCCATATCCAATAAAATTCTCTCAGAGCCTCTAACTCTGGGCTCATGTCTAATTGTGATACCATCAAGTGGGTATTTCAAGGTGTTGACCAAAAGGTCGAGAAAGTCTAAATGGCTTTTTGGAAAGCTATATATCTGGGAACCCAGGGCGCTGAGCGACCAACTTTTGATCTCAACATGATAGGCCAGGAAATAATAAGAAGAAAGCTTTCCACTGGCCTGTGATGAAACAGGCACTGTCTGTCCTGACCCAGATGTCTGCTTCCCAAACCTGAACAGACCACCTGCCCCGTTTCTCTGCAGGGTTGTCCTGCTGGCTTCCTCAGCCTGGAAGCTATAGTCCTTCTCTTTCCCCTTTGCACACAGCTCTTGCCTTTTCCTCGCCATTCTCCAGGCTGAATGACACTCTCAGGTTCCCAGTCACCCTCATCTCCTTGTGACTCCCTCCTTGCTATCATCCAACCTCAGCCTACTGATGACACATTGGGTAAGGGGGCTGATTCCATCAGATCCATGGCTTCATTTATTTCCGTGCTCTTTAACTATTTACGGAGCACCCACTCTGTGCCAGGCTATTTGCTAGGTGCTGGGTACACAGCTTAAATAAGACAGGCCTGGGCATTGCCCTCATGGAGCCTGTGGTTTAAACGGGAGCCCAGCATCAGAAAAATGAATGAGCAATAACTTATCAATGGAAGTGAGCCCTAGGAATGAATATTCTAGGGATTGGAGTGAGGAAATAACAGGGGGTCCTGATCTCCTCTGGACATCAGGAACGGGCTCTTTTGAGGAAGTGATGCTTGAGATGGAGGCTGAGGAATTGGCCAAGAGTAGAGAGGGATGGTAATCCCAGCTACTCGGAAGGCTGAAGTGGGAGAATCACTTGAGCCCAGGAGGTCAAAGCTGCAGTGAGCTGAGATCACGCAACTGTGCTGTAGCCTGGGTGATGGAGGAGACCCTGTCTCAAAAAAAGAAAAGAAAAGGCCAACATGTCTCAAGGTCAGAGAGCAAGGGGGCAGTGAGAGAGGGAAGGTGGGCTGAGCCAGGACATGCAGGGTTCTCTGGGTCACAGGGCACATTTGAGTTTTAATCCTAATAGCAGTAGGAAGTCCCTGGAGGGTTGTAAGTAGAAGGCTGATATAATTTATGTGTTTAAAAGATCACTTCAGTGTAGAAAACGGATTGAACAGGGTGGGAGTGGAGGAAGGGATATGCAACTAGGGCTTCACTGGGATAGTCCAGGTGAGAGATGATGGGCCTGGATTAGGGGTGGCAAAGGAGCTGGAGGACTCCGTATAGATGCTAATTTCTGCAGACCCAGAGAGAGTCTTTGCATATATGCTCAGTCAGTAGTAAATGTCCTATAAATGCCAGCTTCCATCATTGTTGTTATCTGTTCGTGTATTTGGTTTGGAAATACGTAGATAAATTAGCATAACATTATTAAGTAAAGGGAAACAACATTCTAGATCAAACACTGGCAAACCACAGCTTGTCTTGTGGGACAAGGCTGGCCTCGTGCCTATTTTTGTAAATAAAGTTTTATTGGAATACAGTCAGGCCCATTTGTATTGGTCCTTTATGGAAAAGCTTGTTGATCCTTGTCCTAGATGAGTATGCTTTGTGTTAGTGAAAGCTGGATTTTATTTTATTCTTTTTTGAAACGGAGTCTCACTTTGTCACCCAGGCTGGAGTGTCGTGGCATGATCTTAGCTCACTGCAACCTCCACCTCCCAGGTCCACGCGATTCTCCTGCGTCAGCCTCCTGAGTAGCCGGGATTACAGATGTCCACCACGATGCCTGGCTAATTTTTGTATTTTTAGTAGAGATGGGGTTTTACCATGTTGGCCAGGCTGGTCTCGAACTCCTGACCTCAAGTGCCTCGGCCTCCCAAAGTGCTAGGATTACAGGCGTGAGCCACCCAGCCGAAAGCTGGACTTCTTCATCCTTTTTCTCTGGCTTTCCCAGTCCTGAGACATGGGATCCTCTCCCACCTCTGCCCATGAGGCAAAGGCAATTGCCCACCTTCCTAGGTAAAAGGAGTGCCGTGGCTATGCTCATACAAGTAGCTATAATTTCATATATTCTTATTTTACAGAATACAGCAGCAAGGCCACTAGCCTTCGTGTTTTTAGATTGACTTTCTGAGTAAATATCTTAAAATATTTTGACCAGACCCCACAAAAGTCAGAGTTGCTGATAGGTACTTTACAGAGGGTGCTGTCCTGTGATAGCTCTCGGAAGCTTCTGGCTACCTGACAGATGAAAACAGCAGCCTACCTGTCTGTGTATGAGTCTCAACACCTTTGTTCCTAGTACCAGGCAGGCTGAATAACTGTGACCCAAAAATTCCAGGTAGAGAGTGGAAAGATTGGCAGCTACGTAGTATTAAAAAATGGATTAAACTCTTACAGGAGTTCACAACTTATGAGTCACATTTCAAAAAAGTTTTTTTATGTCTTTATTTTGTTCATCAGGACACATTTTACTACTTAACTCATTTTATATGTGGGAGTTAAGTCCCCTGGCAATGAGAAGATGCTTGTTTAAATCGTAATGAACCTGAAGGCTAGAACTGCACCAGTAGGACTGCAGACTCCACCACCATGAGGACAATGTCCTTGGGGAAAAGAAAACAGTTTTTTTTTTTCTTTCCAGGCACACAGTGAATCCCAGCCTTCCTTGCAGATAGGCATGACCAGGTCCCTGAGTTCTGGCCAGTAGAACATGGAAAGAGTCACCAAATGCCCGCCATTCAAGCCTGGACTGTCAACGCATCCTGAGGAATCCTCCCCTCACTCTCTCCCTCCACCTGCTGGCTGGATGCAGGGGGCTCAGCAGAGGCCTCTGAGCCCAGGGGCCCCACATGTCCCACAAGGCTTAAACAAAAGAAAACCACAAACGCAGTCAATCACAGAGTTATTTTATTTAATGTTATAAGAAGTAACAACCATCAACATTGATGGGCAATGGAAAACTTTGAGGGATGGAATCCTCAGCTTTAGAACGAAAAATTATTTTGGAAGTTTGTGTATTTATTTTACAGACAAGGGTCTTGCTAGGCTGCCCAGGGTGGAGTGTGGTGGCTATTCACAGGAATAATCACAGAACACTACAGTCTAGAGCTCTGAACCCAAGTAATCCTCCTACCTCAGCCTCCTGAGTAGCTGGGACTACAGGTACCTCCACCGCTGCACCCGGCTGAATTCTCAGCTTTATGTGACAATGGAAGGGGTAGAAAGGTCACCTGTGAAGAACAGAGCATTTAGAGTGGACAGCCCGGGCACTCAAGATCTGGCTCCTGCACTCATTGGCTGCATAAATCTGGGCCATTACCAAATTCCTACAAAACCTTAGTTTCCTTGTTTGTAAAATGAGAATAATAACAAGACTAACATCATAGGGTCAAACATTCATTCAATAAATATTTATTGAACATCTATTAGGTACAAGGGACCATCCTTGTTTTGGAGAGTTCAGTATGACGAAGACAGAATGTGGAGCTTACAGAATGAGAGAAGGCCCAAGAAGTGCCTGGCAAACCCAAAGCACTCTACAAGCCTAAGCTGATATAGTATAAAGAACATTACCCATCTCCCCAAATCATTACCCCAGACCTGCTGTAGTAACCCAGGGTTTCAGGTATGTGGCCATCTGAAAATGATCCACAAACTCAGAGCCAGATTAGGATGAGGAGAGAAGGGCACACTCATCCCAGGAGCATCACTTAAGGGGGCACCGAAAACTCTAATTAAGATAAACAGGACAGGCTCAGGGACTTGTGCCTGTAATCCCAATACTTTGAGAGGCCAAGGTGGGAGGATTGCTTGAAGCCAGAAGTTCTAGGCCAGCCTGGGCAACAAAGTGAGACCTCTGTCTCTGCAAAAAAATTAAAAATTAGCCAGGTGTGCTGGTGCATGCGCCTCCTGTCCCACCTACTTGGGAGGCTAAGGAGAGAGGATCACTTGAGCCAAGGAGTTTGAGGCTGCAGTGAGGTATGGTTGTGCCCACAGCACTCCAGCCTGGGTAGCAGAGTGAGATTCTGTCTCTAAGAAAAAAAAGATAAATAATATCTTAATGCATATATTACAGCAGTGTCTGTTCCCTCACTGATATAAAGAACTGCCTGAGACTGGGTTATTTTAAACGAAAGAGGTTTAAGTGACTCACAGTGCCACATGGCTAGAGAGGCCTCAGGAAACTTACAATCATGGTGGAAGGTGAACGTGAAGCAAGGACCTTCTTCACATGATGACAGGAGAGAGAAGTGCAATCAGGGGAAAGGCCAGTCACTTATAAAACCATCAGATCTCGTGAGAACTCAATCCTATCATGATGCAATCACCTCCTCCCTCCTCCCTTGACATGAGGGGATTACATTCAAGATGAGATTTGGGTGGGGACACAGAGCCAAACCATATCAATGCAACATTATAAACATATGCAAGGGAATCCATAATGAACAAAATATCTAAAGTTTAAATAAAGACAGGCTCAGTATGACTGAATTTTCCTTTTGCCTCAGAATCCAAGATAGTTTGCTGCACAAACTCAAATCCACAAGGCCAAGTGCACGATCTCTATTCCTGGGCACACATTATGCTTTGCTAGAGCACTTCCACATTTTCTTTCTTCTTTCTGAAGCAGGACTGTGAGGGAAAATGCTACTTGCTAAGCATATGTTCAGAAACTGCCTTTTCCATCTTGCCTCTTCAGATGTTTCAGAAATGGGGTTTTTGTTTTGTTTTGCTTTTTAACATTCACCAGAACACAAAGCAGAGAGCTCCCAATTGTTATTGGAAGGACGTAGGGAAGTAAAAACAAACACATAATTAAAATAGCACCCCGTCAAGGTCTAGATTCCCAGCCTCAGAGGCGAAGGTCTGTGGGCCAGGGCAGGGTGCACTCAGGGACCTCGAAAGCAGAGGCGAAATGAACCCAGAATTCAGATCTAAAGCAACAGACCCTTTTCCCGTCAGGCCCCAGGCCTCGGCTGGATCTCTCTCTCCCCTCTGAAACATACACACACTCATATTGGGTATTTAATCATCTGTATTTGCCAGGAAACTGCAGTCTTCCTTTCAGGCTGTTAATACAATAAAAATCAAAATGATTCATGTCAAAACAAGGACATATATTTGTGTAGAGGATTGGACAAATACATTACTCTGTGTGTGTCAGTGTGTGTGTGTGCTTGTGTATGTGAGTGCCAGTGTCTGTGTGTCAGTGTGTGTGAATGTGTTAGTGTGTATGTGTATGTCAGTGTGTATAGTTACGTGTGTGTATGTTAGAGTGTATGCATGTGTCAGCCTGGATCTGTGTGTGTGTCAGTATGTATGTTTGTCAGTGTGCCACTGTGTGTAATTGTGATGTGTATGTTCGTGTGTGTGTGCATGTCAATATATGTATATTTGCTCTCAGTGTGTATAATTGTGTATGTGTATGTTAGTGTGTATGTGTGTCAGCGTGTGTCAATGAGTATGTGTGTCAGTGTGTGTGTGTCAGTGTGCCACTGTGTGTAATTGTGTATGCATATGTGTGTATCGGTGTGTCGGCATGTATGTGTCAGTGTGTGTCTCTGTGTGAGTGTGTGAGTATGTCATAAAGAAACCCCACTCGCCCCCCACCCCAGGCACACTGCAGATCCTGCTGAAGCCATCTGGCCTGGACATTAACACAGTGCAGATGCGGCGTGCAGAGAGTGCCTGAGCCACGCAGGGCCACTTCCGTGCTCCGATGACAGTGAGTGGCCTCCATGTAACATGTTGTTGGCATTGCTAACAGCAGCAGGTGCTGTTCGGCTTCTGATTTAACTCAGCCTGCAGGCCCAAATCATTACAAGGAGATTTATGGGTGTTACCACATTTTGTTACAGATTTTGTTTCCAGGAGGAGAGTCTTCTGTTGCAAGCAGGAGAAAGGGTGGCAGCTAATCCATCATGTCTGCGTTGAGCTACATGATACTGAAGAACATTCGAGCAGCTTAGGGTGCGATGGAAGGAACACTTGGTGTGTCAATTTTCCCAGAGATTGAAAAGTACACCTTAGAAATCAGTCTACTGACTGGGCAAACCATGTACCTGGGTAAATGATATCTTTCTTGTTAACCAACAGCCACTTGTAGCCTACTAGGCTAGAGACTTTGAGGGGAAGGAGTGAAGTCCGTGATTCTTGTTTTTAACCCATTTATGCCTAGCGTTCCATTATTGGGACACTAAGCTTGTGGGAGTTATTTATATCCTACTGCTCAAGGTTATTGCCAAGGTCTGATTTTTCACACATACACACACACACACACACACACACAAATTGTAACCTCTGGCATAAATGGGTTAAGGGGCTTATAGAATAGTTGTCTGGTTACAAAGTAATCACACTCTTTTGAGGAAAGGTTTGTGGGCTCATTTTACGAATTGACATCCCCCTTCTGCATGCATTCTCGTCTTTAGGTAGACAGCTCTCGGAGGGGAGGGAAGGCTGGGCGTGGCTCTGCTGCTGACAGCTCTGTGACCTGAGGCCAGTGCTTCTGCACGTGTGGTTGGGACCAGCAGCATCGGCATCACCTGGGAGCTTGTGAGAAATTCAGATTCTCAGGCCCCAGCCCAGTCCTGCTGAATCAGAAGCCCTGGGAGTGGGGCCAGCAATCTGAGTTTTACCAGCCCTCCAGGTGATTCTGAAACATGCTCAAATTTAAGAGCCATGGTCTTAGCAAATCTCTTCATCTCTTTGGTCTTATGTTCCTCACTCCCTGCAAAATGGTAAAAATCATATGCTATAGTTGTGGAGATCAAATGGGGAAATCAAGGCACTTAAGACATAGTAAAGGACAGTAACAAATAATCAGTTAATAATAATAAAGTATCACCAGTGCAAAGCACAAAACATCCCTGAAGGAGATCAGCAAACTCTTGGCAATGATTTGCAAGGATGTTCTATTTCAGGGATTGTCTCCTTCAGGGAAATGTCCAAGAAGCACCTTCAACTCAAGACCATGTTTTCAATTCCCACACCATGATGAAAACCCCACTTGCCCTCACGGTTGATTCTGTGAGGCAGCATCTGTGGCATCTTTAGTGGAAAGGATTCATATCTTCAGATGCAAGGGCCCAGCCCGCATGGGCATCAGGCCAGGTAATTTCAGGCCAGACTAGTTGGAACCTTTTTCTTCACAGGAAGTGGAAGTCAAACCAGGAGATAAACATTCAGGAGAGAGAACAGCATTCCCCATCACTTCAGAGGCAAATCAAATACACAGTGGTGAATAGGAGACAGAAATTTCCTTTATTCAAGACATTGGGATAAAGGTTACATAGATAGTTCTGAGAAAACCATCTCTACTGTTAAAAAAAACCCAAAGCATCGTATGTTCTCACTCATAAGTGGGAGCTGAGCAATGAGAACACATGGACACAGAGAGGAGAACATCATACATTGGGGCCTGTCGGGGGGTTGGGGGCTAGGGGAGAGATAGCATTAGGAGAAATACCTAATGTCGATGACGGGTTGATGGGTGCAGCAAACCACCATGACACGTGTATACCTATGTAACAAACCTGCACATTCTACTCTGTACCCCAGAACTTAAAGTATAATAAAAAAATTTTTTTAAGTTAAATCCACAGATAATGGGCTATTGTGTTAAGCTGTTCTTGAGTTGCTATACAGAAATATCTGAGACTGGGTAATTTAATAAGAAAAGAGGTTTAATTGGCTCATGGTCATGCAGGGTGTGCAGGAAGCATGGTGTTAGCATCTGCTTCCAGGGAGTTCTCAGGAAGCTTCCAATCATGGCGGAAGGGGAAGTGGGGGCAGGCACATCACATGGTGAAAGCAGGAGCACGAGAGAGAGGGGGGCGATCATGACTAGATCTCACAAGAACCCACTATTGCGAGGACAACACCAAGAGGATGGTGCTAAACCATTCACGAGAAATCTGCCCCGCAATCCAGTCAATCCAGTCACCTTCTGCCAGGCCCTACATCCAGTGCTGGGGACAACAAATCCACATGAAATTTCGCAGGAACACAGATCCACATCATGTTAGCTATCAAAAAATAGTTTTATGATAGAAATTCCCAAGCTTATCAAATAAAAAAATCACTTGGTAATGTCAGTTTCTCACAGGACAATCTTTTTACTTTTTTACTGTGGTAAAATATACACAACATAGAAGTCACCATTGTAACCTTTATTGTATTATTATTATTTGAGACAGAGTCTCACTCTGTCGCCCAGGCTGCAGTGCAGTGGCATGATCTCAGCTTGCTGCTACCTCCGCCTCCTAGGTTCAAGCGATTCTCCTGCCTCAGCCTCCTGAGTGGCTGGGATTACAGGAGCATGACACCACGCCTGGCTAATTATTGTATTTTTAGTAGAGATGGGGTTTCACCATGTTGGCCAAGCTGGTCTCGAACTCCTGACCTCAGGTGATCCACCCACCTCAGCCTCCCAAAGTACTAGGATTACAGGCATGAGCCACCATGTCCGGCCATTGTAACCATTTTTAAACGTACATTCACATTGTTGTGCAGCCATCACCACCATCCATCTCCACAACTTTGCCATCTTCCCCAACTGAAATCTGTACCCATTAAACACTAAGCCCCCATTTCCCCATCTCTCAGCCCCTGGAAACCACCATTCTAGTTTCTGTCTCCATGAATTTGACCACTTTAGGGACCTCATATAAGAGGAATTATACAATACATGCTTTTGCGACCTGCTTACTTCACTTAGCATAATGTCTTCAAGGTTCATCTATGTTGTAGCATGTGTCAGAATGTCCTTCCTTTTTAAGGCTGACAAATATTCCATTGTATATGTATACCATACTTTGTGTATTCATTCATCTGTCAGTGGACAGTATTTTTACTTTCTGTTTCCTATTTATTAACTACCTCAAAAGGTGATATCTGTAAAACACATAGCCTGTAATCCCAGCACTTTGGGAGGCCAAGGCATGTGGTCACCTAAGGTCAGGAGTTCGAGACCAACCTGGCCAACATGGTGAAACCCCATCTCTACTAAAAATACAAAAATTAGCGGGGTGTGGTGGCGGGCACCTGTAATCCACCTGGGAGGCTGAAGCAGGAGAATTGCTTGAACCAGAGAGGCAGAGGTTGCAGTGAGCCGGGATAGCACCACTGCACTTCAGCCTGGGTGACAGAGCAAGACTCCATCTCAAACAAACAAACAAAACAAAAACACATAGCACAGTGCTCAGAATGCAATATGTGCTCAGTAGATAAATATTAGCATTATTCAGTATCTCTTGAGTAAGAAAATGCATGTTCACATATGGACGTGTAACCCCAGCCTAACTGCTCAGCTGCTAGATAGGACATCACTATTCAGCCTGTCAGCAGGTGCCCTGATCAGAAATGTCATTGTTGGCTGGGCATGGTGGCTCATGCCTGTAATCCCAGCACTTTGGGATGCCAAGGTGGGCAGATCACCTGAGGTCAGGAGTTCAAGACCAGCCTGGCCAACATGGTGAAACCCCGTCTCGACTGAAAATACAAAAAAGTTGCTGGATATGATGGTGCGCACCTGTAGTCCCAGCTACTCAGGAGGCTGAGGTAGGAGAATCGCTTGAACCAGGGAGGCGGAGGTTACAGTGAGCTGAGATGGTGCCATTGCATTCCAGCCTGGGTGATAGAGCAAGACTCTGTCTCAAAAAAAAAAAAAAAAAAAAAAAAAGAAAGAATGTATCATTGTTCACCCCCAGCTTGAGAAAGGGATGGAAATGTAACCTAAATGTTAATTTATAGCAAAACAAATAGAACCAGGGCCATGCATTTGGTAATGTTAATGTTTATGTTAATAAGCTCCCTGGTGACAGCCTTTTGAGATACCAGAGATAATGACATTGTGGTGTACACTTATCTGACAAATGTTTATATGCATACACGCTGAGCCTGTGTCCACTGATAGTAAGGATGCAGACATTTGGTGTTTATGTCGATGATTCTATTCTCAAACTGACACTTTATTTACACTATAGCTATTGTCTTTAGCAGAGGTGTAATAGTGCTTTTAGAACGTAAATCTTCAAAATATTAAATTTGGGAAGGAAAGAATCTGCGTTTTTGTTTGTTCCTTTGTTCCAAAGTCTACCTTACTGGGGCCCTAGTGAGCCAAGATGGCACCACTGCACTCCAGCCTGGATCAGATTTTTGTTCAACTAGAAGGCAAGCAACAAGGAAGCAAAGACTGACCCTCAGCGGGGATTGGCTGGAATGAATGTATACATCAATAAGCAATAAACCTCATTGTTGATTGGTATGCGAGGCTAACCTCGATGGAACCTTCCAGTTGTGTTGCTTGATGAGGAGAAGGGAAGGCTTGAGGGATCCTCTGAGCTCCATGCCACACCCAGCCCCTCAGCGCTCGCAGGCCTGTTTCCTTACCCTTTGGCTCGGGTTGCACAGTGAATGGGATGCAGGTGTGGAGTTAGTCAAGGTCTGCTTACTAAGCAGAATGAAAGAGGAGAGGAAAAGTTCAACTCCACATGTGCAGAGGAAGCCAATGGCTCCCTGGGGGAGAGAGAAAGCCCTGGCCAGAGTTGTGCAGGCAGAGCTGTGTGCTAGGTGGAATATTTCATAAATACAAGTGATAGAGGCAGCAAGATGGTAATTAACATAATATTCACATCAAATTAGCAGCCCAAGGGGACAGAGGCAGAGAGGGGTGAACCTCTTTCTATCACTGACAGGATCCTCAGAAGAACTTTTATTTTCCATTTTTCTTTGTGCATCTAAGTTCTGTTTTATTAATAACTGGACAAATGCAGATTTCTCAGATGTCTTATTCACTACATCTGGACCACGCAGGTGAAGCTATTTAGGGTTATCTCTCATCTGGGAAAATTTCGAGCCCATAACTTATAAAAATCTCTTCATAAACTGACATCATGGATATCCTGATGAGATGTAGTGGGAGAACACACAGAACTTGTATCATATTTGTGCCCAAAAGGTGTAACCTGGACTTAAAATCAGAAAACATCAGAAAAATCCAGAATGTAGACACTTCCCCCCAAAAACTGGGCTGGGTTCTGTAAAGAAATGTCATGTTCTGACATTCAATGTCACAACAGGCCAAAATAAACTGTAGGAGAGGAAAGACTTTTCATCTACTCTTTTAGGTTTTGTGGTTGGGACCTATAAATTGAACTGACAAAAGACAGATTAACAGGAGAAAAAAGTAAACAAATTTTATTTGGTATTAATGCCTTTACATGGCACAGGGGCTTTGTAGAAAGGAATAAAGACCCCCCAAAGAAGCAGTTAGCTATGAGGGCTTATATACCATTTTAACAAAGAATGGTAAATTGTGGTAATGTTGCAAGACAAAAAAAAAAGGAGCTTGGGTTGAGCTGGAAAGTTGTGGAAAAATCGACTAGGAAATATATGGAGGGAACTGATGGAAGGTAAGGATTATTTGCGTAAGGTTTTTTAGCAAGATTTGCACAGACTCATCTTAGCATCAGCTTCCTATCTCTGGCGATAAATGTTCTCCTTTTCATGATACAGGAAGGGCATATTTTTTAAGGGATTTTTTTTTTTCTGAGACAGAGTGTCACTTTGTTGCCCAGGCTGGAATGCAGTGGCATGACCTCAGTTCACTGCAACCTCTACCTCCTGGGTTCAAGCGATTCTCATGCCTCAGCCTCCCAAGTAGCTGGGATTACAGGCATGCACAACCACACCTGGCTAATTTTTGTATTTTTAGTAGAGACGAGGTTTCACCAAGTTGGCCAGTCTGGTCTTGAACTCCTGACCTTGGGTGATCTGCCCACCTCAGCCTCCCAAGGTGCTGGGATTACAGGTGTGAGCCACCACACTTGGCCTTCTTATGGAAATTTTATGTCCTACTTTTAGATAGAAAGGAAGAGAGTGGAGAGCCCTTGTTGCACCTACTGTTTCTCAATTCCCTTCAGCTGAAAATAATCAATATGCCAGAGTGGCTAGTTTCAGGGTGGCATGTTCTGATCCCCTTCAAAGCAAGCAAACACACAAACAAAACAACAGCAATTAAAACAACAAACCAAAAAAAAAAAAAAAAAAAAAAAAGGCAAGAGAGTGCTCTGTATTAAAAGAAACAAAATGAGAAACTTTGACTAAACCACTATAAAGGACATTATTTAGACTACTGGGGACTCTGAATATGGATTCTGTATTAAATAATATTGATATTAAATTTCTTGGGTGTGATCACACGATTTTGATTATGTAGGAGAATTTTCTTTTTCTTAGGAGATACCTAGAATACCTGTCACACCTAGCAGTGAAGTATTGTGTTGTTTCTGATTTTTAAATGGGAAAGAGAAAAAGAGAGGACATGTGCAAAATGTTAACAATTGATAAAAGGATATCCTGGTATTCATTATACAATCTTTCAACTTTTCTGTAAGATTAAAATTTTTCCAAATGAAAAGTTGAAAGGTAGGAATTATATTCTTTCCTAAGACATTTTTTATTTATAAAGCTGACACCATGGCCAGGTAAGTCTGTAGGATCCCAAGGAATAACAATCCCACAAAGAGTTCACCAGCAGAAAGGAAGGAGCAGAGGATGCCTGGTGAGCACTTGTCCCTCAATCCACAGAGGGAAAGAGCACAGAGCTCATGCTTCCCTGGTCATGAGTGCCAACTACCAACCCACTGGCTACAGCTGCCAACAAGTCCTGACCTCAAGATGAAAGTACATGGGGCCCCAAAGACAACCATAGGGTTGTACTGCCAGGACATAACTGACTGAATACGGACCCAGAGACTACTACTTAATATAGCACTTGTCCAATATGAGTAATGGGATTCTTTCTTTCTCATTCTCTCTATTTTAATCAGAAATAGAGGATAATTCTAATTCAGGCACGTTAAGTACCTCATATGAAGTTAATCATCACTCTCTCCTGGAGTTCCCTGATTTAATTAGCATGGAAGTTAAGAAGTCCTTGAAGCTTTTTTCAGCAATGATTCACCCCCAATTCTAAGGCTGAGGCAGAAATGATCCCTTTATCAGTTATCAGTGATGCTGCCTCTATCTCTTTAATCCCCAGAAGCAAGAGTTAGAAGAGATTCTTTACACAAGTCCATAACTGAGGAAGGCTTTGGGATACTTGAAATTTCCCTCCATCAGTGAGTCAAGACATTCCATGTTCTGTGCTTTTGTCCGTGCTGTTCCCTTGTGTAGGAGGTTCTTTCTAACTTCTCCCCCTAGAGATCATTTATTTGCTATTCAAAATGCTTTTCCATTTTGAGTAGCTGCTCTGTGAAGGCTTCTGGGACTTCTCCCAGTATGAAGTCAGAGATTCCAAATCCATTCTACCCACCTCTACTCTGTTACACCAGAAACTTGCTCACTGCACTCAAATTATATTGCTCTTTTTTCTCTCACTGAAGACCAGAAGATAGTGTGTGTCTCTGGTCTAGGGATGAATGAAGTAATCGGCCCTTGGTAGGTAGTCAGTAGATACTTGTTGAATGAATGAACAGAAGTCATCATGGATATCCAGAAGGACCATATGGAATTGCAGAATTGGGATAACTCATTAGTGCACCAGTATCTCCCGTTCACTCACAAGGATTAATTTATCAGGTTAGCTGGTGGTCACCTGGTAGAGAGGAGAGGCCTTAAGCAGAAATTAAGCAGAAGGGAGGGACATTAGCTCTGGCCTAAGTTAGACAGGTCCAGATGGCTCAACTTAGCAGGAACCATGGATGGCCGGGGCCAAGTGCCAGCAACCTGTGCCAGAGCATGGACAATCTCATTTCATCTCATCAGCTGTGTTTCCAATGGAATCTTTTTTTAAGAGGAAGATTGTCCAGCAGAAATGCGATGCAAGCCGCAAATGCAAACCTCACATGTAATTTAAAATTCCTTAGTATCTACATTAAAAAAGTAAAAAGAAATAAGTGAGCTCATTGTAGATACCATTCCTAATATAGATACTATCCCTTAGTATCTACATTAAAACAGTAAAAAGAAGTGAATGAATTTAATTTAAAATGTATTTTATTTGATGTGAAACATTATTATTTGATGTAAAAAATTATCTTAACACGTGAAAAATATCGAAATATTATCTTAGCTCATGATCAATATCAACATTGTAATAGATCGTTTACATTCTTTGTTCTATTAAATCTCTGAAGCTCAGTGGTTATTTATACTTACAGCACATCTCAGTTCAGACTAGCCACATTTCAAGACCTCAACAGCCACATGTGGCCAGTGGCTGCCATATCATACAGAAGAGCTTTCAATCTGAATCTCTAGCAACATTGATTAACCTTCAACTCCTTTTTAGTCAAAAGAAAGTGAGCCACAGGATAGAACGAGCCAACGGTCCTAGAATAATCAGTAGTCAGAGAGTAGTGAGCTTTTGGCTGTTAGAATCTCTTTCCTGATAACAGATGAAGACAATAAACACCAGAAGAAGAATTTCTAGTCTTCTCTCAGTTCAATCTAACACATAATTAGTGCACATCTGTACCTGGAGCCTCTTTTCCTGTTTGTTTGGTTTTTTAAATTGTTTTCTCCTCACACATACTATATTTTATGCCCTGTGGACATATAAGCATAAAAAATTGACAGGAACTGAGTGAGATGTGGAAAATTTCATAATTTATTCAATAACATTAAAATAAAAAGCCAGTCGGGCATGGCGGCTCATGCCTGTAATCCTAGCCCTTCGGGAGGCTGAGGCGGGTAGATCACTTGAGGTCAGGAGTTTGAGACCAGCCTGGCCAACATGATGAAACCCCATCTCTACTAAAAATAGAAAAAAAAAAAAAATTAGCTGGGCATGGTGGCGAGCCCCTGTAGTCCCAGCTACTCTGGAGGCTGAGTCATGAGAATTGCTTAAACTTGAGAGGTGGAGGTTTCAGTGAGCCAAGATTGTACCACTGCACTCCAGCCTGGGCGACAGAGTGAGACTCCATCACTCTCGAAAACAAAAACAAAAAAAGAAAACATTACCATGCCCCATCCCATATTAATACATAATCTCTAATTAATAGGGAAACAGAGAATTTTGAATTACAGAAAATAAGGATTAAAAAGTCCAAAGAAAAATCATTTCAACAAAAAAGCAGTGTACTGGCCAGGCGTGGTGGCTCACGCCTGTAATCCCAGCACTTGGATCACCTGAGGTCAGGAGTTTGAGACCAGCCTGGCCAACATGGCAAAACCCTGTCTCTACTAAAAATACAAAAATTAGCTGGGCGTGGTGACACATGCCTGTAATCCCAGCTACTCAGGAGGCTGAGGAGAATTGCTTGAACCCAGGAGGCAGAGGTTGCAGTGAGCTGAGATCATGCCACTGGACTCCAGCCTGGGTGACAGAGAAAGATTCCATCCCCCCCCAAAAAAAAGCCAATGTATAAATATTTTTGCTTTCTCACCATCCTTTTTTTTTTCGGTGAAATTTCATAAAACATATTTTTTTGGCAAATGTGTTCTCATACTTATGCTTCACATGTCCGTTTATATTTTCTTTGGCATGCTCCTGGGCTATCTTTGTGTAGCTATTTGGGCAAGAACACTTTGGCCATAGGTTGCAGATGGATTTTGTTCCTCTGATTTGTTGAATAAGCAGTTCCTGCCTCTTTGGAGCTGACAACTGACCAGGAACAAGCAGACTTAAGGCAACTCATCACAGTTAGGTCTTGCAAAGCACTCAGGCTCATTTTGCTAGCCCACTGCAGCCTGGAAGAAATTCAAGGTGACTGAGAGTTGGCTACTCCCTGCATTTCTCTAACAGGTTATAATAAAAGCAAGCTGTAGACTGAAATTTGTCCCAAACAGAGACATTTGTTAAACAAATGCTTATTAGCTTACAGGCCAAAAGTTTAGATAACTAATTTGAAAGTTTGACAAAGGCCCAGTTTTCTGTCTGTTTAGGTATCCAAGTGTGTCCTTGCATGAAAAGACTACTCCAGATAAGAGCACATTCCATGGGTTGAATTCTACTGGCCTCAGGCAGCAAAAATCCACCTTGAGGCTGGGCACAGGGGCTCATGCCTGTAATCCCAGTACTTTGGGAGGCCGAGGCAGGTGGATCACCTGAGGTCAGGAGTTCAAGACCAGCCTGACCAATATGGTGAAACCCCGTCTCCACTAAAAATACAAAAATTAGCCAGGCATGGTGGCGGGCACATGTAGTCCCAGCTTCTCGGGCAGCTGAAGCAGGAGAATTGCTTGAACCCGGCAGGCGGAGGTTGCAATAGCCGAGATTGAGCCACTACCCTCCAGCCTTGGTGACAGAGCAAGACTCCGCCTCAAAAAAAAAAAAAAAAATCCACCTTAAACAAATGTCAGAAGCAAGACCAGTGGGGGGAAGCATCAGGACCATGTCTAAGAATAAAGGCTACAGGCTCTCTCATATAGCCAGTCCTTGAACAACATGGTTTGTTCAATGTCCTTAGGCTATAACATTGATGAGAAAAAAATCAATTCTTGGCCAAGGTCACTGTCTATGTGGATTCTGCACTTTCTCTCCTTGTCTGTGTGAAATCTCCCCAGGTACTGAAATTTACTCCAAATCCCAAAGATGTGCAAGGTTAGGCAAACTGATGTGTCAACTGGTCCAATCTAAGTGAGTGTGGGTGTGGCTGTGGGTGACTCCTGCAGTGGGATGGCATCCTGCCCAGGGCTGGGTCTTATCTGGCTCCGTAAGCTGCTGGGACAGGCTCTGGCCATCAGCAACCTTCAACTGGAATAAGTGCATAAATAATGATCATATTATTGTTATTCATCTCGTAAATGTCTATATAGCTCACAGTTATTTCAATGTTTTCATTTATTTCAATGTTTACTATTAGAAGTGTTTTGGTCTTTAGAAGTTTGGTGATGTTTTTGTGAACACAAACACACTGTAGGAACTTAACTCTCATTTATATCAGTTAGCCAAAACAAATTGGTTTTGTTATACCTCGTTTCACTTAAAGTCACAGTTTCCGGAAATCTATGGACACTGTTAAGTGAAGACTTACTGTAGAAGGGTGAGAAGTGTTTCTAAAATATTTTCTCCTGTCTATACATCTTGACTTCCTTTAATTTCACTAATGAGGGCTTATCGCTGGAATTCAACGTATCAGTCAACAATCCATTGTTTTCAAGCTAAAAAACCCTATTTCCAGTATTTATAAGCTAATTGAAAGGTTGGAGGGTTGATCAAGAATAGATAATAGGAACACTTATCATGGCTGCCTTCGGGCTTGGCTTTCTTCTGTTCACGGATGGCAACAAGGCCTAGGTGGCAATCCTTAAACTAATAGGAATTAGTAATTTCTGGGCCAGGTGCAGTGGCTCATGCCTGTAATCCCGACACTTTCGGAGACAGAGCTGGGTGGATCACTTGAGGTCAGGAGTTCAAGACCAGCATGACCAATATAGTGAAACCCCGTCTTTACTGAAAATACAAAACTCAGCCAGGCACAGTGGCGCACGCTTGTAGTTCCAGCTACTTGGGAGGCTGAGGCAGGAGAATCGCTTGAACTCAGGAAGCATAGGTTGCAGTGAGCCGAGATCATGCCATTGCACTCTAGTCTGGGCATCACAGCGAGACTCCATCTCAAAAAAAAAAAAAAAAAAAAAAAGGAATTAGTAATTTTATGCTGTCGCTGTCGAAGGACTCTAAAGTAGACTACAGACAGAGCCCTGTATTAGGAATAGGAGGATAGGGTCCTATGGGGAAGCCGAACAAAGGGATAGACTCTAGTCAAGACAGTAACAGAATTCCTCTCTGGGCCAGGTGCAGTGGCTCATGCCCAGCACTTTGGGAGGCAGAGGCAGGTGGATCACTTGAGCTCTCTCTCGAGTTTGAGAATTCCTCTCTGAAGTGACATTTAAACTAAGACCCGAGGCCAGGTGCAGTGTCTCATGCCTATGATCCCAACACTTTGGGAGGCCCAGTCAGAAAGATTGCTTGAGGCCAGGAGTTTGAGACTAGCCTGGGCAATGTAGCAAGACCCTCATCTCTACCAAAAAATTAAAAATTAGCTGGTCATCGTGGCACACGCCTTTAGTCCCAGGTACTTGGGAGGCTGGGATGAGAGGATGGCTTGGGCCCAGGAGTTCAAGGCTGCAGTGAGCTGAGATCATCCCACTGCACTCCAGCTGGGCAACAGAGTCAGACCCTATCTCTAAAAAATAAAAAATAAAAAAAAAAGATAAACTAAGACTTGAAGGATGAGTAAGAATTAACCACAGGATGGAGGAAGGTATATTTGGGGTGAAGCAGGCTGGGAGTCTAGAGACAGGACATGGTGATTAAATGGCCATAGGGCATGAGGCAGGAAGAGCCATGGGGTGCCCTGGTTTCAGAGAAAAGAGCCTCAGCCACTCCTTTCCTCTGTTAATGTCTTTGTCATTTGTTTCCTCTAGGACCTTTTTGTCTGCAAAAAGAGGCCTTAAGTATCCCAGAAGCCTGGGTTTCATTTCAGGGGCCCAGCAATCTCTGCCCATTACTTATGACAATGAACTTAGACTGCATTATCAAGGGGGAAAGTAATTTCTGAAATACATTATATCATTAAAGTGATTATATCATTAAAGTGCTCCTGTGGTGCTTTTAAAATTCTCATTCACCACGTCTCTTACTTTCAAAAATGATACCTATAGTTATTAGAAGAAAATACACCTTTGAAACTGAAATCTTTTGCACAGAAAAATGCTTCTGAATCTGATATTTCTTTTCCTTAAAATATTCAGCCCAGTGATCATTTTTTCATCACGTGGGATAAGGGGTACGTGGGGAGGAGGGTCTGTAATTATCTGGAAGACAGAATTGCCTCCTATTTAGGCCAAAGGGAGCTGGACCTACACAATGGGAAGAAATTGCTCCTTAGCTTCTCAGATCAATGGTCAGATGTTGGAAATGCCTTTTGTTGTACCAAAGAAACAACCTACTGGAGAGTTTATGATCTGGTAGTTCAATAGTCAGTCGTATATCTTTTATTTTGTTTTCCAAATCAATAAACACATGGGGACAGATTGGAATCAATATACCAATTATGACACTTTAAGAATACTAGTGGCCTCTCTTGAAATGGCCTGTCTTGCTCAATGAGGGGCCTGAATACAAAGCCGCTCCTGAAGAGCAAGAAAGAATTTGCTTGTTAAACACATGCTACTGGGCCTCCCCTCCCAGAGCTTCTGATTCAGTAGGACTGGGCTGGGGCCTAAGAATCTGCATTTCTCACAAGCTCCCAGGTGATGTGGATACTGCTGGTCTAAGACCATACTTTGAGAAATACTGATGAAGAAAAGCAGAAAGAAGGAAGGGAAGAAGGAGTGAGGAAGGGACAGAGGAAGGGGAGAGGGAGGGAAGGAGGGAGGAAGGAAGGAAGGAAGAAGGGAAAAAGGGAGGGAGGAAAGAAGGAAGAAAAAAGGGAGAGAGGGAGAGAAGGAGAGAGGAAATGAAAGAGGGAGAGAGGAAGAAAGGAAGGAAGGAAGAAAGGGAGGAAGAGAGGGTGGAAGAGAGGGAAGGAGGGAGAAAAGGGAGGAAAGAAGGAAGTGTTATAGAACCAACAGGTTTGTATGCCTGCTGTGCAGTCAGAGACCATTATGCTGAGACAGCAAGGTTTGCAACAGAGAAAAAGTTTGATGATCACAGGGCACCGTTGACAAGATGGGAAGAGACCCTCAAATCTGTCTCCCCCAGGAGTTCTGGGCTGGAGATCATGGAGGGTGAGGGGCTGGAAAACTGGAGTTGTTGATTGGTCAGGGTAAGAGAGGGTGAAATCATCAGGAAGTGAAACTGCATTCTTCAGTGAGTCAGCTTCTGGTAGGTTCCTTCAGACCACCTGACCTCAGTAGCTTCACTGGTGCCCAGGACCTGAAAGAATATCTCAAATGTAAAATGTAACATTTTGTAATGTTCAAGTTGTTATTTGTAGAGCAGTTAAGGGGATATGTAACAGGTTCCGTGTGATTCTGGGGCAATAGGCAGCAAACCACTATGAGGAAGGGTCAGAGAGCAGCTGACCCCCGGACTAATGCTGAGTGTGTGCAAGCCTGCTGTATTTTTGTTTCTCTCCCTCCCTTCTTCCCTGATTAATTTTGTAAAGTTTATAGCGATGGTTTTGGAAGGAAGGAAGGAAGGAAGGAAGGAAGGAAGGAAGGAAGGAAGGAAGGTTGGTTTTGGAAGGAAGGAAGGAAAGAAGGAGGGAAGGAGGGAGGGAGAGAAGGAGGGAAGGAGGGAAGGAGGGAAGGAAGGAGAGAAGGAGGGAAGGAAGGAGGGAAGGAGAGAAGGAAGGAAGGAAGGGAGGGAGCAAGGGAGGGAGGGAGGGAACAGCTCAAACAAACAACCCCAGATGCATCAAATAGTAGACCCTTTTTTTCCTGTGATGATTCTTTGTTTTTGGCTCACTAACCATGGGGTCTCCATAGGCAGATGATGAGCAAAATGCTGTTGGTGGTGGGGTTGGTGGCTCAGAGATGGATGTTCAGAGCCCCGTGCCAAGTCTCTGTGATGGCAACAGAGCTCACAGGTGGGGTGGACAGTGAAAACAAAGCTGAGAAAAAAGGCAGGTGAGCCAACAGGTGGAGGGGATACCTCAGAGCTCCAGAATGCAAATGAATTGTCCAGGTATCTTATGAAAATGCAGACCCATTAGGGCTGAGGTGGGGTCTGAGAGTTAGAATTCGTAACAAGCTCCCAGGTGCCATTGATGCTGTTGGTCACCAGACCACACTTGGAGTAAGAAGGGTCTAGAGGCCACAGGTGAGAGGTCTTGGCGTTAAACACAGGGTGTCTGTAGCAAGAGACTTGGAAACAGTCATTGCCATCCTCAGCCCAGAGACCTCACGGACTCCACACATCACAGAGCATGGGGGTTCCCAGACCTAGGGGAGAAAAGGTCTTGTGAACAGTAAGTTAATCCACCCAGAGGCAGAAGCTTGAGTGAGAAAAGAGGGTAGATCCCATCAACTCACAATTAACTCAGAGTGATTTTAGACAAATCTTTATTTACTCAAGTTCCTTATTGAAAAATTGGAGAAATCTGCTTGAAATGGGATAATGCTTGCGAGCGCTTTTAAAAGTCCAAGCAAGGAATTCTTGTCTTTGAAGTGACTTCACTCCTCTAAGGGCTGAAACAGCAAAATCAAAGAATCCTAAGTCAGGAGCATCTTAAGAACCCCAAGACCAGGAATTCCTACTTGGGCTGGTCATTTGAATCATCTGGAATAATTTAATAAAAACACAAGTCCCAAGGCCTAATCCCCAGAGAATCTATATTTATTAATATAGATTAATTTACTAGTCTATAAATCTATATTTATTCATATAAGTGGCTCATGTGTATAACCCCAGCACTTTGAGAGGCCAAGGCAGGAGGATCACTTGAAATCAGAAGTTCGAGACCAGCCTGGGCAATATAGTAAGACCCCATCTGTAAAAAAAAAATTTTTTTAAAAAAGCTCACCAGATTACTCTTAACACCCATTTCTCTACTTTAAGCCCTATTTCAACACCGTATTTCAAGGCCTCTCAACCTCATTCCCAGGCATCAGCAGTACCAGCTTCCACTGTTCTCTCACCTCCTGGCTCTCTCTGTTGCTCTCTTCCATCCAGTCTGACTCATATACATATGTATTTTTAGTTAACTTTTTAAACGAGCCAATATTGATACATGATTATTAAAGCCTCATAGTTTACATCAGTGCTCACTCTTTGTGTAGCACATTCTATGGGTTTTGACAAATGCATAATGACGTGTGTCCACCATTATGGTATCATATAGAGTAGTTTTACTGTCCCCCCCAGTTTTTTGTGCTCCACTTCCGTCTCCATCTTTCCTCCAGCTCCAACCCCAACCCCTGGCAACTACTGGTATTTTTACTGTCTCCACAGTTTTGTCTTCTTCAGAATGTCATATAGTTAGGAGAGTCGTCCAGTACATTCATATTAAAGTGCTTTTGAGATCTGCTTCTTTCACTTAGCAGTATACTTTTAAGGTTCCTCCAGGTCTTTGCATGGCTTGATAACTCATTTATTTTTATTGCTGAATAACCCATTGTCTGGATGTAGCACAGTTTGCTCATCCATTCATCTATTGAAGGGTATCTTGGTTGCTTCTGTGTTTTGACAATTAGGAATTCATGTGCGTACTTTTGTGAGGACGTGAGTTTTCAGCTCATCTAGATAAATACGAAGGAATGCAATTGCCAGATTGTATGGTAAAATTATGTTTAGTTTTGTAAGAAAACACTGAATTATCTTCCAAAGAGGCTGATCATTGTATTTTTCCACCAGCAATTAAGAAGTCCTGTTGCTTGACTCATACATTTTATTTTATTTTATCGTTTTTATTTTATTTATTTATTTTTTTATTTTTTGAGATGGAGTCTCGCTCCGTCGCCCAGGCTGGAGTGCAATGGCACAATCTCGGCTCACTGCAACCTCCGCCTCCTAGGCTCAAGTAATTCTCCTGCTTCAGCCTCCAGAGTAGCTGGGATTACAGGTGCCCACCACCTGGCTAATTTTTGTATTTTTAGTAGAGATGGGGTTTCACCATGTTGGCCAGGCTGGCTTTGAACTCCTGACCTCAGATGATCCACCCCCCTCAGCCTCCCAAAGTGCTGGGATTACAGGTGTGATCCACCATGTCCAGCTTGACTCATATATTTTAAATTTACTTTGATCTAGTCAATCACTTGTTTGGAAACCTTCCATGGATATTTGCTACTTCAGTATAAAACCCTGGTGTAGGGCCAAGTGCAGTGGCTCATGCCTATAATCCCAGCACTTTGGGAGGCCAAGGCAGGAGGATCACTTGAGCCCAGGAGTTTGAGACCAGCCTGGGCAACACAGCAAGACCCATCTCTACAAAAAAATAAAAAATTAGTAGGGTGTGGTGGTGCACGCCTGCAGTCCCAGCTACTTGGGAGGCTGAGGTGGGAGGATAGCTTAAGTCCTGGAGGTTGAGGATGCAGTGAGCCATGATTGTGCCACTGCATTCCAGGCTAGGTGACAGACTGAGACCTTGTCTCAAAAAGCAAACAAACAAACAAACAAACAACAAACAAAAAACACTGGTGTGCTGGGGACAGATCTCAGCAAAACTGCTTGTTCTCAATATATTTCTGGCAATTCTCTCCTTCTGTAACCCAGGCTCCGAAATCCTCCCATTAATCCAATGAGCTGTTCTACAACTCTTTGAGAAAGCCTGCCCTGGAAGATTCTGTGCCGTTCTACTTTCCACCTTCCCTCACATTGCTTAATAGCTTTTTGTTTACCTAATTCTATCCATCTTGCAAGACAATCTTTTTTTTTAATTTATTTTTTATTTCAATCGGTTTTTAGGGAGCAGGTGGTGTTTGATTACATGAATAATCTTTAGTGGTGATTTCTGAGATTTTGGTCCACCCATCACCTGAACAATGTACACTGTACCCATTGTGTAGTCTTTTATCCCTCGCCCCCTCCCACCTTTCCCCTGAGTCCCCGAAAGTCCAATGTATCATTCTTATGCCTTTGCATCCTCATAGCTTAGCTCCCACTTATGAGTGAGAACATATAATGTTTGGTTTTCCATTCCTGAGTTACTTCACTTAGAATAATGGTCTCTAATTCCATCCAGGTTGTTGCGAATGCCATTATTTGGTTCTTTTTTATGGCTGAGTAGTATTCCATGGTATATATATACATATATCTCACATTTTCTTTATCCACTCATTGACTGATGGGCTTTTGGGCTGGTTCCAGATTTTTGCAATTGCAAATTGTGCTGCTACAAATATTGCAAGACAAATCTAAAGTGCATTTTCTCTGAGATTTTCCCTAATCGTCTTCTCTTCTGTCCATGCAGAATTGACTGCTGGTATCTCCTGCCACATTTCTGATCCCCTGTTAAAAATTTTTATGGGCAGCTAGACTGTTAAGCTCCTTGACAACAGGGTATTGACGGCACATGCCTTCGTTTCTCAGAATACGGCCTTGCACAGGCAAGTCAAAACTCAAGTAATAGATTTCCCACAAGTATGTGCAAAAGATAAACATTTGAGAGAGAGTTATTTATCTCAAAGGGAGTTACTCTGATGGTCCTCTCTGAGGAATGACATCAATGCTAGTTCACACTTCCCACCCCCAAAGGCTTCTGGAAAATTTTAGCATGATTTGAGTGAGTCCGAAGTTCCTTTTCAGCTTGATTATACCTATTAAGAACTGATCATTTTGTTTTGAAAATCAGTTGTTTTCTCACTGTACTCAATACATTTTCTTTGGTTAGAAATAGAAGAAAAAATAAGGGAACAAAGATTTTCATTCTTTATGCACAATATATTTTATATGATTAAAAAGTACGCATGGAAAGGAAAACAGTGAAGAACTTCAATACATTGAGATATTCCCTTAAAGAGTTCAAAGTACTTTCTAAATAGAAATGTCATAAATACCTACAACATATACATCTATGCAAGAACTATTATCATCTTTATTTTCTAAAGTCTAGAGTTAAAACCATATTTCCAGATATCCCAGAAGGACTCACGTTAGAATCCAGGACTCACTCCAAATCCCATGACTTTGGGGCTTAACACCAGGGGTTTGATACTTAAACATGAACAGTAGGAGCAGGCTCTGGCCATGGTGGAAGACACAGCTGTAGTGATGGAGGAGAAATCACACGTAGAAACATTTATTCAACCTCTTATCAGAAAGAGACTCACACTATGGCTCTTTGCTCATCCCCAATAACAGAGTCTTCCTTTTGGGTGTAAATCTTTGCTTTTGTCCATGGACAAAGGTAAAAACTCCTGGAGAACAAATAAAAAACATCGGTTATGCAGAACTCATTATGTATAAGCCGATTAGAAACTTTACTAAGGGTGGTTTTCTAAAGGGTAAGGAAATGGAATTTGAGAGCAGGGAAACATAGAGGGGAAAGACAGAAGGAAGAAGAGGCCAGGAAGAGGGAAGGCAAAACTCCTGCTTCATAACGGTGCCAGCCCTTACTCTGTAATATCCTTAATCACAGACCAGACAGGTCTGGGGATGCTGAAAGTGGATCTGGAGAGGATAGGAGCCTGGGTCTTCAGATATGTCATAGAATTCCTCTGGGTCAGGTGACTGCATCCCAAAGCCAGATTGAAGACATTTGGGATTATTTCTCTGCTTTATACAGCAGAGAAGGTGACCTTTTAAAATGTACTGTTTAAAAAGATTACATCAGTAACATACGTAGAGATAAAATATTACGTACCTCCCCTTTAGATATATGCGTGTATATTTATGAAGACACATATACATTTTTCTTTTCTTTTTCTTTTTTAAGACAGGGTCTTGCTCTGTCACCCATGCTGGAGTGCAGTGTTGCAATCATAGCTCATGGCAGCTTCGAACTCCTGGGCTCAAGTGATCCTTCCACCTTAGCCTCCTGATTAGTTGGGACCACAGGTGTGTGCCACCATGCCTGGCTAATGCTTTTTAAAACAAATTTTTTAAAGAAGGGGTCTTGGTATGTTGCCCAGGCTGGTCTCTAACTTCTGGGTTCAAGTAATCCTTTTGCCTTGGATTCCCAAAGTGCTAGCATTATAGGTGTGAGCTACTGCACCCGGCCATTTTTCCTTTTCTTGATTTTCATAGATGGGATGGTACTATGTGTATGTTAGTGGCTAACATTTTGAGGAGTGCTTACATGGCACCATGTACTGTTATAAGTCCTTTACATGCAGTATCTCATTTTAGTCTCACGATAACCCTACTAGGCACTATTTGTATCCCCATTTTACAGATAGGAAACTGAGGCACACATAGGTTAATTGGCTTGTCCAATTTCACATAGCTGGGAGGTGGCAGAGCTAGGGTTTGAGCCCCAGTGGTCTGGTCATAAACTCTTGCTTGTAACCACTAAGTCAGACTCTTTCTCGTGTTGACTCTATACCTTAATTTTTATTTTTCATTAAAAGATGTATTTTCTGGATGTATTTCCATGTTAGTTCATCTTATCTTTTTAGTGCCTGCATAATGCATATAATTTCATTCTGTTATGCTCTATGTTTTATTTTATTTTATTTTATTTTATTTTTGAGATGGAGTCTCTCTCTGTCCCCCAGGCTGGCGTGCAGCGGCAAGATCTCGACTCACAGCAACCTCTGCCTTCCGAGTAGCTGGGATTACAGGCATGCGCCACCACGCCCAGCTAAGGTTTTTTTTTTTTTTTTTAAGGTGGAGTCTCGCTCTGTTGCCCAGGCTGGAGTGCAGTGGCATGAACTTGGCTCACTGCAACCTCCGCCTCCTGGGTTCAACTGATTCTTCTGCCTCAGCCTCCCCAGTAGCTGGGACTACAAGTGCACACCACCATGCCCAGCTAATTATTGTATTTTTAGTAGACACAGGGTTTCACTGTGTTGACCAGGCTGGTCTCGAACTCCTGACCTCGTGATCCACCCGCCTCGGCATCCCAAAGTGCTGGGATTACAGGCGTGAGCCACCGCGCCCGGCTTCTGTTTTATGTAATGATTTCCTATTGATGTTTAGATTGTCAGCTTTTTTGTTATTGTTGCTCTTACTGCTGCAATAAGCCTCCTCCATCCTCATATAAGGATCTCCGTGCACACATACAGACGCCTGGAACTGTAATTGTCGAATGAGGAGACATGCACCTGAAAAACTGTGACTGATAAGTGCCAAATTGTCCTCCAATTTTCACTCTCACCAGCTGTGTATGAAAGTGTCCATCTCCCCCAGAAATAACTCTGGATATGAAAAAGTGTACAATTGTTGGTGAGCAGAGCGAGTTTAAGTGATCAGCAGGCGTTTCCTGCTTCCCACTGGGAAGGAGTAGAGGAGGTGGTTGTGAGGAGTTACCAACGTTACAAAAGACCCTGCGCTTCAACTTGTAGATACACACCCTCCACCCCTTGCTTCTGCACCTTGTGTCACCCGACTGCACGCCACTTGCACGGAGAATGATTTGGTGGAACATTTTTTTTACCCCTATGAATTTGCTTAATGGATCGATTCTTTAAAATGAGGTGCTACATACTCACAGTAAAGTACATAAAGTGCCCTCTGCTTAAGCGTACAGCTTGATGGGTTTTGCTACGTCCATGCTCCATAACCACCACATCTCCACACGGGACATTCCCAGCATCTTGGAAGCCCTCCACACTCACCACTGCCTCTCCAAATGTGACCACCACCTAAACTTCTATTGTTATAGATTCACTTTGCTTGTTTTTGAACTTTATATAAATGGAATAGTAAAATTGTTACTCTTCTGGTGTCTGTTTTTCTTTTTTCCACTCAATATTATTTTTGGGATTTATCCTTCCTGTTGTAGGACATAGTAGCTTATTCATTTTCATTGTTGTGTATATTTCACTGCATGGATATCCCATCATTTAGTTATCCATTTGCACTGTTTCCAGTTTAGGGCTATTCTTGCATATGTCTTTTGGTGAACACATTGCGTATATACTGAAGAATAGAATTACTGGATCCTAGGATTCACATAAGTTCAGTTTTAATAGATACTTGCAACCAGTTTTCCAAAGTGATTGTACCAATTTATACTGCTACAACCATAACTAAGAAAATGAAATGGCAAGCCATAAAATGGGAGAAGATACTTGCAATATATTTCCTAACAAAGGATTCACATCTAAAATATATAAAGAATTCCTACAAATCAATAAGGAAAAGACAGACGACCAGAAAGAATCATTCAAAAGTCTTGAATAGGCAGTGGAAGTAGTTCCCATTGCCTCACAACCCACTGGTTGTATTAGTTAGGGCTCTCCAGAGAAATAGAACAAATAGGCCATAGGAAGAGATTCATTATAATGAATTGGCTTAAGGTGATTATAGAGGCTGAGAAATCCTGTGATCTGCCATCTGCAAGCTGGAGACCCAGGAAAACCAGTGCTGTGATTCCAGTCTAAGTCCAAGTCCAAAGGCCAGAGCCAACGATGTGAATCCCAGTCCAAGGGCAGCAGAGGACTGATGTCCCAGCTCAAACAGGAAGGCTGGAAGCAAAATTTGGCAAATTCACTCTTCGCTGCTTTTTTTGTTCCATTCAGCCCCTCAACGGATTGGATGGTACCCATCCACACTGGGGAGGAAAACCTGCCTCACTGAGTCCACTCCTTCAAATGCTAATCTCATCCAGAAACACCCTCGCAGCCACATCCAGAAATATGATTTAATGAGGCACTCTGTGGCACAGTTTAGATGACACCTAAAATTAACCATCGCACTAACGCTTTATGCGGTCAATATTTTAATAATTTTGAAACATTTTGATGTGTGTCTACAGACACCTCATTGTGGTGTTTTTTGGGGTTTTTTGTTTTTGTTTTGGTTTTGTTTGTTTTTTTTTTTTTGAGATGGAGTCTCACTCTGTTGCTCAGGCTGGAGTGCAGTGGCGTGATCTCAGCTCACGGCAACCTATGCCTCCCAGGTTCAAGCGATTCTCCTGCCTCAGCCTCCTGAGTAGCTGGGACTACAGGCGTGTGCCACCACCCCCAGCTAACTTTTTGTATTTTTTTAGTAGAGACGGGGTTTCACCATGTTAGCCGGGATGGTCTCAATCTCCTGACCTCGTGATCCGCCTGCCTCAGCCTCTCAAAGTGCTGGGATTGCAGGCATGAGCCACCGCGCCAGGCCTCATTGTGGTTTTAATTTGCATTTCCTTGATGAGTGATGGAGTCGAATACTTTTTCCTATGTTATTGGCCATTTGGATATTGTCTTCTGTGTTTATTCAAGACTTTGTAATGTTTCTTTGCGGTCATCTACCCTTTCCTTATTAATTTGTAGGAATTCTTTATATATTTTAGATACGAATCCTTTGTTAGGAAATGTATTGCAAGTAACTTCTCCCACTTTGTGGCTTGCATTTTTATTTTCTTAGTTGCGACTTTTGATTAACAGAAGTTATATATACACTTTTTTTTTTTTTTTGCAAATGCAGGGCGCCATGATATTCTACACACATGGGGATATGGGGGTGCCGCCATGTTGCCAGGCACATGTGAGGGCAAGGAAGAGGGTGAGAATCGCCATGTTTGGGTGGACCCATTTTCTAATGGCCAGCATTTATTTGCATATCAGAGGTTGCCGGCCTAGCTCTAAGAGCCGGAGCTTTCCTGCTAGATAAGAAACTTTTCTTTAGCTGCTTTAAAAGAAACAAAAACTTTCCAAGGACCGCTTTCCCTATCTGCCTAAAATAATTTCTTATTAACTCCTATAACATTATGATGTTCACACGATGATGAAATTGCCTTCACATTTCTCATAACATATCCCCACTGTTAAGTGACACACAACTGTACCATGTGTGTTCCTTATTTTGTCTATTTCCCCCACTAGAACGCAACCTCTTTCTCTGACAGCCAAGGTTTTTGTCTTCTTGGCTCTCTGCTGTCCCCTCAGTGTCTAGCATAGATGCCCGAGTGAGGCTTATGATGTTGTGAGTGTTCATGAGTGTTCAATGAGATCATGTCTGTAAGGCAGCAGGAACAGTGCCCAAAGGCCAGGAGAGCCTCAGGACCTGGTGGTGTCTGCCATCATTGTTCTGACGGTGGGGAGGTGGCAGGTGACTTCTCTGTGCCTCACAATCTGTCCAGGGCCGTGCTGGGGTCTGTCCACCATCAAGGGCCTCTGCAAGAATAAAGAAGTGAGGTGCCTTATGTGAGCCCTTCAGGCACTGAAGCTTCCAGAGGGCCCCCTCCCTACCATGACACCGGGCTCCACCCCCAGCGCTCCCCAGGACAGGGCTTGAACGCTCCCACGGATCGCAGCAGGCCCCTCCGCTCCTGTCTGGCACCTCATTATCAGAAAGATGTGGACCCACTGGAGCGAGTTCAGAGAAGCGCAGCAGCCCCAGGGAGGCGAGGTCGCGGGCTGATTTACGAGGCAAGGCTGGAGGGGGATCACGAGAGCAGAAGACACCCTGGGAGAGCAACTATGAGATGTGTGCGGCTGGCGTGGGGTGGGTGTTTCTTGAAACATTCCAGGATGAAACAAAGGAGAGAAGCTTTGAGACTGGCTGTGGCGGGAGGTGTCCCTGACAAGGAAAGCCTCACATCAGCAGAACATTCTTTCCACAGGAGAGTGGGAGGCTACTATTTAGAAAGCAACAAATTAGACAAGATCCAGCACGGTGAACTGTGATTGATGAAACTCCCTGAACCAGCCTGGATAGGATATCTTTGGTCTCTAGGACACTCAAGACATTGCCAAGGATCCATGATCTTGTCATCCTCATCCTGTCAGGCTCAAAGAGCAACGAGGGGAGCATATTTAACTTGCTCAAATGAAAATAAACATGGACAAGTCAGGGAAAGGGTTGGGGAGAATTCTGGAGTGTTTACACATGACGATCTGCTAGGCCATGCCTCTCAATAAACCTATGCCTTAGAGAAAGGTTTTTCAGCCTCAGAGTTCTTGACATTTTGGGCCAGATCATTCTTTGTTTTATGGTGGCTGTCCCGTGCATTGGAGGATATTTTGCGGCATCTCTGCCTCTACCCACCAGATGCCAGGAGCCTTCTACACCAGTCATAATAAAAATGTCTCCAGACATTGCTACAGGTCCCCCTTGGGGGCAAAATCACCTCTGGTTGAGAACCACTGCCCCGGGTGAGCTGAGCATGAGAATCTGCTCTCTGTTCTGTCTGTCTTGAAACTCAAGGCTTTGACATGTTGTGAGCATCTTGCCATACTGAACATGTTTCAGAGATATTTCTTCTACTGCGCAGCTTGTGGATGTAATCCAGACACCCTGGGGTGAAGAAAAAGCTACCCCATGTTGGGCTTATTGAGAGATGATCTTACATGGAGACTTCCAGAACACTTTTTTTTTTTTTTTGTAGAGATGGGGTCTGGCTACATTGCCCAGGCTGGTCTCCAACTCCTGGCCTTAAGTGAACCTCCCACCTGGACCTCCCTAAGTGCTGGGATTACAGGCGTGAGCCACTGCACCCTCCCCCTGGAGCATTTTTCAAGGATCTCTTTGACTCTGTATGACTTTCATCTTATCCTCTAACTATAGAGCCTGATTTGTAAGTAGGGCGCTCTCCATCATAATAATCTTTGGCCACTCCTGGGATCATAAGAAAGACTGATGGATTTCAAAGTATTTGGAAAATAGAGGCAGGCAAATTGCTGTTCTTGAGAAGGGAGGTGTTGACAATTGTGCTAAGAGTGGAAGCGTGGCATAGAGGTTATGATCCCTGAAACTCATGTGGACAATGAATGCCTCGAGATAAAGGGTCAGCTGCTATAGCCAAGAGACCAAACACATGGTGCCTGAAGGAAGATAGATGTTTATTTCTCTCTCATGTAATGGTCTCCACATTGGAGGACTGTTTCTGCTAAATAAATCAGAGCATTGACCCTCACTGGCAAGGACCCAGGTGTCTGTCTTGTGATTTCATCATCTCCTAGGGTGTTGCCTTTGGCTGCAAAGCTGGGGCCAGGTCGTGAGATGTCATTGAAGGGAAAAAGAGAGAGCGTCTGGGACAGCAAATTCCTCTTGAGCAAGTGAGGCAGAAGTGGCATCTGTCTCTCTGAAAAGAACTTGGTTATATGGCCACACCCAGTCACATGGAAGGCTGGGGAGGGTAGACTTTACCTGTGTGGTCAAGTACTCGGGAAGTAGGGGAAAACAGGCCAGAGGAGGAAAGCAATGTCTACCGAACAAGAAATTCAAGTTCGAATCCTAAAGTAAAACACCCTTCAGCAAAGGACTAATCCATTTTTCACAGTCTCTCTAGATTGTATTTGATCTCCTCGAACTCCCTGCATGTCCCTGGATTTTGGGCCAAAGACTGTTTAAAGACAGGCATTCTGTCACTCCCAAAACACACTCCTGAGGGAGAGTCAGTTAAGCCATCTCAGGATAGGGGTTGCTTGAAAGCAGATGGGGGATGGCCCGAATTTTTGGTAGGTCCTCAGGGGCCTCCCTTGCTATGCTGGGATGTGGCCAAAATCACCTTATGGCTTTTGGGGGTTGTCAACAATGGGCAGACCAACATTTTCCTACTTCCCTGAAGAATTTCTGTGCTGGAGGAATTATCCTCCCAGCCTGGGGGCAAAGCTAACTGCATAACCAAAAGGCTCATGGAAAATAGTAGAAAAAGAACAAAAGTGGTCAGGTAAGGTGGCTCAGGCCTATAATCCCAGCACTTTGGGGGGCCAAGGCAGACAGATCACCTGAGGTTAGGAGTTCAAGACCAGCCTGGCTGATGCAGCGAAACTTCATCGCTACTAAAAATACAGAGTAGCTGGGTGTGGTGGTGTGCGCCTGTAATCCTAGCTACTCAGGAGGCTGAGGCAGGAGAATCACTTGAGCCTGGGAAGCAGAGGTTGCAGTGAGATAAGATTGTGTCACTGCAGTCCAGCCTGGGTGACAGTGAGACTCTGCCTCAAAAAAAAAAAAAAAAGTTTGGGAGGCCAAGGAGGGTGGATCATCTGAAGTCAGGTGTTTGAGACCAGCCTGGTCAACATGGTGAAACCCTGTCTCTATTAAAAACACACAAAATTAGCTGGGCATGGTGGCAGGTGACTGCAGTCCCAGCTACTTAGGAGGGTAAGGCAGGAGAATCACTTGAACTCAGGAGGTAGAGGCTGCAGCGAGCCGAGATTGCACCACTGCACTCCAGCCTGGGCGGCAGAGTGAAACTCCTTCAAAAAAAAAAACAAGCTAATTGAAAAGGAACAAGAGAGCCTCCTCTTGCCCTTGGTTTTTGGTCCAGGTTCTTGAGCAGAGTCCTGGGACCGGTGCCTGGACAGGACTAGGAAGGGAACAAAAATGAGCCCCTTCCTTTCCCACCTCCTAGACAACCTCAGGAAGGGCTAACCAAAGGAAAGAGACTGGGAGGGGACAGAGGACAGGTCAGAGGTGAGGGGGGGTGAGGGAGGGGTAACCGAGGGCTGCATGCCCTGCCCCTGATACTTGTTTTTCCTATGGGGAAATCTGATCCCAGTTCAACCCACCACCAAGATTCCCTGAACTCAGGTGAAGTAAGATGCCAGGCAGCCTATTTGACATGTACACAAAGCCAGCCCGACTCCCCAGTCATCTGCTGTTGGAAGTACCCAAAAGGACAGCTGCATGGGAGCTCTGCTGGTCGTCTGACACTTGTCACAAGCCCAGGGTGTGGGGAAAGGGTGGATTAACCACAGGAAGCCTGGCACAGCCAGAACACCCCTGGATCCTCTATCTGGGGAGAGTGTCTGGTTACCACGCGCAAATGATATGCAGAATTTCTCATGCCTGTAGAGTTTGCCGTGGTTCTCTGTTCTTAGGGGGGCTTTTGCGGTTAGCAGATGTGGCTGCATGGTAGAGTTTTATCAAATCACCGTGGCCTAATCCAAACACCAAGAAATTCTGATTTCATTGGTCTGGAGGAACACAAACAGCAGTCTTTCTGAATGTGCCTCCAGGACTAAGACCCACTGACATGTGGGATCTCAAGTGATCTTCCAGTTACCCCACTGAGAAAAGGGGGACGTTTTATGGATAAGGAAACAGTCTCAGAAAATGAGATGACTTGCTGAAGATTATGTGCAGACAGGTCAGTAGATTCTCTTGTCCAGAAACCACAACGTAATTGTCTCTTGGAGGAAAAAAAATAATGTTTTTAAAAGTGGATTCATAGGTTGTGTGGTGTCAACAGATACTGTGATTTTATTTGACTCTTACAAAGTGAGGGAAGGAAAGCCATCTGAGTATCTGGGACCCCACCTGCATTCTCCATGTGTCGTGCTCAGATGCGGGAGAGTAAGGAACATTCAGCCAGTGATTGACATGTGTTTCCAATGCATGAACATTTGTTCCACATGTTTTTGGGCTCTCCAGGAAGCTCAGCCATCAGATATTCATGTCTCATTTTTTTTTTTCTTGTCGGGCACAAGACAAGGGCTCCCTCCACGTTGGAGAATTCTACTCTCCCGTGGCTACCCTTGATCACTCACTGCCGCCTTCCTCGAGAAAATATCACCCCAGGGCCTGAAATCAAGCTGTCTAGTGCAGAGCCTGGAACGTCTGAATCTCAAAGACAGGCTTGAACTAGAATTTCTGGCTTGAGACGTCTTGAGGCCTGTGGAGAACTAGTACAAGAGTAATCTTGTATTGAAGAATAAATTTGTAACGCTGCAACAAGACCCTCATGAGGTTTGGGGATCCTGACTTGTAAACGGGGCTCTTCTCGCAGCTGCCTAAGGATGTTTAGGGTGCGCATCCACGACTCCCAGGATGGGAGAAAGAGTTAAGCTAAGGGACACTGTTGCCTTTGGTGTGGTAATGGAAGTGCAACTGTTGTGTACATGCATGATTCCTCCCACGTGCAGCACACATAGTATACATACATCCAACACACGTGACACCCAGAATATGTACACTCCACACACGCTCACACAACACCTGCATACACAACACACACATGCAACACACAAAATTCACAGTGCATGTGCACATAATTCAAGTTCACACAACTCCTGTATACACAACACACATGTAGCACACACAACACTCAATGTGCACTCAATGCAAGCTTACAACACACATGACACATGCATGCACACCACACACACGTGCAATACACAAAATTCACAATACGTGTTCACTCAACACATGTATATACACACCACACAGGACATACCATACATGTGCACACAACACAAGTTCACACAACCCACATAGCACATGCATATGCTTCACACACACATGCAACACACAGGACACACAGCACATGTGCACTCAGTGCAAGCTCACACAACACACACAACACATGCATATACACCGTACACACATGCAACACAAGCAACACAGTACATGTGTACTCAGCATACACCCAAGCCGGCTTCTTAGGGACCTCACTGAGCACTTCCAATAACCAGCCAGCAGGGGACAGCATTGCAAAGGCTTTGCAGGACAGGCGAGCTCCCTCAGGAGGCAACAAGTGTCAAAGATTCATCAACTTTACAATCTACATCCAGTGCCTACTATGTGCCAGTCATTTTGCTAGGTGCTTCCAGCCATGATAAAAACGGAAATGTCTCTTCCTTCAAGACTAAGCTTCCTTCAAAAACTCGAGAGGTGGAAGATGGCGTGGGAGTAAGGGGTTGCAACCGAGAACCACCACGTGGCCACCTGGCTCCGAGGCTGGGCTTGGGTAGGAGAGTCGCTGCCTTGGATCTAGCTCTGCCACTTAGTTTCTGCCCCTTTACTGTAACATGAAGTGGCTGCTACAGCAGCACTGTCTCGCAGAAATACGGTGTGAGCTGCACATGCGATCCAAACTAAATTCTTTAATCACGCCATTAAAAACGGGAGAAGGAAGCAGGTGAAATTAATTTTACTCGTATGTTTTATTTAACCCAGTATATCAAAAATAGTAATATATAGGGCCAGGCGAGGTGTCTCATGCCTGTAATCCCAGCACTTTGGGAGGCCGAGGCGGACGAATCACCTGAGGTCGGGAGTTCGAGACCAGCCTGGCCAACATGGTGAAACCCCATCTCTACTAAAAATACAAATCTACTAAACATACCAAAAAAAAAAAAATAGCCAGGCATGGTGGCGGGCATCTGTAGTTCCAGCTACTAGGGAGGCTGAGGGAGAAGAATCGCTTGAACCTGGGAGGCAGAGGTTGCAGTGAACAGAGATTGCTCTACTGCACTCCAGCCTGGGCAACAGGGCAAGACTCCATCTCAAAAAAACAAAACAAAACAAAACAAAATAGTAATACATATATTCACTGTGTAATATAAAAAGATTGAGCTAATTTACATTCACTTTCTGTACGAAGTCTGGGTGTATTCTACGTTCACAGCATGTCTCAATTCGGACCGCCTGCACTCCCTGCGCTCAATTGCCACCTGTGGCCGGGGCTTGCAGTATTGAACAGCCATCCAACTAGAGTTTTCAGGCCTTGCAGGGTGTTAGAATCACCTGGGTGGCGGGGGAGTGGCTATGAAAAAATTTCTTGTGCCCAAAACAACAAACAAATGCAGTGCTCGGGCCCTACTATATTAATTCTAGTCTGTCTGAGAGCCTGAGGCTGTCACCCAAATACCAAATGTCAGCCTAGCCCATTTGCTTTCCCTTTTCCAGTGTGCACCTCCTTCCTTCACATCACATCACACACACACACACACACACACACACACACACACACACAGTTTGGAGTCTGAAATTAGGAGGATCACTTGAGCCCACGAGACAGAGGTTGCAGTGTGCCAAGATCACACCACTGCACTCCAGCCTGGGCAACAGAGTGAGACTCTGTCTCAACAACAACAACAAAAAATCCAAACCACAACATAAAACAGAGGGATAAACAGAAGAGACAGTCGTGCTGTTCTGCATCTCTTGGTTGCTGGACCCTGTAGGTCCCACAACCTTTGCTGACATCCCTCAGAGAAGCTCCATCACTTTGTCCTCCTGCCCCCAGCAGATGCCAAGCCCCAGAAGGGCCCCTCCTCTTGTCACTGTCCCTCCAGGTCTGGCAGAGCCAGTTCCTTTGTCGGTGAGGAAGCTGTGATCTTGGGAGCAGTGGCCCTTTCCTCTCTGGGTGGAACACGGAGCTCAGCCTCTGCCCTCCCTCTCTCTGCTCCTCTTTGTCACCTTCCACTCACAGGCCTGGGAAAAGGACCCTCAGGGCTCCTTGCCTGCAGTCCTTTTGGTTGGCAGGAGCTGCTGATTGGCATGGGCTGACAGCTTTCCCGAGGGGGATGTCTGGAGGCCACCAGCTGCCTCCACACACAGGTGCCCAGGTGTGTGGCTGCTTCAGCTCCAGCAGCCACCGCCTTTCTGGGGAAAATCTATGCAGGACTAAGGGCTGAGGGAAAGCCCTATGTACTTTGGGACCCCAGGACAAGAGGATAATTGTGCAAAATCCCATTGACATCACTTTCTCTCTGTAGGGAGCTGCAGATTAATGGTAAAAAAAAAAAAACAAAAAAAAAACACTAATGAGCAAAGTAACTCCTAGTTACCCCATCCAGGTTGGGGAAGAGAAGTTTGGAGACACTAGTGTCTCTAGTTATGTAGCATTTATTTTCTAGATCTAAGCGTCTACTGTTCCATGGTATTAGCTGTCCTTGGAAGCATCCCTAACCTTCCCAACCCTCTGTTACTTCATCTGCAAAATAGGAATACCTGATGTGCCTGGCTCTCAGAGTTGTTGTAAAAACGGAAAGAAAACAGCAGCTGAAAATTGTCAAGGACTGTGACAGGGCTGAGGTTTTTACCCCATTTGTCAGGTTACAAGTGGGCCTGCCAGTTTCATGAATGGGGATAGAAGACACAAGACTCCTGGGTCAGAGCCAAGGGAATTTATTACTCACTGCAACAGCAGTAGCCAGAGTCTCGGCATTTTCTTGTGTGGGATCCGTAGACTCCAATACCCAGAGCGCGATGTGAAGAGGCCGGGTGAGACGGTCACACCAGGCAGGAACCTGAGTTTAGGAAAGTCACTTATTTTTAGTATGAGTAGGAAGCCTGCCTGACCTTTGTCCCTGAGAGAGACATTATCTTTATTCTACTGGGCAGTAAACAAACCTGCCCTTTCCTCTGGAGACAGAGACACTGACTGTATCTTCCCAGGCTGCTCTCTGCACAAACACCCTTGGAAAGCTAGTCCGGAACAAAAGCGGTCCGTGTCTCTCTTGGCAAAACAGGCTTCTGCCTTTCCAGGCAAAAGACCCGTGGAGAATTTTCTCCCCACCAAGCACTATTGAGAAAGTGCAAGTGCTATGCATGTGTAAAGTACTTTAACCTCATTTACCCTAACAATTGCCCTGTGAGGTGGGAAGGGGTAAAAATAACCCTATCATGATGCTTATGTGGAAAGAGAGTCAGGCATGAGAGGTTCAGCACGTGTCCAAAGCCACCCAGCTATTTGGTGAATCACCATGTCTAGCACTGAGAAATCTAGGCTCTAGGCCCTCTGCTATTTCTACTACACCACTGGCAAGATCATCTTTAATGCCCCTCAAGCCTCACTCATTCCCACTAGAATCTACAAATTGTGACAGGCCATCAACAGTGAGAAGTCAGCACCATTAGAAACTTCTGCAGTTTCCAAGGCTGAGCTCATTTGAAAGCAGGCGATGCGTGTGTTAAATAACCAGGCTTTGTTTTGGGTTATCAAAATTCTCCCACGGTCTGCTCCAGCATGCCAACATGGGTGTTGGGGGGTTACAAGGGAGTTTGCGGGCACTCGGAAGCAATCGAGACCCCGTGACCTGCAGAGTGGTGAGCAGGACTCAGGCGTATGGGAGTGGGAAGTCACTGACCCTCACACCTGCATGGATGTTGCTGCTCTTCTGCTTTGCAGAAGAGGGTTCATACCCGTTCTTTTTGTGCCAGGAAGAAGGACAGGCTCAAAGGTTCTGTGGCCTGTGGCTTGAGGTCTCCCTGTTGTTCAACAAGTGTCAGCAAGGGTCTCTGGCCCTGGAGGGGCTCTCACTGAGCTCCCGTGGGAGTGGGACATGTAGGAGCCCCAGTTCCTACACTGTCTCCTAAGGGGCTCCAGCTTGGCTTGGACCTCTTTCCTGGTGCACAGTATGACTGCTGATCGACACTCACTGAACACTTAGCAAGTTCCAGGCACTGTGCTATGCCAAGCCCTTCCCACACATCATCTTATTTAATCCTCACAACAACCCTTTCTATGGGTGACATGCCTGCATCGCATGGTAAGTGACAAAGCTCCAACTCATTGCAGATCTTATCTGGCTCTGAGGCCCAGATATGCTTCCAACAAAGGACTTGTGAGTTATCTTCACATTTTTAGAAATAAAGTTGGGGTCCAGAGAGCAGAGCCCCTGAAAGCCTCTCTTTTCTGCCAGCCTGTCGCAGCAAAGTACTTCCAACTAGATCTTTAGGTAGACAGGTCTGCAGGTTCTGCTTGTAGGAAAAACAGCAAGCAATTAGCACAACCCGCCTGGATGTGGGGCTCAGTGAACCTGTCCTCCGTTGGCATGCACGTACGCTGCCCTCTAGCGTTGAAATGCCAGCAGGCGGCTACCTCTGCTCAGCTTGCACAAGAGGTCAGCCCCTCGCCTTCCCATGGGGAGCAGAACAGAGTCCGGCATTTCCCACTCTGGAGAATGGGCCACTTCCCACTGAGTGGCCTCTCCTACACAAAGGGCAAGGGACCCCACATGAAAATGTCCCGAGAAGTTTTGTGCTGCCTGGGTCAGCCGGCCACTTTCAGCAGGCTTCACTCTACAAGGAGCTTTTTCCTCTGAAAGTGACTTCTGTACACCAATTATTATGATCTGTCACCTCTGAAGCCATTTATTTCAATGGCTAGTGATAAGTATTGATACTTGACAGGATTTTCAACTTGGATTTCACAAACCTCAAGTATATTTTCTGTTCTCTCCCATGTCACTATTCCTTTAGAAACCAAAATTACATCAAAAGTGATTCACCTGATTGCAGAGCTCAGTCTGTGAAGTGGGTGCCTCCCTGCCACCCCGAGATTCCTAGATCGGCCATGAGCGAGGCATATCAAAGAGACCTGCCCTTTGATAACCACGTTTTATTTTCACCAGAAGGCATCTTCTCTCTATTGTATAATATATGATTCCAGGGTCTATGCAATGGTTCTGTAACTTCAAACTTCTCGAGATGAAGAGAAAAATGAAACCCTTTGTAGGCATCATTCACTGGAAGCACTCAAACTTAATAAAGATGATCTATTGTAAATGCAATACATTTTCTGCTGGGTTTAGCTTATTTATCTTCATGGTACAGCCTTATATATGTGGGATGGATTTGAACCAGATATAATATGGGTACAGTTATAACTCTGCAGGAAATCTCCTAAAAGTAACAGATCTTACCTTTGTAATAAAGATAGCCATATAAAATTTTTGGTATAAATCGTGCAGCACAAGATTGGCATAATTCAAGCATAGTGCGCCGTCTAAGTTCATGCATGTGGCGTTTCCCACAGGCAGAAATAACTCTTCCAATGGCTTCTATTTGTCCTTCCATAGTTGAAGACAAAGAAGACAGGCTCTATGGCAAAATTATGAGGCCACCAAAATCAATGCTCCAAGCCCCATTCTTCATATTTCTTCTTTTCTCTGTAGCAATTACAAGTTTTTCTTTTGTTTTCTAACCTTCTCAGGTTCAAAGTCAAACCTCCTAATAAGTTTTCTATTTCTGCAAAACAAATTGCTTCTACACTCAGCAGGTTTTCTTTTAGGTTTTTCTTTCTCTCTTTTTTTTTTTTTTTTTTTTTTGAGACAGAGCCTGGCTCTGTCACCTAGGCTGGAGTGCAGTGCAGTGGCACCATCTCAGCTCACTGCAACCTCTGCCTCCTGGGCTCAAACCATCCTCCCACCTCAGCTTCCCAAGTAGCTGGGATTACAGGTGCATACTACCATACCTGGCTAATTTTTATGTTTTTAGTAGACACAGGGTTTTGCAGTGTTGCCCAGGCTGGTCTTGAAGTCCTGAGCTCAAGTGATTGCCCCCCTCAGCCTCCCAAAATGCCGCATTACAGGCGTGAGCCACAGTGCCCGGCCCACACTCAGCAGTTTAAAAGAATAATAAACAATTACTGTTTCATGTTGTTTCCATGGGCCAGCACAGAGGAGTAGCTGAACTTGAGGGTTTGGAGGTCTCTCAGGAGGTTGCATTCAAAATGTCAGTGGCTGTGGAGGCTCCACTTGGGCTTGAAGATCCATGTCCATGGGGGATCATTCACAGGGCTGGCAAACTGGTGTTGGCTGTTGGCTGTTGGCTGGAGGCCTTAATTCCTCACGATGTGGGTCTCCCCACGGGAGTGCTGGAGCGCCTTTACAACATGGCAGTTGGCTTCCCTAAGAGCACAGGTTGGAAGCCATAGTGTATTTTATGATCTAGATTCAGAATTGGCACACCATAATTTTTGCAATATGCTAGGTGATTATAAAGTTCAACCTTATTTATTTATTTTTTTACTGTAAAAATTTTTTAACTTTTTAATTTTTTGAGTACATAGTAGTTATATATACTTATGGAGTATATGAGACATTTTGATACAGGCATATAATGTGTAATAATCACATCAGGATAAAGGAAGTATCCATCACCTCAGCATTTATCTTTTTTTTTTTTTTTTTTTTGAGGTGGAATCTTGCTCTGTTGCCCAGGCTGGAATGCAGTGGTGTGATCTCACTGCAATCTCCACCTCCCAGGTTCAAGAGATTCTCGTGCATCAGCCTCCCAAGTAGCTGGGACTACAGGCATGAGCCACCATGCCTGGCTATTTTGTTGTTGTTGTATTTTTAGTAGAGAGGGGATTCACGGTGTTGGCCAGGCTGGTCTCGAACTCCTGACCTCAAGTGAACCACCCACTGTGGCCTCCCAAAGTGCTTAGATTACAGATATGAGCCACCTCGCCTGGCCCACATTTATCCTTTGTGTTATAAACAATCCAATTATACTTTTTTAGTTATTTTTAATTGCACAATTAAATTATTGTTGACTATAGTCACCTGGTTGTGCCATCAAATACTAGCTCTTATTCATGCTGCCTATTTTTTGTACCCATTAACCATCCTCACTCCCCCCCTCCCTTCTATCCTCCCCAGCCTGTTAACCATCCTTCTACTCTCTGTCTCCATGAGTTCAATTTTTATTTTTAGCTCCCAGAAATACGTGAAAACATGCCAAGTTTCTCTTTCTGTGCCTGGCTTATTTCACTTAACATAATGACCTCCAGTTCCATCCATGTTATTGCAAATGAAAAGATCTCTTTATTTTTTATGGCTGAATAGTATTCCATTGTGTATATGTACCATGTTTTCTTTATCCATTTGTCTGCTGATGAATACTTAGATTGTTTCCAAATCTTGGCTAGTGTGAATAGTGCTGCAATAAACATGGGAATGCAGATATCTCTTTGATACACTGATTTCCTTTCTTTTGGGTATATATCCAGCAGTGGGATTGCTGGATCAAATGGTAGCTCTATTTTTAGTTTTTTGAGAAACCCCGTAACTGTTCTCTATAATGGTTGTACTAATTTACATTCCCACCAACAGTGTATGAGGATTCTCTTTCTCCACATCCTTGCCAGCATTTGTTACTGCCTGTCTTTTGGATAAAAGCTATTTTAACTGAGATGAGATGATATCTCACTGTAGTTTTGATTTGCATTTCTCTAATGGTCAGTGACATTGAGCACCTTTTCATATACTTGTTTGACATTTGTATGCCTTCTTTTGAGAAATGTCTGATCAGATCTTTTGCCCATTTTGAAATCAGCTTATTAGATTCTTTCCTATAGAGTTGTTTGAGCTCCTTATATAATCTGGTTATTAATCCCTTGTCAGATGGTTAGTTTGCAAATATTTTCTCCCATTCTGTGGGTTGCCTCCACTTTGTTGATGGTTTCCTTTGTTGTGCAGAGGCTTTTTAACTTGCTGTGATCCCACGTGTCCAATTTTTTTCATGCAATACTTGTTTTTTTATAGTAAATACAGATAAGCAATCCATTCATACCTACATACCCATAACCCCAATTCCAGAAGTCATTATTGTTAACATTTTGGTGAAAACATATCCAGGTTTGTTTGTTCTAAACTTTTGTTGTACTATGGTGTGGACCTCCTGCTCTACCAAAATAAAATAGCGGACCTGGTGTACCCTGCCTCCCTGTTTTGTCTAATACCTAGACACAAATTTGCTTCAAAACAAATATTTATTGATAAGTCATGTTATTGATATGTGCCAGGAATTTTGTTAGCCCCTGTGGATTTGCGAGACAGACACAGTCCAAACCCTCCAGACACTGTTGCCTAGGAGGAGGGGACAGTGACATTTGATACTTTCAGCACTCTCCATTACAGTCTTTACAGTGGTATGAAGGGGAAGCCTAAACCAGAACCGCCTAACCTCACCTGGCCAGGTCAGGGGAGCTGCTGCGGAACGTGAGGCTCAAACAGACATGGCAGATGAATGGAAATTGACAGAAGAGAAGGCGAAGGCCAACCAGCACAAATGACTGGCACACACACCGGCGCCAAGATAAAGGACCCAGAGGAGAGCTGGTGGATGGTCCATTGTACTGTGTCTGAAGACACCTCAAGTGGCTATGGGACCACTAGCATTAAAATCACGTATGTACTAGTTAAAAATGAAGTGTTCTGGCCCCCATGCCGGATGCACTAAATCAGCATCTTTTTCTCTTTTAACGCGTTCCAGGCACTGGGATACAAGTTGAAGTTTGATAGCCAAAGCCCTAGAGTCTCCATTGCTTGTGTGTAATGGCCGGGGAGCTCTTGCAGTGCAAGTCTTACAGGGTCTTCCAGAACCAGCTCAGCAAGGGACTCCACGGGAGGCATGGGGGACAGGCATATTTGCCGAACCACAAAAAGCAAATGAATGAAGGTTAGTTACCATATTTCATCAACTGCACGGGCACTTTTTTTTTCTCTCACATTTTAACTTCTCTGAAATTGGAATGCACTTATAATCAATGGCAAGTAGTAATTTCATCAATAGCCTTGTCTTCCTTTTTTGGAATGAAGCAAATAAAATGGCGTGCCTTCTGCGTGATGAAATACAGCAGTTGTCTTCCCCCACAGTCCCCCAGGCTCTCCTTCCTCATCGAGAAGACCCACCGAGGGGATAGTCTACATCCTTCAGAATATTTGCTGCCATGTTAATTTGTACTGCATGAACTTTCTCCTTGGACACAATTTTGCCCCTGATATCTTTCATCACTTTCTTCTGGCACCTGTTTCATTTTTGCCTTTAGTCACAGAGTCTCGTTTAAAAAAAAAAAATTGAAATCTGTTCCTGGGGTGCGTCTTCTGGATTTATAGAGGTATCTCTATAAATAAAAATCTCAATAACCAGGAAACTGAGTTCAGAATGCTTCCTCTGCAACTGAGACCAACTGAAAGAATGAAACAGAAAGGCAGAGCATTCAGGAGTGAAACTTGATATCTGAACAGAGAGGCCTGTTCTGGAATTTCCAAGGCTGTGGGCTCCATCTCGGGCAGGAAGGCAGTGACAAAGGCCCTTCCTGGGGACTTCCTAGTAGGATGCAGGGGTCTGTGTGGTTCCATCCCTCTCTGTGTCATCTAGTCCTAACCCTTCCTCTTCCCCGACCCCAGTCTCACCCACCAGCTGCCCCTGCCCCAGCTGCCCTGATGGTTTTCTTCTAAAGATGTTAGGACCCTCATGTACAGCCTCTGCCTCTGCAGAAAATGGGAAGAGCCTCCTCTGCAGAGCACACAATGATGGATGAGGTCTGCTGTTCCTAGAACCCAGAAACTTGGCATCTAGACCCCTGTGTTTGCCATTCACCTCTTCTCATGTATCCCTATTATGAACAGCAAGGGCCACTGTCCAGGCAAAGTCATTTCCTCTATGGAAGGGGCATCTCCCAGGAATGTGAGAGTTTGCACTTGACAGACCCTGGAACTAAATTACACAGACAACTGCTTACAGATAACCCTCTTGGCCTTGTGGCTGCTCCCTTGTTAAACTGAAGGCACTACTAACCCGCCCCCAACCTTTTTTTTTTTTTTGAGACAAAGTCTCCCCGTTGCCCAGGCTGGAGTGCAGTGGCACGATATTGGCTCACTGCAGCCTCAAACTCTTGGCCTCAAGTGATCCTCCTTCCTGAGTCTCCCAAAGTGGGGGGATTAAAGATGTGAACCCCCCTTTTCTTTGGGGCAGCATGTTTCATTTTTTGGTGAGACAAAATCATCCGTGCTGCCTTTGAGGTTCTGGTCACATCAGTTAGTCACAGAGACACGGGACACACACAAGCTGCTTGGTATTGCCGTCTAGTGAGCTTCCATCTGCCCTGGGGCTAATGCTCAGCTCATTGGTGGGTTAATTGTGTCAGGGCTTGCCAGTTGCCAATCAATAACTACTGTAACTCTTTTTTAGCAACAGAACTTTGATCTTATTTAGAACCACAGCGGCGCCCAGTTAAGTGGACTACATTTCCAAGACTCCCTTGCAGCTTGACTATGTGACTGAATTCTTGCAGATGGAATACAGTCCTCCTGGGGTATGCAGGCAATTGGTATCAGGTCCCTGAAGGACACCAAAATCCATGGATGCTTAAGTCTCTTGTATAAAATGATGTAGTATTTGCATATAATATTTATATGTCCTTCTGTAAACTTTAAGTCATCTCTAGATTACTTATGATAGTTAATACGATGTAAATACTGTGTAGTTATTATACTGTGATAGTTGTATTCTTAAGTTGTTGTATTGTTATTTTGTTTCTTTTTCTTGATATTTTTGATCTGCAGTTGGTTGAATTTGTGGATGCAGAACCTGTGAATGTAGAGGGCTGACTGTATATGCAGAAGAGTGTAGGACTTCCTGGAAGTCTCTTTAAAGGAAGCTAACTCATCTGGGAGGATAATTCTTCCTCTTGTCAGCTGCCTAGAAAGTGTCCAAGATAGCCAGTACTATAGCAGCCATCTTGGACCATGAGGTTACTTGCCTTCAGGATGGAAGCCATTGCAAGGATGCTGGAAAAGAAAGATACAAGGAATCCAGATCCCTGATTGCCAAGGAGCTTCCGTGCTAGCCCTGGACTGCCTGTCTCTGGGCTCCTTTGAAGTGTGAGAGAGATAAGTTTCCACTTCACCTAAACCACTGCTATTTTCAATTTTCTGGCATAGGCAGCTTAACCCAATCCTAACAAATGCATTTAGCATTGTAAGAGTGTTACCTTTGAATTTCATGACTAAATAGAGGATCATTCTGTCATCCTCCTAGGATATAACAAGCTAAAAGGAGCAGCATGGATGTTGGGGTTAACGTGAATAGGTCTGAATCCCTGCTTGGCTGCTAGCTGTGTGCTGCAGGCAATAATTCAGTCTCTCTGTACCTGTTTTGTCTCCCACAAAATGGTGTGCATTAAATTAATTAATGCATATAATATGCGATGCCCACAGTAAGGAACCAACAATGTTAGTTTCCTTGTCTTCCCCTCTTCTTCATGTTGTGCATTTTATTTTAAATACTTAAAAAATTCTAGGTATACGTTGAGTATCCCTTATCCAAAATGTTTGGGACCAGAAGAGTTTTGGATTTTGGAGTTTTTTGGACTTTGGGATATCTGCATACACATAATGAGATATTTTGGAACACAAGTCTGAACAAAAAAAAATTTTTTTTTTTTTTGAGATGGAGTCTCACTCCGTCATGCAGACTGGAGTGCAGTGGCCTAATCTCGGCTCACTGCAACCTCCGCCTCCCATGTTCAAGCAATTCTCCTGCCTCAGGCTCCTGAGTAGCTGGAATTACAGGTGTGCACCACCACACCCAGCTAATTGTTGTATTTTTAGTAGAGGTGGGGGTTTCACCATGTTTGCCAGGCTGGTCTTGAACTCCTGATCTCAAG